>NC_000007.14:123131779-123756779 GCF_000001405.40 Homo sapiens
GGAACTGTTTAAACATACCACTCATCATGATTTACAGACTTTGCCTAGTGTATGCACTTCATGGGATTTTTTTCCTCATTAAGAGCACATTTCAATATATTTGCCTTTTATCTTCTTAATTTCTCCTTTTTAAATGGTGTGCCATTTTAAAATAATGACAATGGTTGCATATATGTTTGATAAAGTCATTAAATGTAGCAATGAAGAACCTGTGACTCTTTTGACTTGGGATTGCCATCTCCTGTATCCTGCATTGCTACCTGCATGATTGAATAGTCCCCAAAGGCTTGGATTTCCTGAAAGGGGCACTTAGTATGCAGCTGGCCTCTCCCCATTGATGCCCACCTGCTGAAATCAGTGACATTTTACACATTTGCTTCAGCAGGAGGACTGCCACATGCTGCTCCCACAATCTGGATAGAATTATCTTTTTAATCATCAGTACCATCTTCTCACTACTAATAAAACCATGGCAGTTCTGGAGAAAAAGCAGAAAGAGGAATCAAGAGGGGAGAATGTCAGTCCTCGTATTACTAGGCATGGAACCCATGGCCACAGGCATGGAACCACTACTGATTTCAGCATTTTTCTTTTCTTTTCTTTTCTTTTGAGACAGACTTTTGCTCTTGTCACACAGGTTGGAGTGCAATGGTGCGATCTCGGCTCACTGCAACCTCCGCCTCCCAGGTTCAAGTGATTCTCCTGCCTCAGCCTCCTGAGTAGCTGGGATTACAGGCACCTGCCACCACGCCCAGCTAATTTTTGTATTTTTAGTAGAGAAGGGGTTTCACAATGTTGGCCAGGCTGGTCTCTAACTGCTGACCTCAGGAGATCCACTCCCCTGGCCTCCCAAAGCATTTCACTTTTCAAAGGAAGTACACATAGCTGGCTTCAGTCTCTCTGGTTTGGTGAATAACATGCTGTTTTATTCATAGGTCCTTGAAATTATTTAAATAAAACCCCACAAAAATAAATTTGAGCTGTTTTGTTTTTCAGGAAAAAAAATACTCAAGATTTGATATACAGCGACTTCACCTTTCTTTAAGGAGTATTGTTAAATGAGTAGAATTTACAGGCTGCATTTTAGATTTTGCTCTGGAGCCCTTCATAATTTTAAATGCTGGTTGTCATCTAAGTTATGTAACTCATTGGTACTTATGACCTACCAGCTTTGATCCCAGCCAAGATAATATGTTGAAGTTGTCTTTGAATGCATGTATTTGACATTTTAGTGGCATCAGTCGGTCTTTATTGGTCAACATTTTTTTTTTTACTTTGACTTCTATGTGTTCAACTTAGGCCCAGATGTGTTAGAATTATAGCCTTGGAAGGGATCTTACTGATTTTCTGGGTAAATTCTATCATCTTACAATTGAAGACACTGAGACTGAGAATGGGTCTGGACTTGCAATGATCTCTTATCTGGCCTCTGAGAAGCCAGAATTTTATTCCTGGTCTACTAATTCCTAAAACAATATTCTTTCCACAGAGAACATCCTCAGATCTTTATTGTACTTGGTATATTGAAAGGGATGTCAATTTTGGTGCTAGCATGATGCAGGAAGCCCTATAGGTCACAGTGTAAGTAGCTTGATAACCCAAGGAAATCTCCACATTAAACCAAGTGGAGGGGCAAACCTTAAAATTCCCCTTTAACAAGTTGGACATCAGATTGAGTTATTTATGCCCTTCAATATCTTATCATCTTAGGACTCAAAGGACACTTAGATTATTTGTTTTCTAATCTTTATTTTTATTTATTTATTTATTTATTTGAGACAAGAGTCTCGCTCTGTCATCCAGGCTGGAGTGCAATGGCGAGATCTTGGCTCACTGCAACCTCCGCCTCCCGGGTTCAAGCAATTCTCCTTCCTCGGCCTCCTGAGTAGCTGGGACTACCCGCCACACCTGGCTATTTTTTGTGTTTTTTTTAGTAGAGATGGGATTTCACCATGTTGACCAGGATTGTGTCGATATCCTGACCACGTGATCCAACTGCCTTGATCTCCCAAAGTGCTGGGATTACAGGTGTGAGCCACTGTGCCTGGCCCTAATCTTTATTTTTATTCATTTTATTTTTTGAGACCGTTCTCTGTCGCCCAGGCTGTAGTGCAGTGGTGTGATCTCAGCTCACTGCCACCTCCACCCCGCAAGCTCAAGCAATCCTTCCACCTCAGCCTCTTGAGTAGCTGGGACCAGAGGCGCACACCACCATGCCTGGATGGTCCTTTTAGGGGGGAGGTTTTTTTTGTTGTTTTGTTTGTTGATTGGTTTTTTGTTTGTTTTTGGTAGAGACAGAGTTTTGCCATATTGTCCAGGCTGCTCTTGAACTCAGAGAGGATTGCGCAAGCAATCCTCCCACCTTGGCCTTTCAAAGTGCTGGGATTATAGGCATGAGCCACCGCAGCTGGCCCCTTTCTAATCTTTAATTAACTGTTCCACAGCCAGTATTATTTAAATGAGATTCAACCTTATCCTTAAAATACGTATTTGTGTGTATTAATTTTGTGAGCAACAAAAATGCAGAAAGGTAGCCTGCATGGCATAGGGGAAAGAGCATCGGATAAGAAGCTAAGAACTGGGAACCTAGACACCTTTATTTAGCCTATTAACATGAAATATTTACTTACTTGAATCCTAGGAAAAGCCACTGAAGCCAGATCCAGGATAAGAGTAGAATGATAAGGGCAGCTGGGAAGGAAAACGTAAACCATGATCCAAAGTTGAGGCAACGACAGTCAGGATAGCGTCTGTGTGAAAACATGGAGACGTGTTCAGGGATGGAGAGACAGGTGGAATCCTTTCTGATTGTCACAGGGAAGCAGCAGTCCACCTCTTTCCTGTGTTTCTGTCCAAGAAGGAAGTCCTGGAATATACTCATCATTAAATAGAGTACTTTTACCCCTTGTCTCCTGTCTTGATTCTGGAACTGCATAATTATCACTGCATCCCATATAAGCAAGAGTGGATGTGTTTTGATTTTTGTTCTCTATATTTCATCTTTAAGGAAGTGCTTGTGGAAAAAACCCAGTGCAGTTCTTGGCTTTAATGAGTATTAAATGCACAAGAAATGGGTGTTCATGAGGTATTTGCGTTTTGTTGTCAATACTCCATCAGTATATGAACAAGGAAAGACACATAAGCAGAAATGGGAACAGGTGAAAATTAGTGGGACTGAATGTCTGTTCCCATTTCACCTTGGTGGCTGGAATTCTTGGCCATGTGAAAGTACTCTGATCCAGCCTAGGTCATCTCCCATGGCTGTTTTCCTTTCTGTTTCTTCTACCCCAAAGCACAGCAACCATCGAACCAGGTATATGGTAGCTCTTTCTTCCTAGAACCAGGTGGTGCTTTGGGGCACAGTCAAATGGAGTAACTCTGAGCCAGATAAAAATAATTAAAAGTTCTGAAGAAATCAACAACTTTTCTTTTTTATCTTACCTACTTATTTTCAACTTTTAAACTCACATAATAACTCAACAACAACAACAACATAAGATCAGACACTAGCACAGTTTCTTTGGTAACCTCACATTCATTGTTCTAAAATGTCTAATACTAAATAAATTCTTATATAGTCATTTATTTTATTACTATGGAGAAACAATAGGAAATTTGAGAAACAGTTGTCTTTACTTTTTTTCTAAAAGCAATAACATAAAGATAAATTTGAAAATCTGAAAAACAAAGATATACAGAAGTAATAAAAACATCATTAACATATTTTAATATGTTTGAAGTCATAAAATATGTAGAACTTTATAGAAATATTGATTTGCAATTTTTTCTATTTTAATCATACTTTGTACTTTGTCATTTAAAAATCACATAAGTAATAAAATATTTCATGTTATATCTATGTAGCAAATTTATACACTTTAGAGTGTTTCTTTTTCTACTTTAAGATGGTTCCTAATAATAATGGGCCCTCAAAACTCTAGATTTCTAAGGTTTTCTATCATTTTCTTTGAGCTTATGAAAAGCTATTAATCTCCCTAGGCCCTAGAATTATCTTTAGCAACTGGAGGATAATTTTTATCTACCTTGAAGAGATCCAAAGATTAGCTTACATATTTATGCAATTAGAAAGTGACAAATGATAATTAAAGATGTTAGAAAATGTGCAGTGTGATGAATGGAAAAATACTTTATCACATCCATGAGGCTCTATTGAAAACTGTTCATTTTTGAAAAATGTTTGTTGTCTCCAATTGGAAAATAAAGTAATGGGAGAAAAGCTGATTTCCCATTAACATTAGACTTGGATTACAGGATGACCTATGTTATTCTGTACAACCTAACGACACTCAGAAATGCTGCTTGGATTAGGTTTAGACCCATGTCCTCAAGCCTAATTTCACTTTTCACCATCTGTGGCTCATATCTTGAAATCAGTATGCAGAGCTCTCTCTACCCACTGGAGAGAATCCTGCAAAATGTATTTGACTGAAGATGGGCTTTTCAGAATTTTTGCCTGGAGGAATAGTTTTAGAAAAATGAAAGCCTGAAAAAGTTAAACTTCATTGTTATGTTTTGTTTAGTTTAATAGTATGGAAGTATATAAACAACCACATGGGACTATGCCTCTATAATCATAACCTTTACCCTTATACCTAGAGTGAATATTTTGGACAAATAAAGAAATATATGGCATACTCTAAGCATTTTCTTTTGCTGTGATGTTCCTTTTCCCACTCTTTCTCATGTCCTGCAAGTGAAGAGACTTCAAACATGCATCTAAAGCAAATACAGATTTCTTCTGTCATGAACTATGCTAAGACACTTAATTCTGATGAAATCCTTTTCTTTTACCTAACACTGTTTGGTATCTACCAAGTGCCAGGTGCTCTCCAAGCTACTGGGGACATAGTGGTGAATGAGATTGACCTGGTCTGGGCTTTCATGAACTTTATGTTAAAGTGGGGCACACAGGCAATAAACAGGTAAACATATAACAAAATAGGAAATAAAGCAGAATAATGTAATAAAAAGTGATTGGGGAAGGGGGAAATTTTACGTAATGCCATCAGAGAAGGTAACATTTTAGATGAGACCTAAATAGCAAGAAGGAGCCAGTCATGTGAATAACTGGGAAACAGCATTCCAGACGGAGGAAATAGCAATTACAAAGTCCTTGAGTTAGGAATGAGTTTGTCACATTTGTGGAGAGATAGGAGGCCACTGTGGCTGTGGGTAATGAGTGAAGGTGAGTGTGACATGAAAGAAGTAGTCAATATGGATCAGATCATGTATAACCTTGTAGCCAGTCCGAAAGTATGCGGATTTTATTACAAATGCAATAAGGACTAATTGGAACGTAGTAAGTTAGTAACGTGACATGATCTAATTAGTAATTGACATAAAACAGAATGGCTCCTGGATGCATTCTCAGGATTGAAGGCAACAAGAGTGGAAACTGTGTGATGTTCAGGATGTGGTAGACAGAGTTCCAAGATATGCCTCAAATTTCTGCCTCCTGGTGTACATGCCTTGTACGATCTCCTCTTCTGTGTGGATGGAATCTGTGAATATGATGAGATATCACTCCTGTGATTAGGTTGCGTAGTGAAAAAAGTGAAGGGATTTTACTTAGGTAATCAAAGTCCCTAGCAATTGAAACTGAGTTAATCAAAAGCACGAACTATCCCGGGTAGGCCTAACTTAATCAGGTGAGCCCTTAAAAGAGAGTTTCCTGCTGGCCTGAAGAAGCAAACATCCTGTTGTCAGAGGAAGGGGCCCTGTAGCAAGGGCCTGAAGGCAGCCTTTAGAAGCTGAGAGTGACCCCATGCCAACAGCCAGCAAGAAAATGGACACCTCAGTAATTAAACTGCAAGGAACCAAATTCTACTGACAACATCAATGAGCTTGGAGGAATACCCTGAGCCCCTGTCTAGGTTACAGGCCCAGTTGCCACCCTGCTGTCAGCCTGGTAAGATCCTGAGCAGGAACCCAGCTAACCTTTGCCTGGAGTCTTTTTAAAAAAAATTCTTAAAATTTTTAATTTTTGTGGGTACATAGTTGGTGTATATATGTATGGGGTACATGAGATGTTTTGATACAGGCATTCAATGTGTAATAATCAGATCATAGAAATGGGGTTATCCATCCTCTCAAGCATTTATCCTTTATGTTACAAACAATCCAATTATACTCTTTTAGTTATTTTTAAATGTACAATTAAATTATTATTAACTATAGTCACCCTGTTGTCCTATCAAATACTAGGTCTTATTCATTCTTTCTGCCAATTTTGTACCCATTAACCATCCCCACCTTTCAGCCCACACCCTATTATCCTTCCCAGTCTTTGGTCACCATTCTTCTACTGTCTATCACCATTAGTTCATTTGTTTTAATTTTAGATCCCACAAATCAGTGAGAACATGTAATGTCTTTCTGGACCTGGTTTATTTCACTTAACATACTGACTTCCACTTCCATTTATGTTGTTGCAAATGACAGGATCTCATTCTTTTTTATGGCTAAACAGTATTCCATTGTGTATGTGTACCACATTTTCTTCATCCATCCGTTGATAGGCACTTAGGTTGCATCCAAATCATGGCTATTATTAATATACACAGCATTGCAACAAACATGGGAGTGCAGATATACCTTCCAAATACTGATTTTCTTTCTTTTGGGTATATACCCTGCAGTGGGATTGCTGAATCACATGGTAGCTTTATTTTAGTTTTTGAGGAACTTCCAAACTGTTCTCTATAGTGGTTGTACTAATAATTTACATTCCTACCAACAGTGTATGAGGGTTTCCTTTTCTCTACATCCCTGCCAGCATTTGTTATTGCCTGTCTTTTGGATAAAAGCCATTTTACCTGGGGTGAGATGATATCTCTTTGTAGTTTTGATTTACATTTCTCTGATGATCAGTGATGTTGCATGCTTTTTCATATGCCTGTTTGCCATTTGTATGTCTTATTTTGAGAAATATCCAAATATTTTGCCCATTTTTAATTGTATTATTAGATTTTTCCATATAGAGTTGTTTAAGCTCCTTATATATTTTGGTTATTAATACTTCGTTAGATGGAAAACTTGCAAATATTTTCTCTCATTCCGTGGATTTATCTATTCATGTTGTTGATTGTTTCCTTTGCTGTGCAGAAGCTTATTAACTTGATGTGATGCTATTTGTCCATTTTTGCTTTGGTTGCCTGGGCTTGTGGGGTATTATTCAAGAAATTTTTGCCCAGACCTATGTAGTAGAGAGTTTAACCGATGTTTTCTTGTAGTAGTTTCATAGTTTGAGGTCTTAGCTTAAGTGTTTAATTTATTTTGATTTCATTTTTGTTTATGGCAAGAAATAAGGGCCTAGTTTTATTCTTCTACATATGGATATCCAGAGTTCCCAGCACCATTTATGGAAAAGACTGCCTTTCCCCAGTGTATATTCTTGACTCCTTTGTCGAAAATGAGTTCACTGTAGGTGTATGGATTTGCTTCTGGGTTCTCTATTCTGTTCCATTGGTCTATGTGTCTGTTTATATACCAGTACCATGCTGTCTTGATTACTATAGCTCTGCAGTGTAATTAGAAGTCATGTAATGTGATTCTTACAGTTTTGATCTTTTTGCTAAAGATAGCTTTGGCTATTCTGGTTCTTTTGTTGTTCCATATAAATTTTAGGATTTTTTTTTTCTATTTCTGTGAAGAATGTCATTGGCATTGTCACAGGGATTGCCTTGAATCTGTAGATTGCTTTGAGTAGTATGAACCTTTTAATAATATTGATTCTTATCCATGAACATGAAATATCTTTCCATTTTTGGTGTCCTATTCAATTTCTTTCATCCATGTTTTATAGTTTATATTACAGAGATCTATCACTTCTTTCATTAAGTTAATTCTTAGGTACTTAGTTTTATTTGTGGCTGTCATAAATGGAATTACTTTTTTGATTTCTTTTTCTGATTATTCACTGTTGGTATATACAAATGCTACTGATTTTTGTTTGTTGATTTTATATCCTGCAACTTTACTGAATTTGTTTATCAGTTCTAACAGTTTTTTGGTGGAGTCTTTCATTTTTTCCAAATATCAGATCATATCATCAGCAAACAAGGATACTTTGACTTTTTCCTTTCCAATTTGGGTGCCTTTTTAACTTTCTCTTGTCTGATTGCTCTAGCTAGAACTTCCAGTACTATGTTGAATAACAGTGTTGAAAGTGGGCATCATTTTCATGCTGCAGATCTTAGAGAAAAATCTTTCGGTTTTTTTACCCATTCAGTATAATACTAGCTGTGGGTCTGTTATCTGTCGTATACAGCTTCTTTTTTTAAAAAAAATTGTTAAGGTATTTTCCTTCTTTACAAATTTTTTGAGGGTTTTATTGTGAAGGGATGTTGAATTTTATGAAATGCTTTTTCAGCATAAATTAAAATGATCATATAGTTTTGGTCCTTCCTTTTGTTGTTATGATGTATTATTACATTCATTTATTTGCATATGTTGACACATCTTTGCAACCCAGGGATAAATGCCATTTGGTCATGATGAATGATCTTTTTCATGTATTTGTTGAATTCAGTTTGTTAGTATTTTGTTGAGGATTTTTGCATCAATATTCATAAGGGATATTTCTCTGTAGTTTCCTTTGTTTATGTGTCTTTGTCTGGTTTTGGTACCAAGGTAATACTGGACTCATAGCGTTTGAAAGTATTCCCTCCTATATTTTTGGAATAGTTTGAGTAGGATTGATATTATTTCTCCTTTAAATATTTGGAAGGATTCAGCAGTGAAGCCATTGGGTCCCAGGCTTTTCTTTACTGGAAGAATTTTATTATGGCTTCAATCTCATTACTTGTTATTAGTTTGTTCAGGTTTTGGATTTCCTCATGGTTCAATCTTGGTAGATTGTACATGGCTAGGAATTTGTCCATTTCTTCTAGGTTTTCTAATTTATTGGCATATAGCTGCTCATAGTCACTACTAATGATCCTTTGAATTTCTGCAGTATCAGCTATAATTACTCCTTTTTCATCTCTGATTTTAAATATTTGGATCTTTTCTCTTGCTTTCTTAGTCTGGCTAAAGATTTGCCAATTTTGTTTAACTTTTTAAAAAAAGAAAAGTTTTCATTGATTTTTTTGGTATTGTTTTCTTTATTTCAATTTAACTTAATTCTACTCTGATATTTTCTTCTACTAACTTTGGGTTTGGTTTGCTCTTGCTTTTCTCATTCTTTAAGATGCATCGTTAGGTTATTTGAAGTTTTTCTTTTTTTTTCTGATGTAGGCACTTAGAGCTATAAACTTCCCTCTTGGTACTGTTTTTTGCTGTATTCCATAGATTTTGATATGTTGTGTTTCCATTAACATCTGTTTCAAAAAATTTTTCAATTTCCTTCTGAATTTCTTTATTGACCCAGTGGTCATTCAGGAGCATATTGTTTAATTTTCATATGCTTTTATAGTTTCCAAAATTCCTCTTGTATTTGATTATTAGCTTTATTCTATTGTGGTTAGAGAAGATGTTTGATATTATTTCAATTTTTTGAATGTTTTAAGACTCCTTTTGTGACCTAACATATGGTCTATCCTTGAGAATGGTCCATGTGCTGAGGAAAAGAATGTGTATACTGCAGCCATTTGATGAAATGTTCTGTAAATATCTATTAGATCCATTTGGCCTGTAGTACAGATTAAGTCCAATGTTTCTTTGTTGATTTTCTGTTTGGAAGGTCCATCTAATGCTGAAGGTGGGGTGTTGAAGTCTTTAGCTATTATTGTATTGAGGTCTCTTTCTCTCTCTCTCTCCCTCTCTCTCTAGCTCTAATAGTATCTGCTTTATATACCTGGGAGCTCCCATGTTGGTTGCATATATATTTACAACTGTTATATCCTCTTGCTGGATTGACTTCTTTATCATTATATAGTGACCTTCTTTGTCTCTTCTTATACTTTTTGTCATGAAATCTATTTTGCCTGATATGAGTATAGTGACTCCTGCTCCTTTTTGGTTTCCATTGGCATGGAATATATTTTTCTATCTCTTTATTTTCAGTCAACTTATGTCTTTGTTGGGTAAGTGTGTTTCTTGTAGGCAACTGTCCAATAGATCTTGTTTTTTATCCATGTAACCACTCTATGTCTTTGGATTGGAGAGTTTAGTCCACTTACATTCAATGTTACTATTGATAAGTAAGGACTTACTCTTGCCATTTTGTTATTATTTTCTGGTTGTTTTGTGGTCTTTTCTTCCTTTTATCTCTACTTCCTTCAATAAAAGGAAGCTTTTAGTGAAGGTGAGTTTCTCTAGTGATATGGTTTAGTTTCTTGCTTTTTATTTTTCATGTATAGGGTAAGGCTTGATGTTCTAATGTACTGTGGCTCAGCTAGCACTCAAACCACAAGACATAGTCTTTCCCACTCTCCCACCCCTTTCCAAAGGCAGTGAAAGCTCACCCCGTGTCCACTGCCACCACAGATCCATGGGGAGCATTGCCAAACTACCACTGATGTTCCCTTAAGGTCCGAGGGCTCTTCAGTCAGCTTGTGTGAATACTGCCTGGCCTGGGACTCACCTTTCAGGGCAGAGGACTCCCCCTCCTTCCCAGGACAGGTCCATAAATGCCATCCAAGAGCCAAGTCAAGGAATCAGAGACCTTAAGAACCTGCATGGTGCTCTACACCGCTGTGGCCAAGCTGGCACCTAAAGTGCAAGCCAAAGTCCTCTTTAGTTTTCCCTCTGCTTTTGTTAAGCAGGAGTCTCAACCCACAGCCACCACAGCTAAGAATGCACTGATTCTCACCTGAAGCCAGCAACTCTTAGAGTCTCTACAGTCTCACCCAAAGCTCTTGATGTAACTCCTGAGTCTTGCTTTCAGGGGCAAGAACTTTTTTTTTTTTTTTTTGATGGAGGCTGGAGTGCAGTAGCGCGATCTTGGCTCACCACAACCTCTGCCTCCCAAATTCAAGCGATTCTCCTGCCTCAGCCTCCTGAGTAGCTGGGACTACAGATATGTGCCACCATGCCCGGCTAATTTTTGTATTTTTAAGTAAAGATGGGGTTTCACTATGTTGGCCAGGCTGGTTTTGAGCTCCTGACCTCTTGATCTGCCCTCCTCGGCCTCCCAAAGTGCTGGGATTACAGTCGTGAGCCACCGCACCCGGCTGACGAAGAGCTCTTTAGTTAGCAGGTGATGCAACCTCCCAGGCTTGGTCTTTTTCTTCAGAACAACAGATTTCATTCTGGCCCAGGGTGTGTCTAGAAATGTCGTCCTAAAGCTAGAGCCTGGAAAGGGGGCCAGTGCCCTAACTTGCTGTGGCTGAGCTGGTATCCAAGATGCAAGACAAAGTCCTCTCCACTCTTCCCTCTCCTCTCGTCTCCTCTCCTCGAGCAGTAGGAAGGAGTCTTTTTTTGGAGCTGCAATCTGTGCAACCTGGAGTTAGTGAAGAGGGATATGAGGACTCCCTTAGCTGCCCTGTCTTTTGTCCCAGTAGACTACATTCCCCCCACACAAGTCCTCTGGCTCAAGGCACAGTTCAGCACTAGAAGATGTCTAGGAGTTGTAGTTTTTGTGCCCTAGACTTCCTTTCAGAGTTATTTTTGGCCCCAGAACACTTTAGCCCGCAGTGGTGAGGGTTGTGGGAAGTCAAGTTCCAACTGCTGGGATGGGCACTTCTTCTCTGGCTACAGCTGGTTTAAATGCTCCCTTGGTGTGTGGGCTGAGTTTATTCCTGTTTTTCTTTCTGCTATGACAGGACAGCATTGATTTCAATGACTTACAATTGCTGGGCTCCTCCTCTCCCCACAGCACAAGAATGCTCTCTGCAACATGCTGCCACTGCCAGGGAATGAGGGAGGGGCAGCATCTGTGATTTTACACTGTTTTCTCTACCTCTTCAGTGCCTCTTTCAATGATATGAAATTAAAAGGAGCTACTGTGAGTGCTCACCTGATTTTTGGTCCTTATGAAGGTGCTTTTCTGTATGTAGATAGATGTTAAATTGGTGTCCTTGCACGGGGTACTATCCATGGAGCCCTGTATTCCACCATCTTGCTCTGCCCCTTTCTTCCTGAACTGTTGACCCACAAAAATAATGAGATAATAAATGTGTGCTGTGTTAAGCCACTAAGTTGATTGCCATTTGTAAGGTAGCAGTAGAAGAGGAATACACAGGGAAACCTATTACAAGATAAAGTCCCTCGGAAGTAGGGTAGAGTGGAGTAGATTTTAGTTTACATGTGAAGATAAACAGAAGGCAAGATATTTTAGATATATTTGGAATAAAACCTAGGAAATGGAGAAAAGATGTCATATGTTGAAATGGTGAAGTCTGAGGGGAGGTTGGATTGGCAGGAGGGCAGGGGAGAGGTGGCAGATCAAGCATGCTGTTTTGGGATGTGATGATTTGAGATGTCCCTCAGTTTTTGAAGTGGTCATGTTGGAATGCAGCTGGATAAGTAAGTCTGAAATTCAGAGGAAAGGGCAGGGATAGAGATAAAAAATTGGTAGTTATCAGCACATAGGTGGTATTACAAACATAGAAATGGGTCTGATCATTTAAGCAGTAATGGAGATTTAGAAGAGAAACTGAAGTGCTTCTCTTGGGGCACTGTAAGTTTTAGAGGTTAGGTAGAAATGAGCAGATGAGCTAAGCACTTTTAATTTTATCAAAAATCCTGTGAAAAAAGCATTAAATTTTTATTTTACACAGGAATAAACTGAGTCTTAGGGGGCTAAGTGGATTTCTCAAAGTCAGATTGTGTAGTCAAACTGGATTTTTAACCCAGGAGGAGTTTAAAACACAACCTCTGTTCATTAAACCATTACATCCTCAATTTTAGCTCCCAGGTAAAAAGAGAAAATGCCACATATATTACAAAACATCCGCAGGCTGGAGTACAAACTTTATGTTTTCTTGGCACTTTAAAACAATTGTAGAAATGATGCCCCATAACACGGAGATGTGCTTTGACCTAAAGCACATTTACACGTCAAGGTTGACTCTTAGGAAGAGTCATTGTCACTGCAAGTAACTTACATGTTATATGCAACTTATGCCCCACTGCAAAACAAATAACTTTAATACCCATGAAATACTCAGAACATAGCTTCAAAAGAATGAATGTAGTCTTGGAAATTTATAACCTTGGAACAGATTTTGGGCATTAAGTGTCATAGTATGCTACTATAGATACTATAATTGCACACCAATTATAGACCTTTTGACTGATGACAGTTTTGATTATCTCTGAGATAAAGCTACTTTTCCATTTTGTGTGTGTGTACTTCCAGAGGATTTTCCTCAAAATATTAACTATTTATCATTCATGATCCAGGCTGAGATTTTTAACAGCCATGGCAAAAGTAGAGCAGTGGCAATAACAACAGCTAACATTATTGACAAGTTACTATGTGCCAGACCCTCTGCTAGAGCCACATGTGCATTATGGCATTTAATTAATTCAATAATGTTGTAAGTTCTAGTATCATCCCCATTTTACAGAAAAGGAAACTGATAGTCACAGAAGTTAAGCTAATATATGGTGAGCTTGAAATCTGAATTGAGGTCTAAGTCCAAACTCTGCCGTGTCAAAATTTCTTCCATAGTATTTACCATATTGCAATCTTACAGAGTAATATGAATTACTTGACTGTATCAACTAATTTCATGTGAATGATGGAAACCAGCAGTTCTCTAATATCAACAAAGATGAAGCATAAGAATTCGGTCTGGATATTAGAAAAAGAAATTCACAGACAGGAACTAAGATGTGGAATCCCTTCTCTTGGAGAATTCATGAGAAAGGATATAAGTCATTTTCAAAAAGATGTCAGGTGCATTTCTTGTCTTAAATTAGGGGATACATTGGATAAATCCTCACTGGTACTGTGAGTTTCAGAAGCCTCTCATTTATAAACCAAAAACCTTTTAAAGTTTTCTAAGTCAGTAATTGGAGTGTAGATAATGGATGTGTATTCATAGAAACAATACTCTTGGAGGTCTGTGTAATATTGATCCTAAACTCCTATACCAGTGTTCGTTGAACACAAACACCCATTCTTTCTAGAATGGAGATTGACATTCTTTGAGTCTTGTATTTCTTAGAGAATCCGTGCATGCACAACATTTTGCAAATAATTTCAGAAAATTCATAGAGTCTATGAATCTACTTCACAGAGAGTAGTTTTCCTGCCTCTAAACTCTAATTTTTCTGTGAACCCAAATCCTGTTCCTAGGCTTTCTCAATTGTGTCTGTCTTCTTGAAATTCTGATTATTATCTGTTCTTTTAGTAGAACCAGTCTGAGTGCACATATGACACCATGGACTTTCATACTATTGTTTCAATGATACTTACATAGCGCAAAATATTTTTACATAGTTTACTTCATTGAATTCTCACAATAACCCTATCAACTGTGACTATTTTACATATGAAAAAATTAAGTCTTGGGAGAATCATGGACCTTTTTGTTGTTAAATTCATAATGTGGCCGGGTGCAGGGGCTCATGCCTATAATCCTAGCACTTTGGGAGGCCAAGGCAGGTGGATCACTTGAGATCAGGAGTTTGAGACCAGCCTGGCCAACATGGCAAAACCCCGTGTCTACTAAAAGTACAAAAATTAGCTGGGTATTACGGTGCATGCCTGTAATCCCAGCTACTCGGGAGGCTGAGGCACGACAATCACTTGGCAAAAGTTGCAGTGAGCTGAGATCGCACCACTGTCCTCCAGCCTGGGCAGCAGAGTGAGACCCTGTCTCAGAAAAATAAATAAGTAAGTAAAATAATTCACAATGTAAGTACCTGCAAATTGAGGATTTTTTAACCCAAGTGTTCTACCTGTTGAATCCACAGATTCCCATTTCTGCAATGGAATTGTCATCACAGTTCCAAACATATTAACAGTCATATATCTGTTTGTAGAATACTTTATTACTGACACTTATTACAATTGTTCAATCTTTCAAATCTTTTTTGAATTCCAAAGCCAAGCCTTCCAAAATTAATACCTCTGTTCACCATTCATTACTTAAGTTCACATGTTGGTCCCCAAACCCTACATAAATTGTCCCAAGAAAATAATTCCTTTTCACTTTAGTTAACTACCATTTGTGGTATTATTTTCAATGAAAAATGTTTTTCCTGTTTGTTAAGGGTGGTCAGCCAAGAGTTATCCCCTCTGAGCTGACCTGGGAAATCTGTTGGCACAAGTTAATTCAGTATTCCCTGAATATTTAATTCTCAGTATAAAGGAAGGTCTGTAGATCTATAGATGTCCTGAAGGGAAACAAGGGAGAGTTAACATAACATCTCTGTACTTGAATTCTCTGAATCAGGTAAGAATAATTTTTATAATTTTTGTGCTGCCCTTATGTTAAATCACCAATCCAATAAGGTTACTTACGTATTGAAATACTCTGCAAAGATCAAGTTGGTGGAGGTACCAGTGATTGTTGTCAGTCCACCAATGGTAGAAGAGTAGGCAATGCACAAACACGTAAGTTTACGTGTCACGTGGCCCTTCTTTGTTCGATATTTGGTTCTCATGCCTGAGTTCTGTTCAACAACAACAAAAAACTACCATGAGAACTGCTCTATATTTGTTATGGACTGAATATTTGTGTCCCACCACCCGCACCAATTCATATGTTGAAACCCTAACTCCTGATGTGATTGTATTTGGCAATGGGGCATTTGGAAGATACTGTACCTTCCTTTGAGGATGTGGCCCTGGTCTGATAGGATTATGTCATTATAAGAGGACACATGAGAGAGCTTGATTCCTCTCTCTCTCTCTCTCTCTCTCTCTGCTATGGAAAAAGCCACAAGAAGGCATCTGTCTGCAATGCCAGGAGAGAGCCCTCACCAGACACTGACCCTGCCAGACCCTGATCCAATCTTCAGAACTGCAAGAAATAAATTTTTATTGTTTAAGCCACTTAGTCTGTGGTGTTTTGTTATGGTGATATGAGCTGACTAATATAGCATTTATCTTTCCATCAATAGAGATGTAGCAATAAAAGTATTTAAGCTGAAGCCACTGAAATATTTTAAAAACCCAATTTCATTCATTTCTTCATCCTTCTTTCTTGTCTCTTACCCAACTCTTCCCCCATGTCTTTCCTTCTCACCACTACTCCCAAAGCTTTTCATTATTTTTCTGTTGATACTGGTGGTACATACTCAATAAGTCCCTAAACTTCTTTAAGAAGGGTTTCCCCATCTACACACCTTAATGGATGGTTCCCAGGGGATATTACTCCTGAAGTGGAATGTTTTCAACACCATATACCTCAGCATTGAGAGATAAGTCAGTGTCCTCTTTGCTCCCACTGTCTATTCCAGAACATTAATCCTCCACTCACACAAAAAATAAATCCATTTTTTTTAAGGATCATGTAACTTGGATATCTCTTTCTCTCCCCATTCCTTTGACCATTATATTTTGATCTCCTGGTCACCCACTGTCATTTAAGATAACATTTGCACTCAGCACTTAATCATCTTCCTTAGTCCAAATCTTGTCAGTGACTGAATGACTACACTATGTTCATGAATAGCCCTTCAAATATCCTGGCCTCACAGATTTTTTATCTCATTTCCAACGATTTTCAGTTCTCCACCTCAGTCACCCCACCCCCATAGTTATACCTTGGACAATGGCACATCCTGAAATGGTTTCACTTGGGGAATCACTAGTCCAAATGTAAGTGTTTTATTTAAGAGATGACTTTCTAGGGTGTAAGCCAAAAGCAACTTCATTCTTTTTCTCACCCATGACCCTGTAAACACCCTTTGTTGGTTTGATTCTTCCTCTTCCTGTGGCGAAATTCAAAGAAGAACCAATAACTTTTCCGGTCATTTCATTTAATGAATGGTTTTTCAGTTATGTTTAGTCAGGAGAATAGCTTCATTTCAGTAGTTAAACAGTGCCCTATTTAATAAGAAAAATCCCAAATTTTAAACTTAAGCATTCTCTTATCCCCTAGATCAGGCCTGCTTGAAAACCCATAGCTGGAAGGAGGTTTGTGAGTTTGACTTTCTCTTTCTCTCCTAGTTCCAATTCTTCTCACCACTTGCTACACTCAGTTTTTAAACCTTCAACATTTGGAATGTCAAGAGAAGAACAGGATCAGGAGAGGAGTGGTAAGGATTAGGAGAAGTCTTATTTGACTGTGTATTAATTTTAAAATGGTATTAGTACTTTCCAGGCATGGTGAATTTTTGAAATGACTCCATCTGGTGGGCAATTTTATGAGATTTTATGAGACTCCTATTATCCAAATAAGAACATCAGATTGTTGTTCTTTCTATGTAGGTAACACACATCTTCTGCCTGGTGACGTATGACACACTCATGGTGTCTGCATGTGATAGTCTACCTGGTCTCTTTATGTTGAAATCCACTTATGCTGTCAAAAATCCCTTCTGGAGGAAGTTGCCTTTCAAATGATCCCACATGACACTCCTCCCACATGTTTCCTACATATGGTCCAAGGGAAACAGTCACCTCTGTCCTGTTGTCAGTGACAGTGCAGCTGAAACTTGATTAGGTAAAGAAATTCAGCCACGAGTTTTTACTTTATAATTTTTCAAGAATGTGTCAAACACTAATCCGTTGACCTTTTCTAAGTCTAAGGTGGTAGATAGCAAGTTCTCCAAGTAGTAGTTTCTTAACGTCTATCTCACCTTGTTAAGTAGGAGACTCTTCCCTTCTTTCGACTGTGATGGTACAAGTGGCAGGGGGTTGGGGCACTGGGGAAATACTCCAACTTTCTCCATAAGCAGACTGTCTCTCAGCCTTCTCATTTTAAACACTAAGTTTAAGAGTCTAAAGCTGTTTTTTGGTCACCTCACTTGCAAGTACTGTGGAAATGAAATGCAAAAATACCTAAGTGTGTGCTTGATATTATAGTTACTCAGGGGTAGAAAGAGTATCATTTTACCATCCTGGTTATCAAGAAATTGGCACAGTTATCACAGTTTCTTCTTCCAACTTTGCTGTTGAATTAATTCTATCTCTACAGTCCTTCAACTGCACTGGCAAATCTAAGTCAATAAAGTATGTAGTTATGCCCAGTTATGGTCCTCTCCTTTCTTTACTTCCATCCTTATTCAGTTTAGATTCCATGGTACACCATTTCAATAAATTTTCTTAAAAAAACTCCAAACTCTCTTTCTTGTCTTTTCTTGAATGGTAGTTCTTTATGAAAATTCCAACTGATTTATAAACCCAACCATTCTCTCTCTCCATGTCATGTCTGCTTCTGAGTAGCCAGCTACTGTTGTTAAAAATTACATGCACAGTAGAGCAGATGGGATCATTCATGATCACAAACATCCAGTGCTGTAATGATGTTGCTCCTCTACCCTACTGTGTTTGCATAACCAAATTACTCTACCTCTTTCCACAAGGAAATATAAAACCTTCTTTATTATCTCTATACGTCCCTCTTAATGGTCCTTCTCAGTCTTTACAAGTAGCTTTGCCTCCTACTTCACAGAGAAAATAGAAGCCAGCAGACAATGGTATCACTGTGAAATGTAGAAACCTACTTGCATTTGCCCCATCTTCCTGTTCTCTACATAATTAATAGAGTCAATGTTTCTCCTCCAACTTCTTGTTTCTGGACCACAGTCTCTCAGATTTTCTCAGAAACCTTCCACTACAGACTATTGGAATTTTCATCAACATTTAATTATTTTTGAGCCATCCTTACAGAAGAAAAACAAGAAAGACTTCTTAACCCTCCTTTCAAGTAAACTATTGTCCTAACTCCATTTTCACAGCCAAACTACTCGAAAGAGTTGTTTACATTCACTGACTCCATTTTCTTAGACACTTCCATCTTGCTTGTCTCCTCATTCCACCCACAATGCACTTCCTGTGATTATCAGTAATCCCCTCAGTGCTAAGTTCAATAGGAACCTTTCAATCTCAACTTTGTAGTCCCCTTAGCAAGCATCTAAAAGAGTTTATCTCTTCTTTTTACTGAAAAAACTCTGCTTTGGGTTTCTGTGATATCTCACTCTTTGGATTTTTCTATCTCTGCCTGTTTTTCTGTCTCCCTTGCCAGTTATTTTGCCTTCCATCCTTCCTTAAAACTGGAATTTCTTTAAGCTGTCACAGGCCCTTGTCTCTCCTCACTCTAATGTTTCTCCTTTAAAAATATCTTATTTTTATTGATTTAATGACTATTTTTATGCCAGATCACCAAACTTCTGTCTTCAGCCAGGCTCCTCCATCTAGACCCATGTATCCAATTGCCTGTTCAACATAATTTGAGGGCCAGGCACAGTGGCTCATTCCTGGAATCTCAGCACTTTGGGAAGCCGAGGCAGGTGGATCACTTGAGGTCAGGAATTCTAGACCAGCCTGGCCAACATGGTGAAACCCTGTCTCTACTAAAAATACAAAAATTAACCATGCTTGGTTGCAGGCACCTGTAATCCCCACTACTTGGGAGGCTGAGGAAGGAGAATTTCTTGAACCTGGGAGGCAGAGGTTGCAGTGAGTCAAGATTGCATCACTGCACTCCACACTCCAGCCTGAGCAATAGAGCAAGACCCGTCTCAAAACAAAACAAAACTATATATATATATTTGAATATATGTGTGTGTGTGTGTGTGTGTATATATATATATATATGTATATGTATAATATCTTCAATAAAACTCCAATCTGAAAATGTTCAGGACCAAGGCTATTACTTCTTTTGTCAAACCTAGTTTGTCAGGATCACTTATATAAGCTGATGTCATCACCATCACTATAACAACAAACACTTATAGTGTCCTTAGCATGTAATAAGCACTGTCCAAGTTAAAATCAATTAAATGTTTTAATTCATTTACGTCTTACAATACAATGAGGTGGGTAAAATTATGATGTCATTTTATAAATAAAAGACATAGAGAAGTTAAGTGAATTGTTCGAGGTCCCAGAGCCTGAAAATGACAGACTTGGGTTTTGAAACCATGCAGTCTTGCTTTAGAGCTCATACTCTCAGCCACTTTGCTGTAATGTATTGCTTGTCCTCCTCAAAAACATTATCTTCCTCATCCCGTCAAATTCTGTCAATTGTATCTACTGAAATATGCCTGGACTCTGTTCAATTTTCTCCACCTCCACTGTTGTCACCCTGGTCTCAGTCAACATTATCTCTGGCCTAGGTTAATGAAATAGTGTGTTTATAGATCTTCTTGCATCAACTCTTGCCTGTTACAGACTCATTCTACAGACTGCAGCCTACAAAATCTGAAAGATTTTGTAATCTAAAAGATTACAAGAATCTAAATGTAGTTAAGGAATATATAAACACTTATTATCTTTTGTCTTCTTGTGTTTGTGTATTTCTTAAATACATTTGTACATATTTTTTAGGCTGCTGTGTATAGGAGAGTTCTGAAATAGGCAAGAATTAATGCAAGCACAACCATAAAAGGATTGTTACAGTAACTCAGGCCACATTTTCTTTATCCATTCATCATCTATCAAGGGACACTTAAGTTGTTCCCATATCTTGGCTATTGTGAATAATGCTGCAATGAATATGGGGAAGCAGATATATCTTTGACATACTGATTTCATTTTGGGGGTACATATATCCAGAAGTGAGTTTGCTGGATCACATGGTACTTCTATTTTTTTTCTAATTTTTTAAGGAATCTCTATATTGTTTTTCATAATGGTTGCACTAATTTACATTGCTAGTAACATTGTACAAGGGTTCTCCCTTCTCCAGGATGAACAGAAGAAATGCCATCTTCCATACAGATAAACATGCTATTTGAGACATTATTAAAATATCTTTTTGAAAAGTTGTGATAAGGAAAAAATTACTACTCACTAAAAGTCATCATAGATATGAAAATGGCATTTAGCATGGCAGAGTCAGGTGCATTGGACTGTAATTTACCTTTTACTTTCTAATTAACTTTAAGGTCAGCCCACAAAGGACTCTACGCTTCACCCAAAATAAACTAATTTACAAACGTCTCCCTTTCCCTTATATTTTATACATAGAAATCATTTGTATTTTCTATATGATAAAACATTCCATTGAAATTTGACACAAAATAAGTGGTATGTAAATAAGATAGGGAAATAAGTTTAAAAATTCTTATGAGTCATACAAAGTGGCAATTGAAATTTGAGGCTTAACATTAAATAGTTTACTATAGGAAAGACTTCAAACACAAACCAGAAAGTGATGCATAATTTGAATATTATTAAATTGATAATAAGAATGGAAACTTAAAATATGCAATGTTTATATGATTTCCCTTTGCCACCTTAAAACTTTCAAAAATATAAATAAAGAAAAAATTGGATTTCATATAAAAGCTTAACTGTAAATATATGCATATATATAGAATTATTAAAAGACACTGGATGATATAAAACAAAAAAATCAAAACAGAAACAGGTTAATATGTTTGCCATGCTTTATGCCTTATGAATTAACCACACATTTTTTATTAATAAGGACCTTTAAAATATACATTATTGCTACTGCACATGAGCTGATGTTTATGCAAATATCATCAACAATTTATAAAGGCATTAAAATTCAGGGTAAAAATTCTACAGTAAATGCTAACACTAATATATCATAATGCAAATTAAAGGTTAAGAGGAGGAGTTTTTGAAGTGGAATGGTGAATGCACCATTTTTTTAATCTAGCCAGTAAACATGAGCTCCATGCATTCAGATTTATCATTATTTTTACCGAGTGCTTGTGTTCGCTGGGCTGAACACAGAAGAGATGATACTGAAGTAAAGGGTAAAGCATGAGGACTAGAGGGACAGTAGCAGAGGGCACTGAGCTGAAAAATAGGGCTCTTAAGAAAGCCTGATATGAGCCACTAAATGAGCCAACTAGTGGTACAGAAATTATACAAAGGGGGCAGGTATCACAGCAGATTAATCTTTAGTCTTCTGCCTAGATAGTAGTTTCAGCCTATGGCCACAGGACATTGTCACAGGTATATTATGAATGGAAAAGTACTTGTGTTATATAAGGATATTTATGTGAAGTGAAAAGTACAAAATGATGTAAAATTTTAAAACAAAAAATATTTCTACATATACACATGTGCCTGAAATGAAACATATATATATGTGGCTGAAGTAAAATATATCAAAATATTAAGGATAGTTATTTCTTAATCATGAGCTTAGTGGTATCTTCCACCTTCTTGATACTTTTTGTAACTTTTATTGCCAGAAATAAGTTTTTTTAACATATAAAGGAATTATAGACTATTAGGGCAGACAGGTAGTTAGAGATTATATGGTGTAAAGACCTAATATTTCAGAAGTGCAAAATGAGTCTCAAGTGTGACCCAGCTGATTACTACAGACTTGAAAGCAGAATCCATGTCTGTGAGTTCTCTCTCAGTGAATTTCCCCTGTACCAACTTGCCTTCCAGAATACTTTACTTCTATGAATTTTTAAAACTACATTTGAGTTCCATTTCATACTGCTTTTACCACAATGGTAACCTATTGTGTTTTTATTCAATCCCTTCTGTCTACCATACATGTGGAGTATGCCTTCCACATCTTCTTCCAAGTAACTGAAAAATTTCCTATGAGGACATGACCGAATGCAGAATCCAATGACATCATCACAGTGGACCTGTCACAACAGAAATCCTGCAGGTCCAGATGTAACTCACTATTGCCACCTGGTGGCAACGATTGCAGATTTCTTTCACAGCTTCCTTCACTGAATACGTATACTTTGTATCATCCTCCAATTATGGCTCTGTCATAATGTTGCTTATAGTACAGACTTCACATTTTCAATATGTTGCCTAGAGCTCTATTAACAGCTAGAAATATGATATACATTACTTTTCCTGCCCCTTCTGTAAGTTAGAATATGTCTTTTCCTTCTTTTACTTGCTTATTTTTTAAAGTACCTACTACTGAATCAGTCCCAAATATTCCCTGGTTGCTTAAACATTCTCTCAGAACAATCAAGTGATAGGATACCTAATTCACATCAATATTCTGCCAATTTTATTGTCTTGATGACATCTCTTTCAGGGCCTCCTTTCCTGTCCCAAACCTAGTTATTTTTTCTCTAGAACTGCAAAGAGCTATCTAGACTTAAGTCTTCCCTCTTATTTCATCAAAAGTCTGACTGGATATTGACTCTAGGTTGGAAATAAATGTTACTTAGAATTTTGAAGGCAGTTTTTCTGCTGTCTCTGAGTAGTGCTGCTGGGGAGAAGTATTCAGTCATTCATATTTTTGATCCTTTGTAAGGAATTAGTGTTTCTTCCTTTTTGAGAGCTTTTAGGGTCATCTTATAGTATTCTGAAAACTCAAAGATTTTAAAACAGACCTGCCCTGTGTGGGTCTGCTTCATTCATTTTGATGACATTTAGTGAGTCCTTTAATCATAAAACTTGTACTCTTCCATTGTAGAAACTTTCTTGAATTTTTAATATACTCTTCTCTTTTTTCCTATTCTTTTTTGGAAACTCCTCTTATTTCCTGTTTATTCTGTTTCTTTCTGTTTTGTCTACTGAATTTTCCATTTATGCTTTTATATCTCTATATTTTACATTTATACTTTATTTTATATTTACATATTTTGTATTTTTGCCTTCTTGATTCTCTTTTATAGAATACTATTTGTATTTGTATTTCATAAATACAAGTAATATATTTGTTTGCCTCTCTGATTATATTAATGATATTTTCTTTTTTATAGTCTCTTCTTCTTGCATAGTCTCTGTTTCCCGCAAATTGCTCTTTTTTCTTTTTATTTATTTGGCAATCTCTCTTTCATAATTGAGGCTTTCATCAGATATCCAGGAATTTTTGGTTGTCTGCTCACATTTCAGGCGGTGAATATTTGTGTAGAAGCTCTGCACTCGTATTTTGGGATTTGTTGTTGCCTGTAAGCTTCACTGTAATGTCATCTGACTTGGCCTTTTTTTGAGAAAATTCTAAGGTCAATGTTTTCATCTCTCTTAACGCTGATTGTGTTCTCCAAGGAAGCATCATCTGGCCTTCTGCCTGCTGACACCCGAAAGGCATAGACTTGGCTCCTGGACCAGTGTAGGTAGAAGGCCGGGTTCTCCATTTTCAACTTGTAAGCTATCGCTCAGTACCCCTGTTTTCCTTGTGACACCCTCCCCCAGCCCAGAACTGGATCTGGTTCTCCTTATCCCGTTTTACCTTGTCTGAAGATCATATTTCTGTTTGGTGGATTAGAAGCTGTTGCATCCATGTGGATTTGAGGAAGAAAGTAGAAGATTTAACTGCTTCACAAGCAATTTTTTCTTCCTCCTGCTTTTCAGCATTTTAAAAATGTTGAAGCCTGCTGCTATGGAAATTGAATTGTTTATTGGCTTTTTTCATTACCGATTTAGGATTCAGCTTCCATGGGATTACTGGGGATAATGGGGTTATTTTCCACTCATCTTTTTACTTTCCAGCTTCCAAAATGATTTTGCTGTCATGTCTTCTCTTGATGTTTATATAATTTGGATTATATTTGAAAGTCTATTTGTTCTTGTTTTAATGAAGACTTAGAAAAGTGGTAACAAATGGGCCTATTTAACCTGCCATCTTAATGGAAGATGCAATATTTATCTTTTTACATTTCAAAATTAAAGAAATAAATATTTACTAATAATTAATGCCCACTTTTGACCTTGGTGCTTTCGTGGTCCATATGTTGGTAGATGATGTAACTAAAAAGGGAACAGGAGAGTGGAAGTTCCATAGTGCACAGAGGAATTGAGACAGTGGGAACCTGTCCTTTTGGTCTGCATGTTGAGTTTAAAGATCCTCAGTTAAGTTAATAACAGATTATGTTATTTAATTAAACCAGCCTTCCTACAGTGTTCTAATGGTTTAAAATGTCTATAAGAAGATTATTTCTGTAAAGAAATTTTTTTTATAATGGATTCTTTATTAGACGAAGCTCTGATCACAATAGTTGATCCCTTTAGTTTTCCCATCCTTTTTCTTCTCCATGCCTTCTCTTTGGCCCTATCAGGAGCTCAAGTCCTTCTAGACCTTCTCAAGGCCTCATTCTTTACCAGGGCAAACCTATCCCTTCAGATGAATCACTGACAACTCTCCTGCTGTGCCTTCAACATCCCAGCAGGCTTATCATTTTGCTGTTCCCATCTTTATGGACCCTGAACTTCAGCTTAATATGAAAATCAATTTCTATGCTCTCTTGGATGCCACTGGAGAAAATCCCTTGGCTAAGCTCGCTGGTGCTGTGAGAAATCCACAACCTCTGACCTCAGATGGGCCTCAGTATCACTCTGCAACGTTTTCCTGTGTTTCTGCTTTCTTACAAGGGATACCTAAACTCTCCCCACATCCTTCTGTAAAGAAATTATTGAATGAAAGTACTAGATAAGTGAATAGCAAGAAATTGTAGGAGAGGATCTTCTCCTTACAGCTAGTATGAACTCTTCATGAAGATCTAGTGAAAATATAATCAGTAATAACCTGAAGAATTCAGAGGAGTTGGTAGTAAAATTGAAGTTATCGGTAAGACTCTGAAATAGAATTTTTATCCACCGTAGTTAATAAAGAACTATTACATATTGTGAATTTGGATATGTTTATAAAGTAATAAACATTTATTGTGTGTGATGAATAAAGAGATGTTTAAAATGTAGCATTAAGGACATGAGGCCTCTTTATAAATAAACTCTATTTTTCAGAAATGTTAAAAGTCATGATTAAATCCAATATTTACTTAAAAAATTTTATTGCCCTAAATGTTAACTATTTAGAAGCTTCCCTTATACTTTCTTAGGAAAAAGCATATGTGTATGTGTGTTTGTGTGTGTGTGCCACTGAGAAAAACCTTGCTCTTTCTAGTTGTAAAAATGACTGAAACAAAATATAATAACATAGCATATTTTTCTATCCAGCAGCATGACAAATCAGATTCCCATGCTAAATGAGATGCTATTTAAAATATTAAAAACAATCTTTTAAAGTGCAACAATCATTTTAAAGCTGGATTTAAAATAGGATTTCAGATTTCAGTGTATCATGTTGCAAGGAGAGCTTGGTATAAAAGATATTGCTCCAGGCCAAATGTGTGTGGGGAATCATACAAGAAAATACACATAAAGCTGGTATCCTTTGCAGAAGCAGAAAGAAAATATCATGCTGAATTAAGGGAAAACAATATCCCCTAAAAATTCCTAACCATGAGCATTTTTTCTTAAAGCACTAATTTATGTTATGTGTGTGTTAAAGAGAAATAGCAATATAATTGAAAACTCTTACAAGAAGCTGCAACATAGGACTTAAAGAATTTCCATAGTAACTAAAAAAAAATTTCAATGTTTAAAAGTACTGAACATGCAAGAAAATAATTCAACAAAATGAGAACCAGCAATAAATAAATAAAAACTAAATCAAAGAAAGAGACCCACAAGGACCTCAGAGGTGTTGGACACAGACACAAAATATAATTACATTTACATATGATTAATAAAATTAGAGAAGCAATTGAAAATATGAAAAAGATTATAAAAGTTACAGGCAAATCTTAAGACAAATAGAGTTTACATAAATTAAATTTAAATAACAATTTAAAAGCTCAGTAAATAGGTCAAAATAGACATAGCTAAAGAGAAAATTAACTAGCTGGAATATAAATCAGAAGTTACTACTCATAAAAATAGATGTTAAATAGCTTAGAAACCACAGTGAGAAAGTGCAGAATGTTTAATTGGAGACTCAGAGGGAGAGAATACAGAGAACTAGGATGAGGCAATTGAATATTGAGAAATAACACCTGATAATTTGCAAGAATTGTTGGGAAAGATCAATACACAGATTCAGGAGAAATATGCACTTAGGCATAGCAAAGTAAAATTCTATCACACACACACACACATATACACACACATCATTAAAGCAACCAAAGAGAAAAGATTGCCTACAAAGGAATAATAATTTGACTGATAGCTAGCTGACTTTTAAATAGAAAAAAAGAAAGCCAAAAGGCAGTAGAAATATATAAATATATTTCAATGTGCAAAATAAAAAATAATAACCTATCTAGCACACTATAACTATAAAAACATGTTTCAAGAATTATAGAAATCTATCAAACAAAAACTGTGAATTTAACACCAAAATCACTCTCTGAAATACATTCAAAAGATATATTCAAGAAGAAGGACCATGACCCCAGATAGGGGGTCTGAGAAGCAAAATACAATGGTGAACAAAGATATTAATAAATATGAACATAACTCTACAGAGCACTGATTTTAAAAAATAATACAATTATGTAATTTATGGAGGAATAATAGACTAGAACTAAAAAATTGGAAAATGGCATGTAAATAGAAAGCGATGGTCTAAGTTAAAATATCCTAGGCTCTTTATACTGTTCAGGAGAAAAAAAAATGGATTATCTTTAAATGTTTATATATTAAGTAGACATGATATTAATGACTGAATTATGTCTCTCAATATTCGTATGTTGAAGCTCTAACACTCAAAGTGACTCTGTGTGGAAAAGGGCCTTTACAGAGGTAATTAAGTTTAAACAAAGAAGGATGCCTAATCCGATAGGGCTGATGTCCTTGTAAAAAGAGCAAAAGGGACCAGAAATCCCTCTTTCTACTGCATGTGCACAGAGAAAACATCACGTGAGGATGCAATGAGAAGGTAGCCTTGTACAAGCCAGAAAGAGAGGTCTCACTAGAAACCGACCCAGATAACACCTTGATCTTGTACTTGGCTAGCCTCCAAAACTGGGAGAAAATATAACAGATTTGTATTGTTTAAGACACAGTTCTGTACTATTTTGTTATGGCAATCCTTGCTGTCTAACAATATAGAAAATGATTGGACAATTAAAATAGACACAAAGTATAGAATAGACCACCCATACAAGTGTGTGTGTAGCGTGAAATAAAAGAAAATAACTGCATAGGAACGCAGGAAGAAAAGATGGAAAGAATATTTGGAAAAAATAAAAAGCTGGCAGTAGAAATTATTCTAAATATATAATGTCACAAATAATTTAAATGGATAAAACATGTCGGGTAGAGGTAAAACTTTTCAAACATAATAAAAGAGATACACCTAAAATATAAGGACACAGAAATATTGAAAGTGAAAGGATAGAGGAAATGCCAGGTAAATACCAGCTTTATAAAAGCTGGTAGTGTCATAAAGTGTTGAAAGTGAAAGGATAGAGGAAATGCCAGGTAAATACTAGCCTTATAAAAGCTGGTAGTGTCATGCCTGTAATCCCAGCACTTTGGGAGGCCGAGGTGGGCGAATTATGAGGTCAGGAGTTCGAGACTAGCCTGGCCAACATAGTGACATCCCTTCTTTACTAAAAATACAAAAAATTAGCTGGGCACCTGTAATCCCAGCTACTCAGGAGGCTGAGGCAGGAGAATCGCTTGAACCCAGGAGGCGGAGGTTGCAGTGAGCTGAGATCGTGTCACTGCACTCTAGCCTAGGTGGCAGAGTGAGACTCAGTCTCAAAAAAAAAAAAAAAAAGCTGGTCGTCCTGTATTATCAGCAGACAAATAAACTCAAAGACCAAAAAAATTAAGATAGATGAAGAGGTGCACAGCAAAATGATAAAAGGTTAATCAATCACACACACAGAAACATTCTAAATGGGTTCAGAATAACATAATTTAACAATGCAGAGGAACCAAAATGGACAGAAGTATCAGAAGAAATAGAATACCTGCATGATAGAAGGAGAGTTTAACAAAACAGTCTCATCAGTTGCTGAATAAAAAGAGACAAAACTTGGTCAGAGCACAGAGATTTGAGAAGCACAACTAGTAACTTGATCTTACAGAGTTTTGGAAAACATCGAACCTAATTAGTTAAAAATGTACAATTTGTTTTAAGCACAATGAAAAATATTTATTATAGCTGACTATGTGCTAGTCCGAAAAGCTGCTTTAACAAGTTTTAGAGAACTGTTATATAGACCACAGTTTCTGACCGCAGAAAAATTGTTAGAAAAAATTTAAAAGTAGCTAAAAATCTAATTTATTTTAAATTTCAAAACACATTTCTAAGCATCTTTTGAGTGAAAAAAATCTAGTATAATGGAAATCAGAAAACACAAAACTGAAAAATATGGAAAATAGCTAAAGTAATAGAAGCAAATTCATATCCTTAAATCCTTACTTTGGAAGAGAGGAAAAACTCAAAACTAATAAGGTAAAGGTCAGATTTTAAAAATTAGTAAAAGAGCAAGAGCATAAATACACCAACAAAGTAGACAGAACAAAGTAATAAAGAAAACTATTAAAAATAATATGAAATATACATTAAATAGAGAGGGTGAAAGGAGTCAGAAGTTGGTTCTTTGACAAGACTTGTAAGACTAATAAAATAGACATAGTTTGGAAAGATTATTTGAAAAATAATCTTTAAAATACAGATTTAAATAAAATAAGATAAATAAAGATTTACATTAAAAAAGACTTAAATAAAATATTTTATTTAAATGAAATAAAGATTATTTAAAAATAATCTTTAAATAATCTTTAAAAGCACAAGAAAAATGTTAGAAATAAAGACATATAACTATAAATACTATAGAAATTAAGTAGATATAAGAAAATATTATAAACAACCACACACTACTAAATTTGACATGGAACACATAAATTTCTTTTTAAAAATGCAATTGTTTGATGTTGAAATAGAAAATCTGAATACTCTTAAATCCAGGAAAGTAATAGAATAATTTCTAAGTACATATGCCTTCCACTTTCTCCTTTCCTTGAGCAGCTAGCTGCGATACAGAATGGACAGAGGGAGATGGGGAGCCATCTTGAACTGCAAGTTTCCAGTGCTGGAAATGGCAGAGAAGAGATAGAAAGAGTCAGGGGCATGGTGATGAAGGAGCCACTATACCAGCCTATTTCTATCTTGTTGAAATTGTTGCTATATTTGGTCTTTGCTGTGGCGACCAATCCATACCTTAACTAGTGCAAGTGATAAAACAAAAGAAAACAAGAGAATGATTAACACAAAATTTGGACTATAGCTAACTTGGCAAGGGGTTGGGGGTGATTCTGTAAGGAAAAGAGATAGGCTCGTGTAGATTTTAGAAATCATTATGTTCTAGTTATTAAGCTGGGATGTGGTATACATTATCTTATTTTGTTATTCTTCAAAATATTTAGTCACGTTTTATACAGGCATATATGCATGAAATATTTCTTAATCAAAATACAGAAAAATCAATTTGGAGACAAACATATTTCTTTTTTTTTTTTTTTTAGAAAATACCACTAGAAGATGCATAGGAGAACACTGTTGAGTATTTCAAGAAATAAAATATAGTATTCAAATAAGCTATGTAGTGTGGGGGGCTTATTGTACAGTTAAAGTACAGATATCACTAATATGGCTGAGCTTATGCTATTTGCTAGATAATATTTCAATAACATAAAATGTGAAGAACTAGATTTTTGTATTTCATAAAATAAAGATATATGGGAGAAATGATATTGTCAAAAGTCAATAGTTTCTTTAATAGAAAAATGTTTTGTGAGACCACAACTAAGAATGGCCATCAATGGAGATAGCACTTTGACTCTAATAAAGGTTGAAATCTGGAGTGAGGTCACGTTCACAGATTGTTGCTGTGATTCCTAAAGGGTGTATGGTATTCTCCCTCTCTCTCCTTGCTTACCTCGTCTATAAACATTCTCTATAAACCACTGCATGAATAAAAGGAAACCCTAGGTTGAGTCAGGTAAGGGTTGAGCAGTACTAATTACTGCCTTTGCCATCCAACTTCTCCCAGTTTAGGAAAATAGAAGAATAATGAAGGAGAGCCAGCTTTTGTTTGTTACGTGATCTAAGCTAAAATACCTTTTTCATATCTGATCTAGGAGCCAGATATTCCAGAATTAATATCTCCTTATTTGGCAGAACTAATACCCCTAGTTTCTAATATTATGAACCATGTTTATTACTGTACTTACAAGACTCCTTTGAATTTTTGGAGAACATTAAAAAGTGTTGTCTTGTACAATTGGATTTCAACCATAAGGATTTTCACCCCTAAACTAAACAATACCTAATTAAAAGCAAGATGTAATTTATTCAAGGATATTTTTACTTTGAACTTTTCCCTTTGAGGAATTACAACTTATATTAAACTAATGAAAAACAATTATCTCAGATTTTTCATTAAAAGTATACTGATTTTCCAATCTCTTTCATTTGTAGATGCCTGAAGGTTTAGAAATTGAGCTGATGTAAAACTCTGGGCTGTCTCTTTGAGTGACATTAATGCTTGCAGGGGAGGGAAAGAACTAGCAACTTTATTCCTTCTTTGGTATCTACAAATGGATTTTCGGATACCTAGAACTCATTTCCCATGGAAATTGTATGCATGGTGGTTGGTTTACCAGGTACCCCAATGGAACCTGACAAATATATTTCCTCAGGTACTGTCAGTGTAATTTTAGGATATTCCTTTCTTCTCCCAGTATCTTTTCTTGTCTACAAATATTTCAGCTACTTTTAGGGGGTAATGTGGGATTTATGGGCTTGGTAACTATTCACCACTTTATTTTGGGCAAGTAGAGAGCTCAGTTAGTATTTGGGCCATGGCCTATAGTGAGAAGAGAACTTCATAAAAGTTAAGTCATGGGACAAATCTCTTTTTTAGATATGCAGCATAGGAAAGTGACTCTTCGATGTGAATACTTTAAAATAAGGTCCTGGACTACTAAATATCCATCATCTTCAACACTAACATCTAGTCTTTATCACGCCAGCAAAATGATCATCGTTATTATCTGTATGAGAATTTTGCAGTTCTATTAACAAGAATTTTAGAGCTGATAAATTTTAGTTACAAAACATTTTTTTGTCTTTCTACCCAAAATGAAACCAGTCTGATCCATAGTGTTGACTTTAAATGTTTATCAGTTTGATTCTTTGCTTGGTGTAGTTTATTTTTTTAAAGCAGCCAAAAATAATAGTATTTAATGGTTCTGTTGTCCATAGTGACTTCTCTGAATTTTCCCTGATGGTTAACTAGACACTGGAAACTTAGTGTAGTTTATATACAACATGAGTTATTTTACTGTAATTGTAATCATTTGATAAAAATATTACTGAATTTATTTATTCAATAAGCAAATATTTACTATTTACAGCAGTCACTATTCAAGATATTTGTGATATGTACTAGATGGACAAAAATCTCTGCCCCATGAACCTTGCATTTTAGTGGAGAAAGAAGACAATGAACAAAATAAATAAAAATTAAGCAAATTATATAGTCTGTAAGAAGGTGATACATGCTTTTGGATAAAGTAGGGTAGAGTCAGGAGGATTAGGAGGAAGGATATGGGATATGGTGGCTGCAGTGAAATAGGGAGATTAGGGTAGGTCTTGTTGAAAAGGTGACATTGAGCAAATGTTAAATGTATATTTCTTAACTAATATTACTGTCTGCTAAATACAGAATTTATTTGGGGGCCATTATTATTTTTTTCTACTTATTGAGAATTTTCTACTTACTACACACTAAACTTTATATGGATCAGTGTATGTTATTGCCTTTGGGGAGAAATATTATAGTTCTAAAAATTGAAGTAAGCTTATTGATCAGCTTAGATTAATTTAATTATATTAGTAAAGAGATTTTAATTAAATTTTTAAAATCTTTAGTTTTGTACTAAATAAATGGTGCTTCAAATGAATCAAATTGTAATAATTTCATTAGAAATAAAATTTATTTATTTTATTGCAGGAACATAGCAAAATTGTGCAGATTACCAAAAAAAAAGCTAAGCCTTTTATTTTATTTCTCTTCCTTTTTTTCATTTTCATTTTAGGTTTTGGGGGTGCATGTGCAAGTTTGTTATATAGGTAAACTCATGTCATGAGTGTTAGGCTGTGTTGAGGGAAATTCATAACACTAAATGCCCATATCAAAAAGTTAGAAAGACCTCAAATTAACAACCTAACATCACAACTGAAAAAAATTAGAGAAGCAAGAACAATCCCAAAGCCAGCAAAAGACAAGAAATAATCAAAATCAGAGCTGAACTGAAGGAAATTTATCTTCTCTGAAATTTAATTTATACCACTCTCCCCAAAAAAAGAGTAATATTTGTATTTTTTTTTTGACTTGTAGGTCAAATTCAAAGTCAAACCCCACAGGATTTATTTTAATTCAATAGAATATCCTACCTACTTCAAGAAGAAAGCATAAGATCAAAAGATTATGAATATAAATATTTTATAGCTAGATGAAGTAGATATACATTCTTCCATATAATCAGTGTTAAATTATATAGGGTAAATCTATCAAAGAACAGCTGCAGTTTATTATAATTGTAACACAAATTATATATACATTTATTCCTGAAAATATACCTATAATTGTTAAAAATCAAAACATATCATAAATGTATAATATATAAAATAATGCTTTCATGCATGTCTTATAAAGAATACTTTAGTGCAGCAAAAAACTATTCCTGTTTTTATATAAAGCTAAATTTTTGTGCATTGCATTCTGGAAAGACCATAGAATCAACATTCAAAAGCCTCGCTTTCCTTTCCTAAACTCAGATATTAATCTTTATTGCCAAAAATGCATCTCCGTTATCTTTTCTCTATTGAAAGGTTATTCTTACCTCTGAGTTCTGCATTCTAATCAATGGCATCACAATCTACCGCTCCCTAGTTTAGAGCAGTGGAGGCATCTCCTACATTTTTTTCCCTCGTCCCCAATGTCTAATTAATAAAAAAGCTCAGTTGCTCAGTTAATCAAAAAGCTCACCACTGACTTTCAGGTTGTCCCAAAGGCAGAACTTATCATATTGCCCCGCAGTTTTAAGGCTTTGCGTTTTCCATAAAATCAACTCTAAACTCCTTTGCATTGGATGAAGAGATATTTATAACCTGGACAAACCCATACAATAATTTTATTCCCCACAACAGCTCATCTCTAGCATCTGCATTGTAGAGGTTTCCTGAAAAAAAAACATTCTTTACTTAGCTGGTTCTTTGAATTAGTTGTACTCTCTGATTAGAAAGTGTCTTCCTCTTTTTACTCTTTTGCTTTCACTCATTCATTAATTGATAAAGATAACTACTTATCGAATACATCCTTTGTGTCAGGCAATGGGAATGTGCCAGAGTTTAAAGTGCTGACAAGGTAGACACATTCTTGCACTCATGAGTTCGCACTCTTCTGCTTGCACATGCTCTCGTCTTTCCAGACTCAAATGTCTTTACATTATACTTCCTCGCTGCAGTACTCCCAGATCAAACTAGTTGCTCCTGCTTCTAGAAGTGTTGGCATCTGTGCATGCCTTTGTTGTGGTATTTATGTCAGACATATTTTTATAAGTCCGTCTTGTCCACTAGACTCTGAGCTGCTTACAATAAGGAGCAGGTCTTTTCATCAAAAGACCTGCCTACAATGCCTGGGACAGTATTTGGATATCAAATCAATTTGAATGGTTTTGACTGAAACTTTAGGCCTTATGATAGAAAACTAGGTTTCCAAAGATGACCACAAGAAATTTACTGAATGCATGTATATTCTTTCTGTTTAGGTGTGCCAATTTTCATAACAGCTTTTAAAGCCCATTTCTTTATTTTTTTTTATTATACTTTAAGTTTTAGGGTACATGTGTACAATGTGCAGGTTAGTTACATATGTATACATGTGCCATGTTGGTGTGCTGAACCCAGTAACTTGTCATTTAACATTAGGTATATCTCCTAATGCTATCCGTCCCCCCTTCCCCCACCACACAACAGGCCCCAGTGTGTGACGTTCCCCTTCCTGTGCCCATGTGTTCTCATTGTTCAATTCCCATCTATGAGTGAGAACATGTGGTGTTTGGTTTTTTGTCCTTGCGATAGTTTGCTGAGAATGATGGTTTCCAGCTTCATCCATGTCCCTACAAAGGACATGAACTCATTTTTTATGGCTGCATAGTATTCCATGGTGTACATGTGCCACATTTTCTTAATCCAGTCTATCACTGTTGGACATTTGGCTTGGTTCCAAGTCTTTGCTATTGTGAATAGTGCCGCAATAAACATACGTGTGCATCCCCATCAAAAAGTGGGCGAAGGATATGAACAGACACTTCTCAAAAGAAGACATTTCTGCATCCAAAAGGCACATGAAAAAATGCTCATCATCACTGGCCATCAGAGAAATGCAAATCAAAACCACAATGAGATACCATCTCACACCAGTTAGAATGGCGATCATTAAAAAGTCAGGAAACAACAGGTGCTGGAGAGGATGTGGAGAATTAGGAACACTTTTACACTGTTGGTGGGACTGTAAACTAGCTCAACCATTGTGGAAGTCAGTGTGGCGATTCCTCAGGGATCTAGAACTAGAAATACTATTTGACCTAGCCATCCCATTACTGGGTATATACCCAAAGGATTATAAATCAGGCACATAAAGCCCATTTCTAATGTATTATTCTATAACATACCTGGCATACTGTTAATTTTTCATGTTTTATAGGAATTATTTCTATCTCTAAAGATAATATCTTCATAAATATATATGCAATTCCCATCTTAAAAAATCCTTAATATATTCTGTAGCTAATGGCTTAAAACTTATCTTTGTATTCATTTTCTCTTTACATAGAAATTGCTCTTTCCTAGAAGATTTCTGTAATTAACAAGAGGGTTTTCTTTTTCCTATTGAACTGCCTGTTAATGCATTCCATGGCCAGATGAAGAAATATATGTCCCACTTTCCTATTCCTAATGCCATAGTTACTATAGGAGTATTTCTATGTGGGATTTATTTTTCAGGTCTTGAGATATATTGCTCCCAGTGCAATCTAGTATAGTATTTTTATATTGATTTATTCTGGGGAAATGAATTCTATGGGATAGTTTACAGAGATCTCCTTCCCTCTTTTAATATCTAGAATGGCTACAACTCCTCCACCTGTATTTGACAGAAGCAACTCATGAATTCTGCATTGATTTTTTTTAGTGGCAATGGAAGCACTAAAGATAACGAGTTGTAATTACATGAATAGGAGTTGCTCCAAGTTCATAACCTGGAAGAAATGACGACGATGCCCCTAATGAAAATCAGTCTATTAGGCCAGCAAGATTTTAATAAGAGAAGGATGAAAAAAACCTACCTATCAGGTACTATGCTTATTACCCGGGTAAGGAAATAATCTATATATCAAACCCCCAAAACATGCAATTCACCTGTACTACAAACCTGCACATGTACCCCTGAAACTAAAATAAAAGTTAAAAAAAGAAAATGAAGCAATATTCTGAGACTGGAATTATATTTCTTTAAACTACCTTGGCTAACTGCCATTATCCTGATTCTGGTAAAAAGAGAAAATAATGATACTAATTTTCAGAGCCTAAAATGGTTCCTATCCAGATGTTGATTTCTGTCTGTTCATGAAAGTTTATCAAACCATTACACCATGCTACTGCTTAGTCAAGCAAAATAATTTATAGAAAAGGAAGCAAGTGGCAGGTTTTAAAATGCATATGTATCTAACTACAGCTCTAATATAATTTTGTATATAATTATTTAGAAAGAATCAAATTTATGTACCTTTTCCAACTCCACCTTGCTTGAAATTTTCCCTGTATCATTATTGTATCTGAAAAATACATTGATCCAGTTATAATTTTATTAAAATATAATTTGGAAAAATCCCAATCAAAATGTCAGTATTCCTTACCCTGGAACTGGTTTTGTTTTCTCTTTCCTCTCATTTATTTCATGTCCATTAACACTTTCTGCAAAACATTAAATAAAAGAAAAACAATTTAAATAAGGGATTATCATTGGGTTTGCCTGTGTGTGGATGCGAAGATGGAAGCATTAGTAGAAATTGAAAATAAAAAATTCACTGTGTACTAACATAACAGTCATCTTATTTTATAAATACAAATATCCTCCCAACACTTTTTCACTGCATCAGAGCAGTTAGTCAGAGCCAGAAATAATAACAGTGAAATTTGATGCTGTATCCAAATAGAATGTAGGAATTAAAGATTCCCAATATTATGCAGGAAAGCCATTTCAGTATAGGAAAGAGTAACCTGGAGGTCTACTGATAAAGACATGAGAGAGTGTTCCATCAGTCTGGCTGAGGGATAGAAAAGGCATTCTTCTTTTTGCAAGCAAATAGAAATGTAACAATTTAGGTAAAATATTTGTAGAAAACTATTTTTGTAGATACTGAGAACTATAGAGGGAAGAAAGTTAAATTCATATCATGCATGTATAGATGGTTAATTCAAAATACAACTTAGAATTCTTGAGTTTATGTCTATTGCTCTAATGACTAGACCCCAGATTGGCCATATCAACATGTGATACCATCAATTTCTAGTCCGTGGTTGGTTGATCCGTTGAAGTAAGTCATCTGAGTGGCCTCGACCTCTGCTTCTGCATTGATGATCTGCTGCACTACAGCCTCCGCAATGGGCATCACCATGGCAGCCGTCGAGGTGTTGCTGAGCCACATAGACAAAAAGGCAGTGCTGCTCATGAACCCCAGCGTCAGCCTGAAACCAGAGAGCCATTATTGTGGAGCTGTGCTCTTAGCTTAACTAGCACCGTATTATTTAACTGGAAGATGTTTAAGATGTGTTTTGTGAGTTGGGAAATTAAGTCTTTCAAAACATGGAAGGTTAAGATTCTGCCCAGATGATGAAATTGGAGTACCGTGACAGCCAGGTAGAAATCAAAGCCATATATGTAAAAGTGGAGTTCTTAAGAGATTTGTCTCCCAGGGAACCATGCAAATTTTCTCTTCAGAAACAGAAAAATGATTAAAACTAAACGAACTGCAAGTTGGTTATATGACATAACAGCTTATAATATTACACCAATATCTGAATGCTCTTCACAGCTGACCACTTATCTTCAAATGCTATTAAGACGAAACTGCAATCAACTTTTGAATTTAAGGTCCCTTATTTTTTCTTTTATCTTTTAGCCATAACTCTGTTCATAGGGGTGTCAAGGAGGTACAAGGACAAAGAAAGATTAATATTTATAAAGCCTCTTTTTACTTGTTCACTATACTAGTTCAGTATAAGGTGGGTGGAGAAAATAGTTAAAGTCATTTGCTAAAATGAGGTTTCTGAATTTTCTGAATATTCTGATTTATGCTCCCCTGAATCTGATATCCTTTCCTATTGTCAAGATCTGGACACACTACATTGTCTTCTTTTATAAATAGAGTAGTTATTAGTTATTCTCCTTAAAAATAATATACCTAAGACTACAAAATTTTAAGCCATATCTATAAACTTTCAAAGTCACACTTGGGGAAAAAAATGATCTCTTTTGAGTAGGCGGGCCTAGAAAATCATTCAGAAGCACACCTTTCTATATAGAGCAATTTATGAAATAATCTGACACCCTTTTAAAACAGATGTACAAGAACAATACCACACTGTAAGTTTCAGACTCAGATAAGGTGAATATTTTCAATGTATACAACAAAATAAAAGAAAATATATTAGGAATCTGCTTACGCAATAAATGGTTCTTCTAAAAAAAAGAAAATTAAGAACTTTTAACTTCTTAAGGCATTGTCAAAACAAGAAATCTTTGTATAAAAAATGCCAGGATCAGATAAAGCTTCTGGATGGTGAAAATGCCTTAAATTGAAGAGCCACTTAGTGGCATAATGGACAGAACTTCTGCCCCACTGTGAAGTGCATTACATCATCCTCTGGAACAGTGAGCAGAGGGTCAGGAAAAAGAGATACATTTCTGTAGCACCCTAAAAGGCATGGAGCCCCACTTCATTTTAAGAGTCAGATGACGTCGTTTTGGTTTTTTTTGTTTGTTTGTTTGTTTGTTTTGAGACAGAGTCTCACTCTGTTGCCCAGGCTGGAGTGCAATGGCGTGATCTTGGCTTACTGCGACCTCTGCCTCCCAGATTCAAGCAATTCTCCTGCCTCAGCTTCCCGAGTAGCTGGGATTACAGGTGCCTGTCACCATACCCGGCTAAACTTGAACTCCCCACCTCAGGCGATCGCCCACCTTGGCCTCCTAAAGTGCTGGGACTACAGGGATGAGCCACCGTGCCCGGCCGAGATAATGTCTTAAACACATATGTGTTATACAATTTTTAAGTAAAAAAAAAATTGAAAATTTGTCTCGTCTGAGTCATTTTTTTTTTGTATTTAGCAAAACAATTTGCACCATAAATGAAAAACACAGATGTGTCTACGCCCTAGAATGAATTATGCAATATAAGTCAATACAATATTCTAATTTTCAAAGAAAGATGAGAAGGGAAGAAACATCTAAGGCTTTAACGCAAAATGCCACTATGCAAATGATTATGACACTGGAAATTTTCTTTAGCTTACATTCATGTTCTTAGCAAGAAGTGAAATAAAACCGAAATAGCCAATTAATTTTATCAGTCAAATGAGTGATTTCATACTCTGTAGATGAAATGTCTTAATTGATTTTTTCACTTTGCAACAGTTGGTTTAAAAAGAAAAATATTCACCTTGGAATTTTTCTGCACACATTTGTATTTTGTCAGTAATGTCTTTGTCTTTGGTTTGTAACATCCTCCCTGATGATAAAGGATGCTCTTGAACAAGTTCTGAATGTGTAATCAGCCAAATAAACAAGATCGGAGGAAAATCTACTCTGAAGTCTATCAATCTTGTCTGTTGAGGTTCAAAGCTTCTCTCAGCTTTGACTTCTATGATGCATAAAAGGTGAGAAAGTTGTGTGCACGTATTCCAAGCACCCTGTAATCAGACCTGCAGTGAAAGTTGTTTTTTTTTCCTCCTACAACTCAAGTACACTTTATATCACTTTCATATTTGCAGAGGAAAAAACGTCATAAGTCAGACTGTGATACAAAGAATTTCCTGGGCGTGAATTACTTATTTGATTATTTGCTCTGCACAAAAATGGTCTGTTCAGCAGGTAAACTGGAAGCAGTAAATGCAGTACTTACCATGCAGGATTTACACCAACCATCATCACCATTTTCAGAGCAATTCTCTTGTGCAAATTCCATTTTTCTATGGATGTTGCTAAACAGATAACTCCAATTAGCAGTAAGTGAAAATCCTTGAAATAAGCAGATGCCACCTGAAATAACAATTAAACCCGTGATTATTTACTTTGGTGGGGAAAAATAACATTGCACAAGAAAGACATTATTATGCTGCTCTTAATTTTGACCTTCAACCGCATAATCTTTCCATTTTGTTGAGAAAAATGTAGATGTGTTTGAATACAAATTTAGACATGTTCTATATTCTTACTCAAAAATGGTGTTAAGGAAAAGTATACCGAAAAAAGAGTACTCAGGGTTATTAAATAGCTGAGTAACATCAGGTAAGTGCTTTTCTATTGGGGCTAATTTGTTTATGCATCTATAGTGGAATGGCAATGACTGTGATTTGGGAACGTTTTCAATCAAGCTCCAACTTACTACTGTCTTCATCATGACCCATTATGCTGTAACTGCAGTCACACCTTTATATATTGAATGATTTTACTTTCAAAATTACTTTTTATAAGGCCAGGCATGGTGGCTGATACCTGTAATCCCAGCATTTTGGGAGGCCAAAGCAGGTGGATCACTTGAGGTCAGGAGTTCGAGGCCATCCTGGCCAACATAGTGAAACCCTATCTCTACCAAAAATACAAAATACTAGCCAGGTGTAATGGTGCATGACTGCAATCCCAGCTACTCTGGAGGCTGAGACAGAAGAATTGCTTGAACCCAGGAGGCGGAGTTGCAGTGAGCCGAGATCGTGCCATTGCACTCTAGCCTGGGCGACAGAGTGAGACTTCATCTTAAAAAATAATAATAATAAAATTGTAAAACAAATACCCTCAAATGAGACTTAATATTTTAAGCAATTTTCAGTCAACACCATTCAGAGATTAGTAAAGGACCTAGAACTTTAAGCAACCATTTGCAGCAGTATTTCTTAAAGAATACTTTGAAATACATTTAGGTACATAATCTTTTTTTTTAAAAGGGTTGTGTAATTGATTAGGTTGAGAAAACAGAATTTTGACATACTAGAACTTTCTCTCCTATAGGCCTTTGCAAAAACCTTTAAACAATAGTGTATAATGTCATTTTTAAAGAGGGGGATATCATATACTACATATTTTTCAGATTTACTTAATTATTAAAAACTTATTTTTATTTAATTTTTAGGTGGAGCACTTCATGAGAGTGGTATTCAAGATAACTTACTTTAAGAAGCACTTGGCTAAACTGAAACACAAGGCTGTGCTGAAAGAGGATTATAAGAGTAAATGCCCCTCTAAAAAAATCAAACAATAGCTAATAGAAGGAATGGGAATGTTGGAATAAAACCATTCTAATGTTACAAAACCACAAAAAGGAAAATCAATTCTTATGATAATTTTGCTATATTAAATTATATCTGCATTTTTAACATAATTTGCTAAGCTTGGCTTCGTTTCGATAAAAAGCAAAAATTGATAATTACCCTTGAAATTAAAAGTAGGCAAGTGGACAACTTTTATATTTTATAAAATGTTCATTTATGATGTCTTTCAAAGTTTATATCTATCTCTTTACATTTTGTAGTGATTGGATAATAGAAAATAATTATATCAATTTCCTTGCTATTTCATTTATTACTCATTGAAAAATTATCCATATGCACCAAAAATATTATAGGAGCAGAGTATATATTAATAAATGCTTGATAAATTTTTCCCTCTTTGCACCTCTTCAATTCTCAAATATCAGGCCTTTCTAAATAGGTCCTATATTTTTCTGTATCATAGAGCCGTGTTTGGTTTTTTCGTAGTATATACATTACGTAAATACTGTTTGTTTACGTGCTTATTGTTTTCTCTATTATACCATACATTCTGATGAGGACCAGGAATCTGTTTTGCTAGCCAAACCAGGACTCTATTTTGCTAACCATCACGTATTTTGCACCTAGCATAGTGCTGGTACACAGTAGAGAGCTTGGTAAATAGAATTGAAAGAATGAGGGAGAGAGGGACAATGAATAAGCTATGGTCTCTGAGCTCTTATATCCCAATTTTCTACACTCTGTCCTCTACTTCCTAGTCTCCCACCTCTTTCAACTCTTACTCTAGGTATAAGTATTTCAGTATATTAATTTGCCAGTGCTTCCAGAGTCGGGAAGCTGTTTTTTTTTTTTTTTTCTCCCTGGTTCTATACCTGCCTGTGAATTTTTCTTTTTTTTCTAACTTTGAAAATCCAGTTATCTCGGTCCTCCAAAATGCTGGTATTCCACAGGGTTCTGTCCATAGTCTTTATAGTCTCCTTGTTTTATCCATCCAATGACTGAATTTGAAAGATTCAACTTTATGGGACTAAAATAATGCCTGGCACATACATGGGGGCACTCAATGAACCTTTGTTAAATGAATGTAGACTACACCAAGATCTTTATTTCCACACAGATAAGTCTTCTGAGTTTCAGACTGATATGTCCAACTGTTCATTTCCATTTGAATTTCCCACAAACACCTACAATTCAACATATCCACAATGACACTTCTCATTTTCTCACTCCCCATCCTTCAAACACATTCTCCCTTTGTAGTTAATGTAAACATCTATCTACTCAGTTGCCCAAGACAGAGACCTAAAGGTCAGCCATGATTCCTTTTTCACTTCCAATATAAGTCCTATTATTCCTAGGTCCTTCATATCTTTAAAATTTGTCCCTTTTTCTCTGTTTACACATGACTACCTTGATTAAGTTCCTCACTATTTCTCACTTGGCTACTGTATGATCGATCTTTTTCTGATCCACTCCATACCATTGTCATAGCCCCTTTTCTACAGTGTAAATCTGATCACATAATTGTCCTTCTTATACTTCTTCAGTATAGTTTTTAAGAACTTCCCATAGTTTTAAAGACCAAATCCAATATTTTCAACATGTCATAAAAGACCCTTCATCATCTGGTCCCATTTCACTTCTCCAATTTAGTTTTTTGCCACTCCACCCTTCTTCTTCCTATGTATTTAGTTCCCCAAACACAGAAGTGCTTTAACACTTGCTTGCAATTTAACCTGGAATGACCCTCTCTGCTTGTCTTGGATACTTCTAGTCTTCCTTCATGGAAGATGTCAGTTCTTCTAAGATATCTTCCCTAGGACACTAAACTGGATTAGATAATATCTCCCTTTTTATAGTACATCTTAATTTATATATTGATAATTTCTTCACTTATTTATCCCCTTTATTACACTAGATTTATCTTGAAGGCAAGATGTATCTTATTGATCATTGTATTTATGGACTTAGCACATGCCTGGCACAAACTGGCACTCAATGGATGTTAAATTTAATAAGTCCCTAGACTTAAAGAGCTTACAAGCTATTAGATGAGAAAAAACAAGTTAACAAAAAGTGCAATAAAGTATTATAGATGCTTGAATGATACCTCTCCAAAATATAATTGAGATTTTAAAAGTAAGTGGGGTGATAATTTTTTTTCCTAGAGGGATTGGGAAAGTCTTCTTACAGGAGCTGATCCTTGAGTTTATTATTGAAAAATGAATAAAGATTTAAGTTTTCATTTTCCCTTATCTCTTTTGCAGTTTGGCTCATGGAAATAAGCCCTATTGACTGCTGTGGTCTAAACGTTGGTGTCCCCCACCCAAATTCATATGTTGGCACCTAAAAGGAACCAAATATGTTCACTCCAACCTCTTGAATGGAATTAGTACTTTTATAAAAGGGGCCTGAGAGAGCTCCCTTGCCCCTTCCATCATGTGAGGATGCAGCAGCAAGATGCCATCTATGGAGCAGACAGCAAGCCCTTACCATACACTCAATCTGCCAGTGCCTTGATCTTGGACTTCACAGCCTCCAGAACTGTGAGCAATAAATATCTGTTGTTTATTTACCCAGCTTAATGTATTTTGTTGTAGTAATCTGAATGGGCTAAGATACCCTATTTTACCAATACTCTGAGAATTAAATAAAAGAATAAATGCAGAATTACTTAAAAATACAAATAAACACTTAGAAGCAAGCCATTATTAGTAAGTGATTAGACACAGAAAGAAGTCCAGGACTATGAGACATTCTTGCTGTTACTGATTTGGGTTATATGAGGAGTTAGCATATTGTAGAGGGCCAAGCAGTAAATATTCTAGACTTTTTTGGCCATATGGTCTTCATTGTAATTATTCAACTCTGTCATGGCACAAAATAGCCAAAGGCAATATGTCAATGAATGACTATGGATTTGTCCTACTAAAAAGTTTATTTTAAAAATTAGGCAGCAGGCTGATTTGGCCTTCAGGCCCACAGTTTGCCAGTTTTCTCAATAGACCATGCAAACAAACTACAGCCTGCAGTCCAAATAAAATTAGTTGTTAAACTTAAGAAAAAAACTTCACATTCTCTGTTTTCATTGTAGTACCTATTCTATGGTTTTCATCAGTCAGAATATTTGAGAAGAAACATTAGCCTCAGGCAGATGTGTTTGTTTATGGCCTACTTGTCCAGGGAGGTAATAGAAGAAGGTGCTGTTGGTTTGTAAATTACACTGATAAATATAACTATTCTCAAGGCAAAATTGATATGTCAAATAACATCTCTAATAAAATTTGATATCTATTTGCAAGATCAACATAGTTATATTTCTGTCTCAAAATAGGATTTCATCAAAAAGCATGGGCTTTTGCAATCAGAGCACCTGAGTTCTCTCTTAGTTATGTAATTTACCAGTTCAGCAACCTTTCTACAAATCAATAAATAGTTGTAAAAATTAAATATTACCTCACACCAACCTTGCAAATTAAATGAGATAATATTTTTTAAAAGGTGCTTTGTTAGTTATTAGGTTGTTTAGCTAAATCCAATAGCCAATATCTACTTTTCACATTAACTGACTTATCAGCAGATTTGACACACATAATCATTGCCTCATCTTCAAAACATTTGCTTCACTTGGATTCCAAGATCCCACACCCTCCTGGTTCTCCTCCTACCTCAATAACCTTTTCTTCTTAGTCTCTTTGGCTAGTGCTTTCTCTTCTCATTTGCCTCTTACTGTTATAGCTATGCAGAGGTCAGTTCTTTGTCCTCTTTGCTTCTCTATCTTCATTCACTCCCTGAGTGATCTCATCAAGTCTTAGGGCTTTAAATACCATCTATATTTTGATGAATCTCAGATTTATATCTGCAGATTAGCTCTCTCTCATGAACTCTGGACTCTTTTGTATTCAACTGCCTACTCAACATCTTCACTTAGATGTCTAATAGGTATTTCAAACTTTTCTGTCCAGCACTGAACTCTAAGTGTCAGCCCCTTTCCTAGAGTAAGCCTGCACTTCCCATCTTCCTCCCATTTCAATTGATAGCAACTCCATTTTCCCAATTGGCAGATAAGCTGTGAGGCATCTTTGACACTTTTCTTCCAACCATATGCCATATCTAATCAATCAGGAAAGTTTGCTGATTTTACCTTCAAATTTTATCAGCAATACATTCAATATCTCTACTACTGCCCCTGGTCTGAATTACCATGGTCTCTCACCTACTGCAGTAACCTCCTACCTGTCTCTTTCTTTCTGTCTTGTTTCTCAACACAGCAGCCCAAATTATCCTTTTTAAAATCAAAGTTAGGTTGATCATTTAACTTTTGTGCTCAAAACTCTTCAAAAGATCCCATTTTATTCAATGTTAAAATCTTGCAATGGACTACTTTGACCCTACCTGGTCCATTGCCTCATTACATTATGTACCTGACCTAATCTGTCATTCTCCTTTTTAGTTACTCTTTTCCAATTACACTGCAGATATACCTGCAATAAGGTCTTTGCACTGGGTGTTACCTCTTCTGCAATAGTCATGCTCCAAATATTCAAATGGCTAACTCCTTCATTTCCTGTAAGTCTTTCTTCAGGTATCACTATCTCAAGGAGGTCTAACCTGACCATCTTATTTAAAACTACCATTCTCTCTGATCCCCATCATCCTGTTGCATCTTTTCCATAGCACAAAATTACCTTTCTAGCTCACTATACTGTATAATATTTCTATTTATCAGATACAGTGTTCATTGCCTCCTTTCCTCTAGAAAGACAGGAAATATTTTGCCTGTTTTTATTCATTGATATGTTCCTAAATCCCTGGCAGGGTACTACCATATGAATATCTGTTGAATAACTGAGTAAATACATAACATAACACCTATATCTCTCTCTTTCTCTCTCTCTCTCTCTATATATATATATATATCTCCATACATGTGTATTTTCACATTCATATATGTGAAATTTATATTTAAATATTTTCGATGATAATATTAATGCTTGTTTTGAAATATCAAATTGAACATACTCTAAATACTTTAGATTTCTGGTTTAGTTCAACAAATATGAGAAAAGTTTAATATTTGTTGATATTCTTCAAATACAGTAATGGGCTCAGCAAAATACCAGTATTTAGGATTGGCTTAATAAACAGGTAAAGTTATAACTGTGATGGCCAAAGAGAGAGGTGTTTAGGGCTCTAAACTTAGATGAGGGCATTAATGACATGGTATCCTACTCAGTGACAGATCTGAGATTCAAAGATGTTGCAGTGGGCAGGAATTATAGTTTAAAACTCTCAAAACAAATTTTAACTGGGAATATTAAACCTAGTAAGAATGCTTGATACTTAGTTTGTATCATTGTTTAACATACATTATTTAATTTGATCATGACAACAATGGGTTGTGTAGCATTATCACATCCCACTTACAGATGATAAGAATTATTAAAGGACATGATCATAATCAGTGATAAATATCAAATTTTAAGCTCAGGTCTTATGACTAAATCTCTAGCTCATTCATAATAGATTGTAGCTTTGGTCAGCTAACTTATTAGTAAAAGGTAAGTTACCCTGTCGGCAAAAAGGATCACAAGTCTGAGAACAGTTTTCTCCACTAAAAGTTCTAAGGACTATGATTTGCTGCAAGTTCCAGTTAAACTTACAAGGTGAAGAGAATCACATAAAGTTTAAAACAAACTTAGGCTGAAATGCCATAGGGAAGACGATAGGCTCATTCACCTTTACAACACTCAGAATGTTTCTAGAATGATCTATTCACTTTTGTGAATGTATAAATAATAACATTGGCTAACATATATGGAGTACTTACTATGTAATGAAATTTACATTTATTAACTCATTTAATTCTTAAGTCTCATTGACAAACTAGAGTTAGTTTCAGGAAGAAAAAGAAGATGGTGGTGGTGATGGAGTTGGAAATGGCAGATTTGAGGATGGGAGTTGAGGTCTGGAAACCACTAAGGCTCAAGGTGGGAAGAAATAAGGAGGAAATGATATTAATTTTCAAATTCAAGCAACATTTTCATGAAAAAAACTAAGGTTTATTTATGAAATTCTACATGTTAGAAATAAGTTTAATGAGTCAGTGATTGAGTTTCAGATGTGGGCTTAATAAAGCTGAGTTACTTATGAGTTAAAATTATTCAAAAATAATATGTATCTCCTTGAAAGGGATATTAGAGGCCCATAACCCAGAAAGCTTTTAAACACCTTCTGAATGATTTCATCCGTTAGAGATATTGGAGATATTGGATGGGATCCCTGTTCTGGGTGAGAAGTGACCAAGAAGAATTCCCTTTCAAGTCTAAGATTCTATGACTGTTAAATTAGTCTGGGGATAAAGGACTGTTGGGCAGGTGTCTGCAGTCACAGTGATGCAAAACTGCCATTGGCACCTACAATTTTGCTGCCTTTAGTCAGGCCCTTACACACCACAAAGAGGCAGACGTATATATCCTTGGCAGCTCCTACAAAGCCAGCCCTTCCCAGGCACCCTTCCCTCCTGCTTCCCTCTAATGTTTCTATGTCCCTTCCCATAACAGCTTGCTACAGAAATGCCCCATGAGTCCAGTGAATCTCACTTCTACTTCAGCCTCTTTTTAACAGTTAATTTAGTCAGTTTTATTGTTACTAAACCATAACAGACAAAGGTATAACTGTTAAAAACACACCTGTCTCTGGACACAGAACCATCCAAGCCCATGGGACAAGGGTTAAAAATTTGACACCCTATTTTTAACAACTGATCAACCCCTTCTTTTTTTATTCCCGATATTGAAAGCCATATAGCATGTTTAAGCATTTAAGAAGCTTAATAGATTATAGCTCTGAGATTCCATGCGGCAGCAGAATGTCAGCCTGGAGGCAAGAGGAACTGAAGTACAGCCCTGGCCAGTCTTCCAAATCAATGGCCATTAGAAAGAAAAGACTCGAAGTTAGGTGGGAGGGGAAAACCCAGTAAGAAAAGAGGATCAGGGAGGATAAAAAGTGCAAAAAGATCGACTGGGGCTCCAAAATCAGGAAGAAGGACGTGAAAATAAAGAAGGGAACCATTCCTTTCACAGGAAGAAATGTAATCAAGGGTTTGTTAAAAAGAAAATGACAGACAGGTAAGCCTCAAGAGAGCAATGTTAGACCCAGGCAGAAGATAGAAGTCCAAAGGTGATAAATTGCACTGACTGGTATCTCGAACTTAACATCTTTCTTGAGATTGTTTCAGCTGTGGTTTAGACAGTTGTTCACTGGGTGGCTGGAGACTGGTTTCAATGCGTTTGGGAAACCAAATCCACTTTCTTCAGATGGGTACTCTTAGATTGTATAGAACAAATAAACACCTCTTAGCATGAATAAACTCCTCTCAGCAAGAACAAAATGGAGCTATACATGAACATTAGTTTGGCTTTATCTTTTGAAATGGCAGGTTTCTGGAAATGAAAACAGGGAAACTTTTTCTTCATTAAAAACAAAATTGTTTTTCCAACACCGTGAGGCTGAATTCTGCTGAATATAAAAAGCTTATGGAGGATGTCAACAAATTTCCCTGTTTTTGAGAGGGAGGCACTAGGCATAGATGTCAGTGAGAGAAGAGGGGACATACATTTCTCCCACTGACATGCATGACTCAAGAAGCTGCAGCTTGTGTTTGTTCTTTGAAGGTGGACACACATGCAGAATGCCAGAGAGGAGAAACAGTTGGAAGTTTGGGGGACTTATGTGGAACCTTACCAACGAGATGATTGCTCCCTTTAAAAATAACTTTTCTCAATGGAAATCTCAATACAAAACAGGAAATCAACTTATGACATTGGCAAGAGGACTTACCTTCTTAGAAGGCATGATCCCAAACATGGGTAACATTAAACTAGGTAGCAAAGCTGTTACCGACAGAGGCAATGCTTCTGTGAGCCAAAATGTGGCGACCACAAAGAGTGTGTAGGCACATTCTGCTTCCTGGTAAGAACAAATGCAAAGCAAAAGGTGATATTATGAGGCTGGAGAAGTCAACATTCAAACACAAACATGTTTGCTTAATAGAGCCATGTCACAGAGAACGTAAGAAGATCTGAAGACCTCTGCATCTTTGAGTTGCCCTCAAATACTCATTTCTTAGAAGTTCTAAGAAGCAAAATTTAATAAACATAAAAAACTAAAGGGAGAAAAAAATCCCCATTCATTACATTTATTTCACATTTCCCTCAAAAGAGATAATCTAGTCCATTTTCTTGCTCATATTAGTGTATATAGATGTTTCTACTCACTTTCCTTTGGCCTATAAAATGCACTCCCCCATACTTCCAGAGTACAGAAATAGCCAAGTTACAGCCTTTCCCCTGGGGGCAGGATACCTGCCTTTTAAATGCATTCCTTGGTGCCTGGTTGAGTGGGACCTAAGCACTCCTGCCTTCCTCTCCTTCTAACTAAAAGGGGAAAACCAACCTAGGAGAAACCTTTGCCGTACTGTGTCTCAGAGAAAAGACATGACAAGTTGTGTGGCATGGAAGAGCCTGAATGCTACTCTTAATAGAATCTGTTGCTTTGCTTAGTATAAAACTATAGGTTCATGTTTTAGGGCATTGTTAAGAGATGGTCAAAATTTATCATTATATTTAACTTATATAGATAACTTTGGTATGAAATCACCTGGAACGTTCTAAGTCTTTAGTAAAGGTTAGCAGCTATCAAATGGTGCTATTTTGCTCTCACAGTGCTTACTCTCTGCAAATTCTGAGTTGCATTTGAAAAATTTACAAAAACTGCTGTTTAGGTTGAATGAAGTTATTAAGCTTTTATTTTTGTCTGGCACTACTGCTGTCTGATTCAACTGCCTCAGGGTGAGTCCTTGGGGCTTGGGATTTACTTGACCAGCATCCCTACACTTCCAGTGCATTTCTAAGATATCCTTAATAAGCCAGGATTAGGCAGTACCTTTATTGTGTTATCTATTTAAAGGAGAAAGAATGAAAGTGTTTTGATGTTGACAGTTTCATACAGAGTCTGCTTCTACCATCTTGATAAACAATAAAACAACAAAACAAAGCTGAGCCTTGAATGGATCTTCCTGAACAGCTCTAGAGAGAATTGTGTATACTAGCTTAAATTAAAATGCCAGCATGGAAGAAAGGTTGTGCATTTTCTCTTAATGAGAACACATGGATAGCCTGAAAGTTCCTGTTATGACTTTATGTTTTCCATCATACTTGTAAGAACCTAGGTTGCAGAGATAAAATGGACCACTTTTAATCTTGCTCTCTAGTTACAACTAGCCACTATCTTGATCCTATTTATTCCCCAGTCATTATATCTCTCAAATCTGCCCCTCCACCCACTTCCTCCACTGCAGGCAAGACTATTCCAATATCAGGTCACTTTCCAAGAATCCATTTTGTATTTGGCATTCCCTTACAGAAAGCCAGATACAGGTCTAGCCACCCTGACAACTATCTGGAGCACCAATCTATGAGGGTCTGCTAAAACATCAAAAAATAAATAGAATACATAGTGCTAGCTGGTTCTGTTCACCATATACACCCCCTGCCTTAAGTGTTGAACATCCATGTCAACATGGGCCTTTGGGTGGAGAGTCATAGTCCACTAAGATGGCACAACTTTGGTGACAGAATAAAAAGCAAAATTTCAATAATCACATTATTACCTGGCCCAGAATACTTCCATATTTTAAGTGGCTCAGCCCTGACTGAAATCAACCAAAAGTCAGTGACTTTTAGTTGTTTATTGAAAATAATTGAAGAATCCTCATTTTGCATTCAAACCCACCTTCACTTTGACTATAATGTCTTATCACAACACCTCCTGACATCAATTTTCTATATCCAAAGAATCTTCTTTACACACTTCCTTGATATTTGAGTTCTGATCCTTGCTCCTCATAATGCATCCCTTTCTCTGAACTCTAATTCATAGTATTCAGCCAGTTGGTATACCAACAAGCCCCCAGATCCTTTATGTGCTAGTTTCTACCTGTCTGAGCTCACATTCTAGACCCTTTGACCGTGTTTGATCATTTGGATGAAGCAGTCACAAGCTGATAGCCAAGTCTGGCAAGGCAATTCTATATATTTGATTCACAGTGTTATAAGTCTATGTGCTTAATTTGAGTCAAGATTTACAAATCAGCAGATTTAATGTTAAAAAATAAAGTCTGAATTCCTGCCTTCTCTTAACAAACTGAGATATTTGGTAACACTGGGATCATATTCTTCCATGGCAACAGTTCTCCAGGGTCACCTTTAGAGATTGACTTGTATTTTTTCAGTTCTATACAGTACTACTACATTACTTCACTCATTCTCTTACCTCCTCAACTTTTGTCAGCATTTTAGTAAAATATCTGGTAGGAAAAAGGTTGCCTATTTGCTCCGCCTTTCAAATATTGCTTTGTCATTCAAGAATCAACACTTAGATTGTGCATTTGGACTTCTCCCCTCTCTGCCCCTCTGCCTGGTCCATGAACCAGCAGCGTCAGCATAATCTGGGCACTTGTGAGAAATGTAGGACATCAAGCCCTTCCCCAGACACACTGAATCAATCAGCATTTTCAGGCTCACAAGGTGATCCTTATCTAGGTTAAAGTTTGAGAAGCACTGGGCTACATCCTTTTCCAGACCTTCCCTTTCATCTTTAAATCTGGTTCCATACACTTGCTTCCAAGTAGTTTCCTTTTGCCTAAGCTGAATCCCTGGATTCATAACCCATTTGTAAAACTTGTCTACCTTTTGATTTGCAGTTCAAATTTATGTCTCATCATGGAGTTTACCTTGAACACACATGTGCATTTTGTATTTTTTCCTAGGAGTCCCAGTGGATTATAATTTCAGCTAGCTAAGGCACCATATCTGCATGTCTTTGATAGCTGCCTTCCCAGAATTTGTGAAAATTGCCCCCTTTTTTCACATCTGAAGAAAACCAAAGGTCTGGAAAAGGAGGAAGACAGAGTTATTCCCCTCTGAATGCTATTTTTTTATCCTTATTTTTTTAATTGACATGTAAAATTGTATGTACTGTATTTATCATGTACAACATGGTGCTTTGAAGTATCTATGCATAGTGGAATGACTAAGTCTAGCTAATTAATATGTGCATTACCTCACATCATTATTATCTTTGTGCTGAGAACACTTTATATCCACTCTTTTTAGCATTTTTCAAGAGTACATAATGTTATTAACTACAGTCACCATGTTGTACAATAAATCTCTCAAGCTTATTCTTTCTATCTTTTGACTAACATCTCTTTAACCCTGACACCTGATCTCCCCAGACCCTGGAAACCACAAGTTCACTCTCCACTTCTATGAGATCAACTTTTTTAGATTCCACATGACTGACATCACATGCTATTTGTCTTCCTGTCCCTGGCTTATTTCATTTAACATATATCCTTCAGGTTCATACATGTTGTAACAAATGACAGGATTTTCTTCATTTTATGGCTGAATAGTATTTCATTCTGTCTCTGTCTCTCTCTCTCCATGTGTGTGTTTGTGTGCAAGTGCATGTGTGAGTGTGTGTGTGTGTGTATACATACCATATTTTCTTTATCCATTCATCTGTTGATGAACACTTAGGTTGATTCCATATCTTGGCTATTGTGACTAGTGCAGCAATAAACATGGGAGTGCAGATATCTCCTCAACATACTGATTTCATTTCCTTTGGGTATATATCCAGTAATGACATTGCTGGATCATACAGTAGTTCTATTTTTAATTTTTTGAGGGAATGCTGTGTTATTTTTCATAATGGCTGTACTAAGTTACATTTCTGCAAACAGTGTTCACATCCTGGCCAACACTTGTTATAATAGCCATTCTAACAAAGGTGAGATAATATCTCACTGTGGCTTTAGTTTGTATTTCCCAGAAGAGTGATGTCGAGCATTTTTTCATGTACCTGTTTGCCATATGTATGCCTTCTTTTGAAAAGTCTATTCAAAATTTTTTGCTTATTTTTCAATTGGGTTATTTGCTTTCTTGCTATTGAGTTGTTTGAATTCCTTATGTATTTTTGATATTAATCTCTTATCAGATGAATAGTTTGCAAATATTTTATCCTATTCTATAGGTTGTCTTTTCACTTTTGATTTTGTTTGCAGTGAAGAAGTTTTATTAGTATAATGTAATCCCATTTGTCTATTTTTGCTTTTGTTGCTGTGCTTTTGAGGTCATATCCAAAAAACTCATTGTCTAGGTCAATGTCATGGAGCTATTCCCCTGTTTTGTATTCTAGTAGTTTCATAGTTTTTGGTCTTACATTTAATTAATTAATTCATTTTGAGTTGATTTTTGCATATAGTGAGATATATGGGTCTGATTTCATTCTTCTGCAGGTGGATATTTAGTTTCACTAACACCATTTATTGAAGAGATTCTCCTTTTCCCATTGTGTGTTCTTGGCACCTTTGCTGAAAATCAGTTGGCTGTAAATGTAGAGAATTATTTCTGGCTTCTCTATGGTTTAATTGGTCCACATGTCTGTTTTTATGCCACTGCCATGCTGTTTTGGTTCCTATAGCTTTGTAGTATATTTTGAAATCAGGTAGTGTGATGCCCCCCAGCTTTGTTCTTTTTGTTCAAGATTGCTCTAACTATTTGGGGTCTTTTGTTTCAATACAAATTTTAGGATCGTTTGAGAGCTCTTTAATGGGTAGGGTAGCCATCTGCCCCAGTTTTCTCAGGACAGTGTTATTGTAGAGTTTCCTTTCTCATTAGTATTTCCTTTCATTTTCAAAAGCGTCCCTCTTTGGCTGATAAATTAAACAAGCATCCTATTGATGGGTTCATCCCAGGAATGCTTCCTTCCTCTAATTCCTTTTCTCTATTGTGTGATTTTTCTTGGTCGTGCTTGGGTATGTGAAAGAATGCAGGAAAGCATTCTTTCCCTTCAAAGTCCTTAGGCATTAAATAGCAGAAGGTTAATTCAAACACAACACCAAGTATTTTCTTTTAAAACTATCCTATTAAAGTATATAGGGTTATTTTTTACTTTAAAATCAAAGATCTGTGAATAATCTTGCTAAGAAGAAGAAAAGTATAAGAGATAGAAAAAAAAACAACCATTTTCTTCTTTTGTGTTATTCACATCTATTCACACATGCACACAAAGAATACGAGGGTGAGTAACTTTTGGTGGACAAGTTCTTCTGATGAAGAAGAAAACTACTCAGAGGTTGTGGAACTGTGTTGCAACTAAAAAGAGATCCTAGATATTTGATTTTAGGACTGGCTTTGAGGTAGAACATAAAGTAGCTTCATTTTGTCACTAGAAACTCATAGAGTGACCAATTGTTTCAAGCTATATTATCTTTGTCTCCTGTAAATTTCTTCCAAATTTGTCTCTTTCCTCTTTTTCTTCACCTTAACAGACCTCCTACTCCTAAGAAATAAAACCACCACAAATTGTTTACCACCATTACACACAATCACTACTACTACTACCTCCTCAAGAGAACGATGGTAAAACAGCAATAAAAGAAGACCAGTTGTCAATTAAGAGTATGAGTGAATCCTTCCTCCCCCACAACCTACCCCCAAGTCTGCTGGAAGTTGCTGATACATCCGATATCGTTATTACAACTTACTCTGCAACCGTAACAAGTAAACGTTTTAATCACATTTTGTTCTGAAGTATTTTAGTATTATGAATTCTTAAACTGAATGATAGCAACAAAAATAATGTGTACTTTTATCTTGTTTATTTATCATGAAGGACATAACTGTAAAGATTTACAGTTATGACTACCACTGACCTTACAATTTTTTTTTTTTTAAATCATGATTCCTTCTCAAAATAAAGAAAGAGAAAAGAGGGGAAAAAAAAAAGTCCAGAGGACTTCCTCAAAAATACTACTTTTCTACTTAAAAATCTCTGTACGTGTTACGACTCCCAAAAGTTACATCAAGAAGTTCAGCAAACAAGTCACACCTAGCCAGACAGAGGCAATTGTGTGGAAACCAGGTGAAATTCCATTAGATCATAGGCAATGTCATGTCGCTTAACCCTGGATACCTGCTCTGTATGTATACACTGCACCTCTTTGGCTCATTCATGGCAGCTCCGTCTTTCCTATTATAAGATTTCCTCACACTACCAGAGACATGAAGTTATTATAGTATGGGCAGTTCCTCGTCCCTTAAATTAAAAAATATATATATTAGAAGCTTTTTAGCAGTGTATTCTTTAGAAGCATTTTCAAAATTATAAAATATTTAGAACATAGTAAAAATATACAACAAACATATTTGTACACCTTATCATATTTAACAAATGTTGACACTTTGCCACATTTGCTTAAATTATTTTTAAACAAATAAAACATTCCATATTCTGTTAAAGACTGATGTTAAGGACCACTCCCTCATTTCCTTCTCCTCCACCATTCCCAAAGTTAACTACTGTCTAGAATGTGGTTTGTATCCTTTCCATTCATGTTTTTGTGATTATACTACATGCAGACATTAATACATTAATAACAAGTGGTTTTAAAATTAAATAAGGTTTACTCTATATGTCACTTTGCAACTTGCTTTTTTCACTCAATATTTTATGTACTTCAAATACATTCATGTTGATACATGTAGATTTATTGTTACTTCATTTTAATAGATGTAGTATTTCTTTTTATGAATATTTTACCATTTATTTGTCTGTTTTTCTACTGATGTTTGTTTGGATTTTTTCCCCAATATTTTATTATTATAAGGCTATGGACATCTTTGTACCTATCTCCACATGCATGTCTATGGAAAATAGATTTTCTTAGCTGGTGGAGAAAACTAGCATCAGAACTTCAAACGGGAAGGAGTCCATTGGAACTTTACTAGATATTGCCCATTTGCTATCTGACATGGTTAGGCTTTTTGTCCCCACCCAAATCTCATCTTGAATTGTAATCTCCATGCTACCCAGGTGTCAAGGGAGAAACCAGGTGGAGGTAATTGAATAATGGGCGCAGTTTCCCCCATGCTGTCCTCATAATAGTGAGTGAGTTCTCATGAGATCTGATGGTTTTATAAGGGGCTCTTCCCCCTTAATTTGGCACTTCTCCTTCCTGCTGCCTTGTGAAGAAGTTGCCTCACTTCCCCTTCCACCATTATTGTAAGTTTCTTGAGGCCTCCCAGTCACGCTGAGTCAATTAAACCTCATTCCTTTATAAATTACCCAGTCTCGGGCAGTTCTTTATAGCACTATGAAAATCGACTAAGAAGCTGAGATGGTCATACTAGTTTATATTAACACCAACAATGTTCAGAAATTCCATTTCACCATCCTTGGTATATGGGATTAATTTATTCATTTGACAGTCTGATGGTATGAAAAAATCTTCTTATTTAATTTCCATGTTCTTGAATACCAGTGGAGTATTTTCACAGTTATTGAACATAATTGTTTCTCTTCTGTAAATTATATATTTATAGTTCTTTTTCATTTTTCTGTTGGGTTATTTTTTCTTTTATCTCATGGATTTGTGGAGTTATTTTTAGATTCTTAATATTATTTCTCTATAAACTATGTATTTGTAAACATTTTTCTTAGTCTCTGGCTTGTCTATGAAATTAGCTTTATTGTATTTTTAATTGACAGGAGGATTTTAATTTTAATGCAGTGATTTTAAACACTTTTCTGTTGTCTCATGTTTTTACCATATTTTATAAGAAAATCTTTCGGCCGGGTGCGGTGGCTCACGCCTGTAATCCCAGCACTTTGGGAGGCCGAGGCGGGCGGATCACGAGGTCAGGAGATCGAGACCATCCCGGCTAAAACGGTGAAACCCCGTCTCTACTAAAAATACAAAAAATTAGCCGGGTGTAGTGGCGGGCGCCTGTAGTCCCAGCTACTTGGGAGGCTGAGGCAGGAGAATGGCGTGAACCCGGGAGGCGGAGCTTGCAGTGAGCCGAGATCCCGCCACTGCACTCCAGCCTGGGCGACAGAGCGAGACTCCGTCTCAAAAAAAAAAAAAAAAAAGAAAGAAAATCTTTCTACATTATATATTTCCATATTTTTTCTAAGATTAAAATTTTTTCAAGTGTAGAGCTTTAATATTTTTGTATAGGAATCTAACACTTTTTTTTTCTCAAAATGAATAGCCAAAGTGCCATGCTTTTTAAATTGAATGAGCTCATTTTTGCCTAGTAATTCATGTTGCTACATATTTTCTATGCTGAAGTTCTCAAATGCAGACACATAAGCTTCTGGTCTCTTTATTTTGTCCTCTCCCTCTCCCACTGCTGCCTTCTAAAAATAAGTTCTTACAGAATTATGCTCTTTTAACATTTCTAACCTTTCAATAAGGTTTACAATCTGTATGACAACTCCTTCATCTTATATGTTTTTCAAATTGCCTTAATAGTGTTAGATTTTCATTCTTTCTTTTGAATTTTAAAATTACTATCTCAAGTTATAAAAATTTTATTCAGATTTTCATTCAAATTACACAGAATCTATGAAGTAAGATATAGCTTTAAGTATTTCTATCTATGAACTTCTCTATTCTTTTAGGTGTCTATTAAATTTCTTCTATAATGTTTTGTAGATTTCTCCAGAAAGGTCTATTATATATTTATTAGATGTTTTCATTATTATTGAAATGAAAAATTTATCTAATTACAATCCTTTTGGAGATTTTTTTCTTCTCTATTTGGAAGCTTTAAAAAATTCACCTTATTTTTAATCTGAAGTCTCATTCCTGATGTGCCTAAATATGGACTAATATCTAATTAAGTTGTTTGTACTTACAAATGCATTTGAGAGCTCATCTTTTTTAAAAAAATTCTGGAGAATTCAGTAATTATTACTTTGAATATGACTTCTTTTCTAGTCTTTCATTTTCGGTAATGTCTTTTATACATATGTTGGGGCTCTGAATTCATTCTCCAAATGATTCTCTCACTTAAAGATATCCTTTTATATTCTATTTGATATTTTAGGTAAATTCCTAGTATTCTTTCTCAGTTCACTGAATATATCTTCAAGGATACTCAGTTTAAAGTTTATTTCATCTTGTAGTATACTATAAGAGACATACCCTGGTTATAAGATTAATGATAGCCATAAGGCTTATTCAGGCATCTTGCTGATACTACATGTCACGTAGCAGTATGTCACAGAGTAGGGTTGACACTAAGTGTCACTTAGCAATGTGATGCAGACTGGCTTGGGGATTTCCAACCTTGGCCTGGGGATTTCCAGGAGACAAGGCTACCTCAGATGCAACTTTCATAAACAAAAAAGGCTTACTCTTTCCAGAATTGTTTAAACTCCCTTTATGAGAGAAATGGCTGGTAACTCACCTGGGCTGAGTACAAGCATAAGTAAGGGGGAAGGGTCCTTTAAATTCTGAGACTGGTCACTGGACGGAGGCCCTCCTGGTCAGTCAGTCATCTGACTGCATCTGGCCCATGCCACTGGCCTGCTCTTCATCTTCATCTTGGAAAAGTCAGAATAAGCTGTTGAGCATTAGAATAAGCTGTCTAAGACTCATATTTGACATTAACCAAATGAAAAAGGAGAAGCTGTTGAGAATAAGCTGTTGAGCATTAGAGTGTCTAAGACTCATCTTTGACATGAATCAAATGAAAAAGGAGAAGTTGCCCCTGGGGAAGCTGGTTAACTAGGACCACCCAGGAGCCTCAAACATGACACATCTATTGAGGATTTTGTTTGTTTTTTTAATCTCAGTGACAAAATTCCAGGATATCTAACTAGTTTTATTTTATACTTTCCTGCTCTTGCTTTATATTTTGAAAAATAATTTGTTTCTCTTTTTTTGTTTTTTTCCTTTCCTAACTTGTTGATTTCCCTATTATTTTCATTTCTTCTGAGCGGATTTTGTCAGTCTTTCTTTAGTGTCTTATTGTATTTTGAAATTTTATTTTCAAATTTATTCTGAGTGGTAGCTTTATTCTTGTGTTTTCTTCTTCTGCACTCCTTGTTTCTCATCTAGCACTTTTACAGTTGCTTCCAGCCAGTTCCTAGTTCCTGGTTCAGATGGGTCTTATCTTGACACCCTAGAGTTCTTTTCTTGCCAGCATAACATGGATCCAGTCATCTAGCTGAGTTGGGTAGTATGGGTGAGGTCTTGGCTGGGGAGCTGGGCAGTGTTTGCTTCCTGTGAGCCATCATAGCCAGCGATCAATCCAGCTCTTTCTGTCCTTCACAGGTTTGAGAAAACCATTTTCCAGCCCTTAGTTTCTGGCATTTAACCTGACTCTGGTCCCTGAATGGCATGGGAGTGCTTTCAACCACAGGTTTCCACATTCATGCCACTTGTTTGCTTTTCTGACTCATTCTGATCTACAGAGATCTTTATTTGCTTTGTGTTTCCAATGGAGAAAGAGCTTGGGAAGGGAGGATCCTAATTGTCTAAAACCTCATCTAGACTGTTGATCATAGACTTTATATATAGAAAAACTTATTTAAGATGTGAAAATATTTGCCAAGTAGACAGATAAACCTGTTTTCTGACTTACTATAGGATGGGCAAGTAATACTCATGAATGCTTATAATGTGCCAGATAACAACACTTGGCACTCCACATGACATTTTATTTAACCCTCGCCAAGATTCTTTGGGGTAGATATTGTAATTCCATGCTGAACTAAGGTTCAACGATCACACTGCTAGCGTGTGGTAGAGTTGAGATTTGTCCATGTATAAACTCTATCAGAGTATATATTTTTAAAATTTACTACCCTGTTCCCAACATTTAAAGCAGTACTTGGCATAGAGTATACGGTCAGTAACATATTTGAGTGAGTAAGGTTCTTCTTTCTGTTCTTTCTAATATTGTTTGTATTTATATATCTTATAAAACACTAAATCTTTATCTTAGGCATAAGGTTCCTTAGCATAGAAACTTCTTTCTCTTTGCCTTGTTCCCTTTTCTCTGTTCTCTCCTCCTTGCCTGGAACTGGATATTTTGACTCCTGCCCCAGTGGGTGAATGTGTTTACAATTTTCCTGCAGCCCTCATCTCTCTTGCTAATAAACAGCACTGGAACTAAAATGTCCACCTGCATAGGTGAATTCCTCCATCACAGACATTCCCACTTACCCAGCCCCCAGTTAAAAATATCATAGTCATATCTTGTCTTAACCACCTCAAGTGCACAGCTAGGGCACTTGCTGAAGGGGTGAAAAAGGCAAAGAAAGCTATGACTAGGCAATTTGGATAATGACTTTTTCCTCCTTACAAAGTTCTGACTGTCAAGTTATCTTACAAAATGTGGCTGATTACATTTAAAAATCACCTTGGTTCTCTTTTAAATTATAGCCCCACATGGAATTAGAATATAAGTTTGGCTTTAAAATATAGTTTTTTCATCTCTTCTGCTTTTTTAAATGACATACTGACTGATATTAGGGAGTAATTTGGCTGATGAATTAGTACGTATGTGGGTATGATCTCTTCTCAGCACAGCGTGAGAAAAGCAGAGCCAATCACAGACCTCAATCACTACAATTGATTTTCTAAAGAGAACACAAAGCAATTAAAAAAGGAGAAAAATCATGCATTCTAAATCTCTGTGCTACAAGAAAAACATCATTATTATTTGACAGAGCCTGTGAAGGGCTTTGTATGGTTCTTGGTATTCCTACCCCTACTGCAGCAGTGATTTCTTAAGACTCAATTTATATTAATTGCAAAGTTTAAAGTGCTTTAAAATATCCTCATTTTGGAAGATGGATAGTAAAAATAAGTTCAACTACAAAGTCAAGGAGAAATAACTAGATGTTTTTTCTTTTCTTTTTTTTTAAGTTTTTAGCCAAAATGGATAGTAGAGAAAAGCAATTGATGGCCCACTAAACCAGTTATTGGGAAATTTTTAGTTCCTCCTTTTCACTCAACCTCCACACCTAACCAGCACCTGAGATGCATTGTTTTCATACTCTGTACACAGTGGAACTGGAAAAAGGTACAGAAATAATCAGTTCTCCAACCTGACTACACATTTGGTTATGATCAAAATGCAATCCATGAACTACCTGCTCCAGAATCACCTGGGGAGTTTGTTCAACGTGCAGCATCCTACACTTCACATTAAGAGTTTATGATTTTACACAAGTATCTCAGGTGAATCTGGGGAAGCTTATCCATAGACAACATTTGGAACTTTTTAAAAAGAGCCTTGCTCATTTTATAAATAAAAAAAAAAATCAGCCAAGGGTAGCATGTCTGAGTCACTTGGGGAATGTTTCAGAATATGCTATGTTAATCAGGACAGGATAAGCTATGCTGTGGCAAAAGTTCCAAAATCTCAGCAGTCTAAAACAGCCAATTATTTCTTACTTATACTATTTGTCCATCATGGGTAGAGGTTACTACGTGATCCAGGCTGAGAGAGGCATCACCTCAACCTGTGCTTTCGTGATTGCAAATGCAGGAACAATGACATAAGGCAATCTGAGCACAGCTTTTAAAGATCTGATATAAATATCATTAAATAAGCAATGACATCATGAGCTTGGAAGTCAGACAGATTTGTGTTTAAGTCCTCTTGCTCCCTTTGTGGACTGTGTGACTTTGATCACATTTCTTGACCTCTCTGAGTTTCTGTTCTGTAAAATTGGGATGATATTGACTATTTCTAATTGTCGCTATGAGGCTCACAGTGGGCATTCACATTTACTATTGTTACCAAACAAGGTATAAAACATATTATGGGAGGAAGAAAGAGCTTTGTGAAAGGGACAGCCTCTGGTTACACCTACATTCTTCTTGTTCTGTCCTTTCATCATTATTTTCACTCTATTGAAGTTCCCCTCTTTCATCAACCTCTTTCTCCTGCATTCTCTCCTTCCTATCAGGTCCAAAGCCTTACATCCTTCTGCCACGCTAGATCATCCTTCACTCAACACAGTTATTAACTATCTACTATGTGACAGGCACTGGGTTTGGTGCTGGAGGAGACAGAAATTTAAACACTATGCTCCATGTTCTTGAGATATTTACAGTCTGGAGGGAGACACAAAGATAAAGCAAAACGGAAGACATACTGTAATAGAGGCCAATGTATCCATGATGCAATGAGAGCATCGAGGATGATCCTTAGTTTACATCACAGCCTGAGCCTTCCTTCCCAAGAAGGGTGAGGTAAGAGGAGATGGCATTCTAGGAGGAGGATATAGCGTGTGAGAAGGCAGAGAGACAAGAATAATCACAGGCATTCTAGAAACTGCAAATAGTGAAGTATTGTTAAAGAGGAAAATGCAAATGTGGGAGATAGATACTGGGGACTGTGTGGTGGAGGCTTTTAGGACAAATAAATGAAAAGTCAGAAATATCCATCAGCAAAACCATCTTTTGTTTAGATATTTTTCCATTATAGGCAAAAAGGAACCATTGAAAAATTTTGATTTTTCACAATTGGACTGAGTTGGCATTTAAAAAATAGTACTCTGGCCAGAGACTGTAGGGGAAAGTGTGTAAAAAACAAACAGTCTATGAAAGAAAGAGAAAGACAGCTTCAAGGAAAGCAGTGCCAGCAGGAAAGGAAAGAGAGGAGAAGATGAGGTTGAGAGGGGAGATTTAGGAGGATTTAGATTAAGGAGATGCAACACCGTATTAGTGATGGGGGCTTGTGGATATTTGAAGCATCTGAGATGACATACAGCTTTCAAACCTGTGAATGGAGAGAAGGGTAGTGGCATTCTCTGACATAAAGAAAACAGAAGGAGCAGCAGGTTTTGGGCAAGTGGGACTGCATGCGGTTAGGGGAACAGAGGAGCTGGAAGATGATGAATCCTTAGTGGTTTATCCACTTTTTAATTACGCCTTCATAGCACAGATGATTTCTTTAAATTATTCGGCATGTGTTTAGGTACAACCTACTTTTGCCATTAATATTTGTCATACTATATAATGACTTTCCAGCAATTCTGCAAGCTACATAAAGACAGAAACATTAATTTAAACTTCTGCTTATATCACACAATTCATCTGGCACAACACTTTGGGCTGGGAAAGTTCTTGTAAAATATTTGTGAAATAAAAATATATTACCAAAATTGGATTTTCTGGTTTTGTCGAACTACCACATTGCTATTAGCATTATTTCTATTTTTTTCCTTGTTCTTCATCATTTCTGCATTCTTTGGTGTCCAAAATATTCACTTACTTGGACTTTATAGCATTTTCTTCTTTATCTTAAATCCCTACAATATTTTTATGCCAACATTTAAAACAGTATCAATTATTTCCATTAATATATTTAATTATTTTATTTGGCTCTTTAAAACTTATCTGTTTTCTTGGAATTTCTCTCCTCCCTCTTCTTTCACTTATAGTCTTTTTAAATTATCTCCTACTCATTTTCATTTTCTTTGACCAACTTCTCGACCTACCACTTCCTCCTTCTAGGGGATACTTCACTTTTTAAAGTTTATATTTCCTTACAATCATTATATTTCTCCCATCTGTTTATTTTATTTTTATATCTAGCACCATAAGTCTCTCATCATGTATCATTTTATTTATTATTATTTCTATTCTCACTTTGAAAGTCATCATGATTCAAGTGACTATATCGTGAGTTTCAAAGTTAGAATATAAAATATTTTCTAGAGAAATCCAAAATATTTTCTGAAGAAAGAATTAAAATTTGGTATCGGTTTTACAACCCATCAACTAAGAAATGCTGCTCAGTATATGTGTGGTTGTTTCCTTGTCTCCTGATCTTAAAAAGGGGTCCTGATTAATAAGTAAGCTAGATAGAATAGGTATACCTGGAAGAATTGCACTCTACAAATATAATATATTGTTGTTTGATTTTCCCCTCTTACTTCTAACAAATCTGGCCTTTTTGTTTCATGAATAAAAATACAAAGAAAATCCAATAACTGGAAAAATAAGTAAGGAAATAGTATTGACTGCTGAAAAGAGTAAAAATTAACAAAATAGCCTAAAAAGAACAAAGTTGCACATAGAATATTACTGAAACTATGTCAGTATATACTAGGCCAGTTTTACCAAGATTTTAACTGGAAATATTTAAAGAAATTTCTCTCCAAAATGAGAAAAACTCAGTGTGATTATTTCATTCAAATAAAAAGCAGTTACACTCCAGACTTGTTTACTGATCATTAACTACTAATTGGGTAAGGACTGAGATTACCATTATGTTTAAGAGACAGAAAGAATTTCTGATGCTCAGTGTAAATCAATAAGAAAATGGAATTGCATTAGCGAAGTGAGATTCACAGCAATGTACTAGGAATATATTTATTATGACCACGGAAGCTATAAAGACACAGATACTCAGTTGTGATTAACATCATTGGCTCTAGAGTCAGACAGAAGTTGGTTGGAAAAATCTGTGTAGCCAGATTTTTGCAAGCTGCTTACCTGTTTTTGTCTCTATTTCCAATTCGGACGCAAGTATGGAGAAAAGGGGCACCATATCCTGACAAGCTGACTGACCAGCTTAAAAAACTGGGGCTCTGGGACACCCAGCAAATGACATCCTTATAGCTTCAGTTCTCATAAGCCTATCTTCAGTGGTTAGAATCACTGCAACTTTCTACCTTAATGACATTGCGTACCATAAGGTCAATTGAGGAAATGGTTAAAACAGAACTCTTCTGTTTGGCCTGTCTAAAGCATTTTCATGAACAGAAATGCCTGTGTTGTTGACAAATGATGAACAAGCCATGAAAGAGTAAGTCTTCAAAAATATACAAAAGACTAAAACAAAATCACTTTTAAAGCATGAATTCTGAGTTCTGACAGGATCCAAGCTCAAATTTACTTTCTAGAGCATGTAGATGGCCTTTGGTGAGTTACATGTCTCTGAGCATCAATTCCCTCAAATGTAAAACGAGAAGCACATTTGTACTTGTTTATTCGTTTGTGATGGAGGTTAAATAAGATAATTTGGGGAAAGCAGTTGGCAGAATGCCTGAAACAGAAGAGTACTCTGCAAATCAGTCTATTCTCCGTCCCTGTTAATAGTACATTGAAAAACCAGTTAGGGTCTTTCTTCATTCATGGCACTTTTTTCACTTTAGATGGAATTAAGACATAAGTTAAGGCCAGTCTATTGAACAACTCAATAACAAGCAGGAAAATGAAGGAAAGAAATCAGTCAATAATTCATTGTTTGTTGGCTCTACATCCTGTAGATTATAGCCCCACATGGAATTATTTTTTATAATTGTGGTTTTGAAAGAGAAACTTGGATTTTTGTTTCCATTGAATGTTTTAATTAATCTAATATTGTGTCTTTAGAAGCATAGACTTCTTCAGTTTGGTAACCTAAAAGTTAACAGTAAATTGACTTGCATTTATGTTAAAGTAAACTTCTCCTTAAATTTTATACCCTCCAAAGGCCTACATTCTTTAAAAAAATAATTTGCTTTCATTGTAAGCAAGTTAAAATAATAGTCTTTCAGTTTAATTAGCAGTTTATTGAATGATTAAATATATGTTTAAAGTGGCCAAAAAATAATATCATGTTATTATACTAGGAATAAATCCTCCATTAACATTAATTGAGTTTTAACAAATGAGTTGATTAGGAGGAAAGGAAAGAGGAACCAGCTCACCAGATGCAACTTGGTGCCAGACACCTGGTTCCTGCATGGACCTAATGTTCTTTTGTCATAGCACCTTGGAAAAAATAATCAGTGGCTGCATTTCTTAAAAATAATACACTTCCCAGTGAATGAATCATGTACTAAAATGATTGCTTTTGATTTATTTACTCATTTTGTTTTTCAAAGAGTTTATATTCATTTCTCAGAAAATTATGGAGGATAATCAAATTGTCATGCATTTATATGTAAAAAGAGCAGCACAGATGATATGTGGTAATGACCTAAATTTGTCTTGACTAGTTTAATTTCCTACTTTCTCTGCCATAAGTAAGAATGTATGCTGAGACTAACTCAAAAATATTAAAATATAGCAGGGCTCCAGGTATGAAGCAGGATATGGTCATGATAGGATTCAGCCAAATCTAGAGGACTCATGGGACCAGGAGAGTTGCAAAGTGAAGATCATAATGTGTCTTAGATGAAGTTCTTGGCAAGGAGATGGGGTGAGAATTCAGAATAGAGCACTATTTCTGTGCTGGAATTTGTCATCTGATGGGGCTGCCAGAGATTCATATAGGAGACCTCACAAGGAGCCGGGGTGGGAGTGGCAGGGTGGGAGGGAAAGGGTTAGTCACACAGAATTTGAAAAACAAAACCAACAAAGCCAAAAACAGCTGACAAGGTCTTTTAGTTATTATTATTATTTACAAATTCTGTACGAATTTGAGGGCTTAGAAATTTGGACCAAAAGGGGTGGGGAGTTTTTCCCTTCCCTCCATGTAGCTCTGTGAGACCTCAGCACAAGGAGAGATAAGCCAAGAATGCTGCAGCTAGAAGATTGCACCTGGTGGGAGACAACCCACAGATGCCACAGCAGGGGCCAGTCCCTTCTCCAGCTTTGCAGGTAGGATAGGCCTTGACAGTGTCCAAAAGGACTTTATTAGCTCACATGAATTCCCTTCAGAGGTCCCAGGATCACTGGCAAAGGCTTCTGGCAGAGGCTGGAGGGACCACCATATTATAGTTAATATGATTCTATTATAACCCAGACTGGTGTAACCTCGATTAGTACTTGTTAGAGGAGAGCATCAGCAGGGTTCTTGCCCATTAAGAGGAGGGACTGTGCATAATGGAGTGCTGGGAATTGCCCCACCTGTGGAGTCAACACACCCAAGGAGACTGGCACTGCACACTTACTGTGTGCCAGGCACTGCTCCAAATAAGTGTTTGAAGAGTGTTTCTTCATTTCATTCTCACAACAAGCCTGCTACTATACACATCTTTCATATGAGAAAACAGAAGCACAGAGACATTAAGTAGCATGCCCAGGTGACACAGTTTGTAAGTGGTAAATCTGGGACCTGAAGCAGAGAATCTGGCTCCAAAGCCTGTCCTCTTACTACCAAGTGACGTTTGTGCCTGGCACAGAGAAGGTGCTCATTAAATGTTTGCTGATTCAAATCATTTTACCAAGAAATTAAACATGCTTGAGCTTATTGTTCTGGACTTAATGCCCTGACTACTCTTAAAAAGCAAACAAAAATGCTTACAAGTACACCACAATGAAACAAAACCTGGAATTATCAGAACATGGTAAATGCTTTATTAGATTTTCTGATTGACCAAGGGAAATTACTCTAAGCTTTCAATGTCTTCTTTTCCTACAAGGGAACTAAATTTCCAGGAAGTTCTGTGACAAAGCCACAGAGCTGAGAAGTAAATTAGTCTGTGCTGGACCTAGGATTTCCCTTGTTCTTCCACCTCTGTCCCCAGCAATTGCTTTGCTGCCTATTCTCAGGGGAAGGCATTGCACTAGCCATGCATGCTCCCTGGAGAATGACAACTTGAACTGCAAAATCTCAAAGGTTGTGCTTCTTTTGTTCTTCCTCTCATCTAGTTGATAGGCAGAGAACAATTCTGATTGAATATTCTATTTAATTATGTTTAATCATACTAAGAATCAACCAATGTTAATTATTAAAAAGGGAGAAAATGGCCAAAACATCATGTACAACCATCCTGACTTTAGGTATGAAGGGTCAACATTCATTCAGCTCTGAGCCAGGCAGTTAAACAGCAAACAGTTTTAATAAAGGACAATTAAATAAGTCAGGAAATCCACCAGTCTGTTCTCCAGGTTCACTCACCTTGGTGTGGAGGACGATGGGCAGAGGTAGTAAAACCAACACAGTGAAAACCACGAAGAGAAATCGGCGATAAACCAGAATGTAACTGAAGAATTTCATTGTCCTGAGCAGGTGGCTTCAATAGTGTCCTCCAAATAAAGCAGATGTTAAATAACCAACTTGGATTAATATTTTTCCAGCCTGTCACCTTCACTCACTGCCCTAGACCGACCAACACAAGTTAAAATTAAATCTCATTTTTTATTGTTTTACTATCACAATTAACATGAAGAGATAGGCCCAAGACTTTTCATGAGAAATCAAAGACCATTTGCTCCTCTGGGTTTTCAAGGAAAAACTGTTCTTTCCCTGCTTTCTTTGATCACATTCACTGAAATACAGACTGGACAAGCCTAGGAGAAGGCAAAACCATGAAGCTGGTTGTTTGTTCACAATGAGGCACTTCCAACCCTTTTGATGTCCTCTGACTTCCAGACTCCCTAACTGGAGTAGTTACCACATTGTCATGGTGCCATGAGTGAGTCTCCACAGGCAGCCTCCATGGCCCTTTCTAAGGAAGTATGTTTTCAGTGTGTAAATTGAAATAGCAACTAATAGTTGGAATTTCAGTGTATGACAGTGAAAGGGAAACTTTTTTGTTTAGAGATGGATTTTTAACGGACTTCTTGGACAATGTATTGCAAGGGTCTTCTACAAAATTTATAGCAAATGTCCCTGTTGGTTAGAAGCAAAGTTTTGTGTATTTCTTGGACCCTATTGTCTCTTTTGATAGAAAACCAAAATAACCATGAAGTGTTATATAAACCCTCTATTTTAAGACCTTTGAAGGCTTGATTTGATACTGTTGTGCTGATACAGACTACATAATTATCAGGGAATCTGCATAAAGATGAGTGATTAGGGACATTCAAGTGGTGTGTGATGTGTGTGTGTGTATGGTTTGTGCACATGAGCACATGGGAAGTTGGAGACTGTTCCAACAGTGATATGGAGGATGTATTTTGAAAATCTTCAGGGATAAGGACCCTGGTTTTTTTCACGTTGTGTTGTAAATTGATGATCCAGTAAACCTCAAGTTAGCAACTACTACTTGTCTTTAGATATAAATGAAACACATTCCCAGCCCTACTAGAATTTATAGTCAATATCTCTTGACATAGATAACCTTACTCTTATGTAATCTATAGTTAGCATTTAGGTCTTATTTCTAACTTCATACTAATATAACTCTGCATTCTCTTTCCATCAAGAGAAACAATTCTCTCACCAGTACTCACCATATTAATGTAAATGAGAAAGCATTTTTTTCCTGTAAAAAATTTAAATTCCTAAACATCTATTATGGACAGTTATTCAGGAAAATCAGAATAGTAAACAGAAAAAAAGTTTCCAAACCAGAAAGTCTTATTATATCTTAAATTTCTTAGATGAAAGGATAATTACAAATGATATTGTAATAAAATGGTAAGTGATAATAAATAGGTAACAATAGTATATAGTGTTAAAATTAATTTATGAACTGATTTACTCAAACCAGTTGTAGTACTTATTTTTTTCCATTAACACCCTGTACAGTTCTCTAGTTCATTGCATGCTTTTTTTTAAACTACTACTTTTTGAAGAAACCATTTTTGCTCTCAGATTTCCTTCAGCTACCTGGTGAGATGATTTGAGCCTCACTTTTTCATCTTAGAGGATTTTACTTTGTGAGATGACACCAAAAAACGAAAAGGCATTTGTGTGACATTTAAAGGAAATGAGAGCCTATGTGTAGGCAACTGGAACCAGACAGAGGCTAAGGGAAAAGCACTTGACATTTGTTAGTCCCTCCTTTCTGTGCCCTATTTTCTCTCTTTAGGTCCTCATTTCTCACCAGAGGAAGGCTCCAGGACCCTATTCTTATGGCCTGGGCTCTAGCTAGCTGAATCTGCTGTGGGTGTTCATTATTACAAAACAGCCTCACCTTCTCCTTACCTTCAGCCAACCTCTTATTCCTCGGTGGTTTTCTCTTCACTGTCATAGAGAGAAAAAAATCTAATAAAATAATTTGCACTAAACATGAATGACTGATGTGAGCTGAATGTCTCTGCAAGAGTCACTGGGGAATGAAACTCTAAGGGAGACTTCGGGGCCCCTTGGATACATATCTTAAGGTACCCTTCAAATCACATCACGCTTTAACTAGCTCCATGCCTAGGACAAATTAGTCACAGTTGTCAAATTTCACCTCTTCTTTGTACAGAAAATCATAAACCTTACTACATCATAATTGTGTTATGTTTTATCTAAACTGAATCACACCATTACATAATCATGAATCAGTTCATGACTATGTTCATTCATTTGTTCTTAAGCTTCGCCTAGCCCTTAATTAAAAAACATGTTTACCAAAAAAATCACAGATATTGTTCATTCATTCATTGTTATAGTTATATCCTATGTCCCAGAGAGTTTACATTTAGTACCTCATTTAATCTTCAAAACTTGATACAAGTTATATGTATGTATTGTTATTATTATTTATATTTTATAGATTTGAAAACTAAGATTCAAAGAGGTAAAGTAAAATATCCCAGGTACTAAATGGCAAAACAATTCATTTGAATCCAGTTCTTTCTGGCACCTAAGGCAATGCTCCTTGTACTACGTTTGAGGTCTACCATCAAGAATATTCATTTGGCACTAAGCACTAACTTCAAGTCTAGAATTTGTATGGAGATACCTGGTTTGGTTAGTTTAGGGACTGTAGTTCTGGCGTTTGCCATTGAGACTTCTGGATGGTCATAAATTATGTGAAGCTCAGGTTCAAGCACAGAGGAAATGAAGGGTTTCTTATTGGTAGTAAAGAAGTTAGATTGCCCAAGATGCTTGAGTTGTCTAACCAACTGAGGGGAGTGGAAACTAGTTTTTATCCAGTTGTCTCACATGCTTCTCTCAGGCCTACCTTCTGGTTGTCTCTTTCTTATGCTTATGTTTATAATGTTAACTCCCAAATTTGTGTTCTTCAAGCCTTTCCTTCTTCCAAGAATATGGTTTCCATCTCTGTTTTAAATGCTAACCATAGTTGAAGTTTGACCTTGTAGATTCATCTCAAAACCATCCTAACAATCCCAGTCCTTGCACAAATCCCCAATCCTTGACTTTCCATGCACACACCCAGGGTGGTCCTTGAGCCAACTGTATTCAAATAATATCAGATGCTTAACAAAAATGCAGATTCCCTGCCCTTTTGGATCTAAATGTGACTTTGAAACCTTCATGTTTTCTTGGCACCCTGCGTAATTTTTAATACACAGTAAAGTTTGAAAATCATAGATAATATCTGTAAGACACACTGTGGCCTGTGAGTAGACCAATGTTATTTACTATTTTAATAATGCATGTAAATCTTACATCTTCTGTAAGATTGTTAATTCTTTGAGTACAAGGAAGTACAGACTACTTCCTTTGCATCACTTATGTCCCTAGTAAAGTGTTGGGTACAAGTAAATACTCAAAGAATACTTTCTCTAAACTTACCTATGAGTATAGATAAATGGAAACCAATTAGCTTCCTTGTTTATATAGTATGGTTTACTCAAGCAGTTTGTCAATAGAATATATAGGTTTGCAATGAGATATGGCTTTTCAATGGAAAATATTTGCCCCATTGCAAATGTACTCATACATATATACACTTAGATGAAAAAGTGTATATACTCAGTATACACTTTTACTTTGCTGGCAAAAACAGCCAGGTGCATTTGTATACAAAAAGACAGTGCATTTGCTTCAATTATGTATTTCTATTTTCACTCTTAGGGTTTTTAGAGTTCAAAGTGCATGCCAGGTTTATTCAATTGCTATTGTTGGGATTATTGGTCAAAAAATGTAAGCCAGATTTTCTCCCAACATTCATTTGTTCTTAAGCTGTGACTAGCCCTTAATTCAAAAACTCACTCATAGTGTACCCTTAATTGTATACTCTGGTTACCTACATAAATTGCATGACTTACAAGCACTGCGCTGTGAAGGGTATACTCTTTGAGTGCCATATGTGAGCTGAATCCCCAAACATTTTAGATACTGTTAAAACTAAGATGATCTTTTTTCCTCAGTAGCATCCTGTAGTCATTTACATTAGCACTTTTTAGAGTTTTATTTCTTTTTCTGCTCACCTCTCCCTTCCTTAAGATGTTGAGTCTTCTTGATGAAAGAAAAGCATGTAGATTGTGTATATAGTAAAATTTCCAGGCTGATGTCAATTAACTATATCAATTTTTACTTTCATTTCCTAAGATAAAGGATAAAATAATTAGCTAAGGTAGAATAATCTACCCTAGAGACTGTAGATTTATATACAAGTCCCTAAAAACTTAAATTAACGTCATTTATTATTAACCACAGTTTCAATAATTATTCTTCCAGTGTAATGAAGTAAATGACTAACTGAATAGATGAAGATTGAACTGTGTCCTACAAGGTGAAGACCTGAATGCTCATGAACTGAGAAGGAAAGCAAATTCCTAAACAGGAAGACCTCCCTCTAGCAATAACAGCACCTGCCAGAATATGTCAGCTCTGAAGCCAAGACACCACTGGCCACAACCTCCATCAGGTTGGGGAGGAATAATTTTATCTTGGCTGAGCCTTATCTCATTTTAATCTTGGGTTCTCTGGGAGGTGAAAGAGGAAAATTCAGGGAGCTGGGAATGTAGAGAAGGGAAGCGAAAGGACATTCCAGGACACTTAACAAACTATTAGAAAAGGGAAGCTGAGTAAAACTACTCTCAGATATCTAGAACACTGTTTGTTCCACTCCTCTTCCTGCTTGTGTCACCCTCCCCTGCACAGCCACCTCGTGTCACAGTCATGTCTTGACACAGGCAACTGTACTGTAATCCTTGTGAAAATGTTTAGCATATTCAGAGGTGAACCCAGGACCCCTGGATATGGCATTTATTAAGTCAGCACTTGGGTAGTGACTGCTGTGATTCTAGGACTCTTAGAAACGGAAATCCATAGAAATGGATCATGGAGAAATACCCTAGAATCCCAGCTGATCCAAGTGTCCACTCCCCCTGTCAAGTCAGAAGGCTTCCATGGAACTCAGACTAGCTAATCAGCAACTGCTTTTGAGTACAGCTAGAAAAAAAACAAGTTTAAAGAAATTAATGAGGGAAACGTTTTCTCAGTCATCTCAGTTCTGCTACAAATTCACTGTTGCTCATGGCCAAATGTGTTAATTTTTCTCTTTCAGAAAAAAAAAAAAACCCTGATATTCCTCCTGCCATTTTTACCACCAAAAATATTGTCTCTTTGGAGCATCTCATGTCCCTGATAACAATGAAAAGATAAAGCGTTAACATAATTCTAATGGTGAACTTATTTTAAGTGTAGTAAATGACATTGACACAATCCAGTTTCCTGTCAGGCTGACCCATCTTTGGAATTTTTTTTTACCTAAGCATAGACTAGCTGACAATATGTTATTAACATGAATATAAGATGTTAGCCAGGCTGCCCTCTCACAATAATTTTCTTTGGCATAGCTACAGCATTCACTGTTCTTCACCAGTTGGCTTCTTTTATTATATGAGGTTGGTGGCTTTTGGTTCAAACTGGTTGCTTATGAAGAAAATTCAGTATTTAAAGAAAATGTGTGCCTTACAACCTCATGAAGAAACACACCAACATTTACTCTAAGTCATTTATACTTACATTTTTATCCATTTTCCTTATCATTGATTCTAAAAGATACATTTTTCAGAACAATATTTTCTTCTCAACTTATATCATTGTACAATTAAACCACATTAATTGGCAGATAGGCCAGGAGGACACAGCTTGATTTATACTTTTGTCCCAGATAAACGAATGATAGTGAGTAGTTTGATCTCTGGGAGGTTTTAAAAGAAATGAGGTTACTAAAATGGACCCAAATACAGATTTTTCTAGTGAATGAATTGATATGAATAAAATACTGTGCCTCTACAAGGGAAAGAGAGCCTATTCACAGCAAAGAACTCCAAGTGACTTAGTAGAGCATAAGACAAATGCAATTGGAGGCAATTAATTGTGAATGCTCTGTTATTTTGCATAACAATCTCCATTTTCATAGTCCCTAAAATAATTACAAGTTCTCATGGCAAGAGTCTTGGCCTGGGGTGACTTTCTGAGAACCACAGTAACTTTGGTTTGGAAAATTGATCTAGACCTCCATGTAATATCCATGCCAAAGAGCCCATTCTTTCTCAATACCTCTGCTGATGGATGACTCATTTCTCCTCATTTCATATTTAAATACCTGCTTTCCTCTCTGTTAGACTTCCTTTCCCTCTGCCATTGGACAAAATTTGGCTTCTTGTGGCTTCATCTACTGTTCTAATTCTGCTTCTTGGGACCATGAGAGGGAGAACTTCAACTTCTCTTCCATGTGACAGCCTGTATATACCTGAAGTCTTCCCATTTCCATTTGCTTCAGCTATTCCTCATGTCTCAAATGTTAAGTCTCTTCACTATCCTGGGCACTCATCTCTCTGACTCTGGCTGAGTTCCTGAGTTGAATGTTCTATTTCAGATTCTGTTTGGCAGCAAAAAGCAGGAGTAGACTGACACCTCCTTGGTTCTGGACATGATTCTTCTAACAATGCAGGCAAAATTGCATGAGCTTTTTTACATCGCAGAAACATATTGAGCTTATTATTCAATAAACATTCAAAAATATGTTTTATGTATTAAAGCTAAGTAATTTCTATGTTGTCATAATGATAAATATGGCATATTTTTCTTGTTTTCATCTTGTTAGGTTTGTACATATGCTTTGAATTGCCAGGACTTATTTATCACATGTATGCTATGCACATATTTAGTAATAGTGTCCTCTACATTTTAATCTAAAATCATTGATATTATACTCAACAGGTTCCCTTCTTCAAGTATGTTCTTTCAAGTTGAAATTCTTTTACTAGAAAGCTTTTGGGTACTACTATTAACTTGTGTGAACCCAAAAAAGTCTGAGACAGGTCTCAGTTAATTTAGAAAGTTTAGTTTGCCAAGGTTGAGGACATGCCCATGACACAGCCTCAGGAAGTCCTGATGACATGTACCCAAGGTGGTCAACACACAGCTTGGGACATGGGACATCAATCAATATATATAAGAAGGACATTGGTTCAGTCTGGAAAGGCTGGACAACTTGAAGCAAAGGCAGGAAGACTCTAAGCAGGGAGAGAGCTTCCAGGTCACAGGTAGGTGAGACACAAACTATCACATTCTTTTGAGTTTCTGACTATGGTTTCCAAAGGAGGTAATCAGATATGCATCTATCTCAGGAAGCAGAGGGATAACTTGGAATAGAATGGGAGGCAGGTTTTCCCTAAGCAATTTCCAGCTTCAGTTCTCCTTAGTGATTTTGGGGACCCAAGATATTTACCTTTTCACACTTGGGTCTACAGAATTGTCTCCTTTCAGTAATCCATTCTAGAATCTGCCCCAAGTTTGACATCTAACTCACTGATACAGAGTTAATAGTAATAACACTTATGGTGTTGACTGCCAAGATGCTGTTTACCCATCTCCTGTCTTGGAACACAAAACCACATTTCCAATAAAATATTTAAAGTCTACCTTCCAGAAGTTTAGGTTATTCAGCTGATTATATGAAGCTTTCTACACCTTGACTAGCATAAATACTAAAAAGGACATAAACAGTTTTTTAAGGCATAAGTTACTTTCAGCTTCACCAACCAATTCTTCCTTTATACTTTGAAATATGCATTTGTCTGAGTAAGAAGAATTAGCAATTATAGTTACTGTATCATTGATTTCTCCAAAGAAAGAAGAATTATCCTTCAATAATTTATTCAAAAATTAGAACTATATTTTCCAGAAAGGAAATGGCATCAGAACAAAACATGGGTGAATGCATGTATGATTCCATAATCAGACACTCAGCAAAACATATATGGAGTTAGTGTGACCATAGCAGTATTGGAAACTACTAATATATTTCCTCCCGATCAATCTTCTTTCTCCTACAGGAATGTTATGTCCTGGGCAGATGCAGCAACAGACATCCAGGGGTCTCAGTAGAAGCTGCTGAGAAAAGAAGGAGTGTGGATTTGGAAGGACTAAGGCTGAGACAATGAATTAATCTCAGACTCTTTCCTGAGGGGAAAAAGGCAACATCTAAAATTATAAAGACCTAAGAAAGAAAAAAATCAAATGATGAATGGCTAGCATTCTGTATCCATCATATTATTGATTTCCAACAACGATCTCATGTTTATAGATGAAGCTTCAAGAGGTTAAGTACCTTGCTTGAGTTCACTCACTCAAAGTCCAGATTCAGATCTGTTTGACTCCAAAGCTAGTGTTCTTCTTTCTCTAACTCTGCTAATTCTGGCTTCATATATGCACCATAATTTGTTGCCAACTAATGAGGAGGACACAGAGCACAAGACTCCAGAAGTAAGGATATTTAAAGTCAGAGGGGCTAGAGATACTTCTGAGAAGCTTGTCTTGTTGGATATTTCTGGCCAGAATGTGAGAGAGAGGGTGCAGACACTGAAAGGAGGGAGCTATGTAGAGGTACTGCACCCTAGATGATTGTACTAGAGTCAAGCAGCTGTCCTGACCAGTGGGTAATCTGTTCTTGGATCAGGAACTGAGTCTAGGGTACAAATGCATTAATTTAGAAAACTTGGCAGAGAAGGGCGTAGAGGGCAGTTTAGCGGCCATGGAAGGGCCTGGTAGTGATCTCAGGGACCAGGATATCAGTTTCATCACTAGGGTGGCAAACTGTGCTAATTTACCCAGGACTGTGAGTTTTCTGGAACACCGGACTTTCAGTGTTAAAATTAGGAAAGTCCTAGGCAAACTGGAATATATGATCACCTGGTCATAGCACCAAGAAGGTACCCAGCCCCCATCAACCAGAGATGTGAACATTACATTGGTTCTTTCCTCTTGCTCACACCCCTCCCTCCTTCCATCCTTAAGTGCTCTCGATTTTACTTGCCTTTGAATGTCTGTCATCTCCTTCATCCCCATGACCACTGTTTTTGTTCAGGCTCTCACCATCTCTCACTATTTCGAGGGTCTCCTAACTGGTCTCTGTATCCATTCCTGACAACTTCCACAATGCTGAATGCTCCACAATGCCACCAGAGGGCTCTTCTCAAATGAAACAGAACGTGTCACTCCTGTTCAGACATATCAAGAGCTCTCCACTTGGGAAAGGAGAGAGTCCAATCTTTCTCCATAATTTAAAAGACCCTACAGACTCTAATGCCAGCCTATATCATCAGCCTCTTTTCTCTACACCAGCCTGCATCACACTTCATGCTTGTCTATAAAACAGACCCTACCCAAAAAAACCAAACCAATCCTAAACAAAACATGTGTTCTTACACTTCCAAGCCTCTGCCTTCTGCCTGAGACATTCTTCCAAGCTTTGTCCATGTATAAAATTCCTATTCATCATTCAAAATATTTTGCAATGTGTAGAAATAAATACTAATGAAAATGTCTTTAGGGAGAGGCTTCTCTGTGGCTGGAAAGAATATATTGATAAACTGCTTGGAGTGGGAAGTGACTTCCATGCTGTGTAACAGTTGAATAAGACTTTATGTCAGATAGTATAATCCAATATCTTGAAAGTGTTCACTTAAAAATCACACAATTTATAAATTTAGAAAGGAGACATTATTTCTTATAAAGGGTTACAGCCTGCAAGTTGGACATTCTTACAGGCTAAGAAGCATAACCTCCAGTCAAAGTCATTAGCAGGCACTTCAAGGGAAGGAAGGGTGGAACAGGGATTTACGTTGAATATCTTGGCCAAGTATACATATTCAACAGGTTACAGGAGGAGCTGTGAATATTCATGAAGGTGGTCCTAATGCATATGTATTGAATAAACATACATGTTACATAGGACCCATTAGGAGACTTAACATTTAAATGTATTAAAAGTAGGCCCTATAGGTCAAAAGATGAAGTAGAGACATGAAGACACTCAAGTGTGTAAACTGGCCAGAACCAGTCCTTGGTTTGCCGTCTCTTATCACTGGAAAGTTGCAGGAATCAGTACCTTGTTAGATCAAAGCTGTTGTTACGGGTTGTGGAACAGGGTGTCGGTTAGTCATCATCTGGCAGTGAGCTGCAATTCTTTCAATATTGCTTATCTCAAGGTCAGTGCTTGTTTAGCTGATAAAGCAAAAGAAAAACCATGTAGCAGTTAGAACACAGTTTATTCTTTAAGTTCAGGGGTGCATGACTTAACTCTTGCATGGCATGGCCTTAGGTCATGTTTATGATTTGGTATCTTATTGCCACAAAGAATCTATTCTGCTAGTCTTACGATCTTTATTTTAATGTTAATGCTGGTCAGTTTTTGTGTCTAAATTGCAAAAGGGAGTGGGTATAATGAGGTGTGCCTGACCTCCTGTGCAGGCATGGCCAGAAACTCAGTATTTAAGGTTTCTCTGGGGTCCCCTTGGCCAAGAGAGGTGTCCATTCAGTTGGCTGAAGGGCTTAGGATTTTATTTTTAGCTTATATTAGGTTGGTGCAAAAGTAATTGCGGTCTTTGCCATTAAAAGTAATGGCAAAAATGCAATTACTTTTGCACCAATCTTATAAAAGCAGAATGCCTACATATGTCTACAAGCCACATAGTGTGCATCAGGACTGAGTCTATTTTTTAGCGTTTGTCCCAATAACAAAAGATGGAACCATATATTTCTCAGAAAATAAAATTTTAATTTAATTTAAAATTTTATATTCACTGTTTATCAACCAATACTTAATCCTGTTTAGAACATCACTAATGATGATTGCCCGAAGGCTGTGGTCAACGGCCTTCATCAACATCAACAGCATGAATATCACCTGGGGATCTGTCAGAAATGTAAATCTCAGGCCCCATGAGGTGTATTGAATCAGAAACTTCGAGGAGGGGTCAGGAGGGCAGGAATCGCTGATTTAACAAGCCTTCCAGGTGACTCTAATTCATTCTAATGTTAGAAAAATCACTGCTCTAGTTGAGGTTTTCAAATGGTCTACCATAATTAAAATCCCCTGTGCAGCTTTGTTAACTATGAAAGAGATTCCTGTGTATGTTGAAGTTTGAGAATTTCTGTTATATTCACAAATTAAGCCACAGCACTACAGAGCTACTTCCATGGGTGGTCTTGCATGACTCTTATGAAATAGTTTTTCCTGAATAATTTGACTCACTTTGAAGGATAAGCTCTGGAATGCCTGTGTTTGAATTCCACCTTCATCATTTACTGAATGTGGTAGCTGGCGCCAGTCATCTAACCTCTCTGGTATGGTTTGTATCTGTGTCCCCACCCAGATCTTATTTGAATTGTAATCCCCATAATCCCCACGTGTTGAGGGAGAAACTCAGTGGGAGGTAATTAGATCATGGGAGTGGTTTTCTCCCTTGCTATTTTCGTGAGAGTGAGTGAGTTCTCGCAAGAGCTGTTGGTTTTATAAGGGGCTCTTCCCTATACACTCTTCTCTCTCCCGCCACTTTGTGAAGAAGGTGCCTGCTTCCCCTTCTGCCATGATTGTAAGTTTCCTGAGGCCTCCGAGCTATGCAGAACTGTGAGTCAATTAAACCTCTTTTGTTTATAAATTACCCTATCTCGGGTAGTACCTTTATAGCAGTGTGAAAATGGACTAATACGCTGTGTCCAAATTTTCTTCCCTTCAAATGGAGATAAAAATTGACCTAGTTCACAAGGTTGTTTGAATCTGAGTGGGAAAATACACATAAAGTTTTTAGAATGGTGACTTTCAAAACAGCTGTATGGCTCTGGGTTTTCTATATGGGTGTTGTTGAGAAGACTATTCACTCTGTTACAAAGTCCCCTCTCTGAAGATCCACAGAGATAAGGTTCCCTATACGGCTACTAGGGGTTTTGCTGGGTACCTTGTGAATCACGACATGGGTGAATTCCCTTCTCAAACTGGCTGCCTGAAACTGAGAGCTAAGAGATTTTGTCCATCTCTGTTCATTTGAAGGGTCCTGTGGCCTGCATCTGAGTGCTGATTTCACTTCTGACTTTGTCTTTCTACACTTTTTGCCCTTTACCTTTATTCTCCCAACTTATTTTTATTTATTTTATTCTGCATTGTGTGTACCCTTTGAATGCTCTTAGATATTTTTAGGAATAAGATAAGGCAAGAATGTAATTGATTTTATTTAATTAAGCATTCAATCAAATATCCAGACTACTACAGTGGTGTGATGGATAGTACTGAGTGTCAACTTGACTGGATTGAAGGACACAAAGTATTGATCCTGGGTGCATGTATGAGGGTGTCACCAAAAGAGATTAACATTTGAGTCACTGGGCTGGGAAAGGCAGACTCACCCTTAATCTGGGTGAGCACAATCTAATCAGCTGCCAGCACAGCTAGAATAAAAAGCAGGCAGAAAAATGTGAAAAGAGAGACTGGCCTAGCCTCCCAGCCTACATCTTTCTCCTATGCTTGATGTTTCCTGCCCTCGAATATCAGACTCCAAGTTCTTCAGTTCTGGAACTCAGACTGGCTGTTGCTGCTCCTCAGCCTGCACATGGCCTGTTGTGGTATCTTGTGATTGTGTGAGTTAATACTTAATAAACTCCCATATATAATATATGTATATAATATATATACACATATATATTATATATACACATATTATATATAATATATACACATATTATATATATTATATATACACATATTATATATATTATATATACACATATTATATATACACATATATAATATATACACATATATAATATATACACACATATATAATATATACACACATATATATAATATATACACACATATTATATATAATATATACACACATATTATATATAATATATACACACATATTATATATATAATATATACACACATATTATATATATAATATATACACACATATATATAATATATGCACACATATATATAATATATACACACATATATATAATATATACACACATATTACATATATAATATACGCACATATTATATATATAATATATACACACATATTATATATAATATATACACACATATTATATATATATTGTATACACACATATTATATATAATATATACACACCTATTATATATAATATATACACACATATTATATATATAATATATACACACATATTATATATAATATATACACACATATTATATATATAATATATACACACATATTATATATAATATATACACACATATATAATATATACACACATATCTATATATATACACATATTATATATAATATATATACACATATATAATATATATACACATATATATAATATATATACACATATCATATATATAATATATATACACATATATATATAATATATACACATGTTATATATAATATATATACACATATTATATATAATATATACACATATATATAATATATATACACATATATAATATATATACACATATTATATATAATATATACACATATTATATATAATATATATACACATACTATATATATAATATATATACACATACTATATATATAATATATATACACATACTATATATATAATATATATACACATACTATATATATAATATATATACACATACTATATATATAATATATATACACATACTATATATATAATATATATACACATATTATATATATAATATATATACACATATTATATATATAATATATATACACATATTATATATATAATGTATATACACATATTATATATAGAGAGATGTACACATATTATATATATAATGTATATAGACATATTATATATATAATATATATACACATTATATATAATATATACACATATATAATATAGTACACAGATTATATATAATAAGATATACACAAGTGTATGATATGTATACACATATTATATATATAATATATACACACATATTATATATAAATGTATATGCACATATTATATATAATGTATATACACATATTATATATATAATGTATATGCACATATTATATATATAATATATATACGCATTATATATAATATATACGCATATATAATATGTACACATATTATATATAATATATATACGCATATATATAATATATATACACATATTATATATATAATATATGCACACATATTATATATATGATATATACGCACATATTATATATATAATATATATACGCATATATATAATATATATATGCGTATTATATATATAATATATATACGCATATTATATATATAATATATATACGCATATTATATATATAATATACACATATATATAATATATATACACATATTATATATAATATACACATATTATATATATAATATATATACACATATTATATATATAATATACACATATTATATATAATATATATATACACATATTATATATATAATATATATACACATATTATATATATAATATATATACACATATTCCATTAGTTCTTTCCCTCTAGAGAACCCTGATTAATAAAAGTGGTCATTGATATTGACCTTATTTTCTTAGCAAATCTGAAAAGCTTATTTTTGATAATATCTCATGGGTACTGGTGTTTCATAGATTCTTGGTGATATGGTTTGGGTCCATGTCCTTGCCCAAATCTCATGTCAAATTGTAATCCTCAATGTTGGTGGGAGGTGATTGGATCATGGGGGTGGATTTCCCCTTTGGTGCTATTCTCATGATGATGGGTGAGTTATTGCAAGATCTGATTGTTTAAAAGTGTGTAGCACATCCCCCTCTTCTCTCCCTCCTGCTCCAGCCATTTAAGCCATACTTGCTTCCCCTTCACCTTCCACCATGACTGAAAGTTTCCTGAGGCCTCCTCAGTCATGCTACCTGTACAGCCTGCAGAACCATGATCCTCTTTTTTTTTTTTTTAATAAGTTACCCAGTCTCAGGTGTTTCTTTATAGCAGTGCCAGAACTGATGAATACAATTGGGTATTTTTGTAGACATTGTTTCATTGACTCTTTGAACCATAGGAATGGGTGGTTTCTCCAAGCTATGAAGCCTAGATTTTAGAATTTGGGGTAGGTTTAAAGTTTCTCCCCAAATTATTGGGCTGGTCTGAGATCTCATCTTTCTGATTCCCAAGCCAGTGTTTCTTCTATTTTACCATGCTTGACACAGACTTTAAACCTTTTTCAGGTGACTTTCCCAACAGCTAGACACCTGCTCTGAAGTCCTCCTTTCTTGACTGTTACTCTCAGTATGATATTCACTTTAACAACTGACATACATAGGGAACAGGAAGAGAGGACATTTTCTTTGCATATATCTATGATGGAAGGTGCTATGGTTTGGCTGTGTTCCCATCCAAATCTCATCTTGAATTCCCACATGTTGTGGGAGGGACCTGGTAGGAGGTAATTGAATCATGGGGGCAGGTCTTCCCCATGCTATTCTCGTGATAGTGAATAAGTCTCACAAGATCTGATGGCTTTAAAAGGGGAGTTTCCCTGCACAAGTTTTCTCTCTCGGTGCCACCATGTAAAAAGTGCTTCTCACCATCCACCATGATTGTGAGGCCTCCCTAGCCACGTGGAACTGTAAGTTAAACCTCTTTCTTTTGTAAATTGCCCAGTCTTGGGTATGTCTTTATCAGAAGCGTGAAAATGCACTGACACAGTAAATTGGTACCAGGAGTGGGGTACTGCTGAAAAGATACCCAAAAATATGGAAGCGACTTTGGAACTGGGTAACAGGAAGAGGCTGGAATGGCTTGGAGGGCTCAGAAGAAGACAGGAAAATGTGGGAATGTTTGGAGCTCCCTAGGACTTGTTGAATGGTTTTAACCAAAATGTTAACATGTGGAACTGTAAGTTCATTAAACCTCTTTTTTTTTTTTTTTTTGTAAATTGCCCCATCTCAGGTATGTTTTTATCAGCAGCATTAAAATGGACTAATACAGAAGGATTGTAAAACGTTAGAGAAAATGGAATTTAGAAAGCACCTGGTTACCAATCTGATTCTCAGTTACCTTCTCTAAGACATATAAAGACAAATTAAAAAAAATACAGCTCAAAACAACTTTGGAAGCCAAGGCTGAATCAACTTTTTCAGAATATGCAAATATTTTTTATTAAACTCCAATTCTGAAGAAACCTATTGAGCAACTCACATTCATCTTCTAACTATACCATCACAGCTGTAAATAGAGCAAACTTGAATGTGTGTAAAAACACTTTTCAGCCCTTCTTTCTATTCCTTTATGTGACAGTGTAGCTGCTAAGCAGTCATAGTGCTTACCCTATCTCCATAATCTGCATTACTCTGCCTCAATCCATTTGAAAGTGACTCTGATAAAACAATTTGGCAGGGAATAGAGGGACTTTGCCTTCACACACTGCAGTTCTACCAAAAGCCTTACCATCCAAACCATTGTTAAGAAATGTTAGTTGGATTGACAGACTTCATTTCCCCCTTTTAAGAAAAATATAATCCTTCTTTACATCTCTTCCCCCAAATGATGGCACATATTTGAGAGTTATTTTATTTTATTATAAGTTTAATTTAATCTAATATCAATATTCTCTCCATACCTAAAACATTCATGGCAATTATCTGCTATTCTCCTATCCCACAAGTTCCTTAAAAATATATATATAATAAAATAAAAAACTATTGCTTAATTTTTATCTCTTGTTGTGATGTTATGGTCCCTTGGTCTGAAAGCCTGAAAGCCTCATGAAAGTCTGAAAGCCTCTTTTCATCTTAACCTTGCTCCTTGCTGCCTAGTTTCATTAGCTCAGCAAATGTATTCTTATAATAGCTAACAGGTAAACTTTCATATTGGGAGATGCTCTTTAGCTGTTAACTAGTTATATAGTTTGGATGTTTTGTCACCTTTATATCTCAGGTTGAACTGTGACCCCCATTGTTGGAAGTGGACCTAGTAGGAGGTGTTTGGATTATGGGGGCAGATACCTCATGAATGGCTTGGCACTGGTCTCATGGTAATGAGTGACTTATCATTCCATGAGTTCGCATGAGATCTGGTTGTTTGAAAGAGCCTGGCACCTCCTTCCTCTCTATCTTGCTCCCTCTCTTACCATGTGACAAGCTGGCTCCCCTTTGCCTTCTGCCATGATTAGAACCTTCTTGAGGCCCCTATCAGAAGTAAATGCTGACACCATGCTTTTTGTACAGAATGCAGGACAATGAGCCAAATAAACCTCTTTTCTTTATTAGTTACCCAGCTTCAGGTATTTCTTTGCAGCAATGCATTTCTAATCTTTGTGGCTACACTTCTCCAAAAAAAAAAAAAAAACACTGTTAAAAAAAAATAAAAGAAACTACCTGAGGCCAATCCAAGCAGTAGTCAAAAAATTTGCTGCATCAGACAGTTTTTAGCACAACCCACTAATAGGACCTTAGAAAATCCACTCTACATAAGATAAGGGAAACTTTAAGTTAATTTTTACACAGAATTATTCATATTCTTACAAAGCCAGTAGCTTGCTGTGACTGATTATCCCAGAAGATGTTTTAATAGACATTGAGTTAAAACATTTCCCATAATTGACTTCGTTGACAAATATTTTCTCTAATTACCTGGGAGCTACTTCTTTGTTTGAGAATGTGTTCTTTGAACTTGGGCAAAAGACATAATTAGTCAAGACTAACTTGGAAGTAAGAAAAATTGAGGCAGAAGTAAAACTACTCTGTTAAGGGGGCCAAGACAATTCAATGGGGGAAAGAATAGTCTTTTCAACAAATTGCACTGGGACAACTGGATAATTCACGGGCAAAAAGTGAAATGGAACCCCTGCCTCACACTATATACAAAAATTAACTCACAATGGAACAAAGGCCTAAAGGTAAGAGACAAAACTATAAAACTCATAGAAGAAACATAGATTTAAATCTTTGTGACCTTAAATTTGGCATTCTTTTTTTAGATATGACCCCAAAACATAAGTAACCAAAGAAAAACTAGACAAATTAGACCTCATTAAAATTAAAAGCTTTTGAGCTTCAAAGACACAATCAAGAAAGCGAAACATGAGCCTGAAAAATGAGAGAAAATATTTACAAATCTTATATCTGATAAGGGTCTAGTATTTGTAATACATATAAAAACAATTACAACTGAGTAATATAAAAAACAATTTTTAATAGGCAAAAGATCTTAGCAGACATTTCTATAGAGATACACAAATGGCCAATAAGTCCAGAAAAGATTCTCAAGCTCATTAGCCATAAGGGAGATACAAATCAAAACCACAGTGAGATACTTCTTCATGCCCACTGAAATGCCTGAAATGAAAAAAACAGACAATAACAAGTGTTTGCAAGGATGTAGAGTGATATGGTTTGGCTGTGTTCCCGCCCAAATCTCATCTTGAATTGTAACTCCTAGAATTCCCCTGTGTCATAGGAGGAATCTGGTAGGAGGTAATTGAATCATGGGGGTGGGTCTTTCCCATGCTGTTCTTGTGATAGTGAATAAGTCTCACGAGATCTGATGGCTTTAAAAATGGAAGTTCCCCTGCGTAAGCTCTTTCTCTTTGCCTGCTGCCATCTATGTAAGATGTGACTTGCTTCTCCTGCCTTCTGCCATGAAGGCAGCCTCCCCAGCCACATGGAACTGTGAGTCCAATAAACCTCTTCCTTTTGTAAATTGCCCAGTCTCAGATATGTCTTTATCAGCAGCATGAAAAAGGACTAATACATGGAGAAATTGAATTCTCATACATTGCTTGTGAACAAAAAATTATGCAGCCTCTTTGGAAAACAGTTTGGCAGTTTGTCAAAAAGTTAAACATAAAGTTATACTATAACCTAGCGATTTTGCTCTTAGGTATATACCCAAGGGAAATAAAACATATCTGTATACACAACAACTTGTATATGAATGTTCATAGCAGCATTTTTCATAATAGCATCAAAAACTGGAAACAATCCAAATGTCCCTCAATTAATGAATGGATAAACAAATGTGGTCTTTTTGTGCAATAAAATATTCAGCCATAAAAGGGAATGAAATTCTGATACATGCTACAACATGGATAAACCTTAAAAACCTTGTGCCAAGACAAGCCAGACACAAAGGCCACATATTGTATGATTCCATTAATATGAAACGTTTAGTATAGGTCAATCCACAGAGACAGAAAGTGGATGAGCAGTTTCCAGGGGCTCGGGAAAGAGGGATAGGGGGAGTAACTGCTGATGAGTAACAAGGTTTATTTTTGGGTTATGAAAAGTTCTGGAATTTGATAGTGGTGATGATTGTAAAACTTTGTGAGTATACTAAAAACAATTGAATTGTACAGATTAAAGAGGTGAATATTACAGTATGTGATTCATGTCTTGATTTAATAAAAGATAAAACTACTCAAAATTACATAATAAATGTGGAATTATTTGCAAAGTATCAAACGCCTTATCAGCAGTTCACAAACATTTACTTCTAAGAATCATTACACTCTTACATGAAAATTGTTTTCTAGTAATCACTGTATTGGAATATAAAATTGAAACAAAATTTAAATGTTTAGCAATTTGTTTAAAACCAAAAGTAGTAACTTCATTACATGTTATCATAAATAACATATTTTGAAAAATACAAATTTATTCTCCAAAAAAAATATCATGAGAACAGGGTATAGTTTTTCTTCCAGATTTATTGAGGTACAATTAATAAATAAAAGCTGTATATATTTAAGGTACTCAACTTGATGTTTTGATATAAATATACATTGTGAAATAATCATCACAAGTTAATTAACATATTCATCACCTCGCAGTTATCATTTTTCTTTGCTTTGCTTTGCTTTTTTGTAGTAAGAACTCTTAAAATCTAGCCTTTTAGCAACTATCAAGTATACAATACAGTATTGTTAACTATAGTCACATTGTTGTATATTAGATGTACAGAACTTATTCGTCCTGCATAATAAATCTTGTGCCCCTTGATCAAAACATCTACTCATTTTTCTCTTCAGCCCGTAGCACTACCATTCTACTCTATGCTTCAGTGAATTTGACTTTTAGATTCCATATATAAGTGAGAAGATGCAGTATTTGTCTTTGTGTGCCTGGCTTATTTCACTTAGCATAATGTCCTCCAGGTTTATGTATGTTGTCAAAATGGCAGGATTTCCTACATTTCAAGGATGAATGATATTCTATTATATATATGCACCACAATTTCTTTATCCATTTATCTATCAACAGACATTTTGGTTATTTCTATATCTTGGTTCTGGTGAATAATGCTAAAATAAAGATAAGAGTACAGATAACTCTTCAAGATACTGATTTCATTTCCCTTGGATATATACCCAGAAGTGGGTTTGCTGAATCATACAGTAGTTCTATTTTTAATTTTTTGAAGAAACTCCATACTGTTTTCCATATTGATTGTACCAATTTACATTTCTACCAGCAGTATTGCCCTTTCTCCACATCCTAGCTAACCCTTGCCACCTTTGGACTGTATAAGTTATGCTAAGATTGGAGCTTTGGAAAGTTAAATATAAAAGTAATTTAAACAAATAAGTATTTAAGGATTTCAAAAAGACTTAAAGGGGGTTGTATTAGAAAAAGGGTCTTCAGAGAAACAATAAGATATGGGGGAGGAGAGGAGAGAGAGAGAAAGATTTAGATTTATTGTAAGGAATTAATTGGCTCACACGATTATGGAGGATGGGAAATCCCATGATCTGCAAGCTGGCTGGAGACCAAGGAAAGCAAGTGATGTAATTCCAGTCTGAGTTTGAAGGCCAGAGTACCAGGAGAATTGATATAAATTCTAGTCCAAGTTTGAAGGCCTTAGAACCAGTAGTTCTGCTGGTAAAATTCCAGTCTAAGGACAAGAGGAGACTGATGCCTATGGACTGAATATTTGTGTCCCCCTAATATTCATTTGTTAAGCTCCTCACCTCCAATGTAATGGTATTAAGAAGTAAGGCCTTTGGGAGGTAATATAAGGTCATGAGGTAGAGATCTCATAAATAGGATTGGTGCCCTTATTAAAAGATGCTAGAGTGTGTGTTCTTTCCTTTCTACCACACGAGGATACAATGAGAAGACAGCCATCTAAAAACCAGGAAGGTAGCCCTCACCAGACACTGGATCTCCTGGCACCTTAATCTTATACTTTCTAGCCTCCAGAAATGTGATAAATTTCTGTTATTTAAGCAATTCAGTCTATAGTATTTTGTTATAGCAGCTTGAACTAAGACACCAATGTCCTAGCTCACACAGTCAGGCAGAGAGAAAATTCTTCCCTCTTCCACCTTTTTGTTCTCTTCGGGTCCTCAGTGGCTTAGTTGGTGCCCAACCACATTGGGAAAGGTGATCTGCTTTACACATTATTCTTAAATGTACAATAAATTAGTGTTGACTATAGTCACTCTGTGGTGCAATCAAAGACTAGATAATAATAATAATAATTATTATTATTATTTTGAGACAGGGTCTTACTCTGTTGCCCAGGCTGGACTGCAGTGGTACGATCTCGGCTCACTGCAACCTCTGCCTCCTGGGTTCTAGTGATTCTCCCGCCTCAGCCTCCCAAGTAGCTGGGATTATAGGCATGCACCACCACTCTCAGCTAATTTTTGCATTTTTTGTAAAGACAAGGTTTTGCCAGGTTGGCCAAGCTGGTCTTGAACTCCTGGCCTTGAGTGATCTGTCTGCCTGAGCCTCCCAAAGTGCTGGTATAGGAATGAGCCACTGTGCTTGGCCTAAAAAACTAGTTCTTATTTGTTCTATCTAATTATATTTTTGTACCCACTAACCATTCTTATTTCTCCCAACCACCCATTCCAGGCTCTGGTAACCATCATTTTACTCTCTATCTCCATGAGTTCAATTATTTTAATTTTTTAGCTCCCGCAAATAAATGAGAACATGTGAACTTTGCCTTTCCATGCCTGGCTTATTTCACTTGTTTCAAATGACAGGATCTCATGGAGCTCCTTCTTTTTATGGCCAAATAGAACTCCATTGTGTATAGATACCAACTTTTCTTTATCCATTTATCTGTTGATGGACACTTACGTTGGTTTCAAATCTTGGCTAGTGTGAATAGCACTACAATAAACATGGGAGTGCAGACATCTCTTCAATATACTGATTTCCTATCTTTGGGTATATAACTGGCAGTGGGATTGCTGGATCATAAAGTAGTTCTATTTGTAGTTTTATGAGGAATCTCTAAACTATTCTCCATAGGGGTTGCACTAAATTACATTCTCACCAACAGTGTATGAGGATTTTCTTTTAGCTACATCCTTGCCAGCATTTGTTATTGCCTGACTTTTGAATAAAAGTTGTTTTAACTGGGGTGAGATGATATCTCATGGCAGTATTGATTTGCCTTTCTCTGATGATCAATAATGTTGAGCACCTTTTCACATACCTGTTTTCCATTTATATATCTTCTTTGGAGAAATGCTTATTCAGATCATTTGCCGATTTTTTAATTAGATTACTAGATTTGCTTTCCTATTTAGTTGTTTGAGCTTCTTAAGTATTCTGGTTATTAATCTCTTGTCAGATGAAGAGCTTGCAAATATCTTCCTGTATTCTGTAGTTTGTCATTTTGTTGATTGTTTCCTTTTCTATGTAGAGGTTTTTAACTTGATGTGGTCCCATTTGTTCCTTTTTGTTTTGGTTGCCTGCACTGGTAGGGGTGTTACTCAAGAAATCCTTGTCTAGTCCATTGTCCTGGAGAGTGTCCCCAATGTTTTTGTATGGTAATTTTATAGTTTGAGTTCTTAGATTTAACTCTTTAATTCATTTTGATTTTACTTTTGTATATGGCAAGAGACACTGGTCTAATTTTATTATTCTTCATATGGATATCCAGTTTTCCCCATACCATCTACCGAAAAGACTGCCCTTTCCCCAATGTATATGATTGACACTTTGGTCAAAAATGAGTTCACTGTAGATGTATGGATTTATTTCTCTATTCTTTTCCATTGGTCTATGTATCTGTTTTTATGCCAGTACCATGCTGTTTTGGTTACTATAGCTCTGTACTATACTTTGAAGTCAGGTAATGTGATTCCTCCAATTTTGTTACCCTTTTTTTTGAGGATGGCTTTGGCTATTCTGGGTCTTTTGTGGTTCTAGGGTTTATTTTTTTCTATTTCTGTGAAGAATGTCATTGGTATTTTGATAGGGATTGCACTGAATCTTTAGATTGCTTTGAGTAGTACGGACATTTTACCAATGTTGATTCTTCGGATCCACAAACACAGAATATCTTTCTGTTATTTTTTTCTTCAATTTCTTGCATCAGTGTTTTATAATTTTCACTGTAGAGATCTTTCACTTCTTTGGTTAATTTTATTCCTAAGTATTTTGCTTTATTTGTAGCTATTGTAAATGGGATTTCTTTCTTGAGTTCTTTTTCAGATTGTTCTGTTGGCATATAGAAGTGTCACTGATTTTTTATGTTGATTTTGCATTCTGACACATTACTGAATTTGTTTATCAGTTCTAATAGTTTTTTGTGGAATCTTTAGGTTTTGCCAAATATAACATCATATTATCAGCAAACAAGGGTAATTTGACTTCTACCTTTCCAACATCAGTACTCTTTATTTTTGTTTCTCTTTTTTGACTACTCTAGCTAAGACTTCTAGTACTATGTTCAATGGAGTGGTGAAAGTGAGAATCCTTCTCTTCTTCCAGGTCTTAGAAAAAAGGCTTTCTGTTTTTCCCCATTCAGTATGACACTAGCCTGTGGGTCTGTTATACATTGTTTTTATTCTGTTAAGCTATGTTCCTTCAACACCCAGTTTTTTTGAGTAATTTTATCATTAAGGGATGTTGAGTTTTATCAAATGCTTTTTAAGCACCAACTGAAATGATCATATGGGTTTTGTCCTTCATTCTGTTGATATAATGTATCACTTTGAATGATTTGCATATGTGATTCATTTTGTATCCCTGGAGTAAATTGTACTTGGTCATGATGAGTGTTATTTTAATGTGTTGTTGAATTTGAATTTTTAATGTTTTGTTGATGATTTTTTGCATCAATGTTCCTCATTAGCTTTCTTCTTTTGGTGTGTCTTTGTCTGGTTTTGATATCAGGTTAATTCTGGCCTCATAGAATGAATTTGGAAGTATTCTGTCCTCTATTTTACAGAACAGTTTAAGTAGGATTGGTATTAGTCCTCTTTAAATGTTTGGTAAAATTTGGCAGGAAGCTACCGGGCCCTGAGCTTTTCTTTGCTGGAAGAATTTTTATTACAGTTTCAATCTCATTACTTGTTTTTAGTCTGTTCAGATTTTGGATTTCAGCCCCTTGTAATTATTATCTTAAAATATTTGTTGTCAAATAAAGATTGAATAGATTCAAACTGTATGGCATGATGATTTAATATATGTGTACATTGTATAATGATTACCACAATCAAAGTGATTACACATTCATCACCACCTATTCTCTATACTAGATGCCCAGAACTTTTCTTATCTTATAACTAATTGTTTATACCCTTTGATCAACATCTCTCCGTTTTCACCTTCCTCTAGCCCCGGCATATTATTCTACTCTCTGTGTTTTTAAGCTCAACCCTTTTTAGATTCCACATACAAGTGCAATCATACAGTATTTGTCTTTCTGGGTTTGGGCTTATTTCACTTAGCATAATGTCCTCCAGTTGTGTCCATGTTATCACAAATGGCAGGATTTCCTTCTATTTATAGCTGAATAATATTCCACTGTATATATGTGTCACAATTTCTTTATCTTATCCAGCTATCCACTGATGGATACTTAGGTTGTTTCCATATCCTGGCTGTTGTAAATAATGTTAAAATGAACATGGCAGTGCAGATATGACTTCAGGATGCTGATTTTATTTCCTTCCAGTAAGATTGTTGGACATATAGTAATTCTATTTTTAATTTTTAAGGAACCTTCATGGTATTTCCCATGTGGCTATACCAGTTTACATTCCCCTTTCTAATTTTTAAAGTAGCATCTTTTTGGTATTATTTTATTCTTTCCATTTATCTCTCCATTCATTCATCCCCTTATAAAACTATATTTCAAACCCCACTTACATCAGATATATTCCCTTTTAATGAAAGAGTACTTAGAGTAAAGGGCAAGAGGAAAAGAAGATAGAAGAACAATAAAAAAAAAAACTTCCACAATAACACTTTTACCAGAAAATGTGTGGTAGCAACATTTAAATAATTTGCCACACTTTTATTAAGCTTCTTTTATTTCCCAGGTTCTGATTAGTGCTGGGGATATGAAGATTAATAAGATATGGTTACTACTCTCAAAAGTTTATTGTATAGTTTAAAAAAAAACAGAATGTGTGAACAAGATTAAGAAACTGTTTTTGAGACTAATCGAAACCCCTTTAGGGGACATTTTGGACACAAAAGAGGTAGTGGTCAAATATACTGTGTTTGACCAGTATAGGAGGGAGGACAGAGATGCTTACGACAAAAGAGATCATTGAAACAACCTTGTTAACTGAGGAGCTGTTTCCAGGAGAGCATCTGGAAGAAGGACTTTGCAGGCAAGAAGTAGAAACGTCAGATCCCCTGAGATTTTGTGGAATCTTAAAAAAGGACTTGAATAGACTAGGTAGGGTGTAAGTGGGATACTCTGAAAGAAGTGAAGCATGATGAACTAAAAGGAGTGGGTAAATTCCTTCAATCATCTATTCATTTACAATGTGTAAAGTTCAAATTGAATATCAGGAACCGTGCTGGGAGTGGGCCTACAAGGATGAAGAACACTTAATTCTTACCTGTGAGATGCTTACATCCTGGTAGATGAAGCCAAAATCTAAGCAAATAATTTCAGCAATGTGATAGGTATTAAAGTAGAGATTTGCAAGACATATGGTCGGAACACAAAGGGAAAAATTACACAACTCCTCCAAGGGGATTTAGGAATTAAGATCGGGGTGAGCTAAGACATGAAGGAGGAGTAGGCATTCTCTGGGAATACAGGAGTGGGGTTAAGGGCAATCCAGGCAAAAGGTATAGCACCAAAGATAAAAGATACATACAGGGTCTTACATGTTGTTTGGTGTGCCCAGATCACAGGATCTGCATGGGAGAATGATAGGCAAAAGACTACAAAAGTCAATGGAACCTAAATGACAATGGGCCTATAAATGCCAGGTTATGAATTCTGGATTTTCTTATGTAAGCTTTAGGGAGCCCTGCAGGAGTTTAGGAAGAAAAGTGGTATAATCAGGCTTACCTTTCAGAAAGGTTAATCTGGATTTACTAGGAAAGAAAATGCAGCTGACTTTCCTGAATGGATACTGGGTGATTCATGGAACCTGTGGGAGAGTTGAGAACTAAGCTCAAGACTGCTTTGAGGAATGACACCCCAAATCATGCTCAGAATTGACTCTGCAGAAAATGGCCATCTGAGATGCTGCTGTCACCGAATGCTACCATAACTCTTTTGCCAGAACCAAACCTCTTTCCACAACATTAGCCAGCAAAACAATCTACAGGGAACATCCTTCCTCCCTCTATTCACTTCTGAATCCAAGTGGACCATGAATAAATCTAATTAATAGAGCCAGGATCTCATGCCTCTGCCATTTCTTCTGAGCAGCTGGAGAAGGTAGATTTCTGATTCTACCTGAGGAAGGCTGGGCCCATAGCGTTAGAGATTCTCCAAGCATTGCAAGTATGGCCCAAAGGTACTGGGCTGCTGTGGCAGAGAGCCACCTCACCTGGCAATAGTATTAAAGACAAATTGAAAACAGGCAACTTTGAGAAGAGTTCAAAACATTCTGCAGTAGTTCAGGTGATATATGAACTCTGATGCTGATAGTGGGAATGGAAAAGAGAAATCAAAACCAAACGTGAACTTTTAGGAAGTGGGCTCTATAGAAAGAAAACGTATTGGATAAAGGATCTAAGAGATAATACAGCCAAATGGAGCCTAACTTGAGAGACAGGAAGAATGCTAATCTTAACTAGAACTAGGAAAAAAGCAGGACGATTATGTTAAAGGATGGTAAAAGTGGAAACAGAGGAATACATATTTTGACATTTAAAAGATTTAGTGATCTAGAAGTTCACTTTTTGGATATTTTATTTTTCAACAATACTGGTCAAATGAGATATTATTTATTTATTTCAGAATTAAATTTTATTTTACATCCATAGAAATCATGAAAAACATTTACATTTTTCCACATAACAATATAACATTTCAACAGAGTATTTCTGGCTGTAAAGAAGATCTTGTTGATTTGTACAATTGAAACAACAGTTTTTGTTCCTTAAAGTAAACAAAATGACTTGGTGAATGTTTAAAATTTTTGAGTCTAGATATAAACATGGATTCATTATTAACATCCTATACTGTCCATTACTAAATTATTCCCATTATCAATTGGCACTCGTGTGAAGATTCATTCTTAACATTGTTTTGGTCAGTTGGAATACAGTAGAAAATGTTGTGGGAAGTCAGGAACCCCAAACGGAGGGACCAGCTGAAGCCATGACAGAAGAATGTGGATTGTGAAGATTTTATGGACATTTATTAGTTCCCCCAAATTAATGCTTTTGTAATTTCTTATGCCTGTCTTTACTGCAATCACTAAACATAAATTGTAAAGATTTCATGGACACTTATCACTTCCCCAATCAATACCCTTGTGATTTCCTATGCCTGTCTTTACTTTAATCTCTTAATCCTGTCCACCGAGGAGGATGTATGTGGCCTCAGGACCATGTGATAATTGCGTTAACTGCACCAAATGTACAGCATGTGTGTTTGAGCAATATGAAATCCGAGCACCTTGAAAAAAGAACAGGATAACAGCAATTTTTCAGGGAATAAGAGAGATAACCTTAAACTCTGACCGCTGGTGAGCCGGGTGGAACAGAGCCACATTTCTCTTCTTTGAAAAGCAAATGGGAGAAATATCACTGAATTCTTTTTCTCAGCATGGAACGTCCCTGAGAAAGAGAATGTGCACCTGGGGGTGGGTCTCTAAACTGGCCCACCTGGGGGCGTGGTTGTCTCTTATGGTAGAGTCTGCAGAGATGAAATAAACTCCAGTCTCCTATAAACTCCCAGGCTTATTAGGAAGAGGAAATTCCCACCTAATAAATTTTGGTCAGACAGGTTGATCCCTGTCTTCTGATAAGATGTTATCAATGACAATGGTGCCCGAAACTTCATTAGCAATTTTAATTTCGCCTCAGTCCTGTGGTCCTGTGATCTCGCCCTGCCTCCACTGGCCTTGTGATATTCTATTACCCTGTTAAGTACTTGATGTCTGTCACCCACACCTATTCACACACTCAGGGATCCTACCAATGTGTGATGTCTCCCCCAGACTCCCAGCTTTAAAATTTCTCTCTTTTATTTCTCAAGCCAGCCAATGCTTAGGGAAACTAGGAAAGAACCTATGTGATTATCGGGGCAGGTCCCCTGATGAGAAAAACTAACACAAGCCAGAAATATTAAGCATACATTTTTGCTACATATAAAACTGCATGGTAATTACACCACATATATACAGTTCTCACTAACCTTTATTACCCATAAATTTTTAAAAATCATTTTTACAAGTAATCTGGATATTTTGACTATCTGAAATCAAATGATTGCTATTTTTAATGTTTGCACAAAAAATTAATTAAAAAATCATTTTACTAAGGTTAAAATTTCCAGTAAGTCTATTGGCAGATATAAATAAAGCAAAATTTTGGCCGGGCATGGTGGCTCACACCTGTAATCCTAGCACTTTGGGAGGCCGAAGGGGCGGATCACTTGAGGTCAGGAGTTTGGCCAACATGGTGAAACCCCATCTGTACTAAACCAGCCTGGCCAACATGGTGAAACCCCATCTGTACTAAACCAGCCTGGCCAACATGGTGAAACCCCATCTGTCCTTAAAAAAAATACAAAAATTATCCAGGCGTGGGGGTGGGTGCCTGTAATCCCAACTACTTGGGAGGCTGAGGCAGGACAATTGGTTGAACCTGGGAAGCAGAGGCTGCAGTGAGCTGAGATTGCACCACTGCACTTCAGCCTGGGCAACAGAGTGAGACTCTGTCTCAAAAAAAAAAAAAAAAAAAAAAAAGGAGATATAAAGCAAAATTTTAAATGGATTGCTCATTTTCTATAGCAGTCAGCTTTAAACATATGTACAAAATAAGTAAGCAAATGATGCTATGAGGAGATAAAATTATCTTAGAAATTAGTTTTTAGGATCAGCCTTAAATTTTTCAGAAATTATTAGAGTATGATTTAATTTTTTCAGTTGCTTACATAAAATAAAATGAAATAATTATTCCTGTTACATGGGTTAAAGATTCTAATAACTAAATAGGCTTAAATTTGGACTAAGGCATAGTTATTTGAAATAAGTAGTGCAAGTTTTAAGTAATGTCTGGTTTCTTTATGAAGTAAGTATAGATTTTAAATACCTTATGTTTGTGATTCAGAATGTCAAGTCATAGCATGTGTTGACAGTAAATGTCTACGGCAGGGAAGCAATGTTTGGTCTGCTATGAAGGACAATAAAAACATGTTTTTATCTTGAGAGGAGAAAGGAATATTAAATAGAAATTATATCAGGGAAGAGAAAAGCCTGGTCCCAAAATAAAAGGGCCATTAATTGAAGAGAAGAATATTATTCTTTATTGACACTTAGCATTATCCTTATTACTAGGACTAGTGTAATTCTTATTATATATTACAATCATTACATATATATGAATACACATGTAAAAATACAGACACTGCATGATGACTAAGCAATTTTGGAATAAATCCATAGACTAAGTCATAGAATACATAAATTGTTTATATCTTAACTGCTCATTTATACCTGAACAAATTTTCATTAAGCATATCAGTAATTTTCAAATGATGTAATAAAAAATCTGGTTGTAGTATTTCATTACTTTGCTGAATTATATTTGCAAAAAAAGAAACTAGCTACCTCACCTATTTTAATGTGAGTATATTCTGAGTTATATTATAAGAATACAGGTATATAGCTTAAAAGATCCTACATTTTTCATGAGGAGACATAGGATAAATTTCCTGTAAGGTGTCACTGCTGTGTATTTGCAAAACATTTTAAAACTGAAAACTTTAGAAGTTTGAAGATCAGACATTGGAAAAAATGTGTACTCCACTACAATACCGCTGGTGTACTTCTATAAAAGGACTCTTAGTGAAATCAATCAATTGGATAAAATTGTAGAATTTTATCAGTGAATTGCTTGACATCCAATCATTTTCTGTTGACATGAAATGTGCATTATGCTTTCACAGGTTTTAAAGTTTACATTGGCTGGATTTACCAATATAAAACAATAAGAAAAAAATAAGGAAAGCAGACATTGGGGTAATAATGGGTCACAATCTCCATGGCACTGGAGAATAGAAATATCTCTATTAGTACCACTAATAGGACCCTTTGGAAAGGAAGGCCAAAGTGAAAGCCAGCAGTCACATGCGGTGACACCTGCCAGTTTCTGCTGTGTGGTAAGAGCAGTACATAAAAATAAAAGCTCCTCCCTGAGAAAATCCTCCCAAAATAATTGTCAGAAAGAATGCCATTCTACACCTCTTGATCTACCAAAAGTTTTACATTTTCTGCTGCCTATTTAATTCCAGGTTCCTCCTCCTGGGAATCTGGTGAAAGCCCAAAAACATCAAACCAAGAAGATATAGCCATGTTCATATTTAATGTCATGGGCATAATTAGCACATGTGGGCAGATACATTTGATATGTGAACTTCTGATACCTGCAAAGTCTCTGCCCATCTGTGCCCGATATCTTCCCATCCATGAAGAAAAATCACTGCGGCTGTGGCCTTCTGGGCAGTGGACCCCGTGGCAGGCAGCAGAGCAGACACGCATTGCTGCATATCCACCCACTAGGTGGACTGTGCAAGTGGAGGGGGCGTGGGCCAAGGGCCAGTGAGTGGAAAGTCCAGCCGGCCTCACCTGGGTGCTCGCTCAGGCACCATCATCACGTATTTAAGAAGCCGTTGGCTATATTCCAGGAATTGAGACGCTCACCCACGTGTAAAAGTATTTGGCTTCTATTCTCTGGAATAGATATGCATTAAGATTTTGCAAATTTAGAATATAGATAGAAATATTTAAGAGTTTGACATTTTTAACATGTCACCAGATGTTACTTTTCCTGGTATTTAGTTCTATGTAGTTAGGGGTTGAGTCTTCAGTGATTTACTTATTTAAATACATAGTTTGTGTCCCTATGTAGTGTCTATAGAGAACATTTTTCTCTGTATTGTTTTATGGTGATAGCTGCTACAGTCTAACCAGTCCAAACTGTGAAAAAGTGACAAGAAAGATTAATTGCTATTTGTCCCACATCTACCATGAATCTTTTCCACTTAGGCAAACACTATGTAAATTTCCTGGAAATGTCACTTGGGGGAGCTTGTGACCCTGATCTGTCCCCATCAGAAATCTGGCAGCCAGTGAACATGATCTTGGGCCAGGTGGAAGCAGCTTTTGATTGGCAGGTGCAGCTCCCCTCACCCCCCCACCTCCCCCACAACTCCCCCCCAGCTTCTCCAGCCCCTACCCCTGTCCCTCGCCAAGATACACAGACAGAGTGAGGCTCTGGAGCAGTGTAAAGGCCTGCCTATATGTTGCCTGCTTCCTGAGTGCTCCCATAGCTTCCTTAGGATCTTTGACAAAACTCCTTTTCATCAGAAAAATTTGGACAAGAAGGCTTTCTTTTCTTCACATTTGGGCCTAAGTAGTATAAGTGTTCATATCCTCTCACAAGCAGTTTCTGAGTAAATAAGGTCCCTCCAGCTCTGAACAAAGATCTGTCTTCGTAGATTCCTTTCATCTAGACGGTTCTGACTAGCTACTGTTGTATGGCCTGAAAAAATCTGCTCTTCGTCTTTTGATTCTGTCATTCTTATAAAAACAAACAACAAAGTGCTCCAGACATCTTTGTACTGTCATAAAACCTAGACAAGTGAGTGTAGATTTACCAAAACAATCTTTCCTTAGTTGCATATAATATACAGAGTATAATAAACAAAAGTATTACTTGTAATATGATGACAAGAGGCTCAGCCATGGAGTCACCAGGCATGAGCTCTAATCTTTGTTCTGCAGCTTGATTTTAAGCTGTGTAAACTTGTGCAAGTCAACTAGCATCTTTGAACATTATCTAAAAGACAGGACTATATTTCAGACATTGAAGTATTTATGAAAATACTGTTTTAACTACCAAGAGATCCACTTACAGATGTGTCACTGGTGCAGCATGTGATCTAAGTCAGGACTCAGCACAGCCTACAAGGTCCTGGATAATCTGACCACCTGAGGAAACATTCTCCTTCTTCACCCTCCACCACTCTCCCCTGACTCATTGTGCTTTGAGCACCCACTGGCCATGCATTCCTCATTAAGGTTTTGCAAAACTATTCTCTCTGCCAACAGCTCTGTGTGTTCCATTCCCACTTCTACCAACCACCCCCTGCCCATCCTTCAAGTTTCAGCCTAAATATCAGTTCCTCATATAAAACTTCCTGGCCCACCAGAGTGGCTGGGGTCTGATGCAACTAGAACTTATTTCCTCTGCTTCTTTATAGAAATACTCAAAATTATAATGTAAACATTATTGCAATTAATGGTATAATGTCAGTATTTACCATCAGACTATAATTTATATGAGAGCAGGGTGATTTTTGTATGGTTACTGGGCCTAGATCTTAGGTCCCTGGACAGTACCTGGGATATAGAAGGCGCTCAATAAGTATTGAGTGAAAGAGTGAATGAACCCACTACATGCCCTCGCATTTTCATGTTATTGCATGTACTGATGCATCTGGTTGGGAGAGCCTTCTCTCTGATTTGATATTCCTTCACTGAATGAATCAATTCAGGGATCGCATCCTCCAGACATTTATTATAGATCCTTGGTAAATGCTAAATGCTTTCACAGTGCCTTGTATTTTCCTCCATGACAGAGGCTACATACTAGATTTACCTGGGTGTTAACAAATGCTGATGTCCAGACACTGCCCCAGACCAATTAAACCAGAACCTCTCTTCCCAGCATCATTTCTTAAAAGGTCTCCGTGGTATTTCTAATATGAAGCCAAGGTTAAGAACCACTGATTACTATACTGTGTCCTTATGTATTAAATATATGCATGTCTATGTCTGCTAGGTGGCTCAGCCCTTTGAAAGAAAGAACTTTTCTTATTCATTCTCCTAGCCTGTGGATCTAGCATAGCAGGCATTTTGGTGACCAAAGACAAAAAAGGTTTTTGAATGAGTGGTTAGATGAACATTTGTTATTGAAGTAAGTACATGTCATCACCAGACCATGTTTTCCTCAGATATGAGTGAGAAGGGAATGCCTTAATAAAGACAATGACTTCCAAGTATTATACCAAGGAATTCTCTATTGAGTGAGATAAACATATAATTATCTGTTACTGACAAAATTAAACATCCTTTTTTCCCTCTTGGATAATACAACAGTATTTCAGTCATAGAGAAAGCTTTCCAAAAGTATTTGGTTGTGAGAGAGTAATTGAATTGAGAACTATTGTGAATTGAAGCCAAACACATACCAGAGTTTCACAGGTCAGGCAGACATATGTTAATAGGACAATCACTGTTTCCTTTTCAGCCCTAAATGTAGAGCAGCTGAATAGGATAGTATCTAGAGTGAAAAAATGAATAAAGTGCAGTTTTTTTTCAAAAATCAATTGCCAAGAACCGCAATGATTTAATCAGTAGGGACTTCTGGACAAAGTGCGAATAAACTTGTTAATGTGTGGGGCATTCTGCCTGCCTGCAAAAGTTGGAGCTTTTCATAGTTCAGGGTAAAATTCTGTAAACTTTGTGAATTCATATCTATGTGAATATATGCTTTTTCCTAGGAATACAGAATATAGCTTTTATCAGCATCTTTAAAAAGTCTAGTTTTCAAAAAGGGTCATTACTAAGAGGGAGTTTGGGGTCCCTACTGACCTCTGTGGTAACATTAGCCTGGTGTGGACCAGGAAGCCTGATCAGGTCTTCTGACCCAAGCTAAACAGACCTAGACTCTTCAGCCTTGTCCATAATCTCCAGTTCAGTCACACAGAAGTGCCAAAAATCCTCCTAACTTCCTATGTCTTTATGTGACAGTTTTATCTTTGGCTTCTAATCATTTTTAATTTACCTTATTTAATTTAAAGTTCCCAGAATTTTCATCATCCCAACATTGTCACTTCTTCTTCTTCACCACTTATTTCTAGACAACTTATTTTGTGTCTTCTTCAAGTTTGTTTCTTTTGGATTATGTTCCTAACATATATAGAAAGTTGCAGATTATGACCTACAAGAGGACCCTAGGGAACACTGGCTTTTATTGAGCAGATGGAATAGGAAATTATACAAGAATGACACAGGTCCATCAGAGAAATGGGAGAAGAACCATCAAGAGAAGATGAGATCAAGGACAGGGTGAGTTACAACAGGAATATTCCTTGCATGTGTCCTTGGATGGAGGTTGTGAGTGACCTCATGGGAGTATTTTCCTGAGGACATGGAGGTGGAAGTCAGACTGCAGTGGGTTAAAGGGTCACTAATGAGCCAATGGTTTCAGTGACATGGTTAGCTATAAAGAGAAGGAAAGAGGAGGAAGCAAGAGATTCGGTTGATCATTTATTTGGGTAAAAAGCCCTATATATGCTGAAGGAAAGAATGCAAGGGGCGAGTAATGTTTTAGAAGCAAGAGGAAAATTTAATGTTACAATCCCTCAACATGAGGAAAAAACGGTCTATTTTTGGTGTTTTTATTTCATTGTATAGTGTCTTTGAAGACGAGTTGCCTATTTTTCTTGGTAGAGCTATATATAGTAAAACCCTGTATCCATAAAGCATAGCTCCAGGTAGTCAGTAGTAAGGTTATATTGAGAAGATAAAGATGTCTTATTCTTCACTTCAAAAATAGTTTGATATTCTCACCTCTTCACTTCCCCGCTTTAATGTTGGCAGATGACACATATGTTCTCTTTTCTAAAGCAACCACATTCACCACTTGTCTTCGTACTAGGCATTATTCCCTCTTTCTACCATTTTCAATCTGTTTGGCTACATACATCTTTAATTCACCCCTGTTATTCCCTAAATCTTGAGAGTTTCAAATCCACTTTATTCAGTACACTTTCAAATTAACATTCTAATTCTCTCTTTTATCTCTAGTTTTCTTAAGAGTAATTTTGCTCTCTTCTTTCTCAGTTTCTATTTATTTATCACCTCCTGGCAATCTAGCCTTTGTCCTCAGCAATTGCCTTTGCCTATCCTCTCACCTGCAAATGACAAGGAAGAGAATCCACACCTTCTGCCCACTCTGTCTCACTTTCTGCTCACTTCCTGGACCCTGGAGCCTGCTTGCTTTGCCCTGTGGGATCCCTTCTCTGTTTTCTATTGTTATTGGTTCCAAGTTTGGCTCTTGCATGGAGCAGGTATTCACAGCTGTATGACTTGTGGTGCAAAGGTGAAGGGTACCACAGGTACACAGAATTGTTATGGTATATGGTGGTGGTGAGTGAAGGCCCTTACTTCAAGCTTCTTTAGTTTACATTCTAATTCCTCCACTTATGACCTATGTGGCCCTAGGTAGGTTACTCACTCTTATTGTCAAAAATGAAGATATTAGTTCTTAACTTATAGGCTTATTGGGAGAACCAAATAAGTTAAAGTGCTTAGAATAACACCTGGTCTTTTATATTAAGCTGAATGTCATATGACTTATAAAAATGGCTGTATAATTTTTGTACTAATAAAATAACTGCTTACTATATATTTCAATCATGTTCAGAAATGCATTTATGTAAGTCCCAGATCTGCTCTATCCTTTAATCCAGATTCAAGGGTTTTACACTTCTAGCATAAAATATAATTAAAAAAGAATCTACCCCATAGTGTTGGACACTTTAGACAATCTGGCATGTAATATATTCTCCATAAATATTATAACTTGCCAGGTGAAAGAGCTTGTTGAAGAAAATCAGAGGCTTTCAAGGAGACAGCAACCTTTATTTACAGGGAGACCACAATGACCAGGGGAAGTGCAAGTCTTCTTAGAGGTTATGCTGAGTGGATAAAGCTCTCACACTGGAGAGCTGGACTTACCTAACAGACCCTTGAGTCCAAACAAGGACAGCCTTTGAGGTTGAAACTATCAGCAGCATGGACCTCGCTGGATCAATAGTTCTCACTTTCTTCATATCCCAATAGGATCATCACCTCCTGTGAAGGTAACCTACCAGAGACTTTGCTCTGTAGGTTGACTGCTCAAGTAAATTAGGCCCACATGGTAATCCTGAGTCAATTTTGGCTCATTCATTCATGGTCAGCAAATACATCTTGAGTATATATAGTAAGTACAAGGAACTAGGCTGGGTACAGGAATACAGTGATGTATAAGCTAGACATAATTCTGTTCTCATTAAACATGCTCAAAGAGAAAAATTTACCTTCGAAACATTGATGGACTTTCTATCTATATTTCAGAGAATCTCACAATACAACTATTATTTTTATAAGCAAAAGTTTCTTGCAATGTGTAGATTCTACCACTTCATTTTTAAACTTAAAATTAGGACATTAAAAGTTAAAAACCATAACTCTTCATATTGATCCTTTTTTTATAGTCAGCGGAAACAGAAGGGTAATAACAAAGTTTTACATTATTTTCAGCAATGTTTCGATTATTTGTTGCCCACAGGTTTCAGAAATTCTCCTCTTAAGACTGTGATTTCCAGGAATCAAACCCTCAGGCTCAGACATCTTAGTCATAAGTACTACTCATTTTCCCAGTGGCTCTGTAAGGTACAAATTTCCAGAAAGACTGGGCCGAGGTCTACGATTTCCTTCCTTCCTCCCCCACCTCTCCCTATGTTCCCTCCTTCTTTCTTCTTCTGTTCCTTCCCTTCCCTTTCAACACCAGACTACAAGAGGTTTGGGTTTCAGTACACTTCTTTATAGTTTTTAAATAGGACATTGTTTGTTATAGGAAAGCACCTTGCACAGATACTATTTTCCCAGCACCTAACTTTGGATATTTCTTTTCTTCTGGGTTTGAGGACCATAATCTAACTTCTTGTTTGCCTGACTTGCTATTTCTGCTATTTGTCCTGTTTGCAATAAACAAAGCACTTCAGGCATTTCCATATTTTTTGCAAGTTATCCCCTAAAGCTTGGTTTCTTCAAGCCATAGCCTACACATTCTGACATTCCCTCTGCTCAAACACACACTGAGGCTTTCTATCTAAGGACACAAAAACAATGCAGGTTTAAGGTTATCAGTCATGTCTGTCAAAGCAACTGCAATTGAGTAGGAAGAATATAAACACCAATGGCAATAATAATAATTATAAGAATTGTTTATAACTTTATATAATAACTTATACAAAGTATTATAATTACATATGGGTATTATATATCATATTATAATATGTGCATGTGTATATGCATCTATGTATACATATATGTTAAAATCAAATATACATTATATATACACTAAAAAAGACAGTGCTAAAATTCACAGATAGTTGATGCTTTTGGAATTCAGAGGATAAGATTGAGGATTAGGTTACTTTGGAAGAATTTTAGCAAAAACAATAGGTAAAGCTATGAAGAATGAGTAGGCTTTAGGAAGGAGAAGTGGACAGACTCTGGGGGAAAGTATGGCATAATCGGGAAGAGAGTCAGGAAACACAAAGCATTCTTTAGGGACATCTTCTTTTTCTTTTGTTTTTGTTTTTTTTTTTCCCAGGAATTGTGTAGTACATTACAGGACAAAGTAAGCCAGAAGTTTGGAAAATTAATAACTTTTCCAAAAGGGGACAGGTAGTGGAGGGCCAGGAGGCCAGGCTGAGGAGTTTGCACTTGACTCTGACACCCAGCCAGTGTGAGTCCAGCAAGCATGAGTGATGATTTTTTATTCCTGGTCATTGGCTATATGCTATTTTAAATATTGAGGATTATGGGGACGTTCTGTTACACATGTGTATACCCTGAAAGGAAATTTTAATTTTATTTCATTCTACTTTTTAAATGTTTAAATATATGACAAATAAAAAATATACTTTGATATAAGGAGTAAGCAGGGCTTTTACTTTAGATATTGTTTTCATTCACTAGTAGTTAATCCAACATCATTTGTTAAATACTCCATTTTATCTTCAATTACTTGAAATACTACCTTAATCATTCATATACTGAATTTTCTTATACATCTGGATGTATATTTTGTTTCATTGAAGAATTTATCTATTCTTATACCAAGACCATCCTTCTTTTATTTGTTCTTTTTTAAAAACAATTAGTTTTATTGAAGTATAATTTGAATCCAATTAAATTCACCCTTTTTAACTATAGATTTTGATAAACTTTGTGAAATATGTACGGACATATAACCAGCACCAAATCAAGATAGAACATCTGTCACCCTGAAGTTTTCTTATGCCCCTTTGCAGTCATTCCTCTCTCTGTATCCTCCAACTCCTGATAACTACTGTCCTGATTTTTGTCCCTATAATTTTGCCTTTTCTAGAATTTCATAATAAATGGAATCACACAATAGCCTTTTGTGCTGGGCTTCTTATACATAGCACTATGGCTCTGAGATTCATTCACACTGTTGCATGCAACAGTAGTTCTTTCCTTTTTATTACTGAATAGTATTACATTTACAGACGCAACATGTTTATCCAGACATCATCTAATGAACATTTAGATTGTTCCCAGTTTTTGGTTATTCTGAGTAAAACTATTATGAACATTTGCATACACATCTCTTGTGGATATGTTTTCATTTATTTTGAGTAAATACTTAAAAGTGGGATTACTGAGTCATCTGGAAAGTACCTAATGAAAAACAATCACACCGTCTCCTAATGTGGCTGAACCGTTTTGCATTTCTACAAGTAGAGTATGAGCTCCAGCTTTTTACATTCTTGTCAACACTTGATACTGTCAGTTTAAAAAATTTTAATCATTCTCATGGGTATATAGTGGTATTTTGATATGGTTTTAGTTTGCATTTCCCTATAGAATAATGATGTTAATTATATTTTCATGTGCTTATGAGTAATTTATAAAAATTCTTTGAAGTCTCTGTTTAAATCTTTGGTCTATTTTTAAAAATCAGGATGTTTGTCTTTCTACTTTGCCTGTTATTTTCATTATTGAGTTGTAAGTATTCTTTATATATTCTCAACACAAGTCTTTTATTAGATACATGTTTTCTTCCAAATAATACTGTATATGCTATTGTTACTAGCATTGAAGACACTTGTTCTATCATTTCAAATTCCTTACAGGAATTCAGCCTTACATGGAAATATACTATATATTGGCACTAGTATTAAAATCAATGGTACTCTTATGAAAAATGCCAATAAAGAAGGCAGAGTGGTCAAGAAATCTCTGTGCATATGAGCACTGCATTTCTAAATATAATCTTCTATCAGTGGCTGGGCAAAGCTTGTACAAGCAACTATCCATCTGTTTTCTTTATTCCTAACTCCCTCGCCTTTTCTTAGAATGATTTCTCAGGGTCTTGGCTTACTGGTTATCCTTTCAACCTGAGTTTTCATTGCCTTCATATACCTCTCCTCTACTTAGGAAGAAGATAGGTTATAAAGATCATAAAAAACACACCTACATGCTTTTGTCATCATTGATTACTGATTGAGAACCAAACACACTGATTTCACATAATTTAACAATAGGAGAGATCCCAAACCTCAAATTTCAACTCCTGAGTTGTTGAGTAAAAGACCTCATCTGTAACAGATATTCATTAAATGTTTCTTAGATCAAATGATGGTAGAAATGTTTCTAATATGCCTTTCCTACCTACTACCCCTAAACATTAATAGCACAGACAGTTATCCTTGATTGGTGAGGATATATATTGGGGAGAATCTTAGCCTCAGGCAGATTGTGGCTGGACCACTGAGACAAGGGCCTTCATTAAGATAATTTTCATCTTTCAGAATTAGGCTGGTATCCTGTGGATCTTCCACAACAGATTCACAAACATATATGCCCAGCTCAGAACTCTCCTTCAGATCAAGAAACATATGTACAGTGCCTGCTTGAGATTTTTCCATGGATTTATCCAAGATACCTCAACTAAACCCATAGCATTTCTACCAGAACATAGTCCCCTCAGAGAATGCATTATAATTCATCCAGTTGTGCCTTTCTGTCTTCACCCTATCAACACTGTCAATACCACCCTATTTTAAACTACCACCATCACCTTTTGCCTCCCAGTTGATCTTCCTGAACTCATTCTTGCTGCCTTCCAATCCTTTCTCCACATTGTGCAAATCTGATCCACCACTGCCCTCTCACCCTCTTCACTAACTTTCCCTTGTCCTTAAGGTAAAGACGCAACTGCCCAGTGGCCTATAAATCTTTGCTTTGTCTTCCCCCAGCTCACACCTCAGCCTCCTCATACATTATGTTCCCTATCACTCCCTGTGCTTCAGTGACTCTGCTTTCTTTAGTTCTTTATAGTTACCATGCTTCCACCCCAAATACAACATTCCAGTATGCCCGCCCTTTCCTTTGCCTGTGATAATAATGATATTCCCTCCTTTCTATGTCTGGTTAATTCCTGTTTACTCCTCAATCTCAATTTATTTCCTCAGGAAGGACTTCGCTAACCTTATAATTTTACATTCATCTGTGAACTCATCTTACTCATGTCTATCCTTTACCCACATATAAGTTTTATGACAAAACTCCATTTTCACCTAACACCTAGCATACAATATGTGCTCAAAAATAGTTATTAAACCAATAAATGAATAAATTATTACTTTGAGCCTTCAGTCCACTCAGAATGTTTAAGTATTTCTTCAAAAATCTTCTCTTCTTTTACCTTCTCCTAATTATCTTATATTCTAACAATCCCAACTCAAGTCACTCCTGTCTAGACTGCAAAATCCTTGAGGGAAAAAAATCCCATCTTTTTCATCTCTATAATTCGCACAATGCCTAGTGTGCTGCTTTGAATCAGGAACAACATTGTGAATGAATGAAGGGAGGGTGTGAATGAATGAATGACCTACCCTGACTAGTCTTATTCCATTTCTCTGACTGTTGTGTATCTGAGTGTCTTGGCTATCTAATTTGATGTAAAGTTCTTGCTATCTAACATTATTCTAATTTCTTGAATAGCACTGCTTGTCATGTATCTGACTCAGCTTTCTGCTCTACACCTTGATTTGAGCAGATTCACAGTGCACAGCCATGCAAAGTGGATCTACCCAAGCTTTACACTTCTCCAAGACACAAACTTCCTACACTGACATGCCCTTTTCCACATCTTCTCCCAGGTATCACACTCTTTCCTGTCTGCAGGATTGTGTATGTGCCATTTCTTCTGTTGAAATGCCCTCCCTCTTCTCTCTTGCCTATTGGAATCTACATATATTTTTTTAAGACTGACATTATGTACTGCATCCTGCTATAAAGCTAAGCCAATGTCTATTTTAGTTATATGTGTACTAGTTTGGGGCCAGCCAAACTTGAATTCAAGTGTGTATTCTGGCATTGCTAGCTCTGTGACCAGGGTTACATTACACAACAACTTTAAGACTCAGTATCCTCATTTATGAAATGGGAATAATAATGGTAATGCTGTTTTCTCTTTGTAAAAACAAACCATAGAAGGGTTGTTCTGAGGATTAAAACAGAGAAGGCACACAAAGTGCTTTGCACAGTACCTGCCATATGGTAGGCACTTAATGCTCAATAAATGCTAGCTATTGCTGTTATAATGATAGTAACTGATAATAATAATAATAATATAAAAACCTTTGGCTATTTAGCCCACACTGATCTTTCCTTTCTCTGAATTCCTATGGCACGGAGAGTCAACTCTATTGTTTGGCCTTTATTATTCTCCTACTATTTCGTATGTATAGGTTCTGCCGCCTCAGTTCAATTGTAGGCTCCTAGAGAGCACCTAATACAAAGCCAGTCACATAGAAGGGATGCTGTATGACTTGCTGATTGGTTGATGGTTTTTCCCTCCAGGCTGCTGAAATAAAACCTAATAATATCACCAAGGGAAGCAATTTAGATCAGGAGTGGGCCCTTTCTAAATCCTCCAAAATCTAATTAAGGGAGCAAGGTTTGTGCTATAACACCAGACACGATGCAAGAGGAGAACAATTAATGTTCTTGTTAGAATCAGAAGGGAAGCCATTCCTTATATCAAATGTGCTGAACCTGGGCTCTGGAGCATCACATCTGCTATTCTCTCTATAAATGCAATATCTATTCTGCTTTTGTAAACATTCATTTGTCTTCAGACCGGAACTTCCTTTTCTGAAGCCACAGATTTGTTTGCTGTCAACACCTGTGATATGAAGCCCTTTCATCATTCTGACGACAATAATTAAGAACCTGGCAAAGAGAGCAGAGGATGATCACAAACATCCAGAAAACAATGAAGAATATAAATGAACAAAAATTACTTCATTCATTTGTTCTTAAAACTAATTATAGATGTTCCCACTGTTTACCTTTTAGTATCTATAATTCAAAACACATAAAACTTGGCTTTAAAAGGATGAATGTGTTACTCAAAGCAGTCTGGGAGAGTGAATTACAACAATGGCAGAAAAGAAGGAAGCAAACTTCCCTCCGAATTTTGTGAGTGCTTTGGAGGTTTTTACTTTCCTTTTCAAGCAACCACTTGTTTAAATTCTCCTTTCCTGACGGCTACTACCACGACTATTTACTACATCTTGCCTGCTCTGCTGTCCTCTCCTGCTAGACCCAATTTGTTTCCTGCATGTCTTCAACAGCTCACCTATATTTTTCCTCTTTAACTTTCCAACCTTATCCTGGCATCTCTAAATTCCATGCTGTATTAGTCAGACTTATCCAGAGAGATGTAATCAATAGGATAATAATGTTTCAGAGAGAAAGAAAGAGAGACAGAGGAGGGAGCGGGTAGACAGATAAGAGATTTATTATGGGAATTGGCTCATGTGATTATAGAGGCTGAAAAGTCCCACTGTCTACCATCTGCAAGCTGGTGAACCAGAAAATCCAGTAGTGCAATTCAGTTTGAGTCTGAAGGCCTGAGAATCAAGGGAGCCAATGACATAACTCCCAGTCCAAAGTCAAAGTCCTGAGAATCATTGAGGTGTGAGGTCAGGCTAGGTGCCGATGTAAGTCCTGGAGTTTGAAAACCTAAGAACCAGAAGTTCTGACATCCAAGGGCCAGAGAAGATGGATGTCCTAGCTGCGAAGAAGAGTGAATTTGTCTTCCTTTTGCCATTTTATTCTATGTAGGCCTTCAACAGATTGGATGATGCTTACACTGGGGAGGGCAGATCTTCTTTACTCAGTCTATTGATTCAAATGCAAATCTCTTCCATATACACCCTCAGACACACCAGGAATAATTTTTTGCCAGTTATCTGGGCATCTCTTTGTACAGTCAAATTGACACATAAAATTAACCACCTCTCGTATGGAGTTGTTATGGGGTGATAAACTTAATTAAGTTTACCCCTTGTCAACTTGGCACATGTATGCATCTCCTTAAATCATACTTTATCTCCAAATAAAGGCCATAATAAGGTTATAATTCCACTTAACATAATGTGACTATCCTGAATACAACTGAAATGCACTAATTCATTCCCTAGAAAAGGGAGTAAAATATTTGAGTGATGTTTACTCTTTTCCTGATATCCTGTAACTAAAATACTGATATAAAATCAATACTGGAATACTCCTTTTTTCTTGTAAGTGGTTGATTGGAAGTATGCAATGAAGGTATTTTGTGTATCTCTGTAAATAATTCTTGACATGGACTATCGGTGCTCTCTTTACTACTGGAAATAGAATCATTAACACCTTCAAAGCTAACCAGACTACAGCCAATTCCAGGAGCCCCCATACTGATTAGAAAACTCATCCTTAAACTTCTGTTCCTCTAGAATCACTCTCAGAACCAAAATCTCTGTTAGTCATGGTCCTCCAGTGAATCAGAATCAACAAGATATATACAGATATTTAGGGGGAGATTTATTATGGAAATTGTCTCACATGATTATGGGGCCTCAGCAGTCCCATGATATGCCACCTGCAAGCTGAAGAACCAGTAAAGCTGGTGATTTAATTCAGCCAGAAACCAAATGTGGCGATGGTGAAAGAGGTGGATAGGGAACCACTGGTATAAGTATTGGAGTCCAAAACTCAAAAAACAGGAACTCTACATCTGGGCTGGAGAAATGGACTGGTATGTACCAGCTTCTCAAGAAGAGGAGATAATTTGCCCTTTTTCTGCCTTTTTATTCGATTTGGGCCCTCAGTGGATTGGATAATGCCTGCCTACATTGGTGAGGGTGGATATTCTGTACTCAGTTTACTGATTCAGATGCTAATCTCTCCTGGAAATACCTTCATAGACACTTCACTGGGTATGAAATACACTTCACATCCAGAGATAACATTTTACCAGCTATCTAGGCATCACTTAGTCCAGTCAAGTTGATACATAAAATTAATCATCATACATGCTAATCTAATACCCTGATATCAACATGTGACATATTCTTCAGTAGCATTTGTTGAATATTCACTTACTAAGCATTTACTGTATGTCTGATACTGTGCTAAACCCTCATATACATAACTCATTTAATCTTCCAATACATCTCTCAAGTAACTATTCGTACTTCCTCTCTATAGCACAAAGTTGTTCATCTTCATTCCATATCAGCTGTTTGCCACCCCAGCCAAATATCAGATCCTACCATGAAAGGCACAATTTTATCCCCAGCATCATGAATTTCAGGCTTCCCCAAATTGGGCTGCCATTAACTCCTTATCTAGTTTTTTCTTAACATCTATTCATACTCTGTGAGTCTGCTTTTCAGCTGTCTCATCCTTCATTCATTTCTTTTTTGATTCCAGCTACTCAATTTAGATAATATGTTACTCCATGATTGGCTCCTTCAATCATTTTCTTGCCACTGTCCCACACTCACCACTCTTGATATACTGGCATTCCAATCTCTAATAATGCATTACCAGCCTTGCCTGCTCCTACATTCCATCCCTGAGTGCTACTGTAATATCATATATCAACTGGACAGGCCTGAATCCCTATATAGAATCATGTATACATTTGCTCAGCTCTTGCAACCTCACCAACCTCACCTCGACTCTTGCTGCTCTATGGCAATTTATTTATCTAGCTTTTATTGATTTGCTGGTATCCTCCTTGCCTGTAGCCACACGTATACTTGAAAATATAGGGGTTTCAATATATTTCAAGAAAAAATATTTTGGGTTTGAGAAAAGAAACAATTTTGAATTCTATATTGCTTTGATTTAAGATATAATTTGTTAATCACAAAAGAATAGCAGAAGAGATATAAAGCATATTATTTATTCAACCAATAGACAATGCTTTTTTGTATAATTTTTAAACTCCTTGTAATAACCATGCTCCACAGATGGAAAAAAACAACACTAGGAAATAGGAACTACAATTCATTTGGTTTCTTAGTAATTATCTCATGTTATATATTTCATGTGCTTATGTCATTGCTTACCTACAATGTAAGGTTCTTGTTCACAGAACAAAATAGACTCTGGAACCAAAATGTCTCTGTTTGAATACTGAGTTCAGTACATAGTATCTGTGTGACAATAAGAAAGTCACTTAACTGCTTTATGCTTCCATTTCTTTTTTTTTTTTTTTTTTTAAAACACTATATAGTGGCAATAGTATTATTTACCCATAAGGTTGTTGTGGAAATTAAATGATCTAATGCATGTATTGCCCAGTATATTATCTAACACAGAAAAATCACAAAATATTATTTGCTGAAATTATTGCTATTATTGTTATTATTACTGAGTTGATAGTGGGTTGCTCAATAAATACAACTCAGTTGGAAAGTAAAATGATCCACCTTCCTCAAATCATGACTGCTTCATGATAGTCATCATGACCCATCAGTAGATACAATTTTTCATCCAAATTGGGACACTTTTGAGAGTTTAACAGGATCCTTTAATATGTATGCTGCAGCAGCAGAAATATTCTGTATGTATGTGCCCACTAAAAATCAGGATGTATGCTCACCCTACCATAAAAAATGTGTTTAGGGAGTCTTTTTCCAATAGTCCAAGTTAATAGCCCTGTGCTCTTTTATTCCAAATTGGTTTTAAAGATACAATCACTTAACAGGTGGCCAGAAGTTAACTTTGCCTATGATTTTATTATTTAGCATGAGCTACAATATCAAATTTTTAACTGTAAAATCAGTGATTGTTAACAGCTACTTATTCGTTGGTGTTCTTGTAATGGGGAGATTTTTATGCATGGTTTGTTTATAAATGAAAACCTTGTGCAAAGCATCTGGGAAATCAAATGGTGAATTCCATAGCCAGCATTGGGAGGTCCAGATTTCTGTCATTCCTGCATGATATTACCTAGAAGCATCCAGGTATATCTATCTTACTTTTATATTCCTCCTGCATATTTTTTGTCTTTCTGGTCTTTTAGATTAAATGTCTCCCTGATGGTAAAGACCAGATCCTGAAGAAAAGGCACTGACATGTAACTCTCCAGTTAGAGTAGAAACATAGAATAGGATCATACCAAATGGGGTCTTATTAGTTCTGTCTTTATTCCAATCTCCTTTCTCCTGCCTTCCTATTCTGTTACTTTAAGCACAAAACACAATGAGGGCTTAATAAATATTTGTCAAGAGATAATACCAAACTGACATTGGAATTTTTTTTTATTATGAGCATTAAAAAATACAATCAACTCATACTCACCTTGTTTTCTGTAGAATCATTTTCATTCCTGTCACATTGAATGAATGGAGCAATGAATTCTCTGAGTCTCCATATAGAATTTTCCTAAAGGGGTTATTCATTTACAATGACAAAAATGAAAGGAAAACAAATGATTTTTTTTTACAATGGCCTACTTCAGTGAAATGCCAAAAGGCCATTTCATTTTAACTAGAAATTTATAAATTTTGAAAAATGCCTTCCCTCTCTCTGTACCTTGATTCTGTCCTGACTACAACCCCAACACCGTCAACAGAACAAAAAGGAGAGAAAATGAGTAGCAGCTTTTGTCTCTACCCCAGATTCTTATCTTTGACATCATTGCTAAAACATCAGGGGAAACAATTTTCCTCCAAACAAGTGCTGTCCTGGGGACTAGTTGAAGCTTTCTATGGAGCGAAAAAATATTTGCAGACCCATCATAAGGAAATCAGAGATAGGTGACTTGTGTTTTCCTATTAGCTTCTTGCAGAAATAGATCCAGCTTCTTCCTCCAGTGTTAAGGACTATTATCAAAAGCAAAATGTAGGTTTTCAGATTTTTTTATTTGTAACAAAATATGTTTTCTCTGTCTGTGTAAATAAATCTACTGATCCCGCTGATGGAAAGCCATGTTCCTGGAATTGTTTTTACCTACAGTACAGTTGAAATTATGGTCCTCCATCAGCAGCCTTTCTCTGGGTTTCCATTGTGGACAACTGCAAAGCTTTCAAGGATAATGGCTGGTTTTAAGGCCACTACGCACATAGTCATCCCACTGTTAGAGATAGAGCTCATAACATACTGTACTCATAGCAGCATCTCAGCTCTTGAACATGTCAATGCTCTAATGATTTGTAAAGAATAGAGCATCCAGGCAGGTGATACTGGGACCAACTGACAAATTCAGAAAAAAATAAACACACACACACACAAACAAATAGTTACCTACATCCACCCCCTAACTTACTGTCTTGAGCATTATAAATTTCGTATCTATGCACAACTTCTTGATTAGAATGAAAATCCTTATTCTTTACCTGTGTACAATCAATTCTTTATATAGATTATGGTATACAGTAAGGTCTAGATAAGTGTATAATGAAAAGAAATGGGAACTCGTACCCTTAGGTCAGCCCCTAAACAAAACTTTATCCAGCTTCTCCTACATTCTCATTCTATTCCTGACCATGTCCAGCTCATTTTTCTGACTTGAGGTAAAATGTTTCCTTCTCTGGGAAATCTTTCCTATACCCCCACCCAGATTAGGCACTCCTGCCATTTGCTTCAAAACACTGCCTACCTCCCTCATTTGTAACTACTTGTGGAACCAGAGCTGTTACAGTTTAAACTACACAAGACTATCTGAGACTCATTCAGTGTACAGCCTCCAAAGTACAGGTATAGCTCTTCTTGTCCATCACCCACTTGGTTTTCGGTTTCTCTCCGTTGGATGTATAGGTGTCCTGGTATATAATGTATGTTCAGGAGAAGGGATATTTAATAGGAATGAGGATATACTAAAGGCACAAGCAACGGAAGGTCACATGGCAGAGGGAGAAAGGGAGAGAGAAGCTCAGCTTCAATTTTTAACTATCTAGAATCTTGTGATCAAATGTCTGATATTTTAATATCAGTATATTTTGAGTCATTTCAAAAAACATTTTGATTATAATTATAGAAGGAGGATGATTGTTTGGAATCTCTCAAGATGTTATCCTGGCCCTCAGGTGGGTGTGTATCCAGAGGATTTGAATGAAGGCCCAGCCAAGTCTCTGGACTACTGCCCACACATACACTTGGGACTCCTAGCTAAAGCAATGAGTCCAGTTCCAAGGGTACAACATTCCGAGGAACATAGTTTAGAGCCTTGACCATTGGAGCTCTGAATCTTCCCTGAATTACTCCCAGGAAACTGAAACAGGGCCCACTGCCTGTGGACTCATACTCTTTTATCCTTCCCCAATATTTGAAAATGTTCTCTTCCATCCTCTAATCCCCAGCTTCAGAGGTATGATCCTCTCTTCTTTCCCCTCTAGGGTACTCGGCGTAATTTCCTTCTTACAATTAAGCCTTCCAAAAACCTGGGAGAGAAAAATAAAGAGAATGAAATACATTAACTGTCATTAAATTAGATTCTTCTTTACCAGGAAAAAAGAAAATGCAAATTAATATCTCAATAAATTATCCTGACTTAGTGTGCAAGAAACAAACATAGTTGCACTGAAATATAATAGCAAGGTGGAGCTTATAAAAAGTCAGACAAGGCCTACCTGAAGACTGAACAAGGCAAAGAAGCCACCTATGAACAGAGCAGGGCTGGGGAGCGCTCCCGGCACGGAAGCTACTAGGTGGAAAAGCCGGCAGGTGGACCAGTGCCTGGAGGGCTTCCAGAAGGAAAGACTAGTTTGAATAAAGCTTAGGAGATGGTGCAGAGAATGTTAGAAAAATCAAGTTGGAGAGACAAAAACAGGAAATCTTTCCAAATATTAATCATTTATGGTACTCGTCTGGCAATATCTCATGTAGTCCTCACAACTGGCTTTCATTAAGAATCTACTTTGTAACTACCACAAAGTCATAACTTCTGCCTTCAAGCTGTACATATTCTGGAGAAGAGTTGCAATGAAATATGTAGTAACAACATTGCATTGAAAGTAAATGACATAAGCACAAGGAGTGAATAAAATATAGATGAAGGGCATGAATCCGGACCAGGGAAGACCAAGGACACTTTCTAGAGGCAGTGCATTTGGGATGAATCTTAGGGACTGTTTCAGGCAAAGAGGGCAGGACATCTTGTTTCATGAGATTCACATGAATCTCAAGGGATCAAGGAATGAGGGTTCCTGATGCACTTAAGAAATGCTGGAAGGGCTCTCACAGATATCAGTAGTATTGTTCCTTCAGATTCAGTTAATTCATGACTTGGTATAGCATAAACTCTGGGGTCAGTCCTGGAACAGTTGGAGTCCTGAAGCTTCCATTTATTAGCTTACTGACAATGGCAGTTTCCTTAACTCCTGTGTCTTATTTCTTCATCTATGAAATGGGGATAATAACCAACCTCCTAACGTCATTGCTATGATGAAATCGGAAAATCAAGATAAGGAACTGGCAAATGAATATATCATACCATGGATTTCCTAAGCTTAAAAATAGTCACAAGCACATTCTAAAATATTATTATTTATTTTTCTTTATTTCTTTTTAAATCATACTCCAATCTTACATTGTAGCATATCATGACATAAGGTTGGGAATCTTTACCTCTTTAATCACTACCATATATTTTAGTGCCTAAGATAGTAGGAGCTGAATAACATCTGTTGGACCAATCAATAAGTTAGTTGATTCAAGAGATACCAACTTGTATCCGGAGGAGTATAAAGAAAGAAACAGTTGTTCTTAGCTAGTATCCTTACATATCATACCTGCAATATATCAGATTTAACAATTCATGACTTATATGTCTAGTCCATTCTCACACTGCTATAAAGGACTGCCTATGGTGGCACATGCCTGTGGCAGAATCCACACTTGGAGCTTTCCTCTACTTGTCAGACCCACAGTGAATTTTTTTCTTCTCAGTTTGTTGCATGTTTATGTGCAACTATAAAATTATGTGTAAATTATAAAGGAAAGAGGTTTAATTGACTCACAGTTCAGCATGGCTGGGGAAGTGTCAGGAAACATACAATCATGGGAGAAGGGGAAGCAAATATGTCCTCTTTCACATGATGACAGGAAAGAGAAGCACTGAGCAAAAGGGGAAAAAGCTCCTTATAAAACCATCAGCTCTCACGAGAATTCACTCACTATCACGAGAACAGCATGAGGGTAACTGCCCCCATGATTCAATTACCTTCCACCAGGTCCCTTCCATGACATGTGGGGATTATGGGAACTATAATTCAAGATGAGATTTGGTGGGGGACACAGCCAAACCATATCAAGAAGCAAGGTTTAGTTTAAAATGTAATACTTGAGTATCCATTTTTTTATATCCTTACACAGTCAGATTTAAAAGTCTATCCTGGGCCAGGCATGGTGGCTCACATCTGTAATCCCAGTGCTTTGGGAGGCCAAGGCAGGCAGATCACCTGATGTTGGGAGTTTGAGACCAGCCTGACCAACGTGGAGAAACCCCGTCTCTACTAAAAATACAAAATTAACCGGGCATGGTGGCACATGCCTGTAATCCCAGCTACTCAGGAGGCTGAGGCAGGAGAATCACTCGAATCTGGGAGGCGGAGGTTGCCATGAGCCGAGATCACGCCATTGCGCTCCAGCCTGGGCAACAAGAGCAAAACTCCATCTCAAAAGAAAAAAAAAAGGTCCTAAAGCTATTGCACTACTCCTGCATGAAACCAACTCTCCCAGAACCTAGTCACAACTTCATCTTGTTAAGACCTTTTTTGACTTCTCATCTGTAAGATGTATTATTTCTTCCCCGTGGAAAATTACCAGTGAGACTCATTAATATTCTAGCCTCCAGCCTGACCTCCTTTCCTGAGATTCATGAGGATGCTGTGTGAATGCAGCAGAGAAAACAGTTCACTGAAAGTCTTGTTTGGGGTAACCCTCTGCTCCCTTTGCGTGACTTACTGTGAGATTTCTTTGCCTTTTTGTTTCTTTTGTTAACTTTTTTTTCTAACTCTAAAAAATACAAAAGATAGATTTCAAATCAAAAAGGCTCCATACCTACATTAGTATGTGTTTTCTATTGTATATATTTTGGTTTTATGTTTCTCAAGAAAATAAAAACCTTGAGCACCCTGGCAAGCTCCATATATAGTTGTGAAGTGGGCAAAGTTTACCTCTGATTTCCCTCCAATTATGTCTGCAGCCCTCCCTCATATGCTGTGGGCTCCTCAAACCCTGACTCTAACTCTAGCTACTCGAGTTCTGTTTCACCAATTCCAGCATGGGTTTGCTGTCCCCACTCATCAGTCTATTCTTTACAACCCTGTCCTTCTCACTCATTTGTTCATTTATCCATTCTACAAATCTTTATTGAGAACCTACTATGTGCCAGACACTGCGCTAGATATTCAGGATACAACAGTAAGCAAAATACCCCTACTCTAGTGGAATTGCATTTGGTAAGGGACATGCACAGAAAGCAAGTAAGTAAAATAATTACAAACTGTGGTAATGCTCTGAAGAAACATACAAGGAGGCAAGAGTGAAAATAATAGAAGGATGCTTCAAGGAAGTCAGACAAACCATTTTGAAATCAAAAGGATGGTAAAAGGCCAGCCATGAATACTGGAGCCAGACAGTTTCAAACTTCCTATTAATTTTAATGAATAATTTTATACTAAAATCATGCTCTTGAAATGATTTAAGAGTGTTGGCTTGGGAGTCATAAAAGGCAGTGTTCACATCTAGGTTCTGACATTAGCTATATCTTCCTTTAAAATGTGGATATTAATAACTAGCCCAAAGGTAGGAGTTAAGAATTAAATGAGATAATGAATGTATAGCACCTTTAACCAATAAGTGCCTGTTTTATTAGCTAGCTAGTATATAAAAACTAGCCAGAAACATATTGACTTAAAACAGATGCTGACGTGTATACTGGTCAGCTGAAGATAGACTGGCCTAGACCAGACATTATGCTGCTTGAGCTCTGGTATTCTGCATTTATGTCATTATAGAGTCAAGACTGAAGGGACAGCAGCTTCCTTGGGAAAGTATGGCAATGTAAGAGATCAAGGCCAATCATACAATCACATTTCACATCTTTTAACATTCCTCTGGCCAAAGCAAGGCACAAAGCTGAGCCCAAAGTCAAGGGAATTATATCCTGCCCACCATTAATCTCAAGCAAATCACATGCCAACCCCAGTATATAAATATTTTTGAACATAATTTAACCTACCACAATTACTGTGATTGATAATAACCTAATATGTTTACCTTACTCAGGAATGTCTACATTTTCATGAGACTATTAACACAGAGAAACAAATAAATGGAATCTACAGCAAATGATTACTACAGAGTAAGAAATAGTTGTTTTATTCAATAATTCATTGACCATATCTCCATTATCTATTAATTTTATACATTTTAAAATTAGTACTCTATTGGATTTGTCCCAGAAGCTCACAGTTGTATTTTCCTTTTAGAATCATTATTATAGAACTACTGAGATTAAAACATTTTTCACTGGTTGATTCTAATGTAGACTTGATTTTTCAAAAGTGACTTATGTATGTATAGACTAACAAAAACAGAGTACTAGAACAACAGAGTCTATTTAATTATGCTTAGGAACCACATCAAGACTTGAATGATCAAGAAGCTTCTGTGCAATCCTTCCATATAACTTCAAGCCAACCACTCAGACTCATTATTTTACAGAAGAGGAAAAGAAAAAATTGGAGAATCATCCACATAGATAATAACCATCAGGAGCTGAGACATACTTCTACTCTCCCTGGGGGTACAGATACTAAAATACATTATAGCCTAATTCCTGATGAAATCAATCCACCCAAATTGCCTTATATTGGTTCCAAGAGAGTTCAGGGAGAATGGTTTCCTGCATGCCAAAATCCAAGCCTGACAGTAGCTTTCTGGGGCTCCCTTCATGGTGCACTAGAGCTTCGGAATCATAGAAAGAGCTGAAAAGTTGTCTGGAGACAAAAAAATTACCCCTCCCATACTGTGCTTGCTTTTATAAAAGAGCAAGTAGGGCCTAAAGTGAACAAAATTGCCAAAGATCATATCTGAGTTTTCATTCACAGGCCTTTGAGGGCCTGTTTATCCCAGGGATGGAAATTGACTTTATAAGGTACTAAGTTGGAATCATTTTATGTTTGATCTCAATAAAGATGTGTTAATTTTCATTATTCCTCAACCATGAGTGAGGAGAAAAATCAGCATCATGCTGTTTAATTATGCTCAAGGAAATAACTTGCCTGCTTAAAAATCTCTGACTCCGTGTCTCTTCCCCACCAGCCCTGTTCTAGAGATGCTTTAAATATACAAAGCAAAAGTTATTTTATATTGAGAAGACAAAGACAACATCAAAAAGGACATTTTTGGAATATCTGAGTTTTTAATAGCTATTTTCTGAGAGAACGATTTGGTAGTTTCTGTTTTGGTCCATTGCCATATTTTGTTCTTTTTATTTTTCCAGATTAGAAAATACATACTTGAGTTTTTGTGTGAACCTGAAACATACACCTAATAAGGTTAAGGCAAATTTGTGAGTATAACAGATTAGTGTGTGTGTTTGTTACAGGTATCTGGTAAAGTTAGGAAGTCTAGCCAGAAATGAAACTGCAGAAATTGCCTGTTACTAAATGAGGAAAATGCTGGTGAGCCATCTCAAGCAGTTTGAATTTTCTCCCCAGGATACTATGAAGCTAGTGTGTAAGAAGTCTAGAAAATTCCTCAAAGGATAATGGAATGGGTATATAATATGATGTCACTGTGAGTTGAACTAAGGTGTTTGTTATGACCTTAAAAAGCTGTTGCATGGGATAAAAATGGATTTAAAAGAGCTCTTGGAGAGAGAGGCTCCTAAAAGGAGGGGACGGCTGGGAATAATAACACCCAGCTGTGAGGCTCCACTCCTACCCTGTTAAGGCAGTTAGACCCTATACCCACACTAGGGTCTTAGATCACCAATTCTTTCTTTTACAAAGTAAGTGTCACAACCACTACTTACCATCATTGGGAGAGTTAAATGAAACAATGCATTAATGTACAAAACCATGTTTTGTAGTCTGTCAAATGCTAATCCATCAGTAAAACCTGTCAGCTCTACCTTCAGATCCAGAATCTGACCACTTTTCACCACTTGTATAGTCCTCATGCTGGTCCAAGCCACCTTCAACTGTGACTGGAGTTTTGTAGTTACCTCCTTAGAAGCTCTCTACTTCCACTCTTGCCCAGACCTCCAACTCCCTTCAGCCTATTCTTTACAGTGTGACTGGAGAGACACTTTTAAAACATCTGTCAGAACATGTCACTCCTCCACTCAAAAACCTACCAGTGGCTTCCCACTTTCACTCAGAATAAAAGCCAAAGTCTTTACATATGTGTTCTGGCCACCTCACAGCGCCCACTACTCTGATTTTATCTTCTTCATGGGCTTTCTTCCTGTTCACCAAACAATCCAAATATGTTCTGGTCTTTGTGACACTGCACTTGCTGCTCCTCTGCCTGGAATTATCTTCCTACAGAAGATGTAGAAGTGGCTTTGGGCACTCTGGACAATGAGCAGAGGCTGAAAGAATTTGGAGCAGCAGGCTAGAAAAGGCCTAGATTATCATGAGGGCTTAGAAGACAAGACTGGGGAAAGTTTGAAACTTTTTAGATATTCGTTAAGTGGTCATGACTAGAATGCTTATAGAAATATGGACAGTAAAAGCCATTCTAAGGAGGTTTCAGATGGAAGTGAAGAACAAGATATTGAAAACTGGAGCAAAGGCTATCCTTGTTGTAAAGTGGCAAATAAATTGGCTGAACTGTGTCCAAAGGAACAATTTGAAAGCAGAGCTTATACTTAACATGGAAGCAAAGCAGAAAAATTTGGCAAACTCAGCCTTGTCACATAAAGAGTGAAAAAGTATGTTCAGGAGAGGAAACTAAGGGTGTAGTCCAGTGACCATTTGCTAAAGAGATCAGCATGGAAAGAAGGGAGCCAGGTGATAGTCTTCAAGACAATAGAAGAAAGACCACAAAGGCATTTCAGAAATCTTTGAGGCTGCCCCTCCTATCATTAAGCCCAGAGGTCTAGGGGGAGCAGAATGATTTCAAGAAACAGACCTGGAGTGCTCTCAATGACCTCACTGTCCAAGATCATCTTGAGACCCTTCTCACTGAAACCCAGCACAGTGCTCTGTGGCCATCCCAGCCATGGTTCAAGGGGTCTTAGGTACAGCTCCAGAAAGAACAAATTATGAACCTTGATAATGTACATGTGGTGCCAATTCTGCAGGCTTACAGAAAGCAAGAGCTATAGAGGTATGGCAGCCTCCACCCAGATTTCAAAATATCATGGAAAGCCTGGGGTCCCAGGCAGACTTGTTGCAGAAGCAGAGCCACTGAAGAGAGCCCCTGCTAGAGTAATGCCAAGCAGAAATGTGGGGTTGAAGCTGCCATATAGTCCTCACCTGGGCAATTCCTGGCAGAACTGTGGGAATGAGGCCATTGCCGAGTCCCCACTGGGGCAATGCCTAGTATAGCTGTAGGTGTGGGACAGCCACTGGGAGCCCAAATCTGTGAACTCATAGGCAGCATGCAATGCCTGCCTAAGAAAACTTCAGGTACTTAACTCTAGCCCATGGGATCAGCCATGCGGGCTTCACTCAGCAAAGCCATAAGAGCTGTGCTGCCGGAGGCCCTGGGGGCACAACACCAACTCCAATATGTCCAGGAGGTGGCACATAAAGTAAAAAAAATGATTATTCTCTAGCTTTAAGATGTAATGCCTGCCCTGCTGGGTTTTGGACTTTCTTGGGTGTGATCTCTCTTTCCGTTGGCCTACGTCTCTCCTTCTGAATGGGTATGTCTTACCCTTTGCCTGTATACCACCACTGTATCTTGAAAGTTGATAATTTTTTTGTAATGTTAGGGCTCACAGATGGAACTCTGGATTTTGGACTTTTGAGTTGGTGCTAGAATGAATTAAAACTCTATGACTATGGCAATGGAATGAATGTATTTGTATATGAGAAAATTTTTTGTTTTGGGGGGCTAGAAGCAGGATGCTATGATTTAAATGTCCTCCCCAAAACTCATGTTGAAAGTTAATCCCCAATACGGCAGTATTGAGAGGTGGGGCCTTTAAGAGGTGGTTGGATCATGAGGACTCTGCCCTCATGAGTAGATTAAATCATTTATGAATTAATGAATTAATGGGTTGATGGGTTAATTGGTTATCATGGGAGTGGAACTGGAAGCTTTATAAGAAAAAGTGGAGTCCTGAGTTAGAATGTTAGCACACTCATCCGCCCCACCATGAAATGTCCTGTGAGGCCTTGGGTCTCCGTAGAGTCTCCAGCAAGAAGGCTCTCACAAGATGTGACCCCTTGATCTTAGACTTCTCAGTCTCCATAACTGTAAGAAATAAGTTCTTTTTATTTATAAAATACTGTTTCAGGTATTCTGTTTAAGCAACAGAAAACAAACTAAGACAGACCTTAACAGTAAGACTTCATCAAATCAGTCTATATAAAATAAAGGAATTCTTTCATATTGTTACCAAATGCAATTCTTAAATGTCTATTATGATGCTAACTTGAAGTTGGCTTTTGTTTATTTTGTCTTTTCAGATCTTCTTACTAGAAAAGTAACTTTGTGTTAGGAAGTCCTAGATTACAGTATCCAATTTACATCTCTAAATTCCTGCCTAGCTCTATTATTTTGATACCCTTTAGCGCCTCTTCATATTACATCTGTACAGTGCTATACTTTCAGAATTTCCTCATGCAAAAAAATTATGGGTCTGCTCTGTGCACCCTCTGATAGCCTCGTCCTTTTTTTTTTTTAGCTCAGTCTCAGCTGATTGTTTTGAAATATCCAGTTATCCGCAGATTAGTCTGATCCTCTTATGGAACTAATGAAGGTCAGCAAGGCAGGAGACCCACAGTCTTCATAAAATAATAATAATAAATTCCACACTCCCCATGCCCTCTATTTCATTTTACTTTTCTTTGTTACGTGTGTCACATCTGGTACACTGTATATTTATTACTTTATTTATTGCTCATCTTCCTCTTCTAAGACACAGTCCAGGAAAAGAACTCTGCTTTGTTCACTGAAGCACCTCTATTGTATGGGACAGCAGACATAATAAATACTCCATAAATATTTGTTAAAAATATTTTAAGTAAATGGATAAATATAAACTATGAATGGAAAATTTCAGGAAGTCTTTACAATAGCAATTAGATTTTATAAGCCTTTATATGTAACATCCTACCCCTTTAAAATTACCTGTCTCCTCTTCTGTTTTATCTTTTCTTTGCAATTGCCTTGGAGATCAACTTTGAAAGGGAAATTAAAGTGCACACACACAAACACACACTCCCAGAGACACAGAAGAGGATCATCATTTTGATCTACCAGTTATAGGATGCTAAAAATATAACAAGCACTGGCCGGGTGCAGTGGCTCACGTCTGTAATCCCAGCACTTTGAGAGGCCGAGGCGGGTGGATCACGAGGTCAGGAGATCGAGACCATCCTGGTTAACAAGGTGAAACCCCATCTCTACTAAAAATACAAAAAAAAAAAAACTAGCCAGGCATGGTGGCGGGCACCTGTAGTCCCAGCTACTCGGGAGGCTGAGGCAGGAGAATGGCATGAAGCAGGGAGGTGGAGCTTGCAGTGAGCTGAGATCGCACCTCTGCACTCTAGCCTGGACTACAGAGTGAGACTCAGTCTCAAAAACAAAAAAAAAAAATCACACACTGTGCTAAGCATTTTACATGGATGCTCCCATAGTCTCTCTAGTAAAAACAGTGAATAGCTTTCCCAAGGGCTCCACAGAGAACAGATTTGAATGAAGCAGTCAGACCCTACAATGAGCCTTTTAACTGACATGGCATCTACCTTAGTCTTCATCAGTCTTGCAATCTCCTCTTGAATACATAGCAATAACCCAGTGCATTTGTTTTCATGATGGTGTAATATGTCTCACTGTGATAACTCACAGTGAGCTATGGAATCATTAGCAGCTAGGACTTCCCCATATATGTTGTTTTTTCTGTTAGATTTGGGGAAAATAAGAGGATTTAACAGCATATACTACATTTAACCAAGATGCAGAAAATTAATAACCTTAGAATTCAGTAAAACTATGATCAAAATATCATTTAACTAATTCTTGTGCTAGAATTATATTTGTCAGCCATTTGTAATTGGGGAAAAGATAAAGGCTTTCTATGGACTGAAGGGAAGACTGAGAGGCAACTGTGTTAGGAAAGTCAGAGAGCTCTTCAGCCAGAAATGTGAGATCACTTGAGCAGGAGAATGGGGGAAGAGCAGAGATTGAGGCAGGAGAGGAGAATGAGGGAAGAAGGAAGATTTCAGAGAGGTTTTGAAGAGATGTAACCAATAAAATGTTCTGAGTTAATGGCTGGGGGAGAGAAGTGGTGAAAAAATGGTAAGCAACTCAACAGCCCAAGAGGTTTCTACTTGTGTCTAGATGGGAGGTTGGATGGTATCTTTAGTTGAGCTAAGCAGATCCTGTCTAGTAATGTCAGTTTCATTGATATTAACTAGTTATCTAAGAGTTAATAATCTAGTTATAAGTTCATCATGCTGTACTATCCTGAAAATTTTGGTTTATTCACATAAATATTATTAAAATATCTGTCAAATGTTAACTGAAATCTAGGTACCTTTTGTCTACTCATTCCTCTTATCTACCAGTCTTACAACTGGAAATAGTTACTTTATAATATAACAATATAGTATCATACAAGAAAATGTAATGTATAATATATAATAATCCCTGTTATTACTAGCTAACCAGTATTGAGCACTTACTATGTGCTGCACACATTGTCTATTTCTAGCCTCACAACAAATGTATGAGTTAGATGGGATTGAAGTAAGGCTAAGTAACTTGTCAAGTTCATATGTAAGTAGAAGCCAAGATTTAAACTAATGTAATTTGAATCTAGACTCCAAACCCCTAACAAGTAATGTATCTTGCCTTTAGGTTTGCTTTTTTTTACTGTCTCCCAAATCATTTGTTAAATTATGAGAGACTTTTCAACATCTATAACTATTTTTCATGTAATTTCCACTAATTATACTTGCTTTATGTACAGACAAAACACCATTTTTAAATGCATGAAAATCAAGCACATTCTTTTAATGCATTCAAATAAATTGGAATTATATGGATTAGCAGCTTAATAAAATAATAATATTTCTTTTTATTCTTCTCTAAATTGCTTATTTTTTTCTTATCACTTTTTGTGATGGAAAATCTCATGCTTAAATATTTGCCTTGATACACATAATTAAATTCAGAACAATTCAACTTTAAATGGCTAAATCTTGCCAATACTAGATTTAATGCATAAACTACTTGGATGGACTAAAATGGCATATAATTTTTGAATATCATTACTGAAACTCTACTGTCTGCTGCCTGAGCCTACTGTGCTAATTTGATAGATTTTTAAAAGAAAAAGCTCTTTGATTTGGAAAGACACAGCAAAAAATTGACAGGCATGAATCTGGCATTTTGTCACTCAAATGAATATGATAATGATGGTATCATTAGGCAAAATAATAATGTGACAGTTTCATATAATGAAGGAACACTTCTGTGCCAGAGAATTTAAATGTCGAGCACCTGGATTCCCAGATGTTTACCAGTTTCAGTCACGCAAAACCCTCTACTAACCTGTGCTCCCTGAATAATAATTTTGAAGGCATTGGGTAGTTATAGAGCAAAGGCCAAAAGATATAATCATTGCTGGTGTAGGGGGGAAGTAAATTCCCTTGTTCATTTGTTGATCTGTATTTACTCAATTAGCATAGCCTAATTTGGATTACTGTAGAAAAACAGGAAATGGGGTTGTAACCTTTATCCTCAGATACTTCTTAATTATTCTTTTGGAAAGGAGGCTTTCATTTCTTATCCATATGTAGTTCTTCAGATGTAAACAGGCGGGAGGGGAGGGGAAGGAAGGGGAAGGGAGGGGAGGGGTTTTCCTGTTAGGATTGGATCCTCCCCTCCCCAATTTAGAAACAATCCCATTCTCCCCCTATTGTCCCATGATTACAAGTTTACAGAAGCCTCAAGATTTGTATGGAAGCCAAGTTCCTGAGTGTCTTGGTGTTTATTCACCCACTTACTGTGATTCAAAGGTGTCTTGGCACATGGTGGAACAGGTGAAGTAATTACTAAGCTTCCTCCTTCCTTGTCCTTAGAAGGACAAGGTCCTGCCTTATTTTTAGTTAAGAGGCACAATATAATAGGTAAGCAATTTTGACCTGTTGAGAATCAGCTTTGCTCAGGCAGTGGTGAGTTGTTTTTGTTCAGTTCTTCAAAGCAATCACGTGGCACACACCTGATTACTGACAGTAAGCATGTATGGTACCAACTTCCTTCTGCCCTTTACAGAATGACCTTCTCACATAGAGAGTTCTAAATTCCAGTTCTCTAAAGGATTCCTGTACATTCAGAAGACACCTAAGTAATCCTGATGGTAACAAATCATTTCATTGATCATGCATGCAGCAGTGGTTCAATCTTGGCTGCCCCTCAAGGTCACTTGGAGAGCCACAAGAGCAAGGATTACTGGGTCCCTCCTCCAAAGATTCTGCTTTAATTGGTCTGGGTTATGGCCCAGGATTCAGCATATTTCGGAGATCCTAGGTGATTCTAATGTGCAGCCAAAATTGAGCTTTTCTGGTCAAGAGGCTTAGAAACAACTCAGTCAACAGGTGCTCAGTATTTGAATCACCTTCTGGACATTGGTTGTTATTTTCCACATGTATACTGACTTCACTAAGTTAATTACTTATTTAAAATTCTCAGAGCACAGCAAAGCACTCTCTGTGAATATCAATTTGTTGAAGAGTCCTGTTGTAGGGCAAAATATTTGATTTTTGTTTATGTTTTAAAAAATCAATCTAAGCTTATTTTAAAGACATTTAGAAAGGACATCCAAGTTTTCTCTCTTAGGATCACTTTCTACTATTGTTATTTGTAGAAGTAAAATTTTTTAAAAAAACACTTTTTTTCTGGCTATTAGGTAGAATAATTTTAACGTATAAAAATTATAAATGCTACCAATTGCTTTTGTGTTCTTAATACAGTGAAAAAAGGTGACTTACCTACTTTGATTAGGTTCCTTATCATCCTAGAAGTTGGGCCTGAAACTGTGACGTTCAAGGGAATAAAAAGACAAATAAGCAGTCCCGGTTTCATATAGAAGTCAAAGAATTTCTAGATGTAAATAAAGAGTTCATGTTTAAAGAAAATGTCACACTTCATCTATAGGCATTCCTATCTTGAAAATTGTATTTGAATGATAAATGTTGGCATTTGATTTAAAAATGTCTCTTGAATTCAGAAAACTTGGCATCTGATATTTGTAGCCAGATGTCTGGGTCAAAGTATCTTGTAGTATTATCTCAATATCTGGATCCTTTCCTGATTCAAAGAATTAAAACTCTGAAATAAATTGAAATTCAATGTATGTAATGTGTTTTGCTTAAGTGAACGACATCCTATATGTTTTTCAGATTTTCTTAGGCTTAAGATTGCATCATTTCCATTTTTTTGTTTTGTTTTTGTTTTGTTTTGTTTTGTTTTTTGAGATGGAGTCTCGCTCTGTCGCCCAGGCTGGAGTGCAGTGGGGTGATCTCGGCTCACTGCAAGCTCCGCCTCCCGGGTTCACGCCATTCTCCTGCCTCAGCCTCCCAAGTAGCTGGGATTACAGGCACCCGCCACCATGCCTAGCTAATTTTTTGTATTTTTAGTAGAGATGGGTTTTCACCTTGTTAGCCAGGATAGTCTCGGTCTCCTGACCTTGTGATCCGCCCGCCTCAGCCTCCCAAAGTGCTGGAATTACAGGCATGAGCCACATTGCCCGGCCGCATCATTTCAAATTTTTAAGCCCAGGATAAATTAATTCAAGATTCATTTATAAATCATCCTATGGGCTTTCCAACTTTTTCTAGAAAAATTCACAAGTTATAGGTGTACATGACTGAGCCTAGAGAAAGGCAGAGATGTACCTCAACCTGTCCTGCCTAAGAGGTCACTCCAGAGTCAGAGGCCAGTACTTAGGACAGTAGGAGAAAGGATATCCTGAGAGACTGAGTAATAAGGAATTGAGCTTCCCACAGCTTTGTCTGGGACCTGATTTTAGGCTTCTGATACTAAGGCCAGACAATCAGTCTTGGTTCAAATGTTGCCAAGACTAGAAAGCCTCATATCTCTACACTACATCTACCTCTTCTATGATATTTAGGGTCATTTGTCACGTGTTACTGTGACTTATATCAGCTTATAGCTCTCCTATTAGATTACTTAAATAACCTGAATATTTAGCCAACATACTATCATAGCCCTTTCCTTTAATATATGAACCAAATGTTCTGCCTCCAAAGTATATCCTGATTCCCTCCCCTTCTTTCCAATTCCACTGCTACCACCTCAGTGGAAATACTGCATTCAATGAGGCAGATGAGGAGCTGCTCTCACAAAGCTTACATTCTAGTGGAAGGAGACAGACTTTCCTTTAAGCCCTTTGCAATATTTCTGAGGGACAATCAGGCTAGGTATTACATCCATCTGATGATATACAGCTCTGAATTATTGTTTCCTCTAAATGCTCTCTGACACAGCGTCCTTCCTCATGATCTCCTCTTGTCCGCTCTTGCCACCCTTTTACCTCCGCTCAATCTATTTTTAACACAGTAGTTAAGTAATCTTTGCTCTTTGACACGTTGTGTCTCTTCTTAATTACCTCCATTCTCTTCTCTTAGAATAAAACCCAAGTTCTTCACCACAACCCTTCTCCCCAGCGTGACTTGACATCTTTTCTTCCACCTCTAGGCCTCATTTCAATGTCTCAAATTTGCTAAACTTGTAGCCATTTCAAGAGCCTTTGAACTTGTCTTTCCTTGTGCTTGGAAATTGGTTTTTGTCCATGTATTCTACATATCAGTGCATGTTATCTATTACTCTGTGACAAATTATTCAAAATCTAGTAGTATGACACAATAAATTTTATTGTATTTGGGCAGGGGTGGGGGTCAGAAATTTGGGAACAACTTTGTTGAGTGATTCTGGCTTGAGGTCTCTCATGAAGGTGAAGTCAAGATGTCAGTGAGGGTTGCAGGCATCTGAAGGCTTGACTGGGGCTTAAAGATCTACCTCCAAGATGGATCACATATGTAGCTGCTGGCTGGAGGCTTCAGTTTTGCTCAATTTTGGCAAAAGGTCTTAGTTTCTTACCACAAAGCCTTCTCCCCAAAGTTGTTTGAGTGTCTTCCCAACATGACAGCTAAGTGTCCCCCAGGGTGAATAATCAGAGTTAGAGAAGAAGCCACAATGCCTTTTATGACCTAGTCATGCTTTCACTATATTCTCTCCATTAGAAGTGAATTAGGAAGTCCTTCCCACACTAAAAGGAAGAGAATTAGTTTTTATCTTTTGGAGGAAGGAATGTAGAAGAATTTATGAACATATTTAAAAACTATCACAATTACTGAAATTTAAACTTAAGTTTAGGAAGGAGGAAGCTTAGATGTACTTTACTTGATCATATTAAATAAAAAGCTTTCCCAGTCACATTCTATTTATCTCTCTGTTTTTTTTTTTTCACTTTGCACCATGTGTCATTCTCTTAAATTATCCTGTTTATTTCTCGTCTGTCTCTTCCCACTAGAATGCAAGCTTTATGAAAGCAGCTCCTCATCTGCTTCGTTCAGTGCAGTATTTCCAGTGCCTGGGAACATGCCTGGCACAGGGTGGTGTTCAGTAAATGTTTCTTGTATGAATGAAACTGACTGTATTCCTCATTTCACTGACATGAAGAGTCTAGTGCCCTTTGCAATATTTCTGAGGGATAATGAGGCTGGGTATTACATCTATCTGGTGATATGCAGCTCCGAATTATTGCTTCCTCTATAATGCTCTCTCCTGACTTACTCTCTCTCCTCTTTAGATGTCTCTCCCTTCTCCACACTGGTCTGCTCCAGCTGCAGATACCATTATTGCTTCTGCTTTATCCAAAGCACCATTAATGTAAATTGTGAGCAATGCATTTACCTGAAAGTTTGGGAATTTACAGTGGGAAAACACAGAATTGGTAATTGCTAAAAATTACAAACCAGCCTTCACATTTCTTTTTTTTTTTTTTTTTTCATTGGGGGACTTATCATCATGGTTTCATTTTTTTTTTTTAATTTTATTTTTTTTAGTTTTAAGTTTTGGGATACATGTGCAGGACATCCGGGTTTGTTACATGGGTAAACTTATGCCATGGTGGTTTGCTGCACCTACCAACCCATCACCTAGGTATTAAGCCCCACATGCATTAGCTATTTACCCTGATGTTCTCCCTCCCCTGCCCCCACAACAGGCCTCAGTGTGTGTTGTTCCCCTCCCTGGGTCCATGTATTCTCATTGTTCAGCTCCCATGTATGAACAAGAACATGCAGTGTTTGATTTTCTGTTCCTGTGTTAGTTTGCTGAAGATGATGGCTTCCAGCTTCATCCATGACCTTGCAATGGACATGATCTCATTCCTTTTTATGGCTGCATAGTATTCCATGATGTATATGTACCACAGTTTCTTTATCCAATCCATCATTGATGGGCATTTGGGTTGATTTCATGTCTTTGTTATTGTGAATAGTGCTGCAATAAACAAACATGTGCATGTATCTTTATAATAGAACGATTTATATTCCTTTGGGTATATACTCAGTAGTGGAATTCCTGGGTCAAATGGTCTTTCTGGTACTAGATCCTTGAGGAAATGCCACACTGTCTTCCACAATGGTTGAACTAATTTACATTCCTACCAACAGTGTAAAAGCATTCCTCAGCCTTGACACTTCTTAAAGTTCCCTGGCCATCTCCACCAGGGGGATTTTCTCATGGACTTCCTTCTTCCTTGATGTTGAAGACCCCACTACCACTCTATCTTAAGGCTTTTTCTTATCTGTTATCCTCTCTTAATTCCATAGGCTTAAAATTTATCCTTTCTTTCATCAGCTAAGGGAAAACAAAATATTTTGGTTACTTTATGATGTGGAAAAATCAATTCTTTATCTCAATGACTCCAGTTCCACATTAAGACATGGGCCTATTGTCATAAAACTACAAAGGTCCATTAAAACTTTGTCTTAAACAATAATTAATTCACCATTGGGCAGAATTTGTCTTTAATCAAACACTAAACTAATTACTACTGTGAAGTGATTTTGCTGATGAAATTAAGGCAGGTGATCTTAAAATAGGGGGAGTGTCCTGGATTATCCATTGGGCCCTATGTTATCACGTGAGACCATAAAATCTAAAAAGGAAGGTAGAAGAGTGAGAGAGAGAGAAAAAAAGAAAAAAAAAAGTTCATGCAGGAGAGGAGGTCAGAGAAATTGGAAGCATAAGAAAAACTTGACCTGCCATTACTGGCTTTGAAGATCATGGGGGCACTAACCAAGGAATACAGGTGGCCTCTGGAAGCTGAGAATGGCCCCTGGAAGACAGTCAGCAAGGACACAAAGACCTGAGTCCTCCAACTGCATGGAACTGATTTGCCACAATCTGAATGGGCTTGAAAAATGATTCATCTGCAGAGCTTCTAGACAGGATTGCAGTCCTGCCAACACCTTGATTTTTGTCTTGTGAAACTCTAAGCAGAGAACCAACCGAGCAATGCCATGCTCAGATTTCTGATCTACAGAAACACATAATACATGAGTGTTGTTTTAAGCTGCTATTTGCAGTAATAGGACCTTATATGTATTAACTTGTTGAATTTTCACAACACCATGAAAAGTATGTTATAATTAGTTGCATCTTATAGACGAGGAAACTGAGACACAGAAATATAAACTAACTTGACCAAGGTTATTAAGTTAACTAACATAACAAAGACTACTTATAAGTGGTAGAAACATGGTGTTGAACCTAAGAGTCTGCCTCCGAAGTCTTCCTCTTAACGTATATATCTTAACATATATATTACACTGCCTCTCATGCAAAAAAGGTCAGCTGGTCATTTCAAGAACTACTATCTTTCTCCCTCCTCTGCTTTTTCTTTTTCTCTTCCTCCTTTTATTCTTTACTTCTAAATATTAGTGCTTAAAATAAATCCAGAGACTCAAATAGCCTTTTATGCTTAGGCCATCTTGATTAGGGAAAGGAGAGTGTTCAATATCTTCTTTTGGTTTTTCTGTTCATGTACATTTTAGAGAAATCTGAGGCAGAAAGTTACTTCTGTAAATCCCCACTTTGCCAGGTTTAACAAAGAAGTAAGTCCAGCAGTTATTTCAATACCAGTGTTTTTGAAACTTAGAGACTATAGAATATTTTGCATTGTTTTTATGCCCTAAAAAATTAACCAATATAGGCCAGGTGCAGTGGCTCACGCCTGTAATCCCAGCACTTTGGGAGGCCAAGGCGGGCGGATCATGAGGTCAGGAGATCGAGACCATCCTGGCTAACATGGTTAAACCCTGTTTCTACTAATAATACAAAAGAATTAGCCGGGTGTGGTGGTGGGCACCTGTAATCCCAGCTACTCAGGAGGCTGAGGCAGGAGAAGGGCATGAACCCAGGAGGCGGAGCTTGCAGTGAGCTGAGATAGCGCCACTGCACTCCAGCCTGGGTGACGGCGAGATTCCGTTTCAACAACAACAACAACAAAATTAACCAATATATAGATACAGGGGGGTTGTAGAGACAATAAAATAATATTCTAAGCTAAACGCTATATTTCATTTGGATATAATTTTTAATCCTAGAATTTTAAGGAATCCAGTTTGAAAAGTACTTATCTATACAAGGGGCTTCCATGCACTTTCAGAATATAGGTTTTATTTCCATTGCAAACTCAGAGTCATTCGTAATGTTGGGTGATATTTTCAGGTTAGCATTGTCAATTTTATTATTTATTTATTTATTTAGACAGGATCTTACTCTGTTGCCCAGGCTAGAGCGCAGTGGCACTATCATGGCTCACTGCAGACTCCATCTTCTGGGCTCAAGTCACCCTCCCGCCTCAGCCTCCCAAGCAGCTGAAACTACAGGTGTGCCATCACACACTGCTAATTTTCTTAAAAACTTTTTTTTGTACAGAGGAGGGTCTTACTAGGTTTTTCAAGCTGATCTTGAATTCCTGGCCTCAAGTGATCCTTCCACCTTGGCCTCCCAAATTGCTGGGATTACAAGTGTCAGCCATCATGCCCTGCTGGAGTTAGTGTTGTCAATTTTAAAAAGACAGACTCATCCTACATTTATATAGAAAGCATGGATACATTATTAGAATATTACATTTGCTGCAGACAAAGCTTAAAACATTGATGAAGAGAGGGATGACCCAACACTTACATGGAAAGATGATGCCTTTGGCAAAGATGACACTCTGTTGGATGGACTCTCTTTTCCCTAGCAGTCAAGATTTAATGTATTCTGCCTGTGCTCTCTTGCCTAGTTTCCCACCTTCCCAGCAACTTGCTACCCAAATATTTGTACCTGCAAGATGATTAGTCAAGGTTCAGGATCCACTCTGCCTGGGCTGGCCTTCAAAAGAATTGAGCGTGAAATCACTAAATATGAATGTGGTGTGCAAATAAGCTCTACAGACTCATGGAATCTGTAAATTTAGTAAAGGAGGATTTGAGTAAAGGAAGTTTGAACTAGGATATGACTCTTATTCTGACAGATTCCTGGTAACTTCTTCCTCACAAAACCCATCTGAAAAATCTTTAACATTAAACAATTGTCAAGAAGGCAGGATAATACCAGTCATAAAATCTATGTACCTGAAGATTGAAGGAGAGAACCACCCATCAGGCCTCACCTCAAGCTTATTCTTTTAAAATACAGTATTTTCTGCTTTAGGTCAGACACAAAGATGGCCTACAAAAATTACGCATTTATTAGTCTCCCATTTATTGTGTGTGTATATATATATATAAGTGAATATTAAATATGTACTTATATACTAACAAGTGTTCCATTTATACTGTTTTATCCTCTGCAAAGCCAAGATAATTTTTAAACATAGGAGACACTTAGAGTATATCTTCTTAATTCAATTAAATGTAATGGTAAATACTTTTTAGCAAGTTTGATTATAAACATATTATAAGCAGCATTAAGAGGTAACGGGTAGAAACTCATAAATCACTAGCAGCAAGAAATAACAAGGAGGAAAAAGACTCAATTATTTTTCTAAAAACTGAACAAGGCTCATTTGGTGTAATGGTTAAAAGTTCTTCCCAGATCAAGAGCTCATCTGTATTATTGCAGCCCCAACACTTTGTGTTCGTAACTATGTTCCAGAATTATTAAGAAAGCCAAATTGTGATCGATATACTCTGTTTAATGTGATAGAGGATTGCACAAATATAAAAGAGGTTTACATCTAAAAGATTAAAACTGTCAATCAAAATATTGCACTTTAATTACCTAAGCCATTGACTTGTATGGAAAATCTAATTCTTAGTTTTCTCTTATTTGGTAGTTTAATGCAAATTTATTGCCCTACAATTCTGTAGGTTAGAAGTCCAATACTTGTCTTACTGAGCTAAAATAAAGGTGTCAGCGGAACTATGTTTCCTTCTGGGCGGCCCCATAGGAGAATCTGCTTCCTTGCCTTTTTCAGCTTTTAGAGGCTGCCCACAGTCTTTGGCTCTTGATGTCATTCCTTCATGTTCACAGCATGCAATAGCAAGTCTGGTCCTTCTCATATAGCATCATTCTGACCTCTTCTGTCTCACTCTTCCACTTTTAAGATTCTTTGCATTTACAGTGGTCCCACGTGGATAATCCGGGATAAACTCCCTAAAGGATTAACATCTTATTAGCAATCTCGATTCCATCTTCAACCCTAACTCCCTTTTCACACAAAACCTTTACATATCCACAGTTTCTAGGAATTAGGATGGTTACATCTTCAGTGCAAGGTAAATAGGACATTGTTCTGCTGAACACAGGTGTTATATATTCAATTAGGAACTTAACTAAAGTTTATCAAAATAACAGAAAATGCACATATGGTATATCATCAACATAATAAAATAATCAAAATAATAATATTCACCATACATGGTTATTATGAAAATTAAATGGGGAAACATTTGTGAAAAATGGGAAGCCATAAATTCCCCGTTAAACTTAAGTGAATGTAATGAATCTATGCAGTAAAAAGAAAGTTCTGAAATCCACACTGGGTTCTTGGCCAAGATCTTAGACTTGCCAAGATGCCTGCTCTAGTAGTTGGTTTCAATGATAAAAGGCTCTGCAGCAATATAAGCATTGTTTTTATTGACTATTTAAACTGTGCTCCTACTGTTATCACACTCTTGGGAGGAGGAGACAGACGCTGATACCAGGATGAAGTCATAGAGAAATTTTTCTGATGAAAGCCCTCCAACTGAATGAGTTCACACCTAATGCCAACCCAGCAGCAGGGGATTCATCACAATATTCAACAACCACACCTTAGAAGCCAATGTCATCTGCCCAAAGCAAAGCTTCTCATAATTTATCCTTACAGTAGAGATTTCTATCTAGTATACAAAAGCACACATGCTACAAGGATGCTGAAATATTGATCTCTTCAATCCCAATGTGCTTTTCATATATGAGCAATTTCTATGTGGACCATGATGACAAAAAAGAAGCCCTGGATAACATTGCAAGGTCAGATATGCATGTTGGCGCCCTACCTTTGACCCCATTTTAGGAACCTAAGCAGCTGTCCAAGGCCTTCTGTGGCACTCTAGTAATTTCAGATAGAAAAACTTTGCTCTTTCCTTGTTTTTTTTCTCTTCAAAGCTGTTATATGTACCACATTCCTTTACATCAGGTATTCTACTTGGAAACATAGAGAATGTCTTGTGCCAAGGAGCTCACTTAGATATTGATTCAGTGGATTTCCATCACCTCCGAAGAAGCATTGCAACCCTTGGGGTTGGAATCCTGAAGAATTTAGTGATGCTGGTATTTCAGTCCCAAGTGCAAACCAGGGATGAGATGTGTTTGGCTGTCTTCCTCTCTGTCATCACCTGAAGCCTGCTGTGTATATTAGGCCCATTTTTATCTGCAATTTTAGATGTTTACTGAAATGAAGAATATAACATAAAATACAGAAGTTACAAGTTGCTTATTTAACAGTCAATAAGGGCAATTTCTATTATTGCTTTTGAGGACTAGTTATTTTGAAAATCTTGCCATCAACTCCAGATTTCATTATCTCCGTAAAAGAACAACTCCAAATGACAGTCAAGTGCTTATTGAAGATATGTGACTGCTGTATCTGTGTCTGCCTCCAAACCCCTGGTGAGCTGTTTGCTACTAAGAACTGTGGGATCAGCCCTCATCTAGTGTCTTCCCTTAGGATGTAAAATAGCTAACACCATCACTCTAAAAGCTCCTTTCTGCATAAAGGCATCAAATTACAAACCAACCATATGATTACTTGGGGGCAGATGGATGTATGTATTTATGTTTATACATATGTATTATACATCTAGTGAACATTGGAAAAATATGAAAAAAAACTTAACAGACATTTCTTTTTAGCCCCACTTTCTCTGAGGTGGCTAAATGAAGACATTGAAGATTATTTCATGAAATGTTCATTAATATCCTCAGAAACATTTCAGGGGTACATCTAAAAAGGTAAGGTTACATTTAGACTCATGCCCTGTTTACCTTAGCAGAAGGCAACCTACCAAACTTAAAATTGAGTTTCTTCCCTAGACTCTAACTTCTACATTTCTGTTCCCACTGCAACTGTTATGTAGAATGAGGTGTGAGACTCATTTTTTCTGCATCCTCCTGTGAAATATCGTACCATGGAGTGGCCCAAATCCCTCATCACTGCTCAAATGGCAGGAATGAGATTCTATACCTAAGGGGGAAATTACTGTGGAGGACAGCAAGTACATTATGTTCTGTTGCCACTCTGAAGAAGGCTTAAGATATCAGGAGGGGTGACAGAGGAATGAAAGAATGTAACGTTCACATATCAGAGACAACAAGGGTAAGAAGTGAGGTCTGGATATCAGTGAAGGGCCAAAGTGACTCATCATGAGGCATTTTGCTTGAAGTCCCAAAGGAAGAACACAGTATTCTCATTACTAGGGTGTAGCACACACGGTGCTTAATTTTGTCTTTTGGGGGTATGAATAAAACCTCTATTTATTATAAAAAGAGCAAAAAGAAATGCCCTCAAATTTCTAGTATTAAAGACTGAACTTGAAGAGGAAAAATAAATAAATAAACAAATAACAAGGATTTACTTTGGAGATATGACTAGGTAAATTCTGTCATAAAGAATTTCACTCTCTAAGCCCCTATATCAATTGTAAGACCAAGGGAACTAAAGAGTGTTCCTTAGGGTAAAAGGTCTTTTAAAGTTCTCCCTCTTCCCTAAAGAGTATCAAATTATGAAACTTAAATCACTTGAGAATTACTTTTAAGAACCTATTTTTTGTGTATGTCTCTTTTCTCTGAACTGCAAAATGCTTCAGTGCTCAGGACATCAGTAAACAATTTGAAATATATAGTGATCTCCTTCTACTTCCTTGAGCTCTAGTGATAAGAATCAGACCCAAAAGAGAGATGCTGTCACATACCAGACTGAATAGTGTTTTCCAGGCCAATTCTTTAAGAGACTCAAAAAAATCTACATTTTGCGAAAAACCAAGCCCACATTCAACAGATCTGCCCTGGGAGTCCTAGGGCATGGTGACGCAGCTTGGAGCCTAGAGTTCTGCCTTCTCATCTGGTCTCCTTTACTTGTGGTGGGCTTCTGGGCTTCAGTTTGCTATTTAGTGAAGTAGATGGATGGAACTAAATGATCTCTAGATTATCTTTTGGCTCAGAAGCTCAAAGATTCTTTGACACTTAACACTCATTTGCATGAGCCCACTCACACACACAAGTGCACATATACATAAAGAAACTTGTTTTTGTATGGTGTCATTGGTTGGGGTAGTTTGTGATTTTAAGTGAACACCCCTAGCAGGATTGAAGAGTAAGAAGTGATTGGATTAGGCCATCCATCAGCAGTTAAGAGAGCAATTTGGAAAGTCCACTGAGAAGAGAAGAGTTTGCCTATCAACCCACTATTCACAAGCACTGGGCAATAGAGGAGAAAAAAAATTCCATATTTATGAGCAGACAAAGGAATGTCAGTGAAACACATGATTTAGAATGAAACCTAGACAGTAAAAGAGAGGGACACGTTGAAGAGTTTTTAAGACAAAGGACAAGTTTGAGATGGGCAGAAAAAGGCAAATCGGAACTGCACAAAGCCACATGAAAAGGGTTACAAAACCTTCAACAGAAAGAGCTGTGCCCATTTTTATATTCCTCACTGAGAAGATGATATTCCTCGACCTGAAAGAAATAACTGTATTTCATATACTTTTACAGATTTGGGAGATGAAAAATAACATTTCTAAAGAACTTTCAGTTATTAGGGAAGGAAGGTCAGAGAGTAGCATCTAAGCAGTCTTGAAAGGGTGAATTAGAATTTGCCAGGAGTCCAGGTAGGAAAATTCATCATAAATGATACATTTACAACTCAACCATTGTAATATAATGTATCCTGAGCTTTCTACCTTTTAATTAAAATATTTATGTTTGCAACATATAAGATAAACCTGAAATAATAAAATGGTTTTATTAGATAAATAACTTTAAAAGTGGCAAGTAGAAAAAAAATAAGAAGTCATTCACAATTCTCTCAATGGATCTGTGTTACCACAAAAGGTCTTGCAAGTGTACTTCCTATTGAGAAATCAGAAATATGCTTTTAAATTAACAATGCTAAGAAACAACAAAAAAGTCACTTGTTTTAGCGAAGTGATCAGTTTTCAGACAAGGCAAGTTTTTCTATTTTTGCTCATTAAATAAAATCTGTAGAATACCATTGGTTTGCACTGAGCTCCTGCAATAGGCCCAATAGACAAAACCAAAATGGAGTCACTCAGGCCATGCTACAAAGTTAAACTAAATTGCTTATTGGACCTTCCTTCCAAGAAATCAGGAGAGAGAGAATAGCCAAATTTCCAAATAGGCTAGTTTTAGCTTGCACGATCAGGAAAGTCCCCTCTGCTTTCGCCTTTAGTTTTGAAACGACCAACCTGCTTTTTGTCCTCTGTTTCTGCTTTCCTTAGACCTTCTTTGTCAATAAAGCCAAGCTCCTCTGTTCAGCTTCTCAGAACACTCAGTTTTATAGAATGAGGTGTTCCTCAATTCTAGAATTGTAAAAATAAGCTAATCGAGATTTTAAAATTGAATTTGTTGTAATTTTATTTTTCGACACCCTACACATAGCAATATCTCAAAATCTCATTCTCTTCTCCATGGCTGAAATTTAGCTTCCCCAAAATTTTAATTTCTCCCTTAAGACTATCCAGACGCTACTTCCTCTGTGACAGTTCTTCTCTGACCATTCCCAAAGCCTCCAAAAGAGAGATTCATCCTACATGTTCACTTCTGTCATCAATTCTTTATCATCTCATCCACTCAACTCTGAGCACCATGAAGCCAAGGAATATGTTTTGTTCATCTCAGTCCTTCTATGACTTGGCATGGTGTATGGTCAGAGTTGGTGCTCCAAAAGGATTTTCTTCAATGAATGAAATAAAACTAAGATAAAAGTCGCATCTGCATATTTGCCATTTTTTTTAATTCAGAGACTTTGATACATTAAAACACACAGGGAGTGAAAGAATTTGTCTTTCTAGGGCATCTATTAGAGGCAGGTCAAGCATCATACATGATAAATTTTCAACTTCACCCATCCACCCTGTTTACTTTGTGTATTTTGATAAAATATTTTTCAGAAGCATCCATGCATTTGTGTAAGTAAGTTTTACAGATTCCTATTGACCACATTCTAGGTTTTGAAATCAGTGTAGGAAATAAACTCTGGACTACTCACTGTTATGAATTTATTTAAAATTTTTGAACCAAAGCAGAAATAATAAAAAATTACTGGACATTGCCATTACTCCATTCATTCAAAATCCTTTTGTCTTCATTTCTTTATCTGTAAAATAAAAAGTAACACCTGCAGTATGGATTATTGTGAGAATAATAGGAATTAAATGAAAAACATACAAAAGTCTAGACTCTAGCACATAGAAGGTACTTTGTAAATGGTGGCTATCAATACTATTGCAAAGTACATTTGAGGGATTTGGCCTGAACTAAAAGATACTACATCCCCCTTCCTCCTTGTGCCCATTCAGAAAAAATATTTCTCATTTTTTTCTCTATGCTTACTTATGTATTAAAGGTTTCATCATCTCTGGTAGAAATAGGATTTCAAATTACTATAGTAATGCCTATTATAATTCTTAGATGATGATCCTCTAGATACAAAGCCAAATAAATTGCCATCAGCTAGAGAAAACACATGGTACAGTTTACATTACCCACTGTGTGATTTAGGTTTAGTTACTTAACCTCTCTGGGCCTTAGTTTTCACACCTGTAAATTGGGGATAATAACAGCATCTATTTCATGAAGTGTTGTAATGATAAAAATGAATGAAAACACACACACATACACACACATATACACCCCTCCTAGAATATTGCCTGCATGTTGTAAGTTCTACTTAGATGTTTACTTTTAGTATTATTCATTTTAATAAACACTGAACCTACTAAAACAGACAAGGACATACAACACAATCTGATTAGCGATCCATCGATTCTTCATTACTCTAATTTGGGGAGTGAAAATGTCAAGGGTAGTCAGACCCATTCCTGTCTATTGTAGCTTAGAACCACAGCTGGGCCCTAAGAATGTTATCTTGAATAAGAGACCATATGCCCACTTAAGTGAGTCAGGAATTATAGGCTTATAATGTTTTGTTTTCCTAAAAATGTTTCACTTTGCAATAACCAACTTTTTAACAGAGAAAAAAGAGAGAGTATTTAAATATAAGAGCTACAGTTACAAATAAATTTCAGAAAGTACTTTCTCATTAAGAATAGAGGTGGAAGAGAAAATATTTACATGGAAACATTTTTCTTACTTTGCCAGCAACTTTCTGAATTCCCATTACCATATCTCTGAGTTATTTTTGATTTCTACATTAAGTTCCTTTGTGTGTTACATCAGAGTTTGTTGCTATGGAGATGTCAGAGATGGCACAGATTCACCAGCATGAACCATTTTCTGAACAACTAAACATCATTCCCTCCCATAAAAGAAACATGCCTGTCTCACATATCCTTTGTGTTTCCATTCTGAGAAATAAATATAGATCTCACATTTTTCATTTAAATTGTTGACCATTAGATATGGTAGATTTCTTAATAAAATATTACTTACATTTGGAAAAGATACATGTATTGATAAATAATGTACATTCTGCAAAAATATTATTAACCACTATACTGAATAATGTTTTTACAACTCACAAAATTATTATCACCTATGCTATATTATTTGATCCACACAGCCTCCAATGACATAGGAAGATATGACCTTATTTTCTCATCTTATAAATGAGCATGTAGAGATCCAGAAAGAATAATCTGCTCAAGGGAAAAATGGAAATATTGGCATGTACACCCAGGTCTTTTGATCGTTCCTCTTCAACTTCCTCCATTTCTGCATATCTCAGAACACAATGTCATTTTCAAGTCTAGTAATTACAGTTTTCTGACACTATAATTTTCTTCTTCTTCCTCCTCATAACTAATAGCTACTGGGTGGCCACCGTGTTTGGACACTGTCTCCAGTGCTATGTATCATAGTTATCACATGAAGGTAACTGAGGAGACAATAGCTGCTGTTAAAGGTAAGGCATGGAATTCAAATATACTTGTAGTAAAGTTTATCAGTTTGTCACTAGGTACTTTAAGGAAATTAGAAAAGCTTAGTTTAAAGCCACAAAGATTTGTCATACAAGCAAAAACAATTAAACCACACTCTATGCTGTATTTGTTTTATTTGTTGCTTTATCTCCAACACCTAATAGAGTGCCTGACTTGTGATAAACATATGATAAATATTTGTTGAGTGCTAGGTTTGCCACAATTAGTGTCTCTGACACACATACATACACAAACACCCTATTGATGCAATTTCCCCATTTTATGTAATATGTGTATTTCTAGAGCTTAAAGAAAAAATTATTCTACATATTTGAAAGTAAAATTCTAATCATGAATACAGGACCTTGGGACAGCCTCTTTGGCAGGCTTTGACTAACCTGCCTGTTTGGAATATCAGTAGGGAAACATCACTGCTTGGGAGACTTTTAAAGAGGAAAATATTTGGTTCTCAGAGATTTTTATTTTTTCTTCTGTGGCTCCTTTTTCCTTTCCGTATCTCTGGTCTCTGCTCCAGTCATTTCTTCTTTATATAAGGTGCCTTCATTCTCCTTATCCTCTCCCTTCCTAATGACCAGCTGCCTCTCCCCAACTAAGCTTCCGAGAGAGGCGCCCACTCAATATTCCATGTACTCGTCCTATGTTTCTTTGTTCTGTTTTTTCCCACCCCCCACTGACATTTCCCTGATCTGTGTCCCATTTCCATAGGAAACTTTGAGCTGCCTAGAAGTAATGAACTAACAGGAACTGAGATTTTAAACACTAACAATGACTGTATGGGTTCGCCTTTAAAATACTGTTTGAAAATCACAACTTACTTGATTTGTTCACTTGTCTATTGTCTGTATCCTCCACTAATATAGTAAAATTCACACGGGTAAAAGCCATGCCTGTCTTGTTCACTACTTTGTCCTTCCATTTCTGTCCAGTCAAAAACCAATCCCGAAGATTCAGATCAAATCCAGATATTCAATAAAGCCTTTTCTAATCACTATTTCATTATGGCAGCCCTAGAACACTGATATAGGAAGATAATCAATACTGTGAATTAGGAATTCAGAGAGAAGAGTTATTGCTTTTAACTTTGTGTAGTGATTAGAAAAGGCTTTATTGAATATCTGGATTTGATCTGAATCTTCAGGATTGGTTTTTGCCTGGACAGAAATGGAACTTCAGCAAGAAGACATCTTAGATAAACAGTGTGAATAATGGCCTTCAGCGGTTAAGGTGGCTCCTGTGTCTAAAGACTGTCAGTCCCTCGATGTGGACGTAACCGGCGCCTGCTGCTCTGTGGCTGCTTTGGAAACTGCAGAGATCCCACTGAGAGAGGGACATGTTGGAAATGTGCACTGGCTTTCATATTGGATGATCAATGTTCTTCTCACAGCTCTAGAGCTGATCAGCTCTGTGACCTTGACTGCTTCCAACGTCAAAGTAATGAAGGGATTGGATGGTTTGCCTTTAGAGTGATAAGATTCTGGTGATCTGAGAGTCTACGACCTCTCTGCATCACTGGAGCTGGGGAGTAAAAAAGAGAGAGAAGAGTAGGATAAATGAGGCTTCGTTGTGGCAGTCAGGGAGCAGCTGCTCCTCAAACCCTTGGTTTATTGAAAAGCTCCTGGAAATATCTACTATCAATAAAATCAGATGAGGTTAAAAAAAATGGGATCAGATATTAACTTAGTTTCAAGGACAGAACCTAAAAGAGGTCAACATTGCCCTGGGCCTAGTTAGGTAATACAGGAGGTGAGTAGAGATTTAAATCTACAACAAAAAAGTTAGAGAAGGAGCATTTAAGATAGAAAAGCAGAAAAAATGTGACAGATGAAGGGGAAAAATGAAGTTTTGATAGAGAACAAAATCGCAAAACTAATGAATATCTTGCAATGCATTTTTTGAATGGCTCTGCTGAATGTTGACAACATGCATTTTTAAAAATCCAAACTAAAATCAATTTGGTATCAAATTTGGTATTTCACTTTTACTTTTCCTTGTTTTTTTTCTCATGTGCTCCATATATTTTCCTTTTTGATGAGGAAAGTGATTGTGTTAGTAGCCATTGCAGGGTGACCATAGGCTATATAAGAAGATGAGGAAGAACCTAATGAGGGACAGATGATATAAGACTTCCTTTTTGGGCATCCTCTTCTCCTAAATAGCTTTCTGAGCCCATGGATTCACACTCAGTGCTTGGTTAATAGGCTCACATTCTGTTTTTCTACTGGCTTGCAGGTTTTAATTTTTTTTCATAATCATTTCTCGTTAGATCCTTTTGGAAATCTATGAGATGAATACAGTAGAAATCGTTATCTTTCTTTTACAGATGAATAAACTAAGAATCTCAAATAGTGTGCTCCAATTGCCATTAAGTATTAGAGTCAAGTAAAACCACATCATTTCCTACATTCTCCTAGGGAAATGGAGGTAAGCAGAGTAATGAGAGTTGTATTACATTGTTTTGCTGGTGGAGGGTCTTGCCTCAATGTTGAGGGCCTTGCTTTGGATTAGGCTTTGGCTTAAGGTAATGTTGCATCTGGGTTGATCTTCTATGCAGACCACTAAAACCTTCTCCATATCAGCAATATGGCTAACTTTGGTGCAAGAGGCCTAGTGTTTGGCCAGCCTTGGTTTTTGGCATGCCTTCTTCACAAACTTAGTCGTGTCTAGCTTTTAATTTAAAGTGAGAAACATGCAACTCCTCTTTTCACTTGAACGGCTTGGAGGCCATTGTAGGCATACTTATTGGCCTAGTATCGGTATTGTTTTGTCTCAGGAAACAGGGAGGCCATAGGAGAGGGAAAGAGATGGGAGAACGGACAGTTAGTGGAGCAGTCAGAGCAAATACAACATTTATCAATTAAGTTTGCCATCTTATATGGGTGGGGTTTGTGGCATCGCAAAACAATTACAGTAGTAACATCTATGATCACTAGTCCCAAATGACCACAACAGATATAATAATAACGAAAAAGTTTGAAATTGCAAGAAGTACCAAAATGTTACACAGAAACATAAAGTGAACACATGCTGTTGGAAAAATGGTAACAATAGACTTGCTCAATTAGGGTTTTCAACTTGTAAAAAACACAGTATCTGTGAAGCACAATAACGCAAAGTGCATAAAACGAGGTATGCCAGTATCAGAATAATAAGTAAATGTTGAAAATAATATTGTAGAGGAATATTTAATAGCTTGAAAAAATGTCGTATATATTCTTTTAAGTGAAAAAAGAAAATTATATAACAATGTTTTTCATTTAAAAATGGGAGAATATACTCCTAAAACATTAATGATGATAATCCCTGAATTATATATTATAATTTTAATTTTCTTAATTATGCCTTTTTATACCTTCTATTTTTTATGGTGCAATAGTTTTATATTTTAAATCAGGAGAATATTTTATCACGGAAAACTAGGGGAAAATTAGGAAGAGAAACCTCAAGGCTAACAATCACTTTGGGCTTTCTGGCAAAACAAGATAGAAGGCTGAAACACTGCTCCTGTTCATCTGTTTGTGTTATTTTATATAATAATTAGAAAATGCCAAGGGAAAACATTGAAATATTTCAAAACAAAAGCAATCAGAATTTTAAACACTGAGATAGAAATGCCCAACTAACTTTAAAAAAGCAAAAAGCAAAAAAAGCTTCCCTCTTAAATTTCATGTTGTGATTAGAACAAATGTGACACTTATTGTGTGCTTGAACTTTAAAAGACATAATGCAGTATCTCAAGCTATAAAAATAGTATTAATTCAAACTAATTTGCATAAGCACATGTGGTAAACATCAGCTGAAAGACATTAAGAAGAAAAAGCACAAACTGTGTTAGGTTGAATGGCAATATTTCTAGTTCTAAGGAGGCACTTGCACATTCTACTACAAATATCCATAGTAATGTAATTCACAACATATTTACTAACTTCCTTCCATGTGCAAGGCATTGTGCTATTCCCCATGGGAAATGGGAAGCTGCATATTCTCTGCCCTGAAGACATTTATGATCTTTTAGGGAAAATGAACACAACTAATCATATGCAAAGTTGTTTGGGAGATGATAAGAGAGAAGAGTAAACAATGTTTTATAGGAGTTAAGAGGATAACAGACTTTGCCTATTAATAATCCAAAATAGGAAATGAACTTCTCAAAAGCAATGTTGGCTGATGATTCCAAATTGGAAATTATGGAAAGAAAGATAATGTAAATGTAATCCCAGCACTTTGGGAGGCCAAGGCTGGCGGATCACCTGAGGTCAGAAGTTTGAGACCAGCCTAGCCAACATGGTGAAACCCCATCTTTACTAAAAATACAAAAATTAGCCGGGTGTGGTGGCACACGCCTGTAATTCCAGCTACTCAGGAGGCTGAGGCAGGAGAATTGCTTGAACCCGGGAGACAGAGGTTGCAGTGAGCCGAGATTGTGCCACTGCACTCCAGCCCGGGTGACAGAGCAAGACTCTGTCTCAAAAAAAAAAAAAAAAGAAAGAAGAAAGATAATGTAAATTTTCCAAATATGTTTGGAAATGGGAACAGAAACAAAATGACATTCAATTTGTAAAAGTTTTTAAAAAGGCAGGTAATCATCTGAAAATAATCACTCAAAAGCATAAGTATCCAGTGGGCAAAAGCCTGGAAAGCAGCATTACCCAAAACCTGTGAGCTAGTGTATATACTAACTACCCTTATTGGATAATTATAAAACATAGACATGTATTGAAATATCAAATTGTAGCCCATAAATATGTACAATTACAATATATCATTTTTTTAAAAAAAGTTGAGGCTAATGGGTCATAGTTAGTTGCAACTCAGTGTTACAGCCCAAAGTCCTAATATCAGGGTATTCAGTAAGGAAAGAAGATGAGGAGGTCTCTAGTAACAGAGTATAAAAAGGATATTTACAATAGTGAAGCTCAACTAGAAAAGAATATTTCATTACCCCAGGAAAAGAGATAACAAATCACCTGGAAAGCATAGAAAAAAAAGCATTTAAGATTTTTATAGAATTAAGAACAGGGGGAAAAAAATCCTGCTTAGATAAAGATATAACTTAAGTAAAAACAGAGTTTAAGTAGAGTGGAAAGAAAAGCTGAAAACTCTAGAATCTCATGGCAACCATGAGAAAGCAACCAACTGAAAGTATTTATGCCTTCCAGCTAAGACAAGAGGAAAACCATATACTGAAACATGGTTAATTCAGAAACTATAGCTTTAATAATTCTTGGCTAAATTGGATGGCTATTGAGTCAATCAAATTAAGGACAGAACAAACCCAATCTACTGTACCCTGAAAGATTGAACTGTTTTTAAATGACACTTGACAGGATTAAATTAAGCAAAATTTTGGTTCAAAGTCAGGAGGTTGCCTGAAAACAAAGCACGGACTAAACTCACTTAACCAAAGTGCCTAAAAGTATCTGGAATGGTTCTTGACCAATAAGGAGGTATTTTTTAAGAGTACCTCAATGCACATTTGTCTGTGGGCCTCTTCAAATGCTGCATGGCCATAGGCTTCTTGCCTTGGTGATCCCTCTTACAGAAGTGTTGGTTGATAATATCTTGATCTCTTTGGCTAAGTAAGTGTGGAGGACTGAAGCATCTTCTTTATGCACAGTATGGTGGGATGGGGGTGGGTATACTATGCCTGTTCTGGTCATTACAGTTCAGGGCTAGAAAATGTTAAGCAAATATATTTTTTTCTTTCCTTGCCCTGCCATCTACTCCTCTTCTCTATAGTACACTTAGGTACTTCAAGCTAATGTTAGCTTAACTGCCATGTATTGCTTAGGGAGAAAAAGTTAAATTGACACTTGAAATTTAAACATCCTCACTGTCATGTCATGTTTTCCAGTTCAAAATCATCTGTGAATCATTCACTCAAAACAGTATAATCTAAACCTTAAAAATTAGCATATCTTTTATGTCTTCTAAAAGTAAATTAATCATAAAACAGCATTTCAATAAAATATTATTGACAAACTGATAAGCAGGCTCATTCTCTCATTACACAGGAAAGAGATTTATAAACCAAACTTTGGGTATTGTCCAAGGCAGAGGAAGTCAAATAAACCTAAAATTCCTCCAAATGTCACCATTACCCTCTGACCACAAGGACTGGAACTCTGAACCACAAGACACATTCCATAGCATCAGCCTAATCCTACCTAAAGAAGAATTTAGCAGCTCTTGGAGGCCTTATGTCTGTATTACCTAAGGTCAACTCAAGCTGGTTTATTAAAAGCTTCTCCTTGTTTTAGAAGAGTCCTGAAGTACCATCCTTCTGTTTTCTGCTTTTGTTTCTTTTGTATTCTTGTTCTAGTTGCTCATCTCTGAAGCTTTGATTCAGTCGGGGGCACCTGAACATCAGATCTCCGGACTATGGTTTCCATAAAGAGTCTTTCCTTGTTACAAAATGACTCACAGGGTCTAAAGCACTACTTTATATTAGAGTCCTTAACACAAGCTTTTACTACTTAGCAGATAAGTAATGGTCAGCATAGATGAGAATTAAGTCATTCGACAACAACTTTATAATAAGGTAAAAATTTACTAACAGTTTAATTTCTATTGTCAGAAAGTAAGATTTAATTTTTTAAAATAAAAATAAGAAAAAGATGCCACAGATTTCTTTAGCAGACATACAACTGGAATTAAAATGAGGAGTCTTTACTAGATTACAGAATATGTATAGTAACAACAGATGCCAATTTATTCCCAGGTGTCAGATACTAAGGTACCACTTAGTTGAAAAGATGACTTTAATTTGGGGTGTCAAGTTTCTGAGATAATCAGTTAGTTGAAATGATAGCATAAAACTGACTAGACAAACCAAGAGAATTCTAGAAATAAGCAAAGATAGTGAAGTAGTGTCCCAGTGACCTCAGGATGCCAGCGTCTTGCCTGCTTCGAGACAGATCATAGGGACATTGCTGTCTCTTTGTTTCCAAAGCTCAGCCTCTTTTTCTAGAACTCTCATCTAAGTTTTCCTTTTCTGTATACCTCGAACATGTGTTTTCTCCTTCTCAATGTTGTATTACACTTGCTGCATTTTGATACTTCCAGCTTGTAATATCATAAGTCTTTATAAATTTCCGTCATTGTTACTTTGAGTTTATTTTTCAATTAGTCATGAATTTAAACATGTTTTTGCATATCATTTGTTAATAATCTTATTTTCTATAAAATGAGAACCCTCAAGCATTACCTCTTCTGATAATAGAAATAAATCTGCAGGCAGACTCTACTGGTCATTTTAATAACTGATTAGATTAAGAAAAGCCATTGACTCGATTTCAGGTCTTTATCTCAGACTGTGATTAACTCTTAGGTAACATCTGGCCAGACTATCATTGTCATGACCACAGGTTTTTATTGTGTCACTGGTATTATGTCCAAGATCATACTGTTTCTGTGTCTGACTTTTGAGGATTTTAAGCTTGTGAGCAATTAGAAAATATGTCTTTGCTTTCAAACATATCAAACCAAAGAGGTACACATTCACCCATAACATAGTATTAAGAAACTGTGTACAAGGGTAAGTCAGATGAGATTGTATTTACTGACGAACTGACCACTGCATGTCCCCTGGGTCGTCTACTCTATTGTTCATTGTAAGATCATGTGGATTGTATATATCAGTTTCCAACGTGAATTTATTAATGTTCTCCAGCTATCTAAATGTCAAGAGATAGGAACAAGAGTAATTGCATATAAATGCAAGGTACTTTTTGACACCAAATCCTAGAATCTGCAAACAGAAGAAGCGGTGGAGGCACAGAAAAATTCCCAGGAGTTTTACTAATGTTAGTTTTAAGATAAATACCACAGAAATGCTTTTTCCCTTCAATCAACTTCTTTTCCTCTGAGGAGTCACAGATCTTTACTTATATAATCTTTATTTGCCAGATGCTCTATCCTTTTTGCAAATGCTACCATGTTAAAATATAATTACAAGAAGATAATATTGGGTAAACTTCTACAATCATTTAATAGTCAATGCTTTCTTATAACCACTGCGAAATTCACTATCCGTAAATGTTAGAGGAAAGTGTAGAAATAAAGTTAGAGACCACCAGTAGAAGGTACTGGAAAGCTTGGTAATTGTGAGATTAGCTATAACAGGACAAAGTAATAATACCAAAACAAAGCCAAAAGGTCTTATGCCATATATACACCGAATTTAATGTCATAGTTAACCAGAGACTCTCATGTCAATCCTGATTTGCCAACTCCATACAAATTTGGAGGAGGGAAAGGATGAATTGAAGGGGAAGTTTGAAATATGTACGTAATTCATACATATTTCATATTGTAATATACATATATACAGAAATATGTACTAATATTTTAACAGCGGTATGGTCCTGACCTCTCTTAGGTCTATTTGAATGATTGGAGATGATACAATGTTGTTATGAAGCAGAATCAGAGGCAATGATTCTAACCTCTGTACACATAATGTTTATTTGGTGGTAGTAACCTTGGTCTATCATGGTTTAGAAATGTGTGTGTGTGTGTGTGTGTGTGTTTCTGTGTTTGTGTGTGTGTATGTTTTGAGATGGACTCTCACTCTGTCGCCCAGGCTGGAGTGCAGTGGCACGATCTCAGCTCACTGCAACCTTTGCCTCCGGGGTACAAGCGATTCTCCTGCCTCAGCCTCCCAAGTAGCTGGGACTACAGGCACATGCTACCACACCCAGCTAACTTTTTGTATTTTTAGTAGAGACAGGGTTTTACCGTGTTAGCCAGGATGGTCTCAATCTCCTGACCTCATGATCTGCCCGCCTCAGCCTCCCAAAGTGCTGGGATTACAGGCATGAGCCACTGCGCCCGTCTAGAAATGTCTACGTGTTTTAAACTGCCATTGAAGAGATAGCTTGTTGTACTCACAGTTCTCAAGACCTCACATGATTCCCCCATCACACCATGTGGGGGCGACACACAGAGAAGCACCAGAATCAGTCAGGAGGCAGGAGCATGGAGGGGGGAATATGTGGGACAATCTTTATTATGGTTTTCATGGAGAAGGAATGGGGGAGGCACATGTAAATCTGGCCAGTTTGAGTAATTTCAGTGGGTTCTGGGACCTAGGAGCTTTTTCTAGTTGCCTGGTACCGGGCCCTGGGGTGATTAGAGTAAGTGGATGGTGGTCCAGGAGTATGAGAGCCTGATAAGGAAGATTGTTAAAGTTGTAGGATCTGGATTGCTTGCTTTGCATTTGAAAAGTGTGTTGATGGGTGAGTTGTTTACCATCTTTAGGAATTGGCTAACTCTGGGAGGAGCAGCGCCCCCAGGGTTAGCAAAGCCACACATGTAAAGGCATCAGGATACAAAAAAATAAAAGACATGGTTAATGCACTACATTGTCTAGTAGACAACCTAGGTGTAACGAGCCATTGGTTGCTAGCATAGCTGGTCAGTAATTATCTATGTAATTTTAACAAGTCACTTCTCTAGCCTTTAATTCCTCCACTGGTAAAATAAACATTATTTTATTAGATAAATCTTTATTTTAAGTAATTACTTAGGGTACTTTGAGTTATGAGCACGTGACAAAAGGAGATTCCGTATTATAGTTGACAAGATAACAGGACAAGAATTTGGATTATAAATTCTCAGTAAATTTTGTCTGATGTAAGAAAATTGAGTTTGAGTACACCTGGTTTTTTAGTCAAAGCAGTCAAGTTGTTACTGTAACTACAGACTAAAAAATTGCAATTTAAAACTAGAATTTCTGACATAAAGAGCATCTGTATCTTATCTTCTTATTCAGCTTTTATATAGCAACAAGGACATGGAGAGCTTACCATAAAATTGGAAACTGATAAATTTATGCATAACTACCAGTAGCCAGCTAGTCACTAAAATGTCTTTAAGCAAAACACAAATGTGGATTGGAAATTGTAAGACAGAATTCAAGAATGTTGTTTCTAACCATATGGGGAAGTCATTGTTAAGCTTACATACTTCTGATATTTCTAATATTTTGGTAAAATCTTTCACTCTCCTCTTTACTCTTACATAGAAAACCTTCTGACTAGACTTTATTCACCATCTTTATGTTTTGGTTTTATACAAGTACATTTTTGAACTGAAAAGTTTCCTATGTGTGTGTTTCTGTATGTACATTTTCAGGCAGAAAATCAGGTCACAAAAGAATAAGTATAACATAATCATATATTTGTAAAAACAAATAAATACATTTAAAAGTCTGAAAAAATAGTCAAATATTAACAAAGATTCTTTTTAAATTTTTAATACATTATATTTGTATATATTTATAGGGTACATGGGAAATTTTGTTACATTCATAGAATGTATAATGATCAAGTCAAGGTATTTAGGGTATTCATTACCCAAGTATTTATTATTTCTATGTGTTGGGTACATTTCAGGTCCTCTCTTCTAGTTATTTTTAAAGATACAATGCATTGTTAACTATAGTCACCTGACTCTTATCAACCATTAGAACTTATTTCTTCTATCTAACTGTATGTTTGTACCCATTAACAAACCCCTCTTCATCCCTATCCCCACCCATTTGCCCTTCCTGGTCTCTGATATCTATCATCCCACTTTCTGTGTTCATGTGATCAACTTTTTTCACTCCCACGTATGAGTGGGAACATGAGATATTTGTATTTCTGTACTGGACTAATTTCACTTAATGTAATGTTCTCCAGAATCATCCATGTTGTCACAAATGACAGAATTTCCTTCTTTTTATGGCCAAATAGTATTTCATTGTGTATACATACCACATTTTCTTTATCCATTTATTCATTGATGAATACTTAGGTTTATTCTATATCTTGGCTATTGTGAATAAGGCTGCAATAAACATGCTAGTGCAGGTATCCCTTTGATATACTGATATATTTTCCTTTGGATAAATACCCAGTAGCAGGACTGCTGGATCATATTGTGGTTCTATTTTGTTTTATTTTTGAGAAATCTCCATACTGTTCTCCATAGTGCCTGTACTAATTTACATTCCCACCAATAGCGTATAACAGTTTCCTTTTTTCCACATCCTTGCCAACGTCTCTTATTTTTTGTCCTTTTTGAATATGGCCATTCTAACTGTGGTGAGACGATATCTCATTATGATTTTTATTTGAATTTCCCTAATTATTTATGATGTTGAGCATTTTTTCATATACTTGTTGGCTATTTGTATGTCTTCTTTAGAGAAATGTCTATTCCTATCCTTTGCTCATCTTTTAAAGGGATTATTTGTTATTTTAATGTTGAGTTGTTTGAGTTCCTTGTATATTCTGGATATTATCGCCCTCTCAGATGAGTAGTTTGCAAATCTTTTATCCCTTTCAAGAGGTTATTACTTCACTCTTGATTGTTTCTTTGTCTGTCCAGAAGCTTTTTAACTTAATATAGTCCACTTGTCTATTTTGTCTTTGTTGCCTGTACTTTTAATGTCTTAGCCATAAACTCTTTGCCTATATCAATATCCTGAAGAATTTTCCCCATGTTTTCTTCTAGTAGTTTTATAGTTTGGGATATTATGTTTAGTTTTTTAATCCATCTCAATGTGACTTTTGCATATACTGAGAGAAAGGGATCTAGTTTCCTTCTTCTGCATATGGTTATCCTGTTTTTCCAGCACCATTTATTAAAGAGAGTGTCCTTTCCCTAGTGTACATTCTTGGTGACTCTGTCAAAGATCAGTTGGTCCTAAATATGTGGATTTATTTCTGTGTTCTCTATTCTGTTTCATTGGTCTATGTGTCAATTTTTATACCAATACCATACTGTTTTGGTTACTATGGCCTTGTAATATATTTTGAAGTCAGGTAGTGTGATGCTTCCAGCTTTGTTCTTTTTGCTCATGATTGCTTTGGCTATTCGAGCTCTTTTTTTTTTTTCCATACAAATATTAGGGTTGTTTTGTCTATTTCTGTGAAAAATGGCATTGGTGTTTTGATAGGGATTGTCTTGAGTCTGTAGATTGGTTTGGGCAATAGGGTTATTTTAATGGTATTAATTCTTCTGATCCATGAGCGTGGAATGTCTTTCCATTTGCTTGTGTTCTCTTTAATTTCTTTCAGCAATGTTTTATAGTTTTCCTCAAAGAGATCTTTCAATTCCTTGGTTAAATTTATTTGTAGATTTTTGAGAGATTATAAATGAGATTACCTTCTTGATTTCTTTTTTAGTTATTTCATTATTGGTGTGTATAAATGCTACTGATTTTTTTTTTTTTTTTGACAGAATCTCACTCTGTTGCCCAGGCTGGAGTGCAGTGGCATGATCTCGGCTTACTGCAACCTCCGCCTCCCGGGTTCAAGCAATTCTCCTACCTCAGCCTCCTGAGTAGCTGGGATTACAGACATGTGCCACCATGCCTGGCTAATTTTTGTATTTTTAGTAGAGACGGGGTTTCACCATGTTGGCCAGGCTGGTCTTGAACTTCTGACCTCAAGGGATCTGCCTGTCTCAGCCTCCCAAAGTGCTGGAATACAGTGCTACTGATTTTTATATGTTGATTTTGTATCTTGCAACCTTATTGAATTCATCAAATCTAAGATTTTTTTGGTAGAGTCTGTTGGATTTCTAAATATAAGATCATGCCACCGGCAAAGAGGGACAATTTGAATTCCTCTTTTCCAATTTGGATACCTTTTATATCTTTCTCTTACCTAATTGCTCTGGCTAGGACTTCCCGTACTATGTTAGATGGGAGTGGTGAAAGTAGACATTCTTATCTTGTTCCAATTCTTAGAGAAAGGGCTTTAAAATTTCCCCATTCAGTATGAGATCAGCTGTGGGTTTGTCATATATGGCCTTTATAATTTTGAGGTATGTTTCTTCTATTAGTAATATGTTGAGAGTTTTTGTCTAGAGGGGATGTTGAATTTTATCAAATGCTTCTCCGTGTCTATTGAGAAGATCATACGGATTTTGTCCTTCACTCTGTTGATGTGATGTATTATGTTTATTGATTTGCATATGTTGAATCATCCTTAAATCCTTGACATACATCCCACTTGATCTTTTTGTGTGCTGTTAGATTTGGTTTGCTGGTATTTTTCTAGAGGATTTTTGCATCTATGTTCATCAGGGATATGAGCTTGTAGTTTTCTTTCTGTATTTTATGTCCTTGTCTGGTTTTGGTAACAGGGTAATGCTGGCATCATAGAATGAGTCAGGGAAAATTCCCCCTTCCTCAATATTTGAAATAGTTTGAAAAGAATTGGTAGTTCTTCATACACTTATATGTTTGGTAAAATTTCTTCTTTATATTATACATTTGGTAGAATTTGGCAGTAAATCCATCCAGTCCTGGGCTTTTCATTGTTGGGAAACTTTTTATTACTGATTCAATCTTGCTACTTATTATCAGTCCATTCAGGTTTTCTATTTCTTTCTGACTCATTCTTGTTAGATTTTATGTGTCCAGGAATTTATCTATATCCTCTGGGTTTTCCAGTTTGTTAGTGTATGGTTGTTCATAATAATATTTGATAATCTTTTGTATCTGTAGTTTCAGTTGTAATGCATTCTTCTTCATTTCTAATTTTGTGTATTTGGGACTTCTTTCTTGGATAGTGTAGCTCATGCTCATAAATTTTGTTTATCTTTTTGAAGAACCAACATTTTCTTTTGTCAATTAATTGTATTGTCTTTATAATATAGTCTCTATTTCATTTAGTTCTGCTCTAACCTTTAACGTTTCTTTCTCTCTGCTAATTTTGGGTTTCGTTTATTCTTGCTTTTCTAGTTCCTTCAGGTGCATCATTAGATTGTTTATTTGAAAGAGATTGTCTTCCAGTGATGAGATTGTGGTGACTTTCATTTTCTTCTTTATATATTTTTTTATTTTCTGGATTGTTTGCAATTAGTGTACATTCCTTTTATAATGGGAAAAATTACAGCTATCTCTATTTTTCAAAATAAATAGTCTCACATCTTCAGAAAATTTTTTGAAGATATTTATAGTTTATATATATAAGCAATTGGGAACGTAAAAAATGCCAAGATTTTAATATTTGATGATATCGAAGGATTGTTTCCACAGTTTTTAGATCTTGTTTTAACATCTAAATGTTAAATCTAAACATTTAAATGTAATGATATTGTGGTTATATAAATAACAGAGTCCTTTCATTTTAGGGATACATATGAAATGGTAGTGAATGAAACCAAATGACACCTGGTGTTTGCTTCCAATACAGAAGGAGAGTAAATATGAAACAGAATTGGCCATAAACTGATAATTATTGAATCTAAGTGATGGGAACATGGGAATTTGTCATGCTGTTTTGTTTGAAGTTCTCTGTATTAAAAAGTTAAGCATGTCACCATTTTGCATATTTTGATAGCAAGTTAATTTAACAAACACTGAATTCTTTTTTTATGTTTATTTTATTTATTTATTTATTTATTTTGAGACAGAGTCTTGCTCTGTCACCCAGGTTGGAATGCAGTGGCACCGTCACAGCTCACTGTAGCCTCAGCTTCCCGGGTAGCTGGGACTACAGGCACATGAAACCATACCCATATTAAACCTTTTGAAATGTTTTTATTAGTCTGGTCAGTGTATCATCTAAGCAATTTTTATTATAGCATTTACCTTTCACTTTGTAGGTAATGATCTTATTCCAGGATGGGAAATTATTGGTGGAGACCTCAGGTTTGATTATGAACACAGCAGTCAATTATCTCTCATTCTATCTAGTAAAATTAGGCTGTAGTTGACATATCTAAAAGAAAACACATGACCTTTTACCTTAGAACCTGTAGAAATACTGACTAAATGATACTCAGCACCATGGTCTGTGAATCATTATTCCTGCTTTGTAGTCTTGGCTCCACCTATCAAATTACATTCTTTTATGGGCATTCAGATGAATTGGTTTTGGAACATTGCTAATAACACTCACTTAAAGGAGAATGATGGCAATGGGTATTAAAAAAAATACTTTAGCCTTGACATAAAGCTTTAAATATTTAAAAGTATAATTAATTAGTAATATGCTAAGCATATTTGATAACTATGATATCTGTTATTGACATGCTTCACACTGAAATATGAAGTTTGGAAGTTTGCTGTGTTGTAGGCATTGAGAAAACTTTGATAAGTGTTTCTGTTAAAAAATATACTAATTCTTTAATGTGGCTCCTTGCAAAGCTTTCCAATATAAATTAGTTTATTCCATCTTTTCTGTCATGGAAATAAGTGAGAACAACAAAGTCTGACATCTACCTGTCTTCCATAAATAACAAAGAGGAATGAACACAAAGACATTAAACTAAGAGGGACTGACTGCCATCTCAATTACAGTTGGCCCTTGAACAACGTGGGGGTTAGGAGCACTGCCCCTGAGCAGTCAAAATCCTGGTTTAACTTTTAACTTTGCCAGCACTTAACTACTAGTAGTATACTGTTGATCGGAAGACTTACTAATAACATAAGCAGCCGATTAACACATATTTTGTATGTTTTATGTATAATATACTGTATACCTACAATGAAGTAAGTTAGAGAAGAGAAAATATTATTAAGAAAATCATAAGGAAGAGAAAATATATTTACTATTCACTAAGTGAAAGTGGATCATCACAAAGATCTTCATCCCCATTGTCTTCATGTTGAATAGGCTGAGCAGGATGAGGAAAACGAGAGGTTGGTCTTGTTTCAGAGGTGACAGAGGGGGAAGAAAATCCACCTATAAGTGGACACTTGCAGTTCAAACCCATGCTGTTTAAGAGTCAGTTGTCAACTGCACTTATAAACAATCTTATTCCACTCTTTTATTTTAAGTACCAGCTTGAAAAATCACTTGACTTTGAAGCTAGGATGAACATCTAAAATATTATGCTTATAGAGTTATTATTTCACTTTTCCTCTTTGATATTAGATGATATAAGCTGCTGGGTCAGGTGAGCTTCCTCATTGCTTTGAGCAGGGAGTTGTAGATGGTCTACTTAAAAGAGAAACTTGGAATGACTTGTGTATACCAAAGTTCTGCCATACAAATCCTATTCTTCGAATCTGAAGCTGAATATCACAGAAGCAAACTTTAAGGTGCTTTGGAATTAGTGGTTATACATTTGTGCCAGTCTAGGCACATGCTTGCTCTTGGGCTCCCTTATTTGATAACCTTGGGTTTGTAGAAGGCCTGGCTAGAGATACTGCTACAGTCTATGGCTGCAAAGCAATTACTCCTCATATAAAACCATCTAGTAAAAAGAGTTTTCTTGGGACCATGAGTTTATTACTATGGTACTCTAATCAGACAAATAAACCTTTTAACTACAACCATTAAATTCAGTCAATGATTCTGAGTAGCTGAGGCCCATGAACTGAGAACTTGGAAGTAGCTGATAAGCTATTTTAATTCTTTTTAATACTGAAAATCTCTCCTTTTAGTACACTTCCTTTTAGTGTCCTATGATCTTTAACTATCGGGCGCTTTACTGAACTTTGACCAAAAACAATTTTTTCTTTACCATCTCCATCATAGTGGCTGGTTTCATTGCCTTAAATATTACTTATATACCACGATTTTAATAATTAGTGACTGAAGATCCTAAGGGAGAAAATAACTATATAGTGATCTATATATCTATAAGAAAAGGTGACCATTTTACATTTGATTTGTTTTGTAATGTTCAATATTTCCATAGTCGTTTCTTTGAATCGGGATCCAATAAGATTAAAGTTTCCCTTCTATATTTCTGTTTTTCCCCTTACAACTTACTTGTTAAAGAAACTAATTTTTTTTTGTATCGTAGTTTGAACTTTGTAATTGTATCTCCTGGCATCATTTAACATGTTCCCATGGAATCCATACTTACTATATTGATAGTTGATCTAAAAGCTTGAGCAGAATCAGGATTCATTTTTTTTTGTCTGGAATACTTCGTAGGTGTGGTTGTTTTTTGTCATCAAAGGGCACATCATGTCCAATATTATCTCTTTTTATGATGTTACAGTCATTGATCATCATTTCCTAGCTGCAGTAATTAATAGATTGCATAATGATGATTCTTTACTTTTGTAATTTCTTTTTATTTATTAGCTGAAATTCCTTTATAAAAAGAAACATCTCTTTCAATGCTTGGTTAATCAGTGATATAATAGGAAAGGCAGGATAAATGATTTTTTTTCTTTCTTTCTTTGATAGTTTTCAACAATGACAAATTGAGTCTTTTTGTTTTGTTGCAGTATTAAAATACATTTTTAAATAATTTTCTAGTAACCTTTGTATTATAAAAAGGTGGGATTTTTTAAAGCCCATGATGCATGAGGTTATTGCTTTGTTCTCTTGTGTACCTTAGCTCTCCTAAATAAATGTGTTCCCAATTAATAAAAGATAACAAAAGAGAAAATATAGAGATGAGCCAGATGTTACAGATAGTGTTTTCTTACTCTAAAAGCACTGGCGAAGACTGAGGATCTGAGCTTGTAATAAAGCTAAAAACATCCTTCTGGGGATTTAAAAAGGCAGAAAACTGCTTCATCTTTACCTGTAACAGAATAGACAGCATTTTTTTAACCTGTCCATCTTGAAGATAAAAAATGAAGAGAGGCTATGGCCAAAACAAGGAGGACCCTGGGTGGCCAGTACTGATTCCTTAAGGTCCCCTCCTGCTCCCTAATGTGCTCCTAGTGTCTTGTAAAAGGTATGCTGCTTAGCATTCCCGAATGCATATGCAGCCAGGGTCTTGGCTATATGTAGTTCTTTTGGGTCACAAGGAGGACACTTTTTCATCTGTGTCTGACAGGAGACAAACTTAACCATGCTTCTGGCTTCCTCAGATTCTTTAATACGTTGCCACCTCTAATGGTATAAACCACATTCCATAACTTGCCATTCAAGACTACTATAAACTGGCCCACCTAACCATCCTAACTAGTATCCACTATATTTCTTCTACCACTTTTCTACCAGACTGCCTATAGTCTAGAAGAAAACAGCCAAATTTCTCTTTCCTGATTATACTTGCACTCTCCTTTCCATGTGTTGCTCATGCTGCTTCACTTTCCTATTTCTCAAACTCCTTTCCACCAATTGCCATCTCTGATACCTCCACCTTTTAGCCACAATAAATATTCTCTTCTGTGGTAGGTAGAATAATGACCTCCACATGTGCCAACATCCTAATCCCTGGAACCAGAGAATATGTTACCTTGCATGGCAAAGGGGAATTAAGGTTGCAAATTGCATTAAGGTTGCTAAACAATCGACCTTGAAATAGAGAGATTATGCTGAATTATCCAGGTGGGCTCAATGTAATCACAAGTCTTTCAAAGTGAAAGAGGGAAGCAGAAGAGTAGGTCAGAGTGATGTGACATGAGAAGTACTTGACCCATCATTACTGGCTTTGAAAATGAAGAGAACCATGAGCCAAACAATGGAACAGCTTCTTGAAGGCAGAAAGGAAACAGATTCTCCTGTAGAGACTCCAGGTAGGAATACAGACCAATGAATACCTCCATTTTAGCCCAGTAAAATCAGTGTTGGACTTCTAACATATAGAATTGTAAATAATAATAATGATAATATATTGTCTTGGTTTAAGCCACTGAGTTTGCTGTAATTTGTTATAGCAGCCATGGAAAGCTAATACACCCTCTATTTTATTCACATAGTATTTTATGGAATTATTATATTTGTGGAGTTGGAGGCAGTAAATGTACTGCTTCAGAAAAAGATGACACCTGGATACAAATTTCTGCTCTACTACTTGTAAGTTGTATGATCTTAGGCAATTAAAGGAATTTATCTGAGCTTCACTCACATCAGGCCATCTATAACCTTTCATTGCACATAGTTCCTCGTTTGAGGTATTTATAACAATTATAATTACATAATCAATTGAGTGTTTAATTAAATGTCTGTCTCTCCCTTGAGGTAATGGGCTCCCCAAGGGAAGGAGCCCTATCTTGTCAATTATGTACTTCTATCCCTTTTGCAAAGCCACTTAAAAGGCATTTGCCAATTGAAAGGATTTGAGTAAATTTCCTACTTTAAGAATGACATAGACAATATTGCCAAATAAGATATCAATATATTCAGAATGTATAAATGAATTTACTGAATCAGTATAATAGCAGATATTAGGGAACCATTCATTACTCAAGAGATTTCCTAATCTCCTCTTTCAACCTCTATTCTCTAAGGTATTTCATTTTCTGATCCTTCCCCCTCCATTTTGTTTTCCTGATGAGTAAGTATTTTCCTGTCATCAAGAACTGATGAAGTTTTCAGAACTGCAGGTAAGGCCTCCCAGGGCATCTACACCTTTGTAGGCTCCGTGCGAATCTAGGGTCTGCTACTCATGTTTATGGGTAAAAAATATAAATTTAATATAATAAGCTCTTGGGAATGGATGCAGGCTAATCAATAAAAAAGCCATCCACTAATTTACAAGGTAAACTATAAGAGGAAGAACATTTTTTCCCCACACTGGATCTCACTTTCTTTACCCAGCAGAATTTTTACTTGGGAAAAATGTTTTGAGTTGAAAAAAAAAAGTGGACAACATACAAGTACTATGTACTTAACTTATAAATACAAAGCATATATAGAGGATACTCTTACAAGCTAACCTATATACAATACTTTATGTAAGTAATATGCATAAAAGAATGATTCTAGAGAGGGGAGGCAAAGCAAGATGGCCAAAGAGAACCCTCCAGTGATTGTCCCCACCACCAACAGGAATATCAAATTGAAAAAATATCCACACAAGAAAGAACTGTATGAGAACCAAAAATCAGGTGAATAATCACAGTATCTGATTTTGACATGATATCAAGAAAAGAGGCACGGAATAGGGTTACAAAGACCGTCTTGGATTCCCAACACTACTACTCCTCCATCCCCTGGCAGTGCTGTGTGTCATAGAGAGAGAATCTGTATGCTTGGGGGAGGGAGAGTAAAGTGATGATGGGACTTTGCATTGGAACCCAGTGCTGCTCTATCACAGTGGAATGCAACACATGACAGAATTCAACCAGCAGCCATGGAGACAGCAATTAGACCAGCCCTAGCCAGAGGGAATTATCCATCCCAGTGATGAGTTCTGGATAGCCTCACTATCACAACTAAAGTGCTCTGGCTTCCTAAATAAAGCTGAAAGGTAGTCTAGGCCACAAGTACTGCAACTCCTGGGCAAGTACAGGTTCTGTGCTGGACTTGGAGCCAGTGGACTTGGGGTACATGTAATCAAGTGAGACACAGCTGGGGTGACCAAGGGAGTGCTTGCATCACCCCTCCCCTAACTCCAGGCAACATAGCTATAATTCTGGGAGTGACTCCTTCTGCTTGAGGGAAGAAGAGGGAAGAGTAATGAGACCTCTGTATTATAACTTGAATGTCAGCTCAGCCACAGTAAAATAAAGCACCAAGCAGGGTCCTGAGGCCCTCATTTTAGATCATAGCTGCCAGATATTTCTAGACTCACCCTGGGCCCAGAAGAAACCTGAAGGCAAGGACTCAGTCCTGGCAGAATTTATCACTTGCCAACTAAAAAGTTCTTGGGCCTTGAATAAACATTAGCAGTAGCAAGGCAGTAGTTGCTACAGGCCTGACATGGTGGTGGTCACAGGCAGAGGCATCTGCTTGAGGAAAGGAGAGGAAAAAGTAAAGGGACTTTGTTTTGTACCTTGGGTACCAGCTCAGCCACAGTAAAATGAAGCAACAAACAAATTCCTAAAGCTCCGAATTCCAGACCGTAGCTCCTGGATGGCAATTCTACACCCATCCTGGATGAGAAGGGAACCTACTCCCCTGAAGGGAAAGACCTAATCCTGGCAGGATTCACTGCCTGCTGACCGAGAGCCCATTGGGCCTTGAATAAACATTGGCAGTATACAGATAGTAGTCACCATGGACCTTGGGTGAAACCCAGTACCATGCTAGCTTCAGGTGTGACCCAGCATAGTCCCAGTGGCGGTGGCCACAGAAGTACTTACATCACCCCTCTTCCAACTCCAGGCAGCTCAGCACAGAAAGAGAGAGACTCTGTTTGTTGGGAGAAAAGTAAGGAAAGAGAACAAGAGACTCTGGTAATCAAGGGAATTCTTAATCTTACTCAAGACTACCAAGGTGGTACCTCTACAAGTCTGCAAGAACCACAGTGTAACTGGGCTTGGGGAAACCCCCTAATACACATATGGCTGCAGTGGCCAAAGATGTGGATCACAACACTTAATTTCCTTTGAATATCTGGAAAGCCTTCCCAAGAAGGATGGATACAAAGAAGCCCAGACTGCAAAGATTTGAATTAATACCTAGGTCTTGAATGCCAAGACATTGACAAATATCCACAAGCATCAAGACCATCCAGGAAAACAGGACCTCACCAAACAAACTAAATAAGGCACCAGTAACAAATCTCAGAGTGACAGAGATATATGACCATTCAGACAGGGAGTTCAAAACAGCTGTTTTGAGGGAAGCTCAATGAAATTCAAGATAACACAGAGAAGGGATTCAGAATCCTATCAGATAAATTTAACAAAGGGAGAAATAATTTTGAAAAAGAAATTTGGGAGCTGAAAAAGTCAACTGACAAACTGAAGAATGGATTAGAGTCTCTCAACAGCAGAAGTGATCAAGCAGAAGAAAGAATCAGTGAGCTTGAAGACAGGCTGTTTGAAAATATACAGTCAGAGGAGATAAAACAAAAAATAATAAAAAAGAATGAAGATTGCCTACAAGATCTAGAAAACAGCCTCCAAAGAACAAAATCTAAGAGTTATTGGCCTTAAGGAGCAGATAGATAAATTAGGATAGAAAGTCTACTCAAAGACATAATAACAGAGAACTTTCACTTCCTGTTAGAAGATGTCAATACTCAAGTACAAGAAAGTTATAGCACACCAAGCAGATTCAATTCAAGTAAGAGTACCTCAAGACATTTAGTAATCATACTCCCTAAGGTCAAGAATAAAGAAAGGATCCTAAAAGCAGCAAGAGAAAGGAAACAACATAAAAAAGAGCTCCAATACATCTGGCAGCAGACTTCTCAGTAGAAACCTTACAGGCCAGGACAGGGTGACATGATATATGTAAAGTGTTGAAGAAAAAAACCCTTTTATTCTAGAATATTATGTCCAGTGAAAATATCCTTCAAACATTATAGAGAAATAAAGACTTTCCCAGACAAAGAGAAGCTGAGGAATTTCATTAAACCAGACCTGTCCTATAAGAAATGCTAAAGGGATTTCTTCAATCTGAAAGTAAAGGGCATTTATGAGCAATAAGAAATCATGTGAAGGTACAAAACTCGCTGGTAATAGTAAGTACACAGAAGAACACAGAATATTACAACACTGTAATTGTGGTGTGTAAACTATCTTAAGTAGGAAGACTAAAATATGAATCTATCAAAAATAATAACTACAACAACTTTTTAAACACGAAGATAGTATTGTCAGGACCAGCTTGAAACAACAAAAAGTTGAAAAGCAGGGAAATGAAGTTGAAGTATACAATTTCTTTATTATTATTATTATACTTCAAGTTCTGGGGTACATGTGCAGAACGTGCAGGTTTGTTATATATACATGTGCCATGGTGGTTTGCCGCACCCATCAACCTGTCATCTACATTATGTATTTCTCCTAATGCTATCCTTCCCCCAGCCCCTCACCCCCTGACAGGCCCCGATGTGTGATGTTCCCCTCCCTGTGTCCATGTGTTCTCATTGTTCAACTCCCACTTATGAGTGAGAACATGCAGTGTTTGGTTTTCTGTTCTTATGTTAGTTTGCTGAGAATGATGGTTTCCAGTTTCATCCATATCCCTGCAAAGAACATGAACTCATCCTTTTTTATGGCTGCATAGTATTACATGGTGTATATGTGCCACGTTTTCATTATCCAGTCTATCATTGATGGGCATTTGGGTTGGTTCCAAGTCTTTGCTATTGTGAACAGTGCCGCAATAAACATATGTGTGCATGTGTCTTTATAGTAGAATGATTTATAATCCTTTGGGTATATACCCAGTAATGGGATTGCTGGGTCAAATGGTATTTCTAGTTCTAGATCATTGAGGAATTGCCACACTGTCTTCTACAATGGTTGAACTAATTTACACTCCCACCAACAGTGTAAAAGCGTTCCTATTTCTCCACATCCTCTCCAGCATCTGTTGTTTCCTGACTTTTTAATTCCTGACTATTTCTCCACATCCTCTCCAGCATCTGTTGTTTCCTGACTTTTTAATAGGTTGCCTGTTCATGCTGATGATGGTTTCTTTTACTGTGCAGGAGCTCTTTAGTTTAATTAAATCCCATTTGTCTATTTTGGCTTCTGTTGCCATAGCTTTTGGTGTTTTAGTCATGAAGACTTTGCCATGCCTATGTCCTGAATGGTATTGCCTAGGTTTTCTTCTAGGGTTTTTATGGTTTTAGATCTTACATTTAAGTCTTTAATCCATCTTGAGTTAATTTTTGTATATGGTGTAAGGAAGGGATCCAGTTTCAGTTTTCCACATATGGCTAGCCAGTTTTCCCAACACCATTTATTAAATAGGGAATCCCTTCCCAATACTTGTTTTTGTCAGGTTTGTCAAAGATCAGATGGTTGTAGATGTGTGGTGTTATTTCTGAGGCCTCTGTTCTGTTCCATTGGTCTATATATCTGCAGTATAGAGTTTTTACTAGTTTTCTTTGTTTTTGCAATCAGAGTTAAGTTGTCATCAGTTTAAAATAATGGCTTATAAGATGTTATTTGCAAGCTTTATGGTAACCTTAAATAAAAATACCTACAACAGATACACAAAAAATACAAAGCAAAAAATTAAAACACATCACCAGAGAAAATCACTTTCACAAAAAGAAAGACAGGAAGGAAAGGAGGAAAGGAGGAAAGAAGTAAAGACCACAAACCAAGCTGAAAACAAATAACATAATGGCAAGAGTAAGCCTTTATTTATCAATAATAACATTGAATGTAAATAGACTAAGCTTTCCAATCAAAAGGCATAGACTAACTGAATGGATCAAAAAAATAAGACCCACTGATCTCTTGCCTACAAGTAACACACTTCACCTACAAAGAGACACACGATATGATAGCGAATTCCATTTGCGTGGAATATCTTTTTCTATCTCTTATAAATAAGAGATAGAAAGTTCTATTTATAAGAGATAGAAAATAAGAGAAAATAATAAGAAAATAAGAGATAAGAAATAAGAAAATAAAGATATAGAAAAAGATATTCCATGCAAATGGAAAACAAAAAAGAGGAGGAATAGCTATACTTATATCAGACAAAATAACTTTCAAGACAAAACTATAAAAAGGGACAAAAAAGGTCATTATACAATGATAAAGGGGTCAGTTCAGTAAGAGGTATAACAATAGTAAATATATATGTGCCCAACACTGGAGCACTCAGATACATAAGGCAAATATTAGAGTTAAAGAGAGAGATAGACCCCAATGCAATAACAACTGTAAAATTCAATACCCCACCCACAGCATTAGGCAGATCATGCAGACAGAAAATCAACAAGAAAACATTGGTTTTAATCTGAACTATAAACCAAATGGACCTAATAGATATTTACAGAACACTTCATCCAGTGGCTGCAGAAAACACATTCTTCTCAGCACATGGATTATTGTCAAGAATAGGCCACATATGAGGACACAAAACAAGTTGTAATAATTTCAAAAACATTGAAATAATATCAAGCATCTTCTCTGACCACAATGGAATAAAACTAGAAATCAATGACAAGAATAATTTTGGAAACTACGCAAACACATAAAAATTAAACAATATGCTCCTGAATGACCAATGAGTCAATGAAAGAAATTAGGAAGGAAATTTAAAACTTACTTAAAACAAATGAAAATAAAAACACAACATACAAAAACCTGTGGGATACAGCAAAAGCAGTACTAAGCAGAAAGTTCATAGCAGTAAGCACCTACATCAAAAAAGTAGAAAAACTTTAAATAAACAACCCAATGATGAATCTTAAAGAACTAGAAAAGCAAGAGCAAACCAAATCCAAAATTAGTAGAAAAAAGAATAAATAAAGGTCATAACAAAAATAAATGAAATTGAAACCCCTTCAAAATAAACAAAAGATAAACGAAATGAAAATTTGATTTTCAAAAAAACTATAATTGACAAATCTTTCACCAGACTAATAAAATAAGAGAGAAGAGCCAGATAAAGTAAATCAGAGTTGTAAAAGGAGAGACTACACCTGATACAATATAAGTTAAGAGCATTAGAAGAGGCTACTATGAACAACTCCATGCAAATAAGTTGGAAAATCTAGAAGAAATAAATAAATTCCTAGACATATACAACCTACCAAGATTGAATCAGGAAGAAATCCAAAACCTGAACAGACCAATAAAAAGTAATGAGATTGAAGCCATAATAAAAAATCTCCCAGCAAAGAGACGCCCAGGACCCAATAGCTTCAATGCTACATTTTACCAAACATTTAAAGAAATAATACAAATCCTATTCAAACTACTCCAAAAAATAGAGGAGAGAATATTTCCAAACTCATGGTACATTGCCAGTATTACCTTGATATCAAAACCAGACATAGACACATCAAAAAAAAGAAAACTACAGGGCAGTATCCCTAGTGAACATTGATGGAAAAATCCTCAAAAAAATATTAGCAAACCAAACTCAACAAAATATTGAAATGATCATTAATCACGAGCAAGTGGGATTTATCCCAGGGATCCAAGGATGGTTCAACATATGCGAATCAATGAGATATATCATATCAATAGAATAAAGGACAAAAACCATATGATCATTTCAACTGATGTTGAAAAAGCATTCGATGAGATTCAGCATCCCTTCATGATAAAAACCCCCCAAAAAACTGGGTTTAGAAGGAACATGCCTCAACACAATAAAAGCTGTATAAAACAGACCCACAGCTGGCATCATACTGCATGGGGAAAAACTGAAAGCTTTTCCTTTAAGATATGTTTCAAGACAAGGTCGCCCACTTTCAACACTGTTATTCTACATAGTACTAGAAGTCTTCCTCACTAGAGCAATCAGACAAGAGAAAGAAATAAAAAGCATCCAGATTAGAAAGGAAGAAGTCAAATTATCCTTGTTTACAGATGATTATCTTATATTTGAAAAAACTCAAAGACTCCACCAAAAAAATCTATTAGAACTGATAACAAATCAAATAAAGTTGCAGGATACAAAATCAATATACAGAAATCAGTAGCACTTTTATAGGCCAATAGAAATATAAGAAAGAACTCAGGAAGGTAACCTCATTTACAATAGTTACAAATAAAATATCTAGGAATAAATTTCACCAAAGAAGTGAAAGAGCTGTATAATGAATATCATAAAACATTGATGCAAGAAACTGAAGAGGACACAAAATTGGTAAGATATTCCATGTTCATGAATTGGAAGAATCAACACTGTTAACATGTCCATACTACCCAAAACAATCTACAGATTCAACATAATCCTTATAAAACTATAAGTAACAGTCTTCACAAAAATAGAAAAACAAATCCTAAAATTTATACAGAACCACAAAAGACCCAGAATAGATATACCTATCCTGAGCAAATGAATAAAACAGGAGGAATCACTTCACCTGACTTCAAATTATACTACAGAGCTATAGTAACCAAAACAGCACGGTACTGGCATAAAAACAGACACCTAGTCTAATAGAACAGAAGAGAGAACCCAGAAACAAATCCACACATTTACAGTGAACTCATTTTCTACAAAGGTGCCAAGAACATACACTAGTGAAATGACTGTTTCTTCAATAATTGGTGCTGGGAAAATGGATATCCATATGCATAAGAATGAAACTAGATCCTATTTCTTGCCATATACAAAAATCAAATCAAAATGGATTAAAGACTTAAATCTAAGACCTCAAACTATGAAACTACTAATTAAAACACAAGAGAAATGGTCCAAGATATTGCACTGGGCAAGGATTTCTTGAATAATACCCCATAAGCATAGGGTTATGCAAAAATGGACAAAGCAAACCAAAGCGAAAATGGACAAATGAGATCACATCAAGTTAAAAACCTTCTGTACCACACAGGAAGCAATCAACAAAGTGAAGATACAACCAAAAGAATGGGAGAAAATATTTGCAAACAATCCATCTGACAAGGGATTAATAAGCAGAATATAAGGAGTTCAACTCAATAGAAAAAAAGAATCTAGTATTCCAATTTAAAAAATAGGCAAAATATATTAATACACATTCCTCAAAAGAAAACATGCAAGTGGAAAACGTATATGAAAAAGAAAAGGTGCTCAACATCATTGATATCACAGAAATGAAAATCAAAACTACAACAAGATATTTTCTCACCCCAGTTAAAATGGCTTTTATCTCAAAGACAGGCAATAACAAATGCTGGCAAGGATAAGAAGAAAAAGAAACCCTTGGAAACTGTTGCTGGAAATGTAAATTAGTACAACCACTATGGAGAATGGTATGGAGGTTCCTAAAAAAACTAAAAATAGAACTACATGTGATCCAGCAATCTCACTGCTAGGTATATAACCAAAAGAAAAAAATCAATATTTTGAAGAGATATCTGCACTCCCATATTTATTGCAGCACTATACACAACAGCCAAGATTTGGGAGCAACCTAAGTATCTACCAAAAAACAAATGGATAAAGAAAATTTGGTACATATACACAATGGAGTATTATTCAGCCATTTAAAAAGGGATATCCTATTATTTGCAATGTGGATGGAACTGGAGGACATTATATTAAGTGAAATAAGCCAGGCAAAGAAAGATAAATTTCACATGTTCTCACTCATTTGTGGAAGCTAAAAATAGATCTAATTTCCAGTCAACAAATACTTAACTCTGTAGTCATTCTCTAGAAAGTTCTATCATAAATAGAGCTCATAGAGCTAAAGAGTAGATGATGGTTACCAGAGGTTAGAAAGAGTGGTAGTGAGGCAGTGGGGATAGTTAATGGGCACAAAAAGATAGTACCCATTTATATTTTACACGAGTAAAATATAGTATTTGATAGCACAACAGGGTGACTACAGTCTAATAATTTATTGTACATTTTAAAATAACTAAAAGAGTATAATTGGAACGTTTGTAACACAAAGAAATGTTGAATACTTGAGGTGGATACCCCCATTTACCCTGATGTGATCATTATACATCATGTGCCTGTAATAAAACATTTAATGTACCTCATAAATATATACACCTACCATACAAATAAAAAAAAATTAAAGAACGATTTTAACTTCTATTTGAATTCATCTAGAATGGGTAGTGATCAGTTATAAGGACACCCTCAATATAACCAGTTTTTAAAATGTTATAACAATGTCAACTTTAACACTGTACGTCTTGTCTTTAAATCTTAAGGACCTATTTTTCAATCAACAAATACTTAACACTGCAGGCATTCTCTAGAAAGCTCTATCACAAAATAGATCCCTGCAGAGCTCTTGAAATAGGCCCTGTTAAGACCACTAGTATTAGAAAAGAAGTCTATAGAACATTCCAGCGATTCATTGCTCTTTGTTTTTGAAGTTCTAGCCTTAAACTAAGCCCAACCTTCAAAAAACCACATGATTTGTCCCCAGGAACTCTAAGTCTCCATTGAAACAATTTACTTTCATTGTGTTGAGCCCTCAGCTGCTGTGAAGTTTGTCTGTAAAGAATAATTGTGTGAAAAATGTGTCAACATCCTCTCTAAAAGAAAATAGATCATGTTGCTTATACTGTTCATTATGGTTTTACAGTCCCAGAGGCCTGAATTATCAACCAGATTCACGTAAGAGTCTTCCTCAGCCTCAAACTTAATGATTCACAAAGAATTCAAAACAATGGTGCCAGTAGCATGAATGTCAAGAAGACCTCAAACATCAGATGCAGTTTTCAGAATACCCTTTTCTGAACTGGGTTCATTTGCTTTCAATTATATCATCTAATCAGGTGCCAGTCAAGTTAACACAGGGAAACCACTGAGTTTGGGATCTTGTAAAATTATGTATTTCATTAATAACATAGTCCTGTTCTGGCTATATAACTAAATCCCACTATTCATCACAGCTGCAGCATATAAATCCATAAATTTCAGATTCCTTTATAATAATCAAAGTAGACAAACTAGGTATACGTTTGTAAAAGCTTTTCTGTAAGTCCTTCCTTTTTATCTTTTAGCCTGTGTATTCCATCAGTCAATGTTTGCAAAGATTCAGATGTATGTCCCCTCAGGTATTCCGGAGGTGAAAGGAAACTCATTACAGACCCACTATTAAATCTTTCCTTCCCATTTCCTATATTAGGATCCCTGGAATAAACAAACTCTAAGAATCGGCAGTAGAAAAATTTTCTCTCTCTGAAAAAGCTGATGGGCTTATTTTAACTGACAATGAGAATTACATAACTCAATGCATTTCCCTCTTTAGATTCTACAATATCATGCATAAAATGAGTATATAGTCTTTAAACTGTTTATATTCAATGTTTTATTTGTACCTGTATGTATTTTCCTTTGGAAATTGACCTTTTATTTCAAGCAATCTCAAATCATTTGGGGGATAAATATAAAGAGCTAAAATTTGTATGTTTATCTAGAAAAAAATTACAATAAGCTTTCTTTTTCCTTCATAAAAGATATTGTATCTATAGGCATCATTGACAAAAAGACTTCTGATGGCAATATTATTTGTTTTCCACCTCTGCTTCTTCATCCTTTTACACTTCCTTATCACAACTAGAATTTATACACATCGTGGTTAAAGGTCACGTAACTTAGTTCCTATTTTTGGAGATATTTTTCTACCACATTTCCCAAGCTAAAGCTCTCTGAGCTAACTGTAATGAACCCTGCACTGCAAACCCAGGGACCTTAATCAGCTGTTGCCTATTCACTCCTTCTGAAGTTCCAAAGTTCCTGAACAGTGAAAGGCTTAAGGGAACAGAAATTCTAATCCATGAAACTTGAATAGCTCTCATGGGCTGACAGCATCATCATCATGCTGAGAGAAGGAATGAAGAGTGAAGGCTACCAGTGGTTGCACAAGAGAGGGAAAAGGAATAGTGAGAATAGGTGTTGTATTTTATGATTAGGTAAAGCAATTAAAGGGAAACAGACTATCAAAAAGAAAAAAAGACCAAGATTGACTCCAAGCATATAGTGAAATTTTTCTCTTTTACTTAGGTATGTCAAGTACCTAAGTAAATTATAAATTTACTTAGAATTATAAAATATTGAGATTAAAGGGACTTTAAAAATCGTTTTATCCAACCTCTTCATTCAAACAAATTTAAGATCAAGTTGGAAAGAGAAAGACTGAATATAGTGGCAAAGCAAATCTTCTTTTCCTTTTCTCTCCAAATTTCTTATTTTTCTTTTGAATTTATTTATGGCTTTTCTTTGCTGCATCCCATTTTGGAGGTCAAATTTATCAGTCTTTTCCTTAATAACTTCAAGAATATTAGTTAGGAGAGGGTTTTTTTTCATTTCAGTTTATAGAAGAATTCACTTATTTTTAGTTCATGTAGAGTTTTTTGTGTTTTCATTTTAAAAACTCAGGTCTCTAATTAATTAGAAGAGTTATTCTTGTTAACTCCTCTAATTAATTTGAATTAAGAGCCCACTTTCATCTTTTTTCAATGTTTCTCTAGTAAACTAACACCACTTGTTGAAAAGTTTATGTTTTCCCCAATTATTTAAAACGCAGAAACTGTTATATACATTTGGGTCTATTTTTGGATTTTTGATTGTGCCATTGGGCTGTCAGTCCATTCATGTGCCAATCTATATTGATTTAATTTAGAAGCTATACAGTATGTTATCATATGTATTAGGGCTACCTTTCTCATTTCCTATTGCCCCTTTTTATTGTATTTTTTTTCTTCATAGCCATTTGAGCTTCATAGTTTTTGTATAGGCTTTATAATAAATTTATCTGTTTTTTAAAACTTGGTTTTTTTTTTGAGTTCTTATGTAGAATTGATATCTTTGTGATGCTTATTTATTCTAAGAATATAGAATACCTTTCCATTTGTCCAAATATAATGTCATATGTTTCGTGAGTGTTTTAATGTTTTCCTTGTACCTTGTGTGCGTTTAACTTTACACTTTCTTTTATTATTTTCTGGTTGTTCTATTCATTCGGAGCATCCAAATTTTCATTCTAACCTTCCGTCTTTATTCTCCTCTTTGTTTTAGTTTTAGATGTTACAATTCAATATATGCAGCAATAATTGCCAGCAGTCCTTGTACTGAAATTATCTCTTAATTGGATGAATACTTTTCTCTATCAAATTTCTTAAGAAGAACTTGTGAGTAAAATATGAACTGACTTCTTACATGGTTAAAATCAGTTTTCAGTAGTTGTGAAAATTGAAGGACAGTATATAAAACCCTTGGTTCACACATTGTTTCTTGGAAATGTTATTCTACTTTTATCTAACATTATATGCTGACAATTTCCAACCTGAGTTTTAAAATTTCTTATTTGTAGTTGTCTTTCATATCTGCAATTATTTGTTTAATTATGCTCAATTCATGTTTCAGTATTGTGTTACAATTTCCCTTTGATTTGTGACTTTTTCTCAGGACAAGGCAATTGTCATTATTTTACAGAACTCTTCCATTTTCTTTTCCTTTCTTTTTTTAGAAGAGTGAACAAGTAAATAGTGCTCACCATCTCCTCTAGAGCAGGATAAGAGATGTTTCAGTATCAAAGTAAAATGTGCCACAGTTTCCCATTATTACTGAATGGTAGCACTTTGCCTCTCTTACGACTTGATTTTCTCTTCCTGGGACTCAGATGTCTCTTTGCTATCAAGTAAACCTTCTGGCTACTTGTCCATTACCTATTTTCAGTTATGTTTTCTAATGCTGTCTTCAGTATCAGAAATGATGAGAAATTGAGCATTTTTCCCTTGGAGAATATAAGTTGGCCCTATCTTGCTAGCTGAGTCCTACATATCCAAAATCAATAACCTCAGTTTCTTCCCACATTCCCTAAGATTTAAAGAATAATTAGAATGCTGTAAATCAGTGTGGTACCAGATGCACCCCAGCAAATGATAGCTCTTGGAATAGCATCTGAAATGATAATGTGTACTCACTTGGAATTCAGAAATGAAAATGTCCCAGTGCCTTGCTTTATTACTGAAGGGAATCAGTCTTACACCACAGCAATTGCCTGTTCCCACCAGCTGACAATGAAATGAATACGCTGTAGGAGCTGAGATGATTGTGGCATTAAACTTAGCAGCCTCTCCATGATCCTGCAAGACTGCTACTGAATCTAAACTAAATCAGTTCTGAGAAGAGTCTGTATAGAACTTGTTCATCATTTGAAATCTGGAGGGGGAAAATGAGTAAAATCAAATGAGTTAGAAAAGACATTATCAACTAAGAGACAGCTCAGGGATGTTTTAGATCAGGCTGAGAAAATAGGACAGAAACAGCCAAACAGCCTGAGGAGAGTTGACATCATCTGCGAAAATCTAAGAGATTGTTTTATTACTGTCATCAGTTGTGATTATGATAATAATAGTGATCTGGTGTGCAGTGAACACAAAACAATGCAGTAGCAACAGGACTGGCTATATATAAAAAAAGGAATAATATAGATTTTCTGACTGGTAAGCTTGGCATCTAAGTTACCCAGACTATAACCAGAGCAGGGACATCGAGGAAATTGAGTAAATGCCTGAGATAGGGCAAGCATCTGCATATATTATGACATTGGTCTTACTTAGTCCTTTAATCTTTCACTTAGAAGGGTAATGAATGAGGGAAAGATCAGTCCTAGGGACATTATGAGTGGAGGGAGCAAAGCAAAGGTGACAAGTATATTAATATCTATGGGTAAAGCTTTCTGAATATGACATCTCATTTAAGGTTCACAACAATGCAATCAGTTAGATACTATGATTTCCATTCTATACATGAAGTAATTGAAGTTTTGAGGAGTTAAGAAAATTATCCTAGTGCCAGCTGGCCTGTAAGGAAAGCAAGTGGCCAGTAAAGAGAGCAGGGGCTGAAAGCCCAGTGAGTCAGAGCCACAATATTCCAGATTGAGGGCCTTGCACCAAAGCTGGACAAGGAGATGAAATGGAAGTTGCCTGAGATGTGATCTCCATACAAACCTTTCTCATCTACATGACCCTGCTGTGAGTCACTTCTTTAATGTTAAGGAAATTGGACAACACATGAGATCGGGCATCACAAGTAAATGCATAAGGGGAAGAACTAGTTACAGTTCTCCAACTCCTATAAGAGCATACTCATACTCCTATAAGTCATGCATCACTTACATATGGATATATGTTCTGAGAAATGCTTTTCATCAGATTACTTTGTTGTGCAAACATCATAGAGTGTACTTACACAAACCAAGATTGTATAGCCTACTACACACTTAGGCTGTATAACATAGCATATTGCTCCTGGGCTACAAACCTGTAAAACATGTTACTGTACTAAATACATATGTTACTTGTGTATCTAAACATATCTAAACATATAAAAGATACAGTAAAAATACAGCATTACAATCTAATGGGACCACTGTCATACATATGATCTGTCATTGACCAAAATGTCATTATGTGATGCACAACTGTACTTTTATACTTATGCTCCTATCTTTAAATAAGTAGCCCCAGAAAGATATAAGAGATTTTTTTATTGGATGGACATAAAATTCAACTTGTTAATGCCAGGTTTAGCTCTGGTAACTAAAATATCAAACTACTTGGGAAGTATGAAAAAACTTCTTGGGGTCACAATGCATTCTTATGTCTGTGATATTCAGCCTCTGTAAATATTGATGCAATTGTAAATCATGCCAAACTCCATTTCCTAACAAGTATTAATTATAAGAGAATTATGCAAGAGTTTGAGTCCAGCCTGGGCAACATAGTGAGACCCTGTCCTCAAAATAAAAAAAATAATAAAAATAAAGTGAGAGGATTATGTCTGAAATGGCCCTGAATTGTCAGTTTACCTTTTTACTTCTGACTAGTGTATATTTGTAAAGAATTCCTTACAATTAGTTATGTTTTGTGAAAGCACAAAACCACAGTGACATTTAAGCCAGGACCATTATTCTGTGTTTTTAATAAATGTACAAATTAAGGAAAAAAGAACAAAAGAAATTAAATATTTTAAATGTGTTATTATCTGCAGTGATTTTTCTGTATGTTTGATTTAACAATTACTGAAAAATATGACTAAATGTCGCATTTTCTTTTGTATTTGTCTACAAAGAATAAATCTTTTGCTGATCTATCAATTCTTGATATATTTTGAAATGTTATTTTTAATACACTTAAGCTTAAAATACAGTGAAGTAGTACTTTAAAAAGTTACATTGTGACCATTTTTGTCTTTAATGATCCTTTATTCCCTGTAAGTTTTCTTTGTCTGATGCTAATGTAAGTATACCAACTTTCATTTGCATAGAAACATCCTTTTCCATCCTTTGGCTTTTAAGTTTTCTTTATATAATACTAATATAAGTATGCCAGATTTTGTTTGGTTGGAAATATCTTTTCTTATTCATTGATTTTCACTATTTTTGGATCTTAACAAGATATAGCTGAGTCGCATACATGTGTTTTTGTTTGTTTGTTTCTTTGTTTGTTAAACAGAGTCTTGCTCTGTCGCCAGGCTAGAGTGCAGTGGTGCAATCTCGGCTCACTGCAACCTCCGCCTCCCAGGTGCAAGTGACTCTCCTGCCTCAACCTCCCAAGTAGCTGGGGTTACAGGCACGCACCATCACGCCTGGCTGATTTTTGTATTTTAGTACAGATGGGGTTTCACCATGTTGGCCATATATATTATGTTTTTTCTTACACATTGATACCCAAGATAAAACTTAATTTATAAATTAGGCCTACTGATAGATGAACAATACCTAATAATAAAATAGTACAATTATAACAATATACTGTAATAAAAGTTATGCAAATATGGTCTCTCTCTCAAAATATCTTATTGTACTGTATTCACCTATTTTCAGACCATGGTTGATCATAGTTTATTGAGACTGAGGAAAGTGAAACTATGGATAAGGGGAGATTACTATGTTTAAAAACCATATGAATAGAGGGAACACAGAGAATTTTTAGGGCAGTGAACTACCCTGTATGGTGCTATGATAATGATGAATATATTTCACTATACATTTCTCCAAACCCATAGAATATCCAACACCAAGAGTGAGCTCATGTGAAAAATGGGCTTTGGGTGTTTTTAAAATGTTATGTCAATGTAAATTCATCAGTTATAATAAATATAACACTGTGGTAGGGAATGTTGATGATGTGGGAGGCTATGCATATGTGGAGGCAGGCGATATATGGGAAATATCTGTACTCTCTATTCAATTTTGCTGTGAACCCAAAACTTCTCTGAAAAATAAAGTCTGTTTTTTTAAAGTATGCACACTAGATGTGCTCATTACAACTAGAATGTCATTGCTTTTTTCTAGACCAGCTTAGCTGACATAGCTAAGAAATACAAACACACATATTACATTTTTTTTCTATATTTTCCACCTCCATTTCTACCTGGGAATTTTCTATATCTTTTCTCTTATCCATTCAATCAGTAAATTTCTTAAGATATATCATGTGCCAAACAATATGTTTGGTGCTGGGGAAGATGTGCAGAATAATATAGGGTCCTTGCTTTCAGGGAGCTTAGATTCTAGGTGTCTTAGCCTAGGAAGAATATTTTAGTTTTACTGTAAGATACCTTCAGATAACTCATCATTCTCACCACACTTCTATTTTAACTCTGCAAGATTAGATAAGCTGTTCCTTATAATACTGAAGATATAACACTATATCTTTATTTTGTTGTTTGTTTATTAGTATGCAAAATTCTTACTTATATGGCTAAGTAAATACTTTTATTTCTTAGCACATCAAAAGGAACTTGTCAAGTTTTGACTAAGTTTTTTTTCTCAAATGGCTAAATGTAAGCTTAAAATTTTTAGAAAATAATTGTAAAGCACAAAAATGCATTTAAGAATTGGAATAGAAAATTGTGGAATTTCTATACAGTTTCCCTAAAATATTTGAGTTATTTAACAAGAAATTTTGAAAGAATGGAAGACTATTCATACAGGTGCTTTCAGAAAACAAAATACTCACCAATTATCTCAAAGTGTCTCATCTGTGCAGTCTTGTAAAATTAGGAACATAGCTGAAGGCATATTTCATCCCCATAAAATTTTACTTAATAAGTAATTTTATATTGTTTTAATCATAATTTTATCCTAAAATTTCCTTTCATATAATTACAAACTGTTTTCTTAAGATTTTAAGTTGAATGCTTGCTGAATTAATTGTCTATATTTTAATCACATCAAAAATATTTTTAAAATTTAAATTTACTTTGATCACTGTTGTGGCCTTATTTCATAGTTTCAATTTATACATAGGTTAAATGTTTATAATTTCAGAAACATTCTATAGGCTTATTTTATTCTTTCTTTATTTATTGGCCCAATTGTTACTTTAGATAATTTTTTAAATTAAAAAAATCAGCTTTCTTTACACAAATTCACGGTATTCTGCTTTAAGAGTGATCTAAAATATATTCTTCAAATTTTCTGATTTTCAAATTTATATAGATTTTCTTTCTGTGTGTTATAAAAACAATTTTGGAATGTAAATAATGTGCACTTAAAAAGATGGATAATCCTTTTAAGTCTATAAACTTTGGTAAATATTAATTATTTCCAATAACTGAATTTATTTTCTCTGTGTTCTTGTTTTGTTTTACCGGGATTTGGTACAAATAGTATTGAGCTAAAATCAATACAATCTCTGGAGGTCAACTACTGGGGTTTAATATTAGTCTCACCATTTATATATGATCTCTGTCAAATTACCTGGCCTTTATGTGCCTTAGTCTCATTATTTCAAAAATGGGAATAATACTATTTGCTTTATAGGATTTATGTGAGAATTAAGTATTTACAAGATGCATTTAAAACGTGTACATAAAACTAGCACTACACAAATGTTAGCTATTAATACTATAGTTGCTTTAAACTCCACTTGGAATTTACATTTAGTATTTTTTCTTGTTTTCTCTATTCAGTTTTTTCTTTTTAATTTTTCTGCTTTAGTGTTATGCTATAGTAAAACAATTATTTGATTCTTCATTTAAATACAATATGTCTTTGATGAGTAATTTAGACATCATTCACATAAAAAATTGCTCTGCTACTCCTATTATCTGCCATTCTGTATTTGTTTTATCAGTGATTGCATTTGTTATATAGACTTTTTTGTTTATTTTATAATTTTAAAACTTTTATAATGGTATCTTTGAACACGTTTTAAAAATCCATTGAAATCACCCACTAAAACTCTTTCCAGGTTAATTATCAATTGTGTCTCACAAGCCAACTTAGCAATTTCGATCCCCTTTATAATGGAGAAAGCATTTCACAATTTTGGGCTTTCCCTCCTTGCCTTCTCTGACTCCTGCTTTTTCTTAGGCTAACCCAGGGGCCCATTTTAATGGGGTGAGGGAGAAAGTTTAATTAAACTAAGCATTTGGTCTAATAATTACTGAAAATAACCTCATTTCTTCCTTTTCTTGGTCTTATAATTTCTTCTTGTTCTATCATTATCTGCTCTCCCAGCTCACAATTTTTCTTTTATTAACTTAAATTTCTGCAGAAGAAAAAAAAGTGGTGCTTTAAAAAATATTAGCTTTTTGGCATTACAGGGCTGAATGGAAACTATTCTATTATTTACAGAAAATACTTATTCCAAAGCAAGGCCACTCTTGGAAGGAGAATGAGAATTTAAACTGAACTGCTCTACTTAATAATGGAAAGTATTAACTTGTTTGTAGGCTGGGTGACATCTACACAAAGATATTATGATTTTAAACTGGAAGAGATTGAGGGTTTTGGGACTGGGGAAGGGACAAGAGAGAGGGGTGATGTGAAAGAGGCGGAAATGCTCATAGTGTTCATGAGCCCCCAAAATTTGTGAGGTTGGGAAATCTCTGTAAAATGGCAGAGGTGGCACCCTTAGGAGCAGTGACCCCGACATCCAATTTAAAGTTACCTTTTCTTCATTAAAATTTCTGGGAAGATTTCTTTTGGGCCACCACCTATTATAGCCTAGTAAGAGCTTGGACCTGAGGGATGTTGAGAACCACTTTGGTGTGAAGTTGAACTGCAGCTGCACAGAGTGATATAAAGATAACCATATATGGTAGAGAAGCCCTCAGCAGGGTCTGAAGCAAGAAGGAGAAGTGATGTGCTTTGGGTGTGTGCAACCCTGCCCTCAAAATTGGGAATTTCAAAAAGTTCATGGAAAAGTAGAATTAAAAGATAAAAATTTAAAATATAAATTTTGTCTGTCAACATAAGCTCCATCAAGTTCAAGACACATTTGTAAGTAATGATACCAGACATTTAGTTCAACCCTAAATAACTGAGGGTCCTGGGAACTTAATCATGTCAACATAATCATTTTTATATTATTAACTGAAGAAAAATGTGTGGTCTTACCAGATTTTTTAAGATTAAGAAACAAAAAGAGCCAAATCAGAACCTTAAGGTAAATGCCTAAGGATTTCCCATCAAAACTCCCACAAAATTCCCCTTATTTTATGTTACAGTGGAGAAAGACTCTCTGGTGAAGCTTTCCAACTCATTTTTCTGCTAAACCTTTGGCTAATTTTCTCAAAACACCCTCATAATAAGCAGATACTATCACTCTTTGTCCCTCCAGAAATGCAACCAGCAAAAGGCCTTGAGCATCAAAGTGACCTTTCCTCTTGATTAGTTTCCTTTTGTTTTGACTGGACCACTTCCACCTCTTGATAGCTTTTGCTATCATTGTGCTTTGTCTTCAGGATTGTACCGGTAAAGCCATGTTTCATCCCCTGTTACAATTCTTCAAAGAAATGCTTCAGGATCTTTAATTCCACTTGTTTAAAATTTCCATGAAAAGCTCTGCTTCTATCTGTAGCTGACCTGGATGCAACAACTTCTGACAACCATTGAGTAGAAAGTTTGCTCCACTTTAAATTTTCAGTCAGAATTTATAAGCTGAACAAATTGAGATGTCTTTGGTGTTGGCTATTGTTTCTGCTGTTAATCATCAGTCCTCTTAAATTAGAGCAAAAACGAGATGAATTTTTTCCTTGCAAATCGATGTGGATGGTCAGTTGCTACAGGCTTCATCTTCAACATCATCTCATCCCCTTTCAAAACGAGTTATCCATGAGTAGGAGTACCTATTCTTATATCAGATTAAACAGACTTTAAAGCAACAGTAAAAAGAAAAGAGAAAGAAAGTCATTACATATTGATAAAAGGATCAATCAAGAAGATATATTATAATTCTAAATATATAGGCATCTAACTCTGGAGCTCCCAGATGCATAAAACGATTTCTACTAGCCCTAAGAAAAGAGATAGACAGCAACACTATAATGCAGGGAAGGGGCTTCAACTCTCCAGTGACAGCACTAGACGGATCACTGAGGCAGAAAGTCAACAAAGAAACACTGGACTTAACTGCACTCTGGAACAAATGAACCTGACAGATATTTACAGAACGTTCTACCTAAGAATTGCAGAATATGCATTCTTTTCAACAGCACATGGAGCATTCTCCAAGATAGACTACATGATAGATCACAAAACAAGTCTCAATAAATTTTTTAAAATTGAAATCATATGAAGTTTATTCTTAGACCACAGTGAAATAAAATGAGATATCAATTCCAAAAGGAACTCTCAAAACTATACAAATACATGGAAATTAAGCAATATGCTCCTGAATGATTTGGTGGTTAACAATAAAATCAAGATGAAAATTTAAAAATTCTTCAAAATGAATAACAGTGACACAAGTTATAAAAAGTCTGGGATACAGCAAAAGCAATGCTAAGATGAAAGTTTATAACACTAAATAGCTACATCAAAAAGTCTGAAAGATCACAAATTGGCAGCCTAATGTCACAACTCAAGGAAACAGAAACAAAAACAAACCAAAATCCAAAGCTAGCGGAATAAAAGAAATAACAAAGAGCAGAACTAAATGAAATTGAAACAAACAAAAAATCAATGAAACTAAAAGTTGGTTGTTCTTTGAAAAGATAAAATTGACAGACCATTAGCTAGATTGACTTCTCTTCTAGAAGAGAGAAGATTCATGAATAAACACTTCTCAAAAGACGATATACAAATGGCCAACAAACATATGAAAAAATGCTCAGTGTTGGTAATCACACAGGAAATGCAAATTAAAATCACAATGAGACACCACCTTACCCCAGCCAGAATAGCCATTATTAAATAGTCAAAAAAAAAAAAAAATACAGATGATGTGGATGTGGTGAAAAGGGAACACTAATACTATGGTGGTGAGAATGTAAATTAGTACAATCTCTATGGAAAATAATATGGAGATTTCTCAAGGATCTAAAGTGGCCCTATCATTTGATCCAGCAATCACACTACTGGGTATCTACCCAAAGGAAAAGAAGTCGTTATATCAAAGAGACACCTTCAGGGACATGTTTATCGTAGCACAATTCACAGTTGCAAAGATGTGAAATCAACCTAAGTGACCATCAACTGATGAATGGATAAAGAAAATGTGTTATATATACACCATGGGATGAATACTACTCAGCCATAAAAATGAATAAAATAATGTTTTTTGAAGCAACCTGGATGGAGCTAGGAGCCATTATTCTAAGTGAAGTAATTCAGGAATGGAAAATCAAATACTATATGTTCTCACTTATAAGCAAGAGCTAAGCTATGGGTACACAAAAGCATACAGTGGTATATTGGACATTGGAACCTCAAAAGGAGGGGAGGGTGGGAGGGTGGTAAGGTATAAAAAACTACCTATTGAGTACAATGTACACCACTCAGGTGATGGGTGCACTAAAATCTCAGACTTCTACACTATACAATTCATCCACATAACCAAAAACTACTTGTACCCCTAAAGCTATTGATTTTTTTAATGAGTTATTCATTGGTGAACTGTAGATTTCTTTGGGAGTGTTTTTCCCATATACTTTTCATAAAACATCAACAGTTTCACCATTCTTCCACCCAAGCTTCACCATAAATTTAACATTTGTTCTTGGTTTAGTTTTAGCAGAATTCATGTTGCCCTGATAGAGGCTAATTTCAAACTGATGTTTTATCCTTCTTAGTTTGTCAAATTAGATCATATTCATATATATTATAACAAGTCAAGTTCATTATTGGTGCAAAATAATATGAATATGAGTTTATTTTGATACAAAAAATGAAATCCATGCATAGATTTTTATAATACACATTTTCTTTGAATTTTTTTGAAGACACTTGAATCACGGAAAATAGGACTGAATTTCCTACAATCCCCTATCATGGGGACTAGGTATTAAAATAAATTATGACCATGGAGAATGCAAAGACTTGGCAAACTGGTTACATTTAAGATAGGTAGTTTTTTCCTAGGGTCATACTTAAGCTTTTAACTTCCAATGTGAGAATTCTCTTTTAAAAAGCAACTCTAAAAATTGTGGAAAATGCTCTCTATTACAATGGTTTGTGGCTTTTTGGAGTCAAGAATTTCATGGAGAAAATAGTTCCTACACCCTTCACCAGAAAAATGGACCCATACTCATACACAGAAAATGTTGTCTAAAATTTAACCTTTGTTAAAAACCTGGAAACAAACCAATAATCCTCCCTCCATAAAATTTAATGTTACATGGTAATTTGTTTCTTCTGTTAATTTTTATGTCACAACGAGTACCTTCTATTTCTGCTCTTACTTTGTTTTTAGTTTGCGTTTTCCCCCTATGCCCCCACCCCCCTCATTATACCCTTGATGATGCAGAACATTTGGTTGGTATTTACATTGAGAAAAAAAAGAAGTGGCTTCCAAATCAGTTTCACTGGTATTGCTCTTCTGTTCAATTGGCCTTTGTCTTTCTCTAGTACAGTAGAGACAAACCATTCAACAAGCTGAGTAATAGGTTCTAAGCAATTGGAAACATTCTAAAAATTTTGATTGGTTAAAGTGGACATTGCATTCAAATGTTTTATAGACAAACTGAAATCTCCTATATCTAACCATAAAATTCCATATTAAATTTGCAGTTGCACATTCACTACAACATCAATCAATATTATAACTTTTCAAATTTGTTCTCTTGTATACCTTTTTTGATGACAATACATTCCTTGGTTTGAAGGGGATTTCTGAGCAATTGAATTTTTTAGTAAAAGGTTTTAAATGATCAAGATTGAATTTCTCATTCCTAAGGATATTGTTCATTTGTTGATTGTCTTCTAGTATATTCTTATTGGGCGGCACAGAGCAATGCCCTATCCCTTAGGATAGCATGTTCTCAGGAACATGCTAGTGGGGTGATGCTATGCCCTCCCGTCCATTAAATCCCCATCCTTAAGGCCAGTCGTCGATGCTCATATTTTATATTAACTCAAAATGAATTTTCTGAACATCTGGTTATATACCAGGCATAGTACCAAACACTAAGAATACAAATGAAAAATGTAGATACTGTCTAATCCTCGAAGAGCTTCACAGCCTCATTAGCTTAAAAAATGGACAGTATTATTTAGGGCTGTCATTCTAGCTAAGTAATACTAGTATCTCCCCTCTAGAAATCTATAATCTGACTAGGGAGTGAGACATAGCAAGTTATGTAATCATGCAAGATTATAACAGTTTCAATGCCAAATGAATTGCTGGGATATTAAATGCTAAAGGAATTCAGGAGAAAAAGAAAGCACATAGTTCAACATTTAAGACACCAAGAAAAGTTTCTGAAATTATCCATCCAATAAATTGAAGGATTATATCTGCCTGAAGTAAATTAGTTTGGTCATTTTTTTCCAGCAAGTGTCCTAGGATCATGGTGTTCCACATTATTGGAGTCATTACACCTGTGTGCATTAACTATTGAAGGTGTAAAAATATAATAACAAACTGTTTACCTGCTTATATGGGAAGACATATCAAAGGGCGTTTGAAACAATCTACGTTATTTGCTGTGAACAACATACACCTTTTTTTAAAAGAAATGAGAGAGTTGTCATTTATAATTTGCCAGGTAACATCTTAATTTGTTGCAATCATTCCAAGCAGTTGAACTGATCCCTGCAGAGTTACCTGCTGAAAAGCAATATCCATGCTTCAGGTCAAATTTAGATTCACAGGCCAGGCACCGTGGCTCATGCCTATAATCCTAGCACTTTCAGAGGCCAAGGCAGGAGGATTGCTTGAGCCCAGGAGCTTGAGACCAGCCTAAGCAACATAGGGAGACCCTGTCTCTACAAAAATTAACTTACCCATGTGTGGTAGTGTGGGCCTGTGATCCCAGCTACATGGAAGGCTTGAGCCTGAGTGATTGAGGCTGCAATGAGCCATGATGGTGCCACTGCACTCTAGCCTGAGCAATAGAATGAGATCCAGTCTCAAAAAATATATATACGTATATATTTATGTGTGTGTGTGTATATATATATATATACGCATGATAGTGAGCCCTGGGCTAGGTTTTACTTGACAGAAAACAGATTTCTTTTGTCCCCAAAATATGCTCAAGAAAACACTGTTTTGAGAGCCCCTAGCTAAATTGGGATTCCAGTACCGAGCAGTTAGTGACCCTTCTTTAATGGGGAATGAAGGGGAGCTGGATGGCGGTGTTTACTGTGTGTCTTTCACAGGATACTTCTTTTACCTGGCAGATGGCCTAATGTCTAGTTGTCCGACCCATGATCACAGGAGTTCATGAGAAACTTGTTTACACTGGCAGATGCCCTTGTCTGACCAGTTACATGCCTCCCTGACCATCATTCTGGCACTGGGAACCTGATCTTGTGCTCTCCCTGGTGTTCTGGGGAAAATCCTACCTGGGGCAACCCTGAGTTTTTCAGAGGGAAGGCACAGATTCAACACACAACCAAAATAAGAATCATGTTTAAAGATTTTCTGTTTCTTTCAACTTCAGATCCTGGGCAGGGCGAGTCAGGAGGGCAGTTCTCCATCCCCAGGTCACACAAGGCAGTAATGAAGAGTCGAGCTGAGAGAGAGAGAAAGAGAGAGAGAGAGAGAGGCAGAGAGAGAAAGCACAAGAGGCAACTAGCAGCATATATAAGGGAATAGGGTATAGGGTGTGGGTCACTTTAAGTTTCTGGGTAAATGTCTGAATGGTTTCTTTAAAGGGATCCCAGTCTGCTAGGCAGGAGAGATTCCTCTAAGTTCTCATCTCTGGCCACCAGCTTGAGCCATTTGTGTGTGATATAGAATTGGAAACTGTGTCAAGGTTGACTGAGCCCTGCTTGCAACAAAAGCAAGCAATGCAGCAACAAAAGGGGCACTTGCCCCAGCAGTACTTACGTTTGTGAGGCACATGGCTATTCAGGCAAAGTAACCCCCATTATGGGTGAGGGTTAGGCAATTTCACCCCAGCTCCACTTCATCACTGCACAGTGAGTGCAGAATTGTATCACCCTCTCTGACTTTACTAGGAGGGAATCACTGATGCCCTGGAGCTTGGTAGCCCACATCTGTATTGCTGGCCAGGTGGAGGTAGAGCTCCACCATCCTGGCCAACTCACTGTGGCTTAACACTAGCACTTCCTAATGTATAGTCAATACAGTCAATACAGTTCTGACTACTACCAAGCCTTCAGGTAACCGGAAAAGTACACCTGGCCAAGGAGCAACACACCCTTAAATAGTGGCCCGCTGGGCCAGGCACGGTGGCTTATGCCTGTAATCCAGCACTTTGGGAGGCTGAGGTGGGTGGATCACGAGGTCAGGAGTTCAAGACCAATCTGACCAATATGGTGAAACCCCATCTCTACTAAAAATACAAAAATTAGGCGTGGTGGCAGGTGCCTATAATCCCAGCTACTCGGGAGGCTGAGGCAGGAGAATTACTTGAACCTGGGCAGCAGAGGTTGCAGTGAGCCGAGAGTGCCACTGCACTCCAGCCTGGGTGACAGAGTGAGACTCTGTCTCCAAAAAAAAAAAAAAAAAATACTGGCCCACTGTTTAGGGGACCCAATCCCAGGAAGTGCTGCTGGTTCCTCACAGGGAAACACCTTCCTTACACTGGGACCTGCTCTTCAGTGGCTACAGGGAAGTTTGATAGCTCTAAGAACCACCAATAGCCAATGCAATTTCTGGAAAATCTCCAAGGCAATGCCCAACAACAGCAGTACACAGTTATGCAAAGCAAAGCTACAGGCCACTAGCAAGCAGTGCTTTCTTCCCAAAAGGACCGAGCTGTTTGGGAGAGGGAATTTGTATTAGTCCATTTTCACACTGCTATAAAGAACTGCCTGAGAGTGGGTAATTTTTAAAGGAAAAAAGTTTCATTGACTCACAGTTCCACGTGGCTGGGGAAGCATCAGGAAACTTACAATCATGGCAGAAGGCAAAGGGGAAGCAAGGCAACTTCTTCGCAAGGCAACAGAAAGGAGAAGTGCTGAGCTAAAGGAGAAGAGCCCCTTACAAAATCATCAAATCTCATGAGAACTCACTCTCACTAGAACAGCCGGGTGGGGGGTGGGCATTGGAACTGCCCCCCATGATTCAATTACCTCCACCTGGTCTCTTTCTTGACACATGGGGATTATGGCGATTACAATTCAAGATGAGATTTGGGTGGGGACACAAAGCCTAACCATATCACAATTAGTAAACCATGTGCAGCTAAAATGCACTGTGGCAGTGTATAACCTGTGCCAACTGTCCCATACTCATCACCATTTGTTTTGAGACTCCTCCAGTTAAATCGGGGTTCCAGTGACAGAGTGTAGCATTGCTATTGTAACAGGAAATAAGGAGAGGAGAGCTTGATGTGAGGGTTTACAGTGTGCCTTTATGGGATATTTCTTTAACCTGGTAGATGACCTAATGCCTAGATGTCTAACCCACTATTAGGGTTCCCTCATATGGGAAACCTGTTTACATTGGCAGAGGCCCTTGTGGCTCTTGTCTGACCAGTTTATGCCTTCCTGACCATGGCTCTGTCACTGGGAGCCTGACCTTGTACTCTCCCCTGGTGTCCCAGGAAAAATTCACTCTGGGGCACTGATATAGTTTGGCTGTGTCCCCCTCTCCCCCCAGATCTCATCTTGAATTCCCACATGTTGTAGAAGGGACCCAGTGGGAGGTAATTGAATCATGGGGGCAGGTCTTTCCTGTGCTGTTCTCATGATAGTGAATAAGTCTCATGAGATCTGATGGTTTTAAAAAGTGGAGTTTCCCTGCACAAGCTCTCTTCTCTTGTCTGCCGCCATGTGAGACATGCCTTTCACCTTCTGCCATGATTTTGAGACCTCTCCAGCCACATGGAACTGTAAGTCCATTAAACCTCTTTTTTTTTGTAAATTGCCCAGTCTTGGATATGTCTTTTTTAGTAGTGTGAAAACAGACTAATACAGGCACCCCTAGTTTTTTAGATAAAAACTGCAAATTCAATACACCACCATAACAGGGAACTAGTTCAAAATATTTTTTTCAACTTACAGATCCTGGGCAGAGAGGGTACAATGAGTTAAGAGGGCAGTCCTTCTTTCCTTTGTCATGTGAGTCAAGAAAGAAGAATCAAGCACAGAGAGAGAGAGAGAGAGAGTGTGTGTGTGTGTGTGTGTAGAGAGAGAGAGAAAAGAGAGCACACATGGCCACTAGCAGCACATCATATATATAACAGAATAAGGTGTGGGTCACTTTAAATTTATGGGCAAATGTGTGAATGGTTCATTTAAAGAAGGCAGCTGGAAAGAGAGGAGACAGGTCTGCTAGGTGGGAGAGGTAAGCCTTAGTGATGAGTCTTAGCAGCTTTAATCCTCCTCTGCTTTTGTATTTCCAATCATCTACCTGAGTTGTTTTTGCTCACACTTCTGACACCAAACATGTGGGGTTTTTCCTCACACCTCCTAATTTTACAACTCGCCAGGTACCAACTAAGTGCCTAAAATTTAATTAAATTCTGACATTAACTTCCTTTAGTTAGCTTAGACCTCACAAGTTAAGGGCCCAGTCTCAGAAGTCTGCCCTCACTTCAGATGCCAGTCACAATTCCTAGGTTGTTATCTGTACTTCTGACCAATTACCTATAAATCTGATGGTTACCACAAGCCCCTCCTCAAGTTCAGTATTTCCTAGAATAACTCACAGAACTCAGGAAAGCACTTTACTTACTATTTATGGTTTATAACAAAGGATATAACTTGGGAACAGCCACATTCTGCACCTCTCCAGGTATGTTCTCTTCTGAGCACCTTGATGTTTTCAGCAATCTGGAAACTCCGAACTCTTTTGTTTAGGGTTTTTTTCTTTTTAGATAGGAGTTTTAACAGAGGTTTCATTACATAGACATGATTGATTATATCATTCTCCACTGGTGATTAACTGAATCTCCAGCCTCTCTCCCTGCTCCTGAGGTTGGGAAAGGGGCTGAAAGTTTCAACCCTCTAACACATGATTGGTTACTCTGGCAACTAGCCCCCATTCTGAAGCTATCTAGGGGCCCAACAAGAGTCACCTTATCAACATAAACTCAGGTACAATTGAAAGAGGCTTGTAATGAATAACAAAAGATGCTTCTATCACTCCTCTCACTCAGGAAATTCAGTGCATTGTAGGATCCCCATGTCAGGAACCAGGGACAAAGACCAAGTGTATATTTCCTATTGTATCACACTACCCTACACAAATTCTTTCTACTGGGGTTCTTATGCCTGCTGCCTATTACTTGCCTTACTCCCTTTTCAGCAGACCTAAGGAAACCTAAAGGAACACCTATTGACAAGAAATACCAAAGGATTACATTGACTTGTAAATACTAAAATTTGTACTGCATTTCTTTAGAATCTTATGAGAACCAATACAGTTTTGGTCTATATTTCTCTCTGAAAAATGGAAAAAGATGAAAACTATTACTGAATCTTTCTGTGACTTACAGATAGCTTCTGACCTAGAAAAATTTTAATCAAATTTACCAAATCATAAGCTCAACATGGGAAGATGTTTTTTAAATTTTGTATTGTGATAAAATATATATAACAAAATTTACCATCTTAATCATTTAAGGGTACAATTTGGTGATATTAAGTACATTCATAATGTTGTGCAACCATTACCAGGTGTTGTGCAACCATTACCAGGCATATTGTGCAACCAGCCAGGCGTGGTGGGCACCTGTAATCCCAACTACTCGGGAGGCTGAGGCAGGAGATGGCATCCATCTATAGAATTCTTCTCATCTTGCACAACTGAACCTCTATATCCATTAAATAAAAACTCCCCAGCCTCCCCTCTTTCCAGTACCTGTAAAGCACATTTCTACTTTCTGTCCCTATGTACCTTATAAAAGGGTATTTGTATGTTTGTGATTGATTTTTTTTACTTAGCATACTGGCCTCAAGGTTCATCTATGTAGTAGCACATGTCAGAATTTCCTTCCTTTTTAAGTCGAGTAATATTCCATTATATGTATGTATCACATTTTGCTTATCCATTCATCTACCAATGGACACATGGGTTCATTAAAAGACATTTTTATCTTTGTTCACTACCATATCCCTAACATTTAGACAAATTTCTGGCCTGAATTAGGTGTCTGGTGATTGTTAAGTAAATGAATGGCTAACAGTTAAATGTGTGGTCCTGATTATACTTATAACAGCATGATGTTCATTGAATAAGTTGTCAATGTGAGTGTGCTTTTGGGTAACCTGTGACCCAAAATCTCTTCTCTTCCCTGACTTTATATTTCTAGTTCTTTCTTTTACTATCCTTTCACTATGCATTCCACTGATTTCTCCCATCTTTTTCTATTCTTTGTTTCTCAGTGTTGTATTAATACAACACTGTAACATTTATGTAGCAATGCTGGATAGAGGCGGGGTTGGTTGATTCAATAAATAATGCTTGGACATCTACATTATGCTGACCTCTGTGTTAGCATTGGAACGATTATACCTATTTAGTATTGTCTATTGAATCTTAGTTTAGAGCCTTAATTTTCAGTCAGGTTTTTAAAATGCTGAGCACTACTCAAAAGAAATTCAGTGCTTATGAAGTATTTACTAAACTGCTTAACTCAAGCAATATACAGTAATCTATTCTAAAGATTATACTCTCTGAAAGCAGTGATGAAGCTTAATTCCTTCATTTATCCAAATTAAAGTGCCTTTGGAAATCATTTACCACACATATATATATCAAAAATATGTCTTAAATAAACCAAGTTCACTGCCAGGTCAAATGAGGTTGGAGATGTTCAGAGTGGTTTGGTGGTAGAACAATTTGCAAGGTCTACAGTTAGTGATTGAGGTATACTATTCACTTTTTAAAATACTGCTTGTCAGCTAGAATCTAGTATATTTTGTTTCAATATAACTTGATTTTATAAACACCTGAAGATAAGGATTTGGAATGTCAATATAGCTCTATTGGGCCTAGCTATTCAACCTTCTAACTCAATTTCTTGTTTTTCTTCTGATTTTTTATATCTTTCAACACTATAACATACAAAAATAACCTATCTTGTCTTCCTTTACTGGACCTAGAATTATTATTTTATGTCATATCTCATTTCTTTAAAAAACAAAACCAAGATTCCTGTGCTCTTTATCTTTTTGAATGCCCAAAAAAGGTCTGTCTTCCTGAGCAAGGTCTATCTTCATCTAAGCACAGCCAATAGAAAATAACCTGCATTCCTTATACCAGCAATCATACCCTGGTGGATTTGAGATTGACGGTGGCAGATTTGATAGACTTACAGTTGCTTTTCTGAAAGCACATATTTCCTCATCAGCATTTTAAAACAATAAAACTGCAGGGAATACAGAAGATCTCAAAGTATAGAACAGAACAGCTATAGTAGCAGATCAGATAGAAACAACACCAGGCAGGCCAATGATGAATCAGTGAAGAGTCAGAAATCTTAAGGAGATGGAGGGAGATAGGGTAAAAACAAGCAAACACAAGGTGGTTATTTGATAACTCCAATATCTGAAACTATAATAAACTTCTCTAGCATCTTTTCAAAAATTGTCGTTTCTTCTTGTTTTCTATAGTCTAGTAAATTTGTAATTGAATTGATACAGGGTATGAAAAATTTTAGAGAAATTGTGCATTGGTAGGCAGAGTAAAAGAAATTCACCTTAACCCAGTCTGAATTTGAAATTGAGCTAGTTTGAAGCTGAATTCTGTCTTTGTGTGGCCTGATTGATTTCTGGTTCGTCTTTTCTATTAAGGAGTAACCCTTTAGGCATTCCAACGGAAATCCTAGATTGTTAACAAAGCCTCTCCTCCATAGTGATTTCTGAATTCCATTTTTTTTTTTGTCTCTCAAATCCATAAAACAGACAAAAACCTCTGATCAGATTTTTAGCCTTTTAACCATCAGTTACAAATTGATGAAAAACTTAAGGGAAAAGCAGCATGGAATGCTGCATGTGTTCACTTTCATTCCTTTCTTTCCAGTAATCTGGTCTTCAAGTCCTTGTTTCCTGGGAAGCTCTCTGAAGTCCTCAAACAGAGAATGTGTGTGTGTGTGTGTGTACTTTAATTCAGCTTTTCACTTTTGTAGTTTTTCTTGGAGAATTGGTCTGCTACAAGCTAGTCTGCCATAGCTGAAAGCAGAAGTCATGATGGGCATCTAGAATTGACACAGCATCGGCCGGGTGCGGTGGCTCACACCTGTAATCCCAGCAGTTTGGGAGGCTGAGGCAGGCGGATCACCTGAGGTTGGGAGTTTGAGACCAGCCTGACCAACATGGAGAAACCCTGTCTCTACTAAATTAACCAGGCGTGGTGGCAGGCACCTGTAATCCCAGTTACTCGGGAGGCTGAGGCAGGAGAATCGCTTGAACCCAGGAGGCGGAGGTTGCGGTGAGCCAAGATTGTGCCATTGCACTCCATCCTGGGCAACAAGAGTTAAATTCCATCTCAAAAAAATAAAACATAAAAAAATAAAAAATTGACACAGCATACTAAGGAAGAAGCCATGGAACAGGAAAGACATTATAAGCTTTCATCTTTGTGTTTGTTTTCTTTATACCTGTGGGAGTTGCCTTTTTACTGGTTGACCTAACATTTTCTTAGACTCTTCTTTATGGTGCCACCAACATTGTTCTTCCCTTTGAGGGCCAATCCTTCAAACGTTATGGCTGCTTTTATACCTCTTTGGCTGCAATGAATTACTGTCCTGTTTTCAAATCTGCCACTCATCCTGCTGTGTGGCTTCTGGCATTCTCACTGAAGAAATCTGTAGAGAGATAAATATTGTTCTAGTGATTTTTGAGAGATAAGTTTATGTAAGTAGTAGTTCTTCCTCAGCTTAGAAAATACTAGTCCAGGGTTTCAAAAGATGACTGTAATTTCCAAGCTTGGAAGAAATCCAACCCATGGAATTGGAAGATATCTTAAAGAACACACAGTCCAATCTTTCATGGAGAAGCCAACTTGCCCAAGGTTCCATGTCATTAGGTCCAAGGAACAGTAAGTGTCTGCTTCCTGCCCGTGCTCTTCAATACTCTTGCTGTAGATCAGTTACTTCATGGAAAGATTTCTGTTGACTCATAACTCTTGGAATCTGCATCCCATACCCTAAAGTTTCTCTTTGAGATACTAGTTTAGGATGTTAAAAGATAACTGCAAATTCTAAGTTTACATGTTAATGTATATATAAGGGTGTTGTTTTAAAGCAGTTCTCCATGGAACAGACATTTATATGCAGAAAGTTTAATAGGGGAGCATAAGAAGTAGGGCTAGGCAGAGGGAGGGTTTAAACTAGATGAATTCACAGCAAAGGTTCATACAATGATGTGGGTACTGTGAAGCAGGGATGGCCCCATCAGTGTTGTCCTGCTTTTAGGCAAGGGGGTTGGACATTTATGCCCCCATCTGGATAGTTAACCAGTTACTAATTAGTTAAAAATGACTAATTAGTTAAAAAAATTAGTTATTAATTTTCAACTAATTACTAATTAGTAAAACTAGTTAAAAATGACTAATTAAAAATGAAAGCTAAATAAACTAAAATGTTTATTTTTGTCTCTCTGCTAGATTGTCCTTAAAATAAACAGCAAATAGCAACAATCTGGAAGTGAAATAACCTATGGTTTTATTCATAAACATTTTGCAGTTGTTATCAAAGACAAAGCATTAAGGAGGTATGCAAATTTCACATTCATTCTGACTCTTAGAAAAGGATGAAGGTTACCAAAGTTCAGGTACTTGCTTTCTAAAGAGCACCTTTATTGTTCTCATGGTTCTTGTGCAAGTTTTATTGAGAGGCTTAGTAGAATAATGATCTTGAAGTCAAAGGAACTAAAGAGTAGACATTATCCTTTGGTCATGCACTTCACCATGTTTGAAGCTGAATAAATGTTTATTTAATAAGAACAGTGACTTTACAGTCAAAAAGGAATGTTTGCACTTGCCTATGGCAATGATTGCAAGTATTCACTAATATATTTAATGAAAGGAATTAATATTTTTTGATAGAAAATGTATCATATTTATATCTTTACTGAGTTAAAGAACATGAATCAAGCACATGATCTTTGAAATTGTCAAATTTCAAATTTGTGAAGGCATTATTTAAATGATAAATGAGACAATTTTTAAAAATAAATTATTTAAACACATTTTCAATGTTCTCAGTTCCAGCCAAATTGAAAATGAAAGTAAAATTTTATTGCCTTCTTGAAATTCTAAAACACATCTTGTATTAGTTTTCAAATTATCTTCAGTTGAGTGTAGGTGGATGTATAGTTACACTTAGAAGTCAATTTAAACAAGTTATATATTTGAGGTCATAATGTTTATAGAAAGAATGGAGAAAAAATATTTCTATGTGAAACCATCAAATGAAAAATTAAGAATCAATTTGAAGGGATGGAAAAAAATCTCCTACTAATCTGTGACTCCTTTAACCTGCCAGAGAATCCTTATTTTTAACACCTGGTATAATGCAGAAACAAATATTGATGACTGGAAAACCGTAAGACTGTCTGATTTTTATCTTCTCAAATTCTAATCATAAAAGAGGCTACATAAAATTAGCACCTATAGAATGATTCAATGAATATCTCAAATCCATACCTGATGTTACATATCTTTCCCCAAACAAGTTCACAAAATTTTACCCTTTCAATCTATTTATAACTCCCCTCTGTTGGAGGAAATAAGAAGAATTCTGTGATTGTTGCACTGATACTTGGGAGGAGCCCAGGCATTCGGGTAATTTTTATGCACCGAGAGTGTCCTGTACATATTTAATGCTTAGTTGTTAAATACTGATATTTAACAATTTTACTGTTGTTAAAACAGAACAGTTTAGCAGATTATCTACTGGAGAACTCTGAGGACATGATAGATAATAGGACGGAAGAACTATAAAAAGACTGGCAAGGAGGGGTTCTGGTCATTCAATGGAGGAACCTTGAGTATACAGGGCCAGGAGATGTACTCAAGAATCTAAAGACAGGCTTGGGAGGGGCTTCAAGATGGATGACTAGATGCATCTGGTACTCACTTCTTCCACGAAGAGGAACCAAAATAGTGAATAGATAATTACACTTCAAATAAATCACCTAAGAAAAACACTGGAATTCAACAGAGAAGTGACAGGAAGCACCAAAAGCAAAGAAGGAGAAGGAAGCAAGGCAGCCTTCTTGACTGGTGTAGGCTGGGGACCTGGAGAGGCTCTCTAATGGAAAAGGGTAAGTGAGAGATTCCCAACAGTCCACATTCCTGCTGAAGACTCCTAAAATCCTAGCTATGGGAGAGCCCCTTGACCCTCACGGAGCCTGAGACTAACAAAGGGAGTTCCCTGGAGACTGCAATTGCATTGCTCCATAGAGGGAGCCCACACTGAATCCTACAAGCCCCCAAGTCCTAAGCAGCTGTGTTGACATTCCCTGCCTGCAGCTGATACTAGGCTGAGGCAGAAGCCACTGGCAGCAACCTTGCTCCCACCAGCAGAGGGGTGGTCATGCATTTTCACATGCCCTGAAGACAAATTTCACTACCACCTCTGCAGGCTGAAGCACAAGTGAAGTGTATGACCCCCAGCCCTCTGTCTGCAGGTTCTCCCACTGACCGCATACATGTCCTCCAGCAGGGCTGCAGCACAGGTGCTGCTGCCTCAACCCAAGCATTCCACTGGCAACCTAGGGACCAGCCCACCCCTACTTACCATAGCCGGGACCTACATGCACCATCAAAGGGCTTAAGGACAAGTCCACCAGGCCTAGCTCTGCTCCCCTTGAGTACCCAAGCACGCTATTCAGGGGTCTGTAGATTACCCACCCCAGTTCACTATCATTGGCACCAGAACACTTCTCCCAGAGTCTGAGGTCATTCCCACAAAAACTGCTGCTACCATCACAGCTGGCACCCACCCACACATGCTACCTGCAGACTCGAATTCTGTGCTGCCTAACCCATCACAACCACCATCAACACCAATGCAGACCACTTGTGTCCCAGAGGGTTGTACCACCACTGCTAATGCCACACCAGCTGCCCAGGGACTTGATAAGCTGCCCACCCACCTGACTAATCACTGTCACTCCTGACATCTGAGCAAGCCACTGGAAGCCCAAAAATAGGCCTGCCTTGACCCTCTAGCACCAGTGTCAGTGTATGCTGCCCTGAGGCCCAAGGATAGATAAGCTCAGCCCACCACTGCCACCACTGGGACCCACAGACTGGTCCATCTGGCATCCCAGACACCAGCATAAATTCATCACAGCCTCCACTAATGACTGCACCTTATCCACTGAGGAAATCATATAGACCAATGATGCTGCTTAGAGCCAAATATACAGAAACTACACTACTGCACACAACCAGAATCAAAGCCAAAGCACCCCACCCAACCAACATCATAGATACATCTTCAGGAAAAAGTCCTCCTCTACAAAAGCAAATTCAAAAAATTGGAAGAAGCAACTACTACACCAGATGAGCAGATATTAATGTAAGGACACAGGAAATGTGAAAAAGCAAGGAAATATGACACTTCCAAAGGAACACAGAAGTCTACCAAAATAGATCCCAATCAAACGGAATTTGACAAAATCTCCCAAAAGATTTAAAATATTCATTTTAAAGAGGCTCAGTGAGATAGAATATTGAAAAGCAATACAAAGAAATAAAAAAACAATTCAGGATATGAATGTGAAATTTAACAAAGAGATAAATTTAAAAAAAAACAAATTTTGGAACTGAAGAATTCCTTGAAAGAAATATAAAATATATTCAAAATTTCAACAATAGATTAAATCTATCAGCAAAATTTCTCAGAACTTGAAGACAGGTCTTTCGAAATAAACCAGTCAGTCAGAAATATAAAGAAAGAAATTTTTTTAAAAAGAGCAAAACCTATGTGGCATATGGGACATCATAAAGTGACCAAATATTTAAATTTTTGGTTTTCAGGAAGACAAAAAAAAAAGGATTGTAATACTTATTTAATGAGATAATAAATGAAAACTTCTCAAGTCTAGTAACAGATTAAGACATCCTGATACAGGAGACCCAGAGATCCCCAAATATATAAAAGTCAAAGAGATTTTCTCCAAAGCACATTATAGTCAAACTGTCAAAAGTCAAAGACAAAGAATTCTAAAAACAGCAAGAGAAAAGCATCTAGTCAATTATAAAGAAACATCGATCAGAATAATGGTGAATTTCTTAGCAGAAACTTTACAGGCAAGGAGAGAATAGGAAGATACATTCAAAGTACTGAAAGAAAAAAGTGCCAGTCATACCCAGTGCCATATCATACCCAGCAAATTCACCCTTCATAAATGAAGGAAAAATAAAGTATTTCTCAGACAAGCAAAAGCTGAGAGGATTAATCACCACTAGACTAGCTCTACAAGAAATGTGTAAGTGTATCCTACACCTGGAAGTGAAAGAAAAGTATCTGTAATCATGAAAACACATGGAAATTTATAAAATATTTCATCTAACAGCTACAGAGTACTCATATTTCTCACCTGAACATGGAAAAGTCTCCACGATAGACCATATGTTAAGATATAAAACAAGTCTGAACAAGTTTTTAAAAATCAAAATTGTATCAAATGTTTTCTCAGAACACAAAGGAATAAAAGTAGAAATTAATAAGAAAAAGAACTTTGTAAACTGCACAAAACATGGAAATTTAAAAGCATGCTCCTGGTCCGGGTGCAGTGGCTCAAGCCTATAATCCTAGCACTTTGGGAGGCTGAAGCAGGTGGGTTGCTTGAGTTCAGGAGTTCAGGACCAGCCTGGATAACATGGTGAAATCTCGTCTCTACAAAATAAATAAACAAATAAATAAATAAAATACAAAAGAAAATTAAATTAGCTGGGCATGGTGGCACACTCTTGTAGTCCCAGCTACTTGGGGGGTTGAAGCAGGAGGATTGCTTGAGCCTTCAATGTCAAGGCTGCAGTGAGCCAAGATCAAGCCACTGCATTCCAGCCTGAGTGACAAAGTGAGAACTTTTCTCAAAACAAAAACTAAACACACATATGCTACTGAACAAACACTGGGTGAAGGAAACAATTAAGGAGGATATTTTAAAAATTTTAAAACAAATGAAAATCAAGACATAACATACCAAAACGTATGGGATACAGCAAAAGCAGTGCTAAGAAGAAGGTTTATAGTAATAAATGACTACATTGAAAAAGTAGAAATATTTCAAATAAACAATCTAATTATTCAATTCAACGCACTAAAAAAGCAGGAGCAAACCAAATCTAAAATTATTAGAAGCAAAGAAACAATAAAGATCAAAGAAGAACTAAACAAAATAGAGACTAAAATAATTACAAAAGATCAATGAAACAAAGAATTTGTTTTTTGAAAAGATAAGCAAAACCAGTAAGTCACTTGTTAGGCTAACAAAGAAAAAAAGGAAAAAGACCTAAATAAAGAAAATCAGAAATGAAAAATGAGACATTACCACTGATAAAACATAATTATGAAAGTTCATCAGAAACTATTATGAACACCTACCTATACACTAACAAACTAGAAAACCTAGAGGAACTAAATAGATTCCTGGACACAGTCTACGAAGATTGAATCAGGAAAAAATAAAAAACACAAACAGACTAATAATGAGTAATGAGATTGAGTCAGCAATTTTAAGAAAAGTCTCCCCCAAAAAAAGTCCAGGGCTGGATGGCTTTACTGCTAAATTCTACCAAATTTTCCAAGAAGAAATAACACTAATACTCCTCAAACTATACCAAAAAATTAAAAAGGAGGAAATTTTCCCTAATTCATTTTACAAGGCCAGCATTACACTGATTTCAAAACCAGACAAGGATGCAACAATAGCAACAACAAAAACTGCAGTCCAGTATCCCTGATGAGCACAGACACAAAAATTCTTAACAAAATACTAGCAAACAAAATCCAAAAGCATATTTAAAGATACACCATGATCAAGTGCAGCTTATACCAGGGATGTAAGGATGGGTCACCACACACAAATTAATAAATGTGATACATCATATCAACAAAATGAAAGACAAAAACCATATAATCAACAGATGCAGAAAAAGTGTTTGATAAAATTCAGCATCCTTTCATGGTAAAAAAGACTCTCAGCAAACTATCCATAGAAGGAACATACCTCAATATAATATCATAAAGGCCATATATGACACTCCACTCCACATCATATTGAATGAGGAAAAGCGGAAAGCCTTTCTCTAAGTACTGTAATAAGAAAAAGATACCCATTTTTACCACTCTTATTCACTCTAGTACTGGAAGTCCTAGCTAGAACAATCAGGCAAGAGAAAGAAATAAAATACATCCAAATGGAAAAGAGGAAGTTAAATTGTCCCTCTTTGTTGATGACATGATCTGATATGAAGAACACCCTAAAGGCTCCACCGAAAGTTCCTAAATATGATGAATAATTCAGTAAGCTTGCAGGATACAAAATCAACATACAGAAATTAGTAGCATTTCTATAAACTAATAATGAACTAGCTGACAAAGAAAAGAAAGCAATCCCATTGATAATAGCTACAGAAATTAAAATACTTAGAAATAAATTTCATCAAGCACATTAAAGGAAATGTGCTACAGGGAAAACTACAAAACATTGATGAAAGAAATTGAAGAGAACACAAACAAATGGAAAGACATCCCATGCTTATGGAGCAAAATGATTAATATTGTTAAAATAACCATACTGCCCAAAGCAACCTACAGATTCAATGCGATCCCTATCAAAATACCAATGTCATTTTTCACAGAAATAGAAAAAACAATCCTGAAATATATATGAAACCAAAAAGAGCTCAAATAGCCAAAGAAATCCTGAGGAAAAGGAACAAAACTGGGTCAGGCGCGGTGGCTCACGCCTGTAATCCCAGCACTTTGGGAGGCTGAAGTGGGTGGATCACGAGGTCAGGAGTTCAAGACCAGCCTGGCCAAGATGGTGAAACCCCATCTCTACTAAAAATACAAAAAATTAGCCAGGTGTGGTGGCAGGTGCCTGTAATCTCAGCTACTCGCGAGGCTGAGGCAGAGAATTGCTTGCACCCGGGAGGCAGAGGTTGCAGTGAGCCAAGATTGTGCCACTGCGCTCCAGCCTGTGGAAGCAGGGAAGGAACAAAACTGAAGATATCACATTACCTGACTTAGAAATATATTACAAGTTTATGGAAACCAAAATAGCATGATATTAATATACAAATAGACATATAGACAAATGGAACAAAATAGAAAATCCAGAAATAAATCCACATATTTACAGCTAACTAATTTTTTTTTGAGACTTTTGTTCTTGTTGTCCAGACTGGTGTGCAATGGCGTGTTCTTGGCTCACTGCAACCTCCGCCTCCTGGGTTCAAGCAATTCTCCTGTCTCAGCCTCCCAAGTAGCTGAGATTACAGGTGCCTGCCACCATGCCCGGCTAATTTTTGTATTGTTAGTAGAGATGGGGTTTCACCATGTTGGCCAGTCTGGTCTCGAACTCCTGACCTCAGGTTATCCACCCACCTCGGCCTCCCAAATTGTTGGGATTACAGGTGTGAACCACTGTGCCCGGCCTCAGCCAACTAACTTCTTACCAAAGCATCAAGAGCATACATTGTGGAAAGAACATTCTCTTAAATAAATGGTGTTGGTAAAATTGAATATTCATATGCAGAAGAATTAAACTACACCCCTATCTCTTAACATATACAAAAATCAACTCAATATGAATTAAATACTTAAACAGAAGACCCAAAGCTATAAAAGTAGTAGAAAAAAATGTAGAGGAAACACTCCAGGACATTGGCATAGGCAAAGATTTTATGCCTAAGATCTCAAAAGCACAGACAACTGAAACAAAAATAGACAAATGTAACTATATTAAACTGAAAAGCTTCTGCACAGCCAAGGAAACAATCAACAAAGTGAAGAGACAACCTGTTGAATGGGAGAAAAAATTTGCAAACTATTCATCCAGCAAGTACTAATATACAGAATATTCAAGGAACTCAAATAACTCATCAGTAAAAAACAAATAATTCCATTAAAAAGTAAGCAAAGGACATGAATAGAGTCCTCAAAATAAGTCATACAAATTACCAACAGGTAAATGAAAAAATGCTCAGCATCACTAATCATTATAGAAATCAAAATCAAAATCACAATGAGATATCATTTCACCCCAGTTAGAATGGCCATTATCAAAAAGGTAACAAAATAACAAATGCTGTTGAGGATGCAAAGAAAAGGCAATTCTTAGAAACTGTTGGTGGGAATGTACATTAGTACAACTACTATGGAAAACAGTATGATGATTTCTCAGAAAGTAAACCATATAATTGAGCAATCCCATTACTGTGTGTTTATCCGAAGGAAAAAAAAAAGGGGATGCTTGCACTCACATATTTATTGTAACACTATTCACAATAGCCAATATGTGGAATCAACCTAAGTATCCATAAATGAATGAATGGATAAAGAAAATGTGGTCTATATAAATGTATTGATCTATTCTCATCCTGCTATAAGGACATACCTGAGACTGGGTAATTTATGAAGGAAAGTGGTTGAATTGACTCACAGTTCTGCATGGCTGAGGAGGCCTCAGGGAACTTACAATCATGGTGGAAGAGGAAACAAACACATACTTCTTCACGAGATGGCAGGAAGAAGTGTGGAGCAAAAGGAGGAAAAGCCCTTTATAAAACCATTATATTTCATAAGAACTCACTATCACCAGAACAGCATGGAGGTAACAACCCCCATGATTCAATTACCTCCCACTGGGCCCCTCCTACGACACGTGGGGGTTATAAGAACTACAATTCAAAAGGAGAATTGGGTGGAGACACAGCCAAACCATATCAACAAACAATGGAATAGTATTCAGCCATAAAAAACAATGAAATCCAGGCATTTGCAGCAACATGGATAGAACTGAAGGCCATTATGTTATGTGAAATAAGACAGGCACAGAAAGACAAATGTCACATATTCTCACTAGGACCTAGGAGCTAAAAAATTTGATCTCATGGAGGCAGGGAGTACAATTACTGATTCCAGAGGCTAGTAAGGGTGTGTGATTGAGAGAGCGGTGTGAAGAAAGGTTGGTCAATGCATACAAACATACAGATACACAGAAGGCACAAGTTGTAATGTTCAATAGCAGAGCACGGTGACTGTAGCTAGCAACAATATATTTTACACTTTAATGTAGCTAGAAGAGAGGACTTGAAATGTTCCAAACACACAGAAATGATAAATACTCAAGATGATATATACTCTAAATATGCTGATTTGATCATTACACATTCTATGCGTGTAAAAAATGTTAAATTTACCCCATAAATATGTAAAATATTATATATCCCAAAAAACCCTTAAGACATACTTCACGGATTTCATAGTTCTCCCTGATGTCAATACTGTTAGCTCACTTGTTATTTTCTAATATTCTCTCAGGTAATAACTTTCTCCAGTTTTCATTGTGGGTTCCTTGTATATCTTTTCATATTTTTATAATTGAGAATGTTAACATGCTTCTTGTTTCTTTCTCTTCTTACCTCGAAGACTTTTGTTTTTCCTCAAGCACAACCAAGAACCACACTGAGGTAAAAAGTAAAAATGTTGGCCCTTATAAGAAAATTATTGGTTACCTATATTTTACTATTGATGGATTGAGAAATAATAGCAAGAGCAAAGAATCAACCTGTGGCCTTTGGTTTTCAAGCTAAATATGTATTCTTTCTTCATTTTTAACATGGATCATTAGGTACAAACTTACTTGATTATGGCTTGTTACTATTGCCATTTTTTAGTATAATATCTTGTTAAAATTTTCCCTCATTCTTCCAAGGATTTATCTTTTCATTAAGATCCTCTGGTCCTAAATATTTGATAAATTCTGTATCAAAGCTTTTATGATATTTAGTGAAAAAGTGATAAAAAGTTGTAATTAATTAATCTAAAAGCTCAATGATCAATTTTTAAGTAATAATGGTCTCCATAAAAGTATTTTGGCAGTGAAATACATAATATATATTTCAGTCTAGATATAGATGATTTTCTACTATACTTGCTCTTTTCTTTTATGTAAAGGTTGTTAGTTTGTTAGCTGGTTATACAAAGACTAGTCTGAGTATTGATCCTGATTCCTTGGTATATTTTATTCAAATATTTTATGTGTATCATGTATAGAGATAGAAATAAAATTCTGTAGAAATATATATATATTTCATGAATATATTTAAGTATGTATATTCATAAAATATAGTTTTATATTTCACATATATTTATACATATATTTCATATGTGTGTAAGTGTATAAATAGATAAGTGTATGGAGTATCTATTCATGTAATATTGTAAAACAAGAATTTTTAATGACCATACCTGAATAATTTGAAATGCTATCTGTGGATTAAGATAGTACTTAAACATAAATTTCCAACATGGTTCCTTACAGTGTATTACTGTTTAGATACTAGGAATAGAAAAGCATGTGATTATATAGTATTTCTTCTTTTTAGATTTCAGGTGTTTGAGTAGAAAAGGCTGCTATCCAAGTTTTAAGAGCTAAACTTTAAAGGCACACTAAAACTGAATGTTCTCAGATTTAATATGAGCAATTTCCTTGCTCTTTTGCCTGCCTAGTAAATCATTTACTCCAGCAGGCAAAATTTTTCTTTCAAAAAAAAGCTTCTTTTGAAAAAAAAATCTCAAAATAGTGTTGAAATAGAAGCACTGTGTACTTGCTCTGGATACAAACCTACCAAGACAGAAAAGTGGTTGCCTTTTCACTCATGACCCAGTGGGAAAATGTAGGAAATGAGTTTTAAGTGAGAATAAATGATGTTATCTAAAAATCTTTTTTACTAAAACAGAAAAAAAAAACCTTACAAATGATTAGAGGACAGGGTTTAAATTTTCATAGTAATGGAACTATACAAGTATACATTTTGTGCCCAAAGGACCTAGAAGACAAAATGACACTTCAGAATTTAATATCTGTACCTATTCATTCTCCTCCCCAAGCTCTAAGAACAGAAAAATCCTGATGACATCTGACAGTCCAGAGTCCAAGTTAGAAGCATTCTAATTTTCCTGTGTTTATTTCTTATTAGAATGGAGAAGAAAAAAAAATTCATAACCAAGACTATAACCAGGAAAGAAGCATTACATAAAAGAGGGAGCCAAAACTATACTATAGCTAAATTTTTCTCCTCATGTCTCTTAATTGGACAATTGAGTCCATTTATTTTCAACACTATGGGTAAGAAAGGACTCACTGTTGCCATTTTGTTGCTTGTTTTCTGTTTTTTTTTGTTTTGTTTTGTTTTGTTTTGTTTTTTAGACTTCTTATTCCTTCTTTTTATACTGATTTTCTTCATGGTTAAGTGATTTTCTCTGGTGGTATGTTTTAATTTGTTTCTTTTTATTTTTAGTCCATCTAGTATAGGTTTTTACATTGTGCTTCCCATGATACTTAACAAAAAAATTATTATAACAAGTTATTTTAAGGAGATGACAACTTTTCTTAGATCACAAATAGAAACAAAGAAAAAATGAAAAACAACTTCTGCACTTTACCTCTATTCTCCCCATATTTTGACTTTATGTTGTCTCAATTTACATATTTTTATATATTGCCCATCTCTTAACAGATTGCTATAGGTATTATTGTTTTTGATAGATTTGTCTTTTCGGCTTCAAATTAGAACTATGAGCAGATTGCACACTGCAATTACAGTATTAGAGTATTCTGGCTGTGTCTGTGTATTTAATATTACTAGTGGTTTTTCTATCTTCAAATGTTTTCTTTTTGCACATTAGTGTTTTTTTCTTTCAGATTGAAGAATTTCCTTTAACATTCCTTGTAAGATGGGGGTAGTGTTGGTGAATTCTCTCAGCTTTTGTTCATCTGGGAAAGATTTATCTCTCCTTCATAGTTGAAGGATAGCTTTGCTAGACATAGTATTCTTAGGTAGCAGCCTTTTTTTCGTTCTTTCAGTACTTTGAAAATGCCATCCCCTTCCCTCCTTGCCTGTATAGTTTCCATTGAGAAGTCTGTTGACATATACATTGGAGCTCCTTTATAAGTTATTTGCTTCTTTTCTCTTGCTGCTTTTAAGGTTCTTTATTTGCCCTTGATTATTGAGAATTTGATTATTGTATACCTGGTAGTAATCTTAATTGAGTCAAATATGGTGTTCTCTGAACTTCTTGTATCTGGATATTTATCTCTTTCTCAATTTTTGGAAAGTTTTCTGTTATTCTTTCTTTGAATAAGATTTCTACCCCCTGCTCTTGCTTAACTCCCTCTTGAATACTAATAATTCTTATATTTGGTCTTTTCAGGTAATTTTCTATATCTTGTAGGTGATCTTTCTTTCTTTTCATTCTTTTTCTCTTCTGACTGCATATTTTCAAATAGCCCGTTTTTGAGCTCACTGATTTTTTCTTCTGCTTGATCCATCCTGCTGTTGAAAGCCTCTACAGAATTTTTCAGTTTACCAAATATGTTTCTGAGTTCTAAGATTTGCTTGATTTTTAAAAATTATTTCAATCTTTTTGTTAAATTTCTCCAATAAATTTTTGAATTGCTTTTCTATGTTATCTTGGAGATCCCTGAGTTTCCCTAAAACTACAATTTTGAATTCTTAGAGAGTTTATATGTCACCATGTTATTAGGGTTAGTGACTGGTTCTTTGCTTTGTCCATTTGAGGAGGTCATAGTTCCCTGTTTGCTGTTGTTCCTTCATGATGTATCTCTATTTGTTTGTATTGAAGCATTAGTTATTATTCCAATCTTCTCTGTCTGGCTTATTTTGGTTTTTACTGGATATATTTGCTTTGTAATTTACCTGTTGATTTTATTTTGTTTGTTTGTTTTTTTCTACTAGGTTGCTGCCCCATTTTCAGCACCATATGGCACCTTAAGCCCAGGTCTGCCTTGGTTCTAGTAAGCAATCACAGTACTGTTTGTCCCATATTGGGGGAAGCACCAAAGGAGATATCCCAGAAGTGTGAGAAGGCTGGGAAGGGGCCCCTTCCTATAGGGCATCTACGGAATAGACTTCCTACAGCACGGAAACAGCCTGCTGAACAGCTACTCTGATTTGGTGTCTACTTTGGCCAACCTCAGAGAAGAGTTTCTAGGGCTGTGAATGGAAGTGCCACCTCCCTCCTTTCTCTCTGTCCTCAGGAATATTTCTCATTTCAGGTACCTATGATGGTTCTCATGGGTTGAAACAGGGACAAGTCTCCTGCCAGGGAACCCAAAAGGATGGGAAATATTGTCCAACTTGAACTCACTTTTTCCAGTGTGAGTTGGGGAAACTGTGAGTTGGGGAAAATTTTTCTATGTATTTTCTGTCAGGAGATTAGGGTGAGGGGCATTGCAGATGTGGAAGTCCACTTCTCTTACCATTTGCTCAGAGTTTTTCATTTCTCTGCGGCCTCAGGAATTGTCTAATCATCATATTTGAGTTCTGGGATATTGCTGGTGATAATCTCAGTACTGAATATTTGGTTTTTATATTCTCTTGGGGGTAGGGTGGGAGAATAATGCCAGCTACCTTCTCTACTGTTATTTTGGAACCAGAAGACTCTTCTCATGTCTCAAAAGAAGAAGTGACTATATAAAGCTTGCTCCTTGGTACCTCTACCATTAGGGTAATAGAATACATACAGAGAAATACAGAAATACAGATGCACCCTTACTCAAGGGATATATATATATAGATAGATAGATAGATGGATAGATAGATAGATAGATAGATAGATAGATAGATAGATAGATAGGTGATAAAAGGACAAACCACACATTGGTCAAAAACAGAATTCAGACAACATAAATTTTCAAGGCAGATTTCAAAAATTAAGATTAACTAACCAAAGATGGATAGGAAGCTGAGAAGAGTATCCAAAGACCAAGTAAGAAAGACCAAGTTAACCTGCAAGTGGAATATTCTGTCAAGCACTGCTGTGGCTGCAGTTAATATTTACCAGGCTCCAACCTCCAGGTCTTAAGTCTTAAGGGCAATGTGCGTGATTCCTAATAAAACGTGTGGATACAAAAATTAGGCAAGGTTTGTATTATCAGTCAAAAGTGGCTCATTATAATCCACATTACAGGATTCATGAGGAAGATACGATTATTTCAATGGAAATTATGCTAAAAAGGCATTTGATAATATTCAACATGTATTGCTAATTATTAAAATTGGTTTCTTATTAAAAGTACCTATTATAAATGAATATATACTATCATGTATAATGACAGATTTTTAGACATTTCTGCCAAATTAAAAAGCAAATCATCTGCACTTTTAATTAATATATTAGTGGGGGATGAAGAGAGGGAAGAATTTCCATCATGGGAAAACTGTAGTCATGAGAGAATAGAAAAAATATGAATAAATAAGGGATATCAGGCAGTGGAGCAAGAGGAGAGCAAATCAGAGAGAGGAGCAGAGGGGCCCAGGTAGGCAGTCTCCAGAGGATGGAGAAAGGCACTCCTGTGATTACTTTCCTGCCCTTCACTGTAGCTTCCCTGAGGTCTGGCCATACCTGGGAAGTCCCAGGCTGTTCGTGGAATTTTGTGTGGAATTCATTCAGTAAGCCCATATTTTCTTTTATGGGGGGGCGGGAACCTATTTTTCTGATTATAAAATGTCACCTTTGAAATTCAAACATATAAGAAGTATAAATAAGGTGAAGATCAGCCATAATTTTAACACTTATTGGTGCTTAATCTCCACTGTTTGAGTGTAATGTGCACCAGTGTGTATGTATGTACATGCATACATATATATATATAGTATTTGGTATTTTCATGCCATGCTGGTGTGAACTTATATAACCATTGGAGGAGAAATTTGGAAATGTGTATTGGGAGCTACAAAAATAATCCTACTTTTTTTTTCAACAAAAAGTTTTAAGTACCTACTATGTACCAGGTATTCCTCGGGGCTTGTGGGATATACCTCAGAACAAAACGGGAAGAAATCACTGGCTGCATGGAGCTTATAATGAGAGAGAAAAAATAAACAACTAATATAATAAATAACACACATATTGAATGCTTGAAAAAGATGAATGCTACGAAAGAGGAAAGTAGCAGAGCAGGGTAAGGAATGAAATTCCAGATGGGGCAGGATGGGGACATGTTGAAATGTGAAATAGGGTTGTAAAAATCCGAGAACAGACTTGCAGATTGGGGAAGTTACCATGCAGACACCTGGGATAAGATCATGCCAGACAAATTATTATTGATGAGAGAAATTTCCATTTTAAGGATATATTCTAAAGAAATATAAGTATTTATGTATTTTATATTGTTTCACAGTAATGGAACATACTTCATATACTGTTATGTAATCTGTCTTTATCAATATATTATTACACATTTTATGACAATAGGCATAGAAGTACATCATACCTTTTTTGATTAGATGGTATTCCAATAAAGGGTGTGCCATAAGTTATTTAACCAATCCCCGAGTTTTCACTTTTGCAGAGTACTACAAATGACACTTTTGTATCAATATTTTCCATATGGTTTGTTTTGTTTTGTTTTTTGCTTTAGAACAGGAAAGTGGTATCTCTCAGTCACGGAGATGCACAGTTTTAAGGCATCTCCTTGACCAAGAGACACCACCTTTATATTAACATGTACTTTATAAGCTGACAATCCTTGCTCTCTTTGCAAATTCCTGAGATTGTGCATGTTCATTGCCCAGGTCATAATGGCTGCTGACATTCAATCTTTCCATGAGGAGTCCCTTGCAGTCCCAGCACATCTTCCTGGTGTTTTCTCATCTGTTCTTGGTGAGATGGTGGGGAAGGTGGGTGGAGAACCAGACAATGTCTTCTCTTCACCTCCCTTCTGAGATCCAAGCGTCACTTAGTGATCACTGACAGCCATGAGTTTTGTGCTTACTGGTTTGCATTCTCTGAAACCCAATCATTCCTATGAATCACACATACTGGTTTTGTACAGAATAAAATAAAAAACATTTCCTCTCTCTCAGTTATTTTTCCCTTATTTCCCCACATTCTTCTCTAATCATTCTGTAGACCATTCACATTCCCTGTAGTAATGCCTACAATGTTTTGATATGAGTTTGCTACTTACAGTCCTGCTAGTTTATAAACAAACAAAACTATTGCTTTCCAGTGCTGGCAAGGTTCAGAGAAAAAAAAACAGCACTTTATTTCTATCTATGCTGATTTTAGCATAAAATACTACAATCTTTTTGGAAAATAGTTTGGCAAAATGGAACATGAGCTATAAATTTTCATATATTTGGTCTCAGCAATCTCAAATGTAGGAGTACATTCTTTTTTTTATATACTTTTAGTTCTAGGGTACATGTGCACAATGTGCAGGTTAGTTACATATGTATACATGTGCCATGTTGGTGTGCTGCACCCATTAACTCGTCATTTACATTAGGTATATCTCCTAATGCTATCCCTCCCTGCTCCCTCCACCCAACAACAAACCCAGTGTGTGATGTTCCCCTTCCTGTGTCCAAGTGTTCTCATTGTTCAATTCCCACCTATGAGTGAGAACATGTGGTGTTTGGTTTTCTGTCCTTGTGATAGTTTGCTGAGCATAATGGTTTCCAGCTTCATCCATGTCCCTACAAAGGACATGAACTCATCCTTTTTTATGGCTTCATAGTATTCCATGGTGTATATGTGCTGCATTTTCTTAATCCAGTCTATCATTGATGGACATTTGGGTTGGTTCCAAGTCTTCGCTATTGTGAATAGTGCCGCAATAAACATAGGTGTGCATGTGTCTTTATAGCAGCATGATTTATAATCCTTTGGGTATATACCCAATAATGGGATTGCTGGGTCAAATGGTATTTCTAGTTCTAGATTCTTGAGGAATCGCCACACTGTCTTCCACAATGGTTGAACCAGTTTACAGTCCCACCAACAGTGTAAAAGTGTTCCTATTTCTCCACATCCTCTCCAGCACCTGTTGTTTCCTGACTTTTTAATGATCGCCATTCTAACTGATGTGAGATGGTATCTCATTGTGGTTTTGATTTGTATTTCTCTGATGGCCAGTGATGATGAGCATTTTTTCATGTGTCTGTTGATTCTATAAATGTCTTCTTTTGAGAAGTGTCTGTTCATCTCCTTTGCCCACTTTTTGATGGGGTTGTTTGATTTTTTTCTTGTAAATTTGTTTAAGTTCTTTGTAGATTCTGGACAGGTTGCCTGTTCACTCTGATGGCAGTTTCTTTTGCTGTGCAGAAGCTCTTTAGTTTAATTAGATCCCATTTGTCAATTTTGGCTTTTGTTGCCATTGCTTTTGGTGTTTTAGTCATGAAGTCCTTGCTCATGCCTATGTCCTGAATGGTATTGCCTAGGGTTTTCTTCTAGGGTTTTTATGGTTTTAGGTCTAATATTTAAGTCTTTAATCCATCTTGAATTAATTTTTGTATAGGGCGTAAGGAAGGGATCCAGTTTCAGCTTTCTACATATGGCTAGCCAGTTTTCCCAGCACCATTTATTAAATCGTTTCCCCATTTCTTGTTTTTGTCAGGTTTGTCAAAGATCAGATGGTTGTAGAAGGAGTACATTCTAAAGGAACAATTCAGAATATGGATATGGAAAGGCATGTTTACAAACATGCTGATTGTAATATATTTCTATAATTCCCCATCAACACCTGTATTAGTTTTCAAAACAAAGGTGACTTTGTTATAGATCACAAACTAAGTGGCTTAAAATGACCAAAATTTATTCTCTCGGCATTCTGGAGGCTAGAGGTCTAAATCAAGGTGTCAGCAGGGTTTGTTCTTTCTGAGGGTTCTGAGGGAGAATCTGTTTCATGCCTCTCTCTTAGCTTCTGGTAATGGCCAGCGATTGTTGACATTGTTTGGTTTGTAGATGCACCATTCCAATCTCTGCCTCCTTCTCACATGTGATTTTCCCTGTGTCCCATGATGTTAAACAGTTATGGGAGAGGTTGGCCTTGGGCTGAATCCTGTTTATACCAGATTACCTGACTTGTGGGAGAATCAGTAGAGATTATGACTTTGCCAATAGTTACCACCATGAGGACCACTTCCTAAGAGTCGTCTCCCCTTCATGTCCATGATAGAGTGGGTCATCATGCCACTTTTAGGCTATCAGTCAGCAATATAATGTTTGGTATTCATTGTTTAAACCCTCCAAACTCTTCAGGCAAGAAGAGCTGTCCAATTCACAGATTCAGTCAGGATACCATTGAGTACTAACCTTGTAGAGTCACTGAAAGGATTTAAAGTTGTCATTGTTAGGATTTACATTTTAAACCTTGAAATGTGATAGAAATTTTGCTGCCAGTATACACAGTTCTTGGGATTTAACCACTTATTAAAAAAACACCCATCTTAGCCTGGGCATGATGGCTCACGCCTGTAATACCAGCACTTTGGGAGGCCGAGGCTGGCGGATCACAAGGTCAGGAGATCGAGACCATCCTGGCTAACACGGTGAAACCCTGTCTCTACTAAAAATACAAAAAAAAAAAAAAAAAATTAGCCGGGCATGGTGGCAGGCGCCTGTATTCCCAGCTACTCAGGAGGCTGAGGCAGGAGAATGGCATGAACCTGGGAGGCTGAGCTTGCAGTGAGCCGAGATCACACCACTGCACTCCAGCCTGGACGACAGAGTGAGACTCCGTCTCTAAAAAACAAAAAACAAAACAAAAAAAACCCATCTTATATAATATTTTAATTTCTAATAGGATGAGAAATATTCCATCACATAGTGCAATTTGTGTGTCTACCCATGCCATTGATAACAAGAAAAGAGACAAAAAAATAGCCTCCAGGGGTCCAGAATGAAGTGTTTCCCAAGTTGAAAAAGAAATAAATACCAAAAAAAGAAAATAGAAAAATTCATTATCTTCATGTTATGGAAAAATTGTATGTTTCTTCACTTATCAATTGCAGAGGAAAGAAGTAAACAACATCAAAATACATCCTTTCAACAGAGACACTGGTTGTAAATAAGGTTTCATCATTTGTATGCTTGTCCAAAGTGGTAATTTAGAATGACTGCTACCAGCTCTGGCTGTATCCAGAATGATAATTATGAAGTAAGTGCTGAGCAGATGCTTGGAAATAAAAGTTTGCCCTGAGCTGCCAGGAGCCTAAGGACAAAGCTAACAGTCCCCTTAAACCCTTAGTTTGGGAACAGAATTGTCAATACAGCCACAGTCTGCCAATTTGCTAAGCATCAATAGACATTAGCCATGCATACAAATATGGATTATTTTAAGAAAATAAATTGTCACTGACATATAATTATTTTTGCTTTCCTTTCTATGGATCTGTGCCTACTCTGAATATCTTAAAGCAGCAACTCAAAATTAATTCATAAGAAAAGGAGAAACAGGCTAGTAAAAATTGTATTATAAGCTCACAGCAAGAAATACGTGTTTAAAAAGGGATTTATTCTTTCTTATTGGAATGAACACTTAATTTTCTACCTAAAATGAAATAAAACTTTAAGAAAATTTAAGGCTGCTGAGAAATCAGTTTTTCACATGCCAAACTGTGTTAGCAAAGTTGGGAATAAATCATCAAAGAAATCTGACTAGTACTACACTGCAGTTCCGGCAATATAATATTTAACTTTATATCCACATGAAGCAACTGTAGGACAACTATCACTAATGAGTTCACTGAATACTGTGATCTAATACCTTTGAATAATAGACAATTGGCATTCCTCCTCTTTGTGCTCTGAATTGCTCTTCTCTTGCTTTCCCTTCTTCTCATCTTCCTTCCATTGCTACTTCTCTGAAAATATCTTCCTTGTTACGACATTAAAAGATTTGCACCACTATCCTTATGCCCTCAATTTTCTCCCTTTCTGATTTTCCCACCACTACTGGTATTAAGCCTGCTTCCTTGGCAGCTCCTTTAGGTGACAATGACAAGAGTCACAGACTTGTCCTCTGTCTTTCTGGACTGTTGATGTGACATGTATTAAATTATACTCTTTATTTAGAATGAGAACAATGATTGGTAGTCTTTCTACAAATGGGCTTAAATTTCTGTTCTTTCATTGCTTGACTGCATTTTGAGATTGCGATCCAAACAAACTGAAAAAATATTTGACTAACAGTTACAAAATTTAGAAGTTTTGAAATGAAGGATTGTCTTTGTCATTTTGTGGCTTCTAATAAATATTTACCATTGAAAGAAAAATTTGGCCAATAAATTAGGAGTTATATAAGTATAGTATATATATATATAGACTCTATATATACACACACACACACAGAAGTTTATATAAATATAAGCATTATAGTTATCTCAAATCTCTTAGTCAATTAGAGTGAAGGTCTATTATGATATTTTAAAAAAGATAATAAATGCTATTTTTGGAGTGCCTACTGTGTGTCAGAGACTTCACATTTGTTATTTAACACACACACCACCCCGTGATAATTACTGCTATCTCCGTTACCGCAACGAGCACAGTCAGTCTTGGAGAAATTATGTCACTTTTCCAACTTCTACTGTCCTGCTAAACCTTTCACAGTCTCAAACATAAAATCCATTTAATTTGCTCCCCATGATTTAGCGATATATTAGGCTAATTCGAAGGACATGAATTTATTTTGATAGAACGTAACCCATTTATGTAGGGAAGTATTTTATAACAGACTTTTACTATATTTTTATTTCACTCCTATAATTCTTACTAGGAAATGATTTTTGGTTTGATATTCTTGAATCATAAGATTGAAATCTACACTTCCTTCTTTGTGCTGCTTAAATCTCGCTCTTACTGCAGAACTTAACGCATTTCAGGGAAGCTCAAAGTTCCCTTAGCAGCAGATTCTGCCAAAGACTCTTCACTAACACGTATTCTGTTGAATTCAAGGGGCTTGCAGATAGACTTTCCTTAGCCCTCAGTAGTGATTCTGATAGTGAGGGAATGTGTTGAGGAAAAAAGCATAACTGAGTACCTATTTGCTTGCCCTTTGGAAGGAAAATGGCAAATGCTTTTACTCCAGGAATCCAACTTGTCACAGGACAGTCATGTGGAAATGAATCAAGTTAATTATCCCTTTCTAGGAAAACTTACTTCTGGACATACTAGTTAAACATTAGGACTTAGAGAAAATAATTTTGTACACTGCCTACCACAGAGAATTATTGCAGATTAGGAGAAGTATATTGGAAGTATTCAGGAGTGAAGTTGTTTTGGCAGAATCAGGGCCCCTGTGCTCACATGAGACGTGTGGGTCACTTGAAAGAAGATTCCATTATCAACTTTATTTCTTAATATTCATTGTCTATAAGACACAGACAGTCTGTGACGATTTAGATGGTCAATCAAGGGAGGCATGAAAGCACTGTTTTCCTCAGAAGAACTCTGAACTCCTTAACATGACAGATTTTTTCTTATTAATTTTACCCTCACTAAAGGTCAGCTGAGAATCAAATGAGATACCCATATAACCATAGTAAATGCATCTTCAAACATAAAGTTACATATATACGGTATAATAATTTTGAATACATAATGCTTATTAAATTTTATATGCATTTAGTAATATAATGTTTACAACTCTAAAATATGCAGTATTTTTATCCCCCATATTATAGATGGTAAACTGAGGCACTTGTGAGTTTAAGTAATTTTTCCAAAGTCCACATTGCTAGTGATGGGCTCAGCTGACTTGAATCCAGGATTCTTTTGCCCCAGAATGTGTGCTCCTAACCACTATGCATTGCCTGCCCTTCATAAAGTCCCATAAAAGAGTGGGAGTTGAATAATGAGAACACATGTACACAGGGAGGGGAACATCACACACCGGTGCCTGTCAGGGGGTGGGGGGCTAGGGGAGGGATAGCATTAGGAGAAATACCTAATGTAGATGACGGGTTGATGGGTGCAGCAAACCACCATGGCACATGTATACCTGTGTAACAAACCTGCAGTTCTGCACATGTACCCCAGAACCTAAGGTTAAAAAAAAAAGAGTGTTTTCCTAAGGTACTATGTCCTTAGTCATGCATGCAAGTTGTCATTTCTTTTAATAGGCTGTGATCTCATTTTTTTAATTTTTAAAAAATATTTCATTTTTATGGATAAGTACTAGTTGTACATATCTGTAGGGTACAGGTGATGTTTTAATACATGCATACAACGTGTAATGACCAAACCTGGATAATTAGAATATATATCACCTCAAATATTTATCATTTCTTTGTGTTGGGAGCATTTAAAATCTTCTCTTCTAGCTATTTTGAAAGATACAGTAAATTATTGTTAACTATACCTGCCCTATTGTGCCATTGAACACTAAAACAGACTCCTTCTAATTGGATTTTTGTGCCCATTAACCACCCTCTCTTCATCCCCCTCCTCACTACTCTTCCTCACCTCTGGTAAACACCAATCTATTTACTACCTCCGGGAGATCATTTTTTTTTAGCTTCTACATATAAGTGACAACATGTGATATTTGTGTGTGTGCATGCATGCATACATGCCTGGCTTATTTCACTTATCATGTCCTCCACTTCCATCCATGGTGCTTCAAATGATGGGATTTCATTTTTTACGGCTTATAACATTCCATTGTGTATATATGCCACATTTTGTTTATCCATTCATCTGTTAATGGACACTTAAGTTGTTTCCATATCATGGCTATTGTGAATAATGCGCAGTAAGCATGCACCTATAGGTATCCCTCTGACGCAGTCATTTCTTTTCTTTTGTGTAAACACCCAGTAGTGGAATTACTGGATTGTATGGTAGTTCTATTTTTAGGTTTTTCAGGAACCTCCAAACTGTTTTCCATAGTGGTTTTACTACATCACACACCCACCAACGGTGTGTGAGCATTTCTCTTTCTCTGCATTCTTGCTAACTTTTGTTATTTTCTGTCTTTTTTAATAATAGCCATTCTAACTGGCTAATCATCAGGGAAAGCAAATCAAAACCACAATGAGATATCATCTCACCCCAATTAAAATAGGCTGTCAACCTTCAATTCTTTTGGAAAGGATCTGAGTGCTAATCACCTTTGACTCTGACAGAGCAAACCTTTGAACATACTGGGTTGATTATAGTTGAAAAGAAACCACGTTTAAAACAAAATTATTTTACCTCAGAGGTAAGGATAACCATGTTGGAAATCTTCATAGTAGCACAGAGGTATAGATACTGAATATATTTGAGTTCTAGCTTCTCTGAGACAAAGTCATTCATTCACTCAAATATTTCGTGACTAAAATCTCCTAAGAAAGGAAAATAGGGGCAATATTCAAACTAGAGCCTAGACCAAAGCAAGGAACCCTGAGCTCTTTGTGGAAAGCCAAAAGCATAACAAAAGGAAACCAAAGTCTTCTCAGGGTCAGGCTTAATGTGGCAATCCTCCGAACAATATGCTTGGAGAAGCAGCCATCAGTGGTCAGCTCAGAAATTTCTGCCAGTGGAAACGTATAGGGTGAATCTTATCCTATTTGGGTGTTTTCATCTTCTCCCATCAGCAGATTGATTATTAGTTTATCAGGTTAGTCAGTTGGAACCTGTTGAATAACATACAGGGAGGGAAGGTTTTAATCAGTGAGCGGAGCAGGAATATAAATGGCCTTTGGTGGTAAGGAACCTGAAGAGACATCTAGCCATTACTTGTACAAGCAAGTGTGGGTTATGAAGGATTTTTGGTAACGCACATAGTAGGTAAAATATTTTACCAAGTATACGAAGACCTAACCTTTCTACAAATTATGTAGCATTGAACAAGCAGCTAAGCTTCTTTGGGTTTCAGTTTCCTCATCTGTGAAATAGGAGGGGCCTGGAATAGATGATTACTATAGCTCTTTCCACCTCTAACAACTGGAAGGTTAAGGATTAACAGCAAGTTCATTAAGGTCAAAGTCAGCTTTAATCATTCAGCAGTGAAGCTAGAGTTTGCAGTGATGAGAAGGCAGAAGTCCTAACTTAAATCTCACCCTGTCGAGCACCTCTTTTGCCCTTCAATAATCATAAAGTTCTAACATCTTCGAAAGCTACTCAGGGCCAAGGTTCCTTAAGTACTCAAAAAAATTCAATTAAAAATCACTGAAAAACCTTCTCAAAGGAAGGATTTAAAAAGGATAAAAGAACCATGAATGGCAACACTTACTTTAGAAATCTCTTCAAATATTAAAAACAGAACATTGCAAAACAAAAAAAATAGCTCTCAATTGTACAGTATTCTGTCACAGTGCAGTTTGGCATCATGCCAAATATGCAAACACAGTGAAAAATTATCTTATGTGTTCTCTAAGGGTCCAAAGTTTTCTCAATTCAAGCCCATCTTCTCTTCCAAAGGAATGATAAATCTGAGATGAAAACAAGTCATATACACAGAAGGAATATAGACTCATAGTCCATTTATTTACAAATATGTACTGTTCCTTCACCATATGGTTTGAACAAAGACATTAAAATGTGAAAACAACAGCAGGTCTCGAGCTTAGCTGCCATAGAAATAGATTAGTTTCCAGGTCTGGCCAGTTCTCAGAGACATGTCGACCCACAGTCTGTTCAACCACAGGCACTTATGTTTCAAAAATGTCTCTACGGAACTCTACTTTCTCCTTTTTGCCTGCAGATGAATTAAATTAATGCTTTGCATATTTGGTTTTAAAAAATGACTCTTCCCTGTTTCAGTGGTCCTTTCTTTCAAGAATAATATTTTGTCTGGCTATTCAAATACTGTTTTATTAATAAATGACATATGCTAAAAGCCAACCAGATCTGAATGTTGGCATGAGCATTGTGTCTTCAGCCACATCATGTCCCACATTTTTGGCGCCTTAGAACTTCCTAATCTCAGTTCCTTGGTTCCTTCCACCTGCCTCTCAGCTGGTCCAGCTCCTTTGTTAAGTCTCCTCTTGTTCTATCCCCCTCCCCACCACTACTCAGAGCCAGTCTCCTCTATTATACTCTAGCCCACAGTTACTTTCAAATATAATTATCTATGTTCTAAACATCTAATCTGTGAATTAGTGGTACCTAATAAAGACATTGGCTAGAAAACATGTATTTAGAAGGACAGCAAAAAATCGTGTATATGAATTGCTTTTGGAATAAAGTGATACAGGTTTAAGCCCCTGTTTTATAATATGGTAACTTTTCTTCTACTGGGTCTAAACAACATTATTTCCTTGTAAAATAATAATAATCATTTCATATTTATTGGGCATTTACTATGTCAGATATTGTGCAAAGTTTTAATACACATTATGTCATTTAATCTTTACAACAGTCCTATGAGCTATGCATTACTCATACCTCACTCATTACTCAACCTCACTTTGAAATAAGAAAACTGAGGCCCAGAGAGATAATGAAACTTGACTAGATTTAGGGTTTCAACCCACGTTTATCTGAATCCAGCACCAAACCTCACCTTGCAATGTTTTTATGAGGATCGAATAAGATGGTGTATGTAAGGACATAGCATGGGTTATAAAGTGCTGTGTAAATGTAAGCTACTGTCCTAACCAAGACTTTAAATTAATGAATACAGGAAGTGTAGGCATTGTGTTGAGTTGGAGATGCAGAAGATTAGAGGGCAGGAATTAAACCTACAGGCTTCTTATTATGGAGAATAAGGATTCAGGATCCCAAGAGGAACAAAATATTGTACAACAAATAAGTATAAATAAAATGCACTATGTGACTAATGAGAGGCCTCTTTGAACAAGGTAGCTCAGGAATAAAGAAAAGTATAATTAGAAAACTTTGAATTTAATAATCACTTCTTTCTTTTTTCTTTGGTTTTCAATGTCACTATCATTAATTCTTCCCAAACTATCTAATATAATAAATAAATGCCTCTTAATGCTATTTTTCCTAACAGTGAAAGAAAAGTTGCACGGGACAGGTTAAACTGGCAAGAAACACTATTGCAATAAGAATCAAGACTACTACAATTGGTGATTAGAGATTGGACTCTAGTCCTCGAACACAAAAGCTAAAGAGTTTTGAAGCACTGGAGTGAACTAGCGGAATAGTACTGGAGGATGAGGACTTTAAGGGGAAAATTTGTCAGTGTGATTACACTATTGGTTTTTGCTAATTGACGCTTATCAAAGTTAGGCCCCTACCTTTCCACAGAGACTAAGAGGCAGGGGCCCTAGCTTTCTAGATGGTTCCACTTCAAAGGGAATACTCCCAGGTCCTTGAGAAAGATATTACTGGGAGTAAAATTGTCAAGAAGCTGGAAGACAATTTACATCTCAAAGGGGCAGAGAAGAAACTTACAATCACAAGTTTTTCAAGGTAAATGCTCTAAGAAAAGTTATATCAGGGGCCAATCAGAAGACTGTCTAAGGTTTAGTCAAACTGAAGTTAAGGGTGTTTTGGTCACTACATCTAAGCACATCAGATAATTAGATCCCCCCTTTTTTTCTGAACACATCTTTTCTGAAACTCTCTCCTCCCCTCTTTAATCTGGACTAGTTGCTCTCTAGGCCTGATGCACAGCTGTCAACCTGGGACTTTCTTTGCTTATCTTCCCTTATCTGGAGACACTAGTTTAGCAGAATACATAGATTTAGAAGAATACATTCTTCATTAACACCCTGAGACATGGTGCATACAAATAAAATTTTAAGACTTTAAGTGTCTGAAAATGTTCTTTTCTAGTCTCACTAATGACAAATCATTGGACTGAATATAAAATTCTAAGTTAAAAATCATTTTTACCTAGGTGTTTTCTTCTGCTGTGTTCTAGCTTTCACTATTCCTATTGAGAAGTCAAATACTGCTTGGTGCTCAATTTCTTGAATGTCACTTACTTTATTTCTAAAAGCTTGTCTTAGTCTATTCATGGTGCTATAACGAAGTATCATAAACTGAGTGATTTATAAACAACAGAGATTTATTTCTCACAGTTCTGGAGGCTGGGAAGTCCTAGATCAAAGGACCAGCAAGTTCAGTATCCGATGAGGATTCATTTCCTTGTTCATAGATGGCTCTTTTTGCTGTAACCTCACATGGTAGAAGGGGCAAGAGGTCTCTCTTTGGTCTCCTTTATAAGGGCACTAATGCCATTCATCAGGGCTCTGCCCATGACCTAATAACCTCCCTAAAGCCCCACCTTCTAATACCATCACATTTGGGGTTAGGATTTCAACATGTGAATTTTGTAGGGACACAACATTCAATCTATAGAAGAGCTTGTAAGATATTTCTATTATTCCTGGTGGTTTGAAATTTTATTCATTGCACTGGACTCTGAGTGACCCTTTCATTACGAAATCACATGTTCTTCAGTGATACATACGTTATTGGATTAATTATTTGAAAATTGTTTTGTCTCCCCTTCTCTTTTCTCTGTTCTCTCTTTTGGGAACTCTTATGAATCGGACATTAGGTCTCATGAATTTATCATCCAATCTTCTCTCCTTCTCCAAATTTCTTCGCCTTATTGTTCTATTTTCTCAAAGATTCCCTTGATTTTATAATCATATTGATTTATTTTACTTTATTCTTAATCTCTAAAAGCTCAATTATTTTATTGCTTCTTTTAAAATATTCTGCTTTTGTTTTATGAATAAAATATTATCATTCATTTCTATGAGGATATAGATTTAAATATTGTTTAAAATCTCAGGGTTTTTTTTTTCTTTTTGTTCTCTGGAGGAATTTCTTTTCAATTGATTATTTGGTTGATTTGTCTTTCAAACTGGAAATTTTTCCAAACTGTTGAACAATCCTTGGCTGTCTATTTATATTTAAGAGTGTGGCACTCAAGAGCTATTTGGAAGTACACTCTAGCAGATATTGGAACACAGGGGTTTCATAGCAGGATCTCCAAATGTCAGTGTCTTTGCTAGATATTCTGCGTATGCACTGCCCCCACCATGACTTTTCTCCATTTATATCCATCCTGCTCTGTCCCTGGAGGCTGACACTGAGAACTACACACTTAGACTTCCTGAACGGCTGGGCTTCAGTGAATAGACACTCTGAGGCTGTTCGTGAGCAAAAAAGGAGAGCATTCAGGGTATTTTTTTTCTCTTGATTCATTCTCCGTTTCAGCACAAAGTCTCTAGTAGTATTTGTAACTCTCTACATGTCAGTTTCTGTTGGGAGGGCTTTGTTCCACTGCTCCACTTTGTTCCTTCTGCCCTGGAGATGCAATGGCTTCCCACCGTTGCTAGGTGCTGGGTGACTCACCATCTCTCATTCATTTGCTCACATGATGGTTAGTATTAAACAGCTCCTTCATTAACATCCTTCATTTGAATCCCTTAGGGTGAATCTGCTTTCCTGCCAGGATAGTAGTATCCACAAGTTTGTTTTTTGTTTTTTCTTTTTTTTTTTCCCCTTTGGAATACTTCAGTTTCTCCAGAGAATAATCCTCTAATATTTTTTCAGAGAATGGAGGAAGCATATGCCTGACTATGAATGCTCATAAAGCAAGGATCATTGGGGTGGGGGTTAAAGTTTCCATATGTAGCCTTTGGCTCCATGTTATCACCATTTTATTGCAGTAGCTCTACCCTGTCTGCTGCTATCCCTGGTATTTTTGAGATTTACTTTCCACAAAGTAAATGTCCATTTTCTTGGTGGGATTGGGCTATAGGGGATGCAGGAAAAGATCATCAGGTCTAATTACCTCTCAATGAGGTACTTCTTAGCCAGTTCTTCTTGTTTTCAGCCCCATGTCTCATTCCAACCTTCTGCAGTATGGGTATCTCTAAGTCCTGAATCCTTCCAAGTGACATGGTATGAATTAACCTGCTTTCTTCTTTAATGACATACCTCTCTTATGGCTGTTGTTTTTTTTTCAGATCTTTTCATTCCTTACATTCATTTTCCATCTTCTAAAAATTTTTGGCATCTCTGATCGCTGTTGATGCACTGCTGGTTCTCTTTGTCCTTTGGTGTTTAGACCATATTTATACTTTTCTTCCAACTTTACTACAATTTTAGTGGGATTCATAGGGGAATTTAAAAATCATGTTTTTATTTCACCACAAAACTGGAAACTTCTCCCATTACCTTTTAACAAGTGTAGATCTTGGCACTGAGAGCACCCAATATTGCTGAAAGGAAAGGTAGGTAGGACAAAAGAGGAAGAGCCCAGAAGGAGAAAAGTTACTCTGCATAAGACCTAAAAGTTACTCTGCATAAGACCCAGAGAGGGGGGAACCAGGGCAGAGCTGAAAAACAAATATGTACAATAGAAACTTTGATGACATTTCCCAAGTCTTTTATATAAACTCTTTATCATATTCTCCCCAAGTCTTCCAAACAAAAACAGTATAAAACTTGTTTTATTCACTAATGCTTTCTGGCATAGGTAGCCTTTAGGGGAAAGTGCTGGATTCAATTATGAGTTAATGCTACACATGGAGACAAGCAGCAGCTGGGCTCTGTTGCTTCTTATATTCCTTTCTTTTTTCTCTTTTCTTCCTTTCTTTCATTCAATTAATATTAAATGCTGTCTACTGCGGTATTATACTAGATACTATGAACTATAAATCTCTGTTTTCAATAAGTTTACAGTATGCTTGGAGATGCTGAGGAGTTCACTGCCATTATGGAAAAGTGAGAGAAGTGTGGGAAGTGCTGCAGTGGAATAATGAACAGAGAGTTTGGTGTAGAGATGAAATCAGACAATCTCTGTCCACAAAGACCCTACATTCAAGACAGGTGGTTAGAATTTAAGATTTAATATATAGTTAATAATATTGCATTGTATACTTGAAATTGCCAAAAGATTGGATTTTGAATATTCTCACCACACACACATACAACAGGATAAATATGTGAGGTAATGGGCGTGTTAATTAGCTTGGTTGTGGTAATCATTTCACAATGTGTACGTATATCAAATCATCACATTGGATAGCTTAAACATATGCAATGTTATTTGTCAGTTATACCTCAATAAAGCTGGGGTGAAATTTTCACCTAAGAGAGTGTATATTTTATACAAAAATATGTTATTAACATTTTTATTAATTCATCCAATGACTCTGCATTTACTACCTTAAATAAAGAATTAATAGAATAAGGTAAAAAAGAACATTCTAGACGGTGCCAAGGTCTGTGCAGGGACAGTGAACCTGAAACAGAGTGACATTTTCAGGGGCAAGCAAGACATTTAATGTAGACACAAGGTGAGAAATATGCAAGATAAGCACACGAGGCAGGCCGTAGTGTAGTGGAGTGCAGGGTGGCATAGTGTGAATTTCATCCTGAAAACTGTGACAGAGTTTCAAGAATTTCAGGATGAGATGTAAGATATAAACAGATTTAGATTTTTAGAAGACTGGGAGCATTGTAGGGGATAATGAGGTGGACAAGATCAGAGGCAGAGAGAATAGAAGAAAACTAATTGCAGGCCAGTCATAAGTATGCACATTGAAGGGGCTCTGTCAGTGGCAGTGGAGCTAGAAGGAAAGGAGAAAGTAGGGAAGAGATTGTGGTTGGTGGTTAAAATCTATAGAATCTGGCAATTGGTTATTGAAGTAGGGAAGGAGGCAGAATTAAAAATATGTAGAAAGAAGACCTAAAATCATTCTTAGGTTTTCAGCTTAGATAACTGATTTCAAGAGACTCAAAGGTTGTTTAGAGATCTTAAATTGCACACAGATGATATCTGGAGAGATGAGAATCAAGAGCAAAGAGAAAAACCAGACAGAAGTAATGGCAATGGGCCTAATAAATAATATTTGCTATGTGAAGATATTAGAGACTAGACATTTCTAGTTAAAACTCAAACCTAAGTGAGTTCCTAATGCTTTTCTAATGTTCACAACTCAGGGAGCCCAGAAGAACCTTATGAACTCCAGGAGAAAATGTAGTCTTATGCCAGAACTGACGCTGCTGCTGATGATAATCTGGATACATTTGAAGGGGTGCAGGGAAATTACACTGGGTGCCTCTCTGAACATCCTGAGAAGCACAACCTACTGGTAGCTAAGTGCCCCACATGGAAGCACACTCAGCAGTAATAGCAAAAAATGCCCACATTTGTGGCCTTGTAATTGCATATAAGTTGTAGCTGAATACACACATTTATAGTGAGAGAAAGTAGAATTGTGGTTGCTAGGGACTTGGGGGTGGTGGAGGGATGGGGAATGATTGCTAATGAATATAGAATTCATTTTTTAGGTGGTGAAAATGTTCTGGAATTCAATAGTGATAATGGTTGAACAACCTTGTAGATATATTAAAACCACTGCATTGTGTACTTTAAAAGGGTGAATGTTATGGTATGTAAGTTACATCTCTCTCAATTAAAAGAAATAAAATAAAAAATATATATAGCCAAGGCCCAGGGCCTAGGTGCCACCAACCAGATTATATGAGTATGAGGCATCTCCTTGTCCTAGGACCTTTGGACCACAGCACTACCCTCTGAGCTGGGCTCTATTCATCTCACTAGAGACCATCTGTCTTGTCAGTAGAAGCTTTAAGATAGTGGTCTTTACCATACTCTAGGACATTTACAGCTTCTCTTATCCTTAGGGAGAGCCTATTACCCAGGGAACAAAAATAGGAGAAATAGGAAAAGAAGAAAGTCATACCAACTAGCCCCAGTGAAAAGTGTCTGCAGCTTCTAGCTGACAAGTGGCTATTTTCTGTAGGACACTGAGACTTTGTTCATTAAAGAAATAAGTGCACACAGAAACATACACTAAATATATATTTACTAAGAAAATGAAATATCTACCTCCTTTATCTTCATTATGTTTGATATTTAATAAAGTTCTTGCTTAGGTTAGAAAGTAAAAATAATGTATTGAGTCATTCTAGTAAAACAGAAAAGGATTTTTCTTATCAAAAGTCAGATACTACATGCCTTTGGCTAGCATGACACAATAAAAAGATCATGGGCTTTAATGTCCATAAGATACGGGGTTTGTCACTAGTGCCTTATGATCTTGGACAAGTTTTTTGGAAGACAAGCCTTTGTTTCATCAGCTCTACATTGAAAATAAAATGAATGGGGAGAGCGGGGAGGGATAGCATTAGGAGATATACCTAATGTAAATGACGAGTTAGTTGGTGCAGCACACCAACATGGCACATGTATACATATGTAACAAACCTGTATATTGTGCACATGTACCCTATAACTTAAAGTATATTAAAATATATATATATAAAAGAAAGAAAGAAAGAAAATAAAATGAATTAAATTTCATAAAACATGCAAAGTGTCTGGAAGCATTTGACAAGATGTTTTCAATGACCATTTACTCCATTCCCTATTGTGAGAAAGGATATTGTTCTCTGGTCTTTTTTCCTGTTTCTCTCTCTCTCTCTCTGTCTCTCTCTCTCTCTCTGTGTGTGTGTGTGTGTGTGTGTGTGTGTGTGTGTGTGTGTGACTCTGTGTGTGATTCTCTCAACATTTCTTTAAAAAATCGGGAGTATTTGAATCTTCTACCAAAAAGGAGGTACAGAAATCTAAGATTCTTTGAATGTCTCCTTTAAAAAAGAAAGAGAAAATAATCTACCATATTTTAAATTTTAGTTGTTTCTTTGAGTCGTGTAAGCATAAAATGGATGAAGATTCTGGAAGCTCAGTGATTTTCCATTACTTAGGCATAATAAGGTAGCTGATAGGTCTCTCTGGTGCTTTCATCATCACTTTCATCCTAGCTATGTTCAGTTAGCATATTATTTGCATGTTGGCAAGATAGTTACTTTAATATGCAGTAATAAAAATAACAGACATAACCCAAAAAGGAAAATAGAACACCTTTTTAATAACTGATGTGTTAAATGAGGAACCGTTTTCTTTCATGAGAATATATTACTTGACCTTGTGCAGAGACAAGTTCATTGGATTTAATTTTGAGGAACAGATTACATTTTTTCTAGCCAGAGATGGTCTGATTTGACTGGAGTCTGATTAGGATGCAAAGAGGCTATTAAAATATTTTAAGCATTTTTTCTGAAGAGCAGTGCATTAATTGCTTGCAAATATTCATCACTCAAACCTCCTACTCTATTATGCTCAAACCAGAGCTGTAAGATTATGTTTTTATTGATGTAATTAATAACAGATGTTACTTGTTAACTTGGTTATCGCCAAATTGGACATTTGACAAATGTGCCTAGGGCCTTGATTCAGTGAATTTAATATAGATATGAGGCAACATATCGACCTCAAAAGATGAAATCAAGAACATTACTGTGGAAATTTAAAAAAAGTAGAGAAAGCATTTTACCAAGTTTTGGAAGAGTAAAAAATAATGATTTTTAAAACTAATCCTTTTTAGGCTTCTCTAAATGTTGTACTCAATTTAAGACATCTGTTCAATATACAACATCAATTGAAATGTTAAAAGATAGTTTAAAATACCAGAAGCAAGAACACTACAGAAAGCAATAATACCCAACACACAGAAAATAGATCATGAGAAACAATAAATAACCCACCACTTTGCTACACTTTGCATTCTACAATCAAGAAAATCTAGCTCTTATATAATCAGAAAATCAAAGGAATAACAGAAATGAAAACCTGCCCTATTAAAATTCTGCAAATTATAACCATGAAAATTGCACTCTGATGGGCACCAATTGATCTCGATTGTGAAAAGTCACACGGAACTAGATTCACAAATATCATCTAAGAGGCAATAAGATTTTAAATCAGACTAGATTAATTTGCAATTTGTCTATGGGCTGAATTGATGTTTACCTTTATATTACTTAAAAGAAAAATCAGAATGTTAGTGAGTATTTTCTTTTATTTAAAGAGATAAACTATTTTCCAGCTTTAAGCAATCTGTCTCACTATCTTAATTACTGAGCCATGTGAATATGTGGGGAGGTGGTGGTAGGGATGTGAGAAGCAGTGAAACAGGTAGACATTGGTGTTGACTTGACCAGACATAATCACTAGGTAGCTGCAGAAGCCATTACATTCCACAAGGCCAGGGTAGGTGACTGTTTGATCCCGTTTTACAGATGAAGAAATGAAGCTGAGTGGTTATTACTTGTGCAAAATCCAACAACTGGTTAATTGTAGAGCTGAGAATCAATTCCAAGTCTTCTGCCTCTAAAGCCTCCACTTTTTCAACTAGGCTACTTTCAGAAAGACAATGAAAGAGCTCCATATTATGATTAACCCTCCTTCAACAATAAAATTGAGAGCAGGCCAGGTGGCTCCGGGTTTGCACCCCATCCTCTTTGGTGCCCCTCATATACACTAATGTGAGCTGAGGTCTTGACAGCTGGAAATGAAGATGCCCAATCTTCCCTGACATTTATAGCTCACCTGGTACATAAACATATTATGTTATGCCTCATGTGGGATTCAGATAAATAGAATACAGTCCTTGTAACAAGATGCTTGTAGACTGATTAGAAGACAAGGGAAGGATCATCCTTGCTTTTATTTCCCCAAAATTAAATATAATGAGAAGTTCAAGCAACTATGGAGGAAAGTTGGAAGAGATATTTTTGGTCAAGAGGACTTTCAGAAGTTCTATGTATTAAACCACACAGATAGAAGTCAGCTTCACAGAGGCATCAAGATATCATATCTATATAACTGCGCAAACATAACTCCATTCCCTTTTCTGTACTCCTTTCCCTTTTTAGTACTTTCACAACTCATGTCCTATTGCCCCGCTAGGGTCTCCAGCTGCCTAAATCCTACCTTGATTGTGCTGGGCAATTTGCGCTCAACATCTTTTGTTTTCTTTTGTTGCCCTTCAAAACTTGCAGTCCTATTTCTTCATTCATAGTACTCTGCTTTGTCCTGGGAAAATCCAAACTTAAATGCCTACTCTCCCAGGTAAAAATTATACTTGAATGACTACAGATAGTTGCCATTGGTAGCAATGTTAGACATCAAGGTAAGCTACAGATATTTTTAAGAAGATCACCAAAACTTCCAAAGGAGTGTTTATTGTATATTCTTACTCAGACCATATTCTAGAACAACGGTTCCTAAACCTGTCTTAGATTTAGGAGTTTCTATTGATTTTATTTAAAAATAATGGATGCAATCAATATTTTTAACCAGGTAATTAATTTGACCTTTGTTCACATTCCTTTTCTTGTTATTTAAGTTAAACAACAACAAAAAAGACCTGAGCAACTTTGCTTAATTAAAAACAATTCACTGTAGACACTTCAAATGTTTCAATATATTGCCTATGACTCAATCTGCCCAGTTAAAAAAATTACTTTTAATTTCTCTTCAAATTTTCACTGTATTTTACAATTACTATCCCTTAATAAATATTGAAAACTGAAAGTTCAATGTAGTAGAGGTCCCACTGAACCGGCTTTATCCCTTAGAAGCACTTTCTTGACCAGAGGTAAATAAAACAGACAAATAGAGTCTCATAGGTAAATACTATCTTGGAAAAAAAGTGAAAAAATAGACTAAATTAGAGTTGCCATTTAAATTGCATATATCAAAATTTCAATAAATACTTGAGACGCAATATATAGTTGTGAAACTATTTGCCCATGTAACCAATGTCAACTCACTTCTCTAAACTTCCATAAGGGTTTCAGATCCAAAATAAGGCACACTTATGATCATTGGTAAGAAACAAAAGCTAACCATAACCGGCATAAACATAATTGGATTTTATATTTCCATAAGAAATAACCCTCCAAGGAAAAGACTGGTAAAGAGGTTACTCAAACAACTATATTTCCTAAATCTGAAGGACCTTCTGGTGCCTTGTAAAAGAAACAAAGCACTTTAAAATGTAATTAATTGGGAGAACTACAATCTTGAAAAAACCTACATCTTGGCCGGGCGCAGTGGCTCACGCCTGTAATCCCAGCACTTTGGGAGGCTGAGGCGGGGAGATCACAAGGTCAGGAGATGGAGACCATCCCGGCTAACACGGTTAAACTCCGTCTCTACTAAAAAATACAAAAAATTAGCCAGGCGTGGTGGTGGGCGCCCTATAATCCCAGCTACCAGGGAGGCTGAGGCAGAAGATCACTTGAACCCTGGAGGCGGAGGTTGCAGTGAGCTGAGATCGCGCCACTGCACACCAGCCTGGGCGACAGAGCAAGATTCTGTCTCAAAAAAAAGAAAAAGAAAAATACTACATCTTTTACGAGAAAGTACAGTACCATTGGACTAAAGTTTACGGTGATTGGTAATTCCTTATAAATATACAGATTCAATAGTTAAAAAAAAAATCACTAGTGTGTCACCATCACTGTCTAAAAGACCCTTTAAGATTCATTTAGAAATAAATAAAGTCCTGGCCAGGCGCTGTGGCTCACGCCTTAATCCCAGACCTTTGGGAGGCCGAGGTGGGCAGATTGCCTGAGCTCAGGAGTTCACAACCAGCCTGGGCAACACGGTGAGACTCTGTCTCTACTAAAATACAAAAAATTAGCCCCGCGTGGTGGTGCCCACCTGTAGTCCCAGCTACTCGGGAGGCTGAGGCAGGAGAATTGCATGAACCCGGGAGGCGGAGGTTGCAGTGAGCCGATATCACACCACTGCACTCCAGCCTGGGCGACAGATCAAGACTCCATCTCAAAAAAAAAAAAAAAAAAAAAAGTCCTGTAGTAGAGATGGATGACGATACTCCTTAATTTTATTATTATTTGAACTGTCCCAGAAGGCTGTGCGACTCCCCATTTTATAATGTCATAGTTACCAAGTATTCCAATATTGATTTAATTTCATAAAGAAACTTTTTTATAGGAAACACAATTTACTAACCAGATCAAGTGGGATTCTAATTGATTTCTTAAATTTTATTATAAAAATTGGCATTCTTATATATAAATGAATTCCTTCAGGATGACTCAGTCTCTCCCAGAATTTACTTACTCCTGACTAAAATGAGAAAATTGGGTTTCTGTATCTGCAAATTGGAGGATATATGTTGACCCCATCCAGAAGCAGACACTCTTGAAACCCAGGTCAAAAGCAGCTTTCCCTTTTAATTCACACTTTCCTCATTACTTCCACAAATGTTAATTTTTAAGATTAAACACCATTACTCTCATCTTTTTTGCGTGCATATTTAGGATGAATTTCTATTATATTGGTCTCACTTTACAAAGGATAAATTACCCATATATTCATATTGATGTTTTAAGAAAGACAAATTTGTAGTCCACTTAATTTGACTAATATGCACCAGGCATCATTTTAGAAGAGAAAGTGGATTGAAATCAATCAGTAAGTGAAAGAGAGTTACTCCAAAAATGTTACAGGGCTCCCATGTCTGGAAACACAAGGACTCTCTATGGGACAAAGTGATACCAGCTGTCACAACACCAACATTTGAGACATTTGGGGCAGCGAACCCCAGGCCGTGCCTCCTGGGCAGGCAGAAATGCTCAATTTGTAATCTACTTAGACACAACTACCAAAATCTATGGCTAGTTGCCTTTTCAAAAATTGCAGAAGTTTGGAGCCACATGATATTTTACTAATTAGCAAACCCAAATGCTTAATATTTCCAATGAATGGAAGATTTGCCAGAGGTTTCAGAATTTGCCTTTTATCACGTCTCCTAGAAATAAGGTGGGACTTCCCAACTGTCTATCTAGAGCTTACTATAGCCCCACCCTCATTCCCATTTTAATTGCACTGAGGGAAGAAACTCATGCCTTTCTTTTTTTTGAGACGGAGTCTCACTCTGTCACCCAGGCTGGAGTGTAGTGGCGTGATCTCGGCTCAATGCAAGCTCCGCCTCCCGGGTTCACGCCATTCTCCTGCCTCAGCCTCCTGAGTAGCTGGGACTACAGGTGCCCGCCACCATGCCAGGCTAATTTTTTTGTATTTTTAGTAGAGACGGGGTTTCACCATGTTGGCCAGGATGGTCTCGAACTCCTGACCTCGTGATCCGCCCACCTCGGCCTCCCAAAGTGCTGGGATTACAGGCTTGAGCCACCGCGCCCGGCCGAAACTCATGCCTTTCAATCCTCACTGCAGCTACATCCCTTAGAAGCACTATATTCACCAGAGGTAAATAATTACTTTATGTAGATTTAATTAACCTCAAATCGGCTAGTCTTGGCCCCAAACCTTCTTTAGTCTCCCAAATCAGTCTAATATGAGAAATTGAATATGTTCAGCTTGATATGCTTTTGGGGTGTACATGCATCTATCTGCTTGGGGTAGTAGATAAGCAACCACTACTTTGATGAGTGGAAGTTTCAACTGCTAGGAAAAAGTAGAAATAAACGAAGCCATCCCATCTAACAAGACAAAAAAAAAAAAGAAAAAACACCCACAGGAAAGATAGTTGGATATCAGGTTGACATGCACTGTCTTTACTTTTAGGTTAAAAAATAAGATTAGAAAGAGTTGCTATCCTGAGGCAAAGTGAACATTGTTTTTTTCATTTTGAATAAACCCAAGTTGTATTCAAATAATTTTTGCCACGACAGATAAACATTGAATAAAGAATGACTCATCTAATATGTGTTCCACTATATGTGAAAATAACAGGAAGAATAACAGTCTTCAAAATTTTTCTTTTAATATCTCCGAACAATTTTTTTTTTTACACAGGGTCTTGCTCTGTCACCTAGGCTGTAGTAGAATGGGGTGGTCTTGGCTCATTGCAGCCTCAACCTCCTGTGCTCAAGCAATCCTCCCACCTCAGTCTCCCGAGTAGCTGGGACCACAGGTGCACGCCAGCATGCCCAGCTAATTTTTGTATTTTTTCTAGAGATTGGAGCTTTGTCATGTTGCCCAGCCTGGTCTCAAACTCCTGGACTGAAAAAATCTGCCCACCCAGGCCTCCCAAAGTGCCAGAATTACAGGTGTGAGCCACCGCTCCAGGTTTTAAACAAATTAAGTACAGGTTATTTTTAAATGGCATCATAGATTTTTAGTTTTATTTGGAAATTTAATTTGTTTACTATTTCAGCTTCCACAAACCCAATTTAATTAACCCATTCTATTCATGAAAAATGTAGCATGAAAGTGTGAGAACAAGCAGATGGCTCACAGCAAGTTGCCAGGGACAATTCAGTCCCAGAAGGGTTCAGCAAGATCATCTAATGTAAAGAACAACACACTTGTCTCAGGGTAAACTAATGTTTATTACCAGAGCATATTCTTTCTCAATAATATTTGGAAGCAGCTTGAAATATACAACCAAATATAGCAATTTCACACTTAGATGTTTAAAAAGGTAATATTACCTTTCATATTTTCCCCAAATATTCAAGGATATCTGGGAGCACTGTTTAAAAAATCAAAAATGGAAGAAATCAGAAAATAACCAGAGAACAGGAAAGATGGTAGCTCCAAAACATTGCAAAGCACTTTAGACGAACCCTCCTCTAACTTGCCTGAATTTTGGATTGCTGATGCTCAGGAGAAACGGTGTAGAGGATGTCTTTTGGCTGCCTGCCATCCTCTGAACTGGGGCTGAAAAACCACTGAAGTACAATAATAATGGTAAATTATTCTGTCTTGTTCCAAATGATTTTAATATTATTTGGAGAGCTTTCAAATGCTTTTGAATTAAGAGAATGATTGCAACCCTAAATTTTAGGAACGTGAGAAAACTTCAAATGATCCTATTAAAGTTGAAGTACTTTAACTTTTAAGATACGTGATTTTACAAATCTTTACACATTTCAAGGTCTACATAGATTTTTTAAAAATGTTCTTAAAGCTCTACCTTATTTGTTTTAAAGAAATTAATATGGACTCTTACTTAAATGTATAAGCTAAATGTATTTTCAAATCTTCAATAGCAGCACATTAATTTATTAGTTTAAATACAGTTTTTGAGTAAACAAACTTAGAGCTCATGAATGGTACCAGATGGAGAACCAAAGTATTAGTGTCTGCCTTATTTTGACTGGCTAGGCAGCGAGTTGGGGAGCTTAGCTGTGCGCCATGCCTCAACCCTGACCTCCAGAGGCTGTTCTAAGAATTACAGAAGTTTTCTTTTTTAATGCATTTACGTAATTTCAACTTTTATTTTAGGTTCAGGGACTAACATGTACAGGTTTGTTGCATGGGCATATTGCATGACACTGAGATTTGGTGTACAAATGATTCTTTAATCCAGGTAGTGAACATATTATCCAATAGGTAGTTTTTCAGCCCTTGTCCCCCACTCTAGTAGACCCCGTGTCTATTGTTCCCATCTTTATGTCCATATGTACCCAATGTTTAGCTTCCACTTGTAAGTGAGAACATGCAGTATTTGGTTTTCTGTTCCTGCATTAATTCGCTTAGGATGATGGCCCTCAGCTGCCTCCATGTTGCTGCAAAGGACATGATTTCATTCTTTTTATGGCCATGTAGTATTCCATGGTGTATATGTACCATATTTTCTTTATCCAATCCACTATTGATAGGCACTAGGTTGATTCCATGTTTTTGCTATTGCGAATAGTATTGCGATAAACATAAGAGTGCATGTGTCTCTTTGGTATAATGATTTATGTTCCTTTGTGTATATACCTAGTAATGGGATTGCTGGGTTGAATCACAGTTTTAAGTTCTTTAAGAAATCTCCAAACTGCTTTCCACAGTGGCTGAACTAATTTACATTAGCACGAACAGTGTGTAAGCATTCCCTTCTCTCTGAAGCTTCACCAACATCTGTTATTTTGAAGAACAGAGGGTTTTCTAACAACAGTTGACTGAACTTTAGTAAAGCTATCAAATTTGTCTACCTGCTTTAGTTAACATGTCCCAGATCACAGCAAACAGATGAGGGAATTATCCTGTTTTAATCTAGAGAGAACAATACCAAACATCTGTCATTGCCAATGCAATCCTTGACAGTTTCCAAGGGGCTGGAATTTCTGACCTATTCAAGTACTGCCGTTAACACTTTATTCACTCTTCTTTCTATTCCTTATGAAGAATAATTCACCAATATTCTCTTTATTCTTGAGGATGATCACCAAGATGGTTCTCAGTTTTTCTGAATAACCCTTTAATCTTTTTCTATGGGTCTTATTTTCTAAACTTTATTTTTGTGTGTCTACTACAAGAAGACCTTTGTTAGATAACCAGTTGACATTAAAGATCATGTAGTAACAATGAAGGAAATAAATTTATTTATGGTCCTTTAGGGAATTTTTATACATTTATACCTACATGCTATCAAAAAGCCCATCCTGGAAAGTCAGTTAATTAGTTCACAAACATGCTACTAATGAGATTTAAATCACATGAAGACATGTTTCTTAAAACTTACTGAAATACCCCAAAATGTTACCTTGACATATACGTATAAATAGGATGGTGTCGGATAACACATGGGATTTTGTTTGCCAGAAATTGACCACTAAGATTCATGCTGGGCACACACTACTCATATTTAAGATCAGACGACTTACAACTACCAGGACCAACTCTTCTTTGAAGGGCTTATTGAGATGTACAGTTTTGGCAGAACTCCATATAAGTACCACCACACCTCCACCACTACCCCATTACCCCCTAAAGTTCCACTTTCCCATTCCCAAGGTATGTAGAATAGGAATCCCATAAATGAACCGATTTGGGCCTGTGGAAGTTGGTGGTATTGAGAACTACAGCCTTGCTGAGGTTCACAACCACAACCTGAGGGAAAGAGGTAGATACCTTAGAAGAATGTGGTAAGAGCCTTCAAAGAGTCTTGGTATTTAAAAGAGCTGAACTGATTGAGTGTAAGCACCCTGATATAGTTTGAATATTTGACCCCTACAAATCTCACGTTAAAATGCAATCCCCAATGTTGGAGTTGGGGCCTAGTGGGAGGTGTTTGGGTCACGGGGGCAGATCCCTCATGAATAGCTTTGTACTGTCCTGAGGTAATGAGTGAGTTCTCACTCTATTTGGTCACGCAAGAGCTGTTTGTTCAAAAGAACACTGTATCCCTTCCCTCTCTCTATCTCACATTCTCCTCTCTCCCCATGACACACCAGCTCCCCATCCGCTTCTACCATGACAGAAGCTTCCTAAAGCCCTCAAGAGGAGCGAATGCTGGCACAATGTTTTTTGCATAGTCTGCGGAACCATGAGCCAAACAAACTTCCATTTAGCAATTTGTTAAAATATATGGTCAACAGACCTGCCTTCTATGTCACATCTGTATAAAACCGCCTATATGCTAGTGATTGAAAGGTGTCTGTTCCAACTCTACTTTAATATGGTTTCGTCCAAGGGTGAGCTACATACCTACTGTCCCATAAACACAAACTACAAACACCAAAATCTCTTTGGGCCCCTCTTCTTTTGTTCCTCATCTCCTGCTTCAGTACAGTTCATCTTTTTATCCTGATTCTTGGCCTCAGACTCATTTTTTTAAGCTTACTTTTCCCACTTTGGATCTGGCATTTGTATCTGATCTCTTTGGCTCCTGGCTTATGGCTCTGACATGGATTCCTCAACCAATTATCCCTGTTTATTTCCCTTGGTGGACATAAATAAGACCCTCTAAGTGTAACCCCCAACTCCAACCATTCATCTAGATTTAACCTTCTCATGGAGGTTTAAGAACCCACAGAAAAATGTGTAAGCTCCACAAATAGGCCCATTTCAAAAAGTTTTCTCATCGTTAGCGATCTTAATCCAGTGAAAATGGCAGATGCCAAAGATTCTTTCCGGTCTTCCAATTACTATTCTTAATCTTAAAAAGCACATAGGATACAGATAATGTAAGAATTAAAGTGAGTAATGACAGAGTCATGATGGCACAAAGAGTATGTGATGACACAGGTAGGCTGGAGGCCCATCACAGCTGCTGAGCCCACTGCTGTTTATTGGGACCAGTGACTCTCAACAGGCAGGTACTGTCCCATAGCCATAAAGGAGTTCTAAAATGCTGTGTGGTTGGAAGCAGTATTTTTGGCTGTCAGTGATTGAAAGGTGCTATTGAATTTGGTGGGTACAAGCCAGAGTGCAATGCACTGGGCAGTCCAGATAAATGAAGAATTGTGCCACATTCGACAGAATCTGTGAATAATGTGCCTGACATTAAATAGGTGAAAAACTTCACTTATCATTATCTAAGCCTAGAATCAACCTCCTCATGACAAAAATACATGAAGTACTTTTTACACAATTTTAATCATGCCAAATTTTCCCAAGAATGCTACTACCATGCAAATTAGGGGAATTATTTTACTTTGCGTTCTTCAGAATTTTACAAAGAAAATATCACCATTTCACGTAAATATATCATAGACAGCAATGTTGTTTGTGGAAGTTGAATCACTAATACAGCGTGTGTGCCGATCTATATCTGTGGTCATTTTGTTTGTAGTGATTCTTCGTAAATGCAATCATACTTCTCTGTTATATCTTTTAATACAGTCATCCCTAATTGTTTACATATTGCAGTGGCATTATTTATTATAAATCACTTTCCTTGTATTTATCGTTTATATTTTAGTTTAAGATATTTTATTGATTGGTTTGCAAAATTATGTATTATCATTTAAGGGTAGCAAAAGGGATATTGCAAATTATTTTTTATAAAAGGGGCGTTGGGGATGGTATGGTTGGCAACCACTGATTTTGTCTGTCTCACAGTTCCAAAATCAGTCCTACTTTCTCACATCTCAATTGCCATTTCTCTACCAACAAATAAAACCAAATAAAGTCAAGCTAAAGATGGCAAATAATATTTTCTAAATAGGAAAAGAGACTTTAAGAAATTATTGGTTAAATCATCAAAGATTTACTTTTTTTTCTAAAAGTGTTGCTAAACTCAAGCAGTCTCTCTGCGGTGTGGAGTTGGGGACAGATACCAAAGGGGGTGGACAAGCTCAGAATTCATCAGGAAGTCAGTCCTGAAGGTGATGTACTGGTGAAAAAATTTGTTTTTAAGAGCTTTTAAGAAGTCAGAATCTGCACTCAAATTGTTTCATGGGTCCTTGGAAGTTTGTTTTCTTCATATCTGTTATGTTCATGACAGAATCAAGGATGGCAGCAAGGACCCACAGAAATCAGCCTCCCAATCCAAACTGAGCTCATGTCACAGACCCCAGCTCTGGGGTTTGGGTTGAGAAAGTAAACTGGAGAAGAGTTCTATTCAGCATAATCACCTAACTCCATTTCTTTGGGAGAAAATACCATACCGTGGACAAAATAACAAACCTATTTTAAAGCATATTTATTAAAACGTTTCTATATTAGGAAAGATATGCCTTTTAGTATAACTACAGAACTAAAAATTTTAATCTCCTATAAATGCTTTCTCACCAATAAGAACTAGGGAGACAAGAAAAGTTTGTTAACTGTTTTCCTCCAAAAGAAAGCAGCATAGTGAGGATGAGATTTACATTACCAAGCCATTGGCTCAATCTCCCATCTCTTCTACTTGTTACTATTGTTCTCTGAACAGAGATGAATGTTTCAATTTTTGATGAACATTTAAAAATATCAGTTTTATATTAATGCTTTGCCAAGTTTGTATAGATCAGCCAATTAAAACTCAATATAATCATTATCTGGAAGTAGCTTTGGGAATAATCATTAATTAAGTAAATTAGTTATTTCATTTTAATGAAGAGAAGAAAAATATTTTCCAAGGGAATACTCCTTTAATTAATAGATTTGTTCTCCCAGTTGTAAGACATTAGCATTCACATTTTGCCTCTGCTCAATAGCGAGACATCACTTTTATCATTAAGAGAAGAAAATTATGACTAACCCTCAACAACAGAAATACTGCCTGGAAAAATGAGGATTTATCTGATTAAGGCTTTCAAAATGACTTCTGAGATGGTGATTTATTATTTCACATTCCAGGAAAAGAAGAGACAACTGCAGCTATAGTTAGCAAGTATATTAGCACAACTACATTCCAGAATGTCTTTCAGACTAAGTATTTATTGAAACATTTGTCATGTGAACACACTTAAGGGTAGGAGGTTAGAAAAGGAATGTACCAGTCATAGGCATTTTAATATGCAACATTTCTTATATTCATTTTTTCATGTAGCAATTTATAAAAGCATCTCTGAAACATCTTTTTAAAGATATTCTCCCTTGAGTTGTCTAGGACAAAAACTAGTAGACAGTCATTGTTCAGGTACAACAGGTATCTATTTTCTATATCTTGTATGCATATGTTATTCTCATAGGCAGCCTTGACTCATTTGATATTTTTAACTGGAAGGAAGGAACTCCTATTACTTGGAAAACAGAATGCCCAGCCCACCTTGCCTCCAGCAAATACTCCCTGTACTCACTTCATGGAGGTGTAAAAATCCAGTGTGCTAGGTCACTTATGGAAGTAATAATGTATATTCCTGGGGCTGAGTACAGGCTGTGTAACTTATTCTACATACTGGTACTCAACATATCTTACTTATTTACAATGTATAAGAACATAGGACCCAAAATCAGTTACTAGATTTGTATCCTTTATTTACTAGATTTGTGAGCAGGACCAAGTTACATAAACTCTCTCAAACTCTGTTATCCAAGTATAGCACAAAGTATGAAATAGCAAGCACTCAGTAAATGCTGTCTCTTATTACTGTTGTTGGTGTTGTTACATATGTACATCATGCATACAGAAATTAAAATTACATTAAAGAAGAGATTCATGAACTTTCACAAAACATTATGTAACCCATTTGTAACCCTCCCTGCTTCAGGAGTTGCCTTTCTTTGGTGCATTCGGCTAGTGGGAGGCTACCTTTTGTCCTTTCCTAAGCCATCCCCTTAGGACCCTTTTTGTGCTTCTCTCAGCTTCCCTTGCTTCACAGAGACTACTGGCCTTCCAGAATCAGTGTTGATGCCACAACTTTGGCAAGACTAAATATTCCTTAACTTCTCATTACTTAACGGTCCACAGTGCTAATTCACAATGCTACAGAAGTATACCAGAAACTATATGTATTACTGTATATGACTGTTACTCTTGGTGACTTTTTCAATGATCACAGCAACAATCAGGATCCTGCTCACTTTTTAGCAGTCTCCTGTGTAAATCAGTTACCAAATGACCAGTGGGACACTTGTGTCTTAATGCTGTGTATGATTCAGGGACCGTGACAGAACCCTAGGGGAGATAGGGACTTTGAGGAAGAACCAAGGTCAAGTCTGTCTATCAATCTGGTGGAATGGGGAACCCGAGTCTTGAGTGAAGTAGTTACTAGAGAAGAAAAAAAAGCAGTATTTCTTGCTCATCTGAATGTATAGCATGAAAGAGTGTAAATATGCCAAATATTTAAAGTAGTTTTTTCAGCCAGGCACAGTGGCTCACACTTGTAATCCCAGCACTTTGGGGAGGCCAAGGCAGGAGGATTACCTGAGGTCAGGGGTTCGAGATCAGCCAGGCCAACATGGTGAAACCCCATCTCTACTAAAAATACAAAAATTAGCCAGTCATGGTGGCGCATGCCTGTAATCCCAGCAAGTCGGGAGGCTGAAGCAGAATTGCTTGAGCCAGGGAGAGGGAGGGTTTCAGTGAGCTGAGATCGTGCCACTGCACTCTGGCCTGGCCAACAGAGCAAGACTCTGTTTCAAAAAAAAAAAAAAAAAGTTATTTACAAAGTGTGAAAAAAAAGAAGAAGAAGAAGAAGAAATATACCAGAAGTATACCAGAAAGGCAGAGGCTAAATTAAAGAAATGAGAACACTGGAGAGAAACTAAAAGTCACATGGTAAAAGAATGCCTACAGTCCATGGAAAAAGAAAGTCTCTGGTGTTTTTTTTTGTTTGTTTTTATTGTGTGTGTGTGTGTGTGTGTGTGTGTGTGTGTGTGTGTGTGTGTGTGTTTGCTACAGATTACCCCCTTATAGGGACAGCCCAATTGCTCTCCTTGCTTCTGTGGCTTGACAGCTGCCTTTCTTTCTTCTCCTAGAAGTGTCTCTTTCATTACAGAGCCAGTGTCCACCACACTCTAGAGAAACATCATCATTCCCTGCCCAAAGGTGTTGTCTCTTTTGAGGATTAATCTCTTTTCTCTTACCATATCTTACATAGGATACAATGTACTATGATGCTTTTCCCAAAGACTGACTCATTCAAGTTAGAATTACACCTTCAGGGATGGCTAGTTATGCACACAGAGAACATAGGTTGGGCTCCACTTTCCCAAGTCCTAGTGTCTTCCAAGATTTCTCTACTACTGTTAGAAGATAATCTTTCTCATTCTTCAAAGATAACCAGTAAGGAACAATTATTTAAACACACACACACACACACACACACACACACACACAATCTTCGAGGAGTGTGGGGGAAGAAAAGAAAAAAAAATCAGGGTCAGTTAAGATTGAAGAAAGCAATTTCCTAAAATCAAAACAAAGTACAAAGTCTATAACCCACAAAGATGACAGCCCATTACGTTACTGTGCATAGCAGCATCAGTCCCCTTTTGTCATCTATTTGAGACACCTGAATTACAACCTGGGGCCACTCATCCTGTAGAGATTTCAACACTTCAATTGTCCGCCCATCTTAGCCAGTGAGATTCCAGGAGCCAAGGACCTGTGCATATGGCTGCAGTTGCTTCTCCACCAGGAGCCAAAAGAAATCTTAATATATAGAAAGACTTTTGATTTTTGTGGCCAAATTATTAAATTACCTTATTAGGTGTAGTGAATTTAGTTGATTCTTTTAGATTTTCTAGGTATAAATAATAGCACTGTAAATTATGATCATTCAAATATCATATGCTTCTTAGCTAATATTTATGCTTCAACTTTTATGGCCAAATTATTCTTAGAGGAAGAAATCTTATATACTCTTTAATGGTTGATGTTGTTAGAGAAATATAGGTTTAAATATTAGTCAAACGTATTTGTTGCTTGAAAGCAACCACCAGTCTTTGTACATTATACCATGGAATACTACGCAGCCATGAAAGAGTGAAATCATGTTCTTTGCAGCAACGTGGATGGATCTAGAGGCCATTATCCTACGCAAATTAATACAAGAATAGGAAACCAAATACTGCATTTTCCCACTTACAAGTGAGAGCTAAACATTGAGTACATATGGACATAAAGATGGGAACAATAGACACCAGAGACTACTAGAGGCAGGTGAAAGGGAGAGGGGCAAAGGCCGAATTAACTACCTGTTGGGTACTAACTAGCTGGGTAACAGGATCATTTGCAGCCCAAACTTCAACATCATACAATATTTCCATGTAACCAACCTGCACATGTGCCCCCTGAATCTAAAATAAAAGTTGAAATTATTGTTTTAAAAAAAGAAAGAAACCACTAGTGTAATAGGAATAGAATGTAGCTTTTTAAATCAACAAAATAAAATGAAATAAAATAATGTATTCAATCAAGAAAAAGGACAAGAAAAGAAGAATATGGCAAATAAATCAAATAATAATAAAAAGAAAATAGGACTTCTGCTCTGGGCTTGACAAAGCAATTACTACAAGTATAATTGCTGTTCATGCTGTCAACAACGATAAAGCTAGACAAAATATATGAGGTAACTGTTTTTTGGTTTTTTGGTTTTTTGTTTGTTTGTTTGTTTTTGAGACAGGGTCTCTCTCTGTTGTCCAGGCTAGAGTGCAGTGGCACGATCGCAGCTCACTGCAGCCTCGACCTCCCAGGCTCAAGCGATCCTCCCACCTAAACCTCCCGAGAAGCTAGGATTACAGGCACATGCCACCACACTCAGCTAATTTATGTATTTTTTGCAGAGAGGGGGTTTTGCCCTATTTCCCAGGCTGGTCTCTAACTCCTGGGCTCAAGCAATCTACCTGCCTTGGGAAGTAAGTAAACAGTAGCAGTGCATGACTATAATTCTTCAGCAAAGGATAACACACAAAGTAAGCCTCATGGTTGTCCTGGATTTCTGCCTGGAGGTACTTTTCTGCTTTGGCTTGGACAGGTGGACCCCAAAAGGAGTGGAAACGGTTAAGGAGGCCAAGATTGGAGCTCCTGGTTACTGAGGGAGGTTGGAATTTTGAGGAAAGCTACCCAAACTATATTGATGGAGGACAGACAAAAGTCTGCAGAAAGATCCAACGTGGGATATTGGGATTGGCTGAATATGCACAAAATGAGACTTTGGGAAACTTAGCAGAGATTGTCTGCTACAGGGGTGAGAACTGAATAATGATACCAGAGATGAAGTAGGGCTAAAATGTTGGGATTCTGGCTCAGCTAGATTGGAAATACATTGCTGAGAACCTCAGGCATTCTGCTGAGACCCCCAAAAAGTCATTCTAATGAGTAAGGACCACACCTTACAATAATCAAATCTAAAATGGACTCACCTAACACAAAATAAAACTTTCCCAACTTCACCATGCCTGCAAATAAGTGGCAAAGTTGTATTCTGAACCAAAATATTTCTGCCCCCAAGGCTGGTGTCCTTGAGCACTCTATTTCCATTCTAGAGTGGGTCCGGCCTTCTAGCAGATCAGGAAACTCCAAAACTATGAACTCACTAGGTCTCATGACAGACATTCACTGCAAATGTTACAGAATCATTTAGAAATCAACATTATCCAGCCTGAATCAAAATAGGGAGATAATTAAGGACATAAGCCAGTGTTAGGATTATGAATCATTATATCAGTAATGAGAAAACAAATGAGAGGTTGTAAATAATGCTCACAACTAAGTGCAGAAATCCTGTATGATAGATAAGCATTGAATCTAAAAAGCAAAAGGAAAGGCACATCAGTTAGTGAATGCCATAAAATCTTAGTGGAAAATTGCAACAACATACATTTGTTTCTTTGTCTTGAATATGTGGATGGGCTGGAGTTTTAGTGACCCAGACTGGGTTCATCTGGGTGTGGTTCCAACCTTCATCTGGGTTCCGGGTCTCTCCCATCTGTCTGTCATCCTCCGAGGAACAGCAGCTACCCAAGACATGTTCTTCTCATGGCGACAGGCAGGAGTGCAAGAGGCAAACTTCTCTGTGCAAGCATATTTCACACCTCTGCTCAGGTCGCATCCAGTAATATCCCATTAGTCAAGAAAGTCACATGGCCAAATCAGAGGTCAAAGATTAGGAATGTACACTTGACCCAATATGAGGCCATGGTAAGGTTGTGGGTGTATGGTATTATTCCAGGGTAATGAGGAATTGGGACCAATAGTTCAATCTACCTCAAATGGAAAGGAAGATTCTTCAAAATTTAATTTTAAAAGTACAGCTTACTGTAAGTTTATGGAGAGGATAGCAGAATAGCATGGCATTAGGATCCCAAAGCTTGACGAATAATTTTCTTTTTCTTCTATTAATTTTTTTCAGGGAATTGGTGGAGAGGTCAGGGTAGGCAGCATCAGATAGAATACAGATTTGCAAATTACAAAAATGTTACTGATTCCACCAAGCTCTTTTCATATTATATCTCCACCTACAATTCTATTTTGAATTCCAGTATAAAGTTCTCCTTTTATTTTTAAAGTCATTGCTATTCATAATATCCTTGAGAATCATGGATACATTAAGTAATAATGTTCCCATCTTGTAGGAAAAGAAATAGAGGGCCTATGTTTGTGTACCTTGTTTCCTCTCCGAACAGCATACAGATATACCAATGATTATCAGTTTCTCATACAAGGCATTTGATATATAACTTTTCTGTATGGTCAAGAAATAACATGGGGACACTGACACCAAAGGAAGTTAAGAGTTTGCAGTGTGTCATATGGGTAGATAGAAACGCAGCTTATACAAGGACTTTGAATATAGGATTACTAATTCATATTCTTCCTGCGGTGTCCCTAGAATGGAGAGATTTGAGTTTCTCTGTGCAGTAACATGTTTTAAAAAGTGTTTTCAACTGTATACAATGAATTTTCAATTCTAGCCTATCATGACACTTTAGGTTAGGTATTCTACCATTCCTGTGCCATGCTCACTTTGGGGTTATGTTTCTTCCATTTCCACAATAGCGATGGTCAGCTTTAAAGAATAAGCAAGCCACTAAATGGCACTACTTATGCCAAGATAGCCTTTTACTATTTAGTCTCCTTTATCAGTGCACAGACTTAAAAAATCAGAATTCTATTTAAGATAGCAGCTTGACCTAGGCCTAATTCACAAAGCTCTCGTACTGGTTTTTGAGCTGCAAGTCCCTATAAAGATCACAAGTCCTTCAACTTAGACCAATGTAGAGTCTGAAGGTGTACATGGGAAGTGTCTTGGACCTAAGGAGAGACATCAACTCTCATTTTTTTCTGTCTTAAGGGAGGAGGCAAAAATTCACTTCTCAAGGTTGAACTTCTGAGTTTCTTAAACAATAAATGTGTAATTTAACCTACAGGATTTCTGCAGTTAGGAAGAAGCAAAGAAGTAGGATATGTAACTTTTTTTTTGTTTACTGGCTTTTCATGACATGCATATCTATTGAAATTTAGGTTTTTAAAAAATTAAACTGGGAATTAAGAAGAGAGATGGGTTGATGTTTAGCTAAGACTAAAACATTAGTTTATCAGAGACCTCAGAGGATACATAATTTTTATTTCTGGGTAGGAGAGGAGTGGGGGCCATGACTAGAGGTGAGGGAGGCACCTACCTGCCTTGTGTGCAAAATTTAAGGGAGCACCAAAAAACTCTGTAATCAAGATCAGTAATGTTTCCATACAACATTTAAACTCAAAATTGTCAATCCACTACTCCCTGATTTAATCAGGTTGCCTGATTTTAACTAAAGTTTTATTGGACTGAAGAATAATGATAGATAAACCTTATTGGACTGAAGAAAATTATAATGATAGATAAACTTTAAGACATTGTGTAATATTCACAGCAAAACTAGAGTTTTCCAAAAGAAAGCTGGCAAAGTTCCCCTCTGAGCAGCTATCAGTGGCTGGGGGCACTTGTCAGCTGCTGGATTTTTGTTGTTGTTGTTGTTATTGTTTTGCTGGTTTTGCTTTGCCTACTCTTGCTGGAGGAAGAACATAGGAGTATCATATAGTATGCAGAGTTACTGAGGCCTATCTGGATGAGGGAAAAAAATTAAAAATGATACTTAACCAAACAGTTAAACTGGATTTTGGTTCAACAAATTTCAAAATGGCATTTTCCAAGTGGTTAGCATTCCTTTTTAAAGTTGAACACGGGGAAATATTTTTTAAATTATCTTTATTCAATCTAAACAGAAAATATAAACAAGCCCAGAGCCTACTAGATGAATAATCTAAATGAGAATGAAGTTAAATTGGCAACATAACTCAGAGTGCACAATAATAAGGCCCAGATGCAATGCTACACATAGGGTTTCAGTGAGTTTCTTCCAACCTTTAAAATCACCCTCTGTTTCAAGAATCATTTCCTAGTAAGTTATATCTAAAATATAGGTCTCAGTTTTAGATATCTTTAGCTAGTAAAAATCAGTTGATTTAAGACTTATCTCTCATTTGTGTGGGCCAGTTCTATTCTTAATTTTGCTGGACTATTAGAGCAAGAAAAAACCAGAGAGATTAATACATATGAGCCCTGGTTTCCTCACATGTTAACTGAAAGTAGGTATCTGTGGGCTTCAAACATAAAAGATACTAATGAAAAAGTTCTGCCAAAAAGAGCTATAGACTGCATACAAACCGTAGTTTTATTACATTTTGTTGGTTAATTCATCCAACATTCAACAAATGATTTTTCAGTATTATTATATGGCAGGTTCTGCTCTGGGAACAGAGAATTAAGTAGTGAACAGAAATCTTTGTCCTCATGGAGACTGAACATAATTGTAATTAAGTTAACATGATTTAAATGACTTTTTTTCCTGGTTAATATACTTTGGAATAAGTTACCCTTTTTATCTTTTTCAGTTGATTTGGCTTTATCTTTATCCTAATAGCTTAGACTGTTTGTTAAAGAAAAATTACATTTGGTTCATTCATAATATGCAAGTATCAATAATACATAGTTTTAAACATGTATAATACTTAAACATAGTTTTAAACATGTATAAAAATACATGGTTTTAAACATGTATAATATACTTGAAAATTTCTACACACTAGAAATTTATTCTAAAGAAATAATTCAACTCATAGAAACAGAGAGTAGAATGGTGGCTACTAAGGCTAGGGAGCAGGTGAATTGTGGAGATGGTCAAAGGAGACAAAATTTCAGTTACACAGAAGGAATAATTTCAAGAAATCTATTGTACATTATGGTGATCATAGTTAATAACAGCATATTATATACTTAAACATTGCTTTTCTCACAACAACAACAAAGTGATAAATATGTGAGGTAATGCATATATTAAGTAGTTTTATTCAGCCATTCTACAATGTATACAAATGGCAAAACATGTTGTACACCATAAATATATGTAATTTTTTATTAAACTTTTAATTCTTAATATTTTTATAATACTAGCAATAACATCTCAGTACAATTTTAAAATGAAGAAATTGTGTAGGCTTACTTCAAACTATTTCCATGAACAGATTTTTATTTCTGTGCTGTGCCAATCACACTATCGTAAACATTTTCTAACGATAACTCAGTATATGCATTTTGTTGAGTTTCTTCCTTTTTTATCTGCTGATTGTGAAGATGAAATACCACTTTAAGGGCTCCTGTCCTCCACTTTGGTGGCTCCTGATGTTCTGCCCCTCAGTCTGTTTGTCCACCTTCCTTTCTTCTGTCCAAACCTTATATTCCTCGGTTTCCATTCAAGGAGTAGGCAACTCCATTTACTTTGTCTCATCCATGTCTGGTGAATCCCTTTATGATCACTGAAGCCAACCAAGTATAGGTAGGTAACAGTTTTTAGAATATGCTCATCTACCTACAGACCCTCTGCCTCTCCTCACCCATTCCTTTTTTTTTTATTATACTTTAAGTTCTGGGGTACATGTGCAGAATGTGCAGTTTTGTTACACAGGTATACACTTGCCATGGTGGTTTGCTGCACGCATCAACCCGTCACCTACATTAGGTATTTCTCCTAATGCTATCCCTTCCTTAGCCCTCCACCCCCCAAATATATGTAATTTTTACTTGCCAATTTAAAAAAAATTGAAAAGAAAATTCAAAATGGATAAATGTATATCATCAAAAGGATGTTCATCACAGTTTTATTAGAGCATGCTTTCTTTTGTTTCATTTATCCATATATTTAGTATTTTCTGCAATGATCATGCAGTGCTTTTGTCAGAAAAATAATGTTATTTTTAATTTTTAAAATATAGTTCCTTATATTGTCTATAAAAGAATCAGTCAGGGATAAATAAATACAAACTTGGCTCTAAAATAATACATTATGTTTCATATATATATATATGCACACACACATATATATATACACACACACACACACACACACATATATATATATATATATATATATATACACGCATATATATATATACACAGAGAAAGAGAGAGAGAGAGAGTCTTGTTCCATCACCCAGGCTGGACTGCAGAGGCAATCATGGCTCAATGTAGCCTTGAACTCCTGGGCTTAACTGATCCTCCCACCTTGGCCTCCCAAAGTGCTGGGATTACTAGTGTGAGCCACTAATATGGTTTGGCTGTGTCCTCACCCAAATCTCATCTTGAATTGTAGTTCCCATAATCCCCACATGTCATGGGAGGGACCCGATGGGAGGTAATTGAATCATGAAGGCAGTTACCCTCATGCTGCTGTTCTCGTGATACTGAGTTCTCATGAGATCTGATGGTTTAATAAGGAATTTTTCCCCTTTGCTCAGCACTTCCCTCTCCTGCTGCCATGTAAAAAAGGACATGTCTGTTTCCCCTTTGCCATGATTGTAAGTTTTCTGAGTTCTCCCAAGTCATGTGAACTGTGAGTCAATTAAACCTCTTTCCTTTAAAAATTACCCAGTCTTGGGCAGTTCTTCACAGCAGTGTGAGAACAAACTAATACAGTAAATTGGTACTGCAGAGAGCAAGGTGCTGCTATAAGGATAACTGAAAATGTGGAAGCAGCTTTGGAACTGGGTAACAGGCAGAAGTTGGAAGCATTTGGAGGGCTCAGAAGAAGACAGGAAAATGTGGGAATGTTTGGAACTTCCTAGAGACTTGTTGAATGGCTTTGACCAAAATGCTGATAGTGATATGGACAATGATGTCCAGGCTGAGGTGGTCTCAAATGGAGATAAGAAACTTGTTGGGAACTGGAGTACAGGTCACTCTTGCTATGTTTTAGCAAAGAGACTGGCAGCATTTTCTCCCTGCCCTAGAGACCTGTGGAACTTTGAACTTGAGAGAGATGATTCAGGGTATCTGGTGGAAGAAATTTCTAAGCAGCAAAGTGTTCAAGATGTGACTTGGGTGTTATTAAAAGCATTCAGTTTTATATATTCACAAAGGTATGGTTTGGAATTTGAACTTATGTTTAAAAGGGAAGCAGAGCATAAAAGTTCAGAAAATGTGCAGCCTGATGATGTAATAGAAAAGAAAAACCCATTTTCTGAGGAGAAATTCAAACTGGCTGCAGAAATTTACATAAGTAACAAGGGGCCAAATGTTAATCACCAAGGCAATGAGGAAAATGTCTCCAGGGCATGTTAGAGGTCTTCATGGCAGCCCCTCCCATCACAGGCCTGGAGGCCTAGGAGGAAAAAAATGATTTCATGGGCTGGGCCCAAGGCCTTGCTGCTTTGTGCATTCTCAGGACTTGGTGCCCTGTGTCCTAGGTGTGGCTAAAATGGGCCAACATAAAGTTCAGGCCATTGCTTCAGAGGATGCAAGCCCCAAGCCTTGGCAGCTTACATGTGGTGTTGGGTTTGCAGGTGCACAGAAGTCAAGAATTGAGGTTTTGGAATCTCTGCCTAGATTTCAAAGGATGTATGGAAATGCCTGGATGTCAAGGCAGAAGTTTGCTGTTGGGGAAGAGCCCTCATGGAGAACCTCTGCTAGGGCACTGTGGAAGGGAAATGTGGAGTCAGAGTCCCAACACAGAGTCCCCACTGGGGCATTGCCTAGTGGAGCTGTGAGAAGAGGGCCGCCATCCTCCAGACTCCAGAATGGTAGATCGACTGTCAGCTTGCACCATGCACCTGGAAAAGTCACAGATACTCAATGTGAGCCCATGAATGCAGCTGGGAGGGGGCTGCACCCTGCAAAGCCACAGGGCCAAAGCTGCCAAAGGCTGTGGGAGCTCACCCTTTGCATCAGTGTGACCTGAATGTGAAACATGGAGTCAAAGGCGATCATTTTGGAACTTTAAGATTTGACTGCTCCACTGGATATTGGACTTGGACAATTGTAGCTCCTTCATTTTTGCCAATTTCTCCCATTTGGGATGGGAACATTGACACAATGCTGTACCCCCATTCTATCTATGAAGTAACTAACTTGTTTTTGATTTTACAGGCTCATTGGTGGAAGGGACTTGCCTTGTCTCAAATGAGACTTTGGATTTGGACTTTTGAGTTAATGCTGAAATAAGTCAAGTCTTTGGGGGACTGTTGGGAAGGCATGATTGTATTTTAAAATGTGAGGACATAAGATTTGGGAGGGGCCAGGGGCAGAATGATATGATTTGGCAGTGTCCCCACCCAAATCTCATCTTGAATTGTGGTTTCCATAATCCCCAAGTGTCATGGGAGGGAACTGGTGGGAGGTAATTGAATCACAGGAACTCCCATGCTGCTGTTCTTGTAATAGTGAATGAGTTCTCATGAGATCTGATGGTTTTAAAATGGGTTTGTACCTCTTTGCTTGGCACTTCTCTCTCCTGCTGCCACATGAAGAAGTATGTGTTTGTTTCCCCTTCTGCCATGATTGTAAGTTTTCCAAGGCCTCCCCAGCCACGTGGAACTGTGAGTCAGTTAAATCTCTTTCCTTTATAAATTATCCAGTCTTGGGCAGTTCTTCATAGCAGTGTGAGAACAGACTAATACAGTTACTGTGCCCAGCCTAAAATAATATTTTATTGAACTCAGATGTCTACAGGTATAGCTATAATCTGAGCAAATTGTGCAATCAGTTGAGACATCATTGACTGAAAAATTAGGACATTTCCTAAAGCAAAGGACTGGAGAAAGACCTTTCTGTGAAATATTTCTTGGGTAATCAAGCTTTAACAGTCCTTTCTGATGTGCAATTACAATTTATTTTTATATGAAGGAACAATAATCTGTATAAAGCAAGCTTTCTGTTGCTTGTATTGAAATGCCATTACATCAGTGACAGCTGTCTTGAGTATAACAATTGCCCTGGATGAATGGTCAGTTCTTTCATGGTTAATGTTTTCCTGAAAAGAGGTGTTAAGAAGAAGAAAAACAATGAAGTCAGATAAGTACAAACATACAGATTCACATATCCTATCTGACTGACTGACTGGAAATTCGAAAGTATTTAAAGTCAGGCCAATATTTCTAGGTTTAGAAAGAAAGTAAGGAAGAAAAGAAAAAAAGGAAGGAAGGAAGGCACAGAAAGACTTAGCCACCAAATGAATTGAGCATGAGGTCAGTTTTTCTTGACCCACTTTTTCTGAGCACACTGTTTTGTGAATCAATGCCCATTAGGTTTGAGGTTATTACATAAAGCAGTAACAGAATACATCATGTTTCTACATGCTCAGAAATGCAGATATTAATAACAAGAAATATTTTGGGGCTCATTTATGTTTTGCAAGTTATATTATGTTGAAGAAAATATTCCCTAATTTTCATTTTAGTTTAGAGTTTGCTTCACTGCTTGCTAATATCTGGATTGGAAAAAAAACTTTAAGAAACCATATATTTTGCAAAGGTAAATTAAGCTGATTTCATCAGCATAAATAATTGCTAATGTAGCTGAAAAATTGAATATCTGGAAATGTCTTTTAGGATTATGATTCTATAAATCCACTGCATGTTAGAGTATGTTTATTCATGTATTTTATATACAGCAAATATTTCCTGAAAAACTTTTATGTCTGGGAACTGTGCTGGGCATGTGAAATTTGAAAGGAAAAAAAATAGACAAGACTATTGCCTTTGGGAGATAGAATAAAAATAAACAAATTATGCATATGTATTGATAAGTGTTTTAGAGGAAACTAATGGAGAACTCAGCAGAGAATAATCAGGAAGGAGAGAATCTGTTTTAGACAAGAAAGTCAAAAAAATGAAGTTTAAGGTTTGAAGTATGAGAAGGAGCCCATGGGGAGTAAGAGTTCACTGAACTCAGAGGTGATTGAAAAGAGAGAAGGTCAGAAAAGTAGGAGTGGGTAAGGGTCGGATCATGCATTCTCATAAATTAGATACTTTTATGTCTATGTTTTTATATCATGAAGACCTTTGAATATCAAATAGAAGTTATGGACTTTCATCCCCCCAAAAAAGTATATATTAAAAATTTACGTGAAACTTTGCATACCACAGAGTAACATTCAGGTGATTTGTCCTTGGCACAAAAGACCTGGCCCACTTCATTTGAGTGAAACTCTTCTTGGCTCTATCCTCCCCTGGAACACCTGGAGAAAATTTGTCCACTGGAGAGCTTAGTAAATCGCCCTAAATTCCTTAACATATAGGTATATGAGCCAGTACAGATCATAAGAAACTCTTAATTAATAGTGTTGACAAATTCATAGATGTTTCCTTCATTAAGCAAGTTATGGTTTCCCTACAGCTTCTCAATGTATGACCATGAGTATTTGCCAATGATATGGGGGTCCTGGTTGGGGAACTCCTCATCCTTCCTTAGTGAGCTGTTTGCAGAGCATCTTCCATATTTCCCTTTATTGGCAGAGCCCTTATGGCAATGGAATCCTCCCCACTGTTCTACTTTCTCTGCTGCCCAGAGACAGACCCTAACATGTAGGCTTCTATTTCTCATGTAGATCCCCATACTCCTCTGGGCACTTGGGTATTGGCTGAGGATATATAGAAGTCCTCACTGAAGCATTTCAGCACATTGATAGCTGGATAAAATTGCAGAGCAGAGCTGCCCTTGCCCAAGAGTAATGTCACCGGTGCCCTCAATGCCAACCCTCAGGCCCTACCCCTACTTCAGTCTGTTTCCTCTGCTGTGGCTTCTTGGACTAGCCTTAAATTTCCTCAAGCAAACTTGGGGAATGAGAAGTTCTGAGTTCAGAATCCTTCCTCTGGCCACAGAGTATATCTGACTCATTTTCTTAATGTTTACCAACTACTTAGACCACTAAAACCACCAGTTTTTAAGTCTTATTACAACAAATAATAATATGAAATCACCATATTATGCATGATATTTTCACATGCCAATCTGTCACTGAATCATTTCAAGTCAGTATTCTAGAGAAAACAATAGTTTGAATAGTTCTTTAAGGTTTGCAGCAATGGAACTAATGCATAAATAGCATTTCATCGAATGTCCATTCAACCATGAACTTCATCTTAGTACAGGATTTTACTTCCAATGTATCACACTGGGTACCAGTGTGTCACCTAAAAAGATACATTGCTGTCCTGACCCCAGTACCTGTGAATGTGACCTTGTTTGGAAATAGGGCCTTTGCAGACATAAGCAAGTTAAAATGAGGTCATATTGGGATATGGTGGGCCCTAATCTGATAGACTGGTGTGCTTATAACAGAGAAATTTGGACAATGACACACACAGGAGAGAAAGCCATGTGAAGACAGAGGCAGAGATTGGAGTGATGGGTCTACAAGCCAAGGAACACCAAGGATTGCTAGCAACCACCAGAAGCAAGGAGAAAGGCAGGGAACATGTTCTCTCTGAAATCTTCCAATAGGAATCAACCCAACTAACACTTCAATGGACTTCTGGCCTTCTAAACTGTGAGAAAATAAATGTTTGTTGTTTGAAGCCACCTTGTTTGTGGTACTTTGTTTTGACAGCCCTAGGAAACTAAAACAGGTGCCAAGAGGGCATATACAAAAGGGGAAGATTGCACAGGATATTTTCTTTATTGTAATATGCAAAATGTCAATTTAAAAAAAGAAAAAGAAAAAATATATCAAAATATGTGTGCTTTACTTCAACGGGAGACTAAAACCAGCTAATAGCCCAATTCTTGAAATTCTATAATTCTGTGACTCTTAAACCAGAAAAATTATGCAGTCAGGCAGTTATACACACAATTGGGTCCTTATGACTACTAATGTAGGAACCCAACAGAATGTGGAATATTAGCCTTGAAGCCTGAGCTTGGGAGCCTTCATTCATGCTTCTTAGTGAAATTCTATGTTGATATTTCTTTAGTCAAAGAAGAGTTTTGGCCTGGACTATCCATTTATGCATACAAAAATTGAGTGTCTTGCATAATGACAAAATTGCATATCTTGAATAAACATGGCTTCCATGTTCATATAATGGGCTTCCATGTTCATATAATTGTGTTTTTTTTCAGAAGCTAAGTACTTAAAATACTTTAAAACAGGAAGAAAAAAACTTAAAATGCACACACAGAGAAATCTTCATTTCTCTTCTGGGATACGTATATTTCTAGTGTAACTTTTTTAACAAAGAAAAACTGCAAACATCATTTCAACAACTGTATTTTAACTTTAAAGAACAACTTGGTATTTTCTTAGGGAGACATGCTCTTAAAAAGTAGGAAAGAATATTCCCTTTTAACAAACCTGCACATCTACCCCTGAAACTATAACAAAAGTTGGGGAAAAAAGAAAAGAAAAAAACCGAAAAATTTTAAAACAAAGGGCTTGATTTATTTGAGACAAATATAAACAATGCAAAACAGAAAAGGTCTCACCCTCAACCAAACACCACCGAAACGTTAACATAGCAGAAAATGTCAAAAGAGAAAATTTCTAACCTTTTTAAAAATCCTATTCATTTCCCATAGACTTTAAGAATCTTTCCATTTTAAATAAAATTTCTCTTCCTTTCTTTCTATTGCAGAAAAGAATATAAATCAATCTGTTATTGCCCTATAAAAATCCAGACTTGCAATAAACTGTCACCACTAAACAGGAACAACAAAGGTTTGAAATTATCATCTCTTTCCCAGTGCTGCCATTCCTTCAAGGACCTTAGAGCATGAATAATGGAGACTATTTACAGACAAAAGTCATTCAATAGAGAACAAAATGAGCTATAAGTTTAAGTCTACTCTTCCCTTTGCCCAGTGCAGTACAGCAGAGTGGAAGGGCTACCATTTGCACAACCCCAGGGGTGCACTTTGAATCATATAGACTATATTTGCAGCATCTCTGCAGAACGGTTCAGAGCCAACCTCTGGAGTGAGTGGATGGAAGCCAATATGGCTTCACTGCTTAACAGCCACGTCACCTCGGCAAGTTACTTAACCTCCTAAGCTTTAGCTTCCTTATCCATTGAACAGGATAATAATATCACTGTTTCATAGGGTTGTGAAGGAATATAAAAGAATGTTTAAGTAACCAGCACACAGTGGGAAGAAACTCAACATACCATGTATATAGTGTTAATATGTATGTTTAGGATATGAATAAGGAAAACCATAAACGTCCTTCTGAGTTTCTCTTCTACAAGTATGTTCACACATATGTTCCCCACCCCACTTCCTGACATTCTCCTCTATTTTATTTATACAACACTTATATTAAACAGGTAAAGCTCCAGTTATGAGGTGATATACCCTCCATAGAGGAGACCTACTGTCTCAGTGACTGGAGCAAATAGAGATTTAGCTTCCAATTTCCAACAAGCAGTGAGAGGCATTCGGAACTCTGCAATGATGCTCTGTCAGTGATCTAGAGGAGTAATGACATGAATGAGGCATGAATGAGGGGACTGAGTCAGAGACACATCAGAAGTGGAAGCCTTCATGTCTGCTCACCAACAGATAAACATCTGGGAGTTGGTGGCCACATAAGCAACTTCTTTGCCAAAACACTGATTCTTATTAGCCAAAGATCCAAAAGTCTCAGGGAGTCTGCTGGTCCCCCAACCACCAAGCCTAAAAAAGTACACTGAATTGCAGTTATACCAAATGCTTTATTTACGCATAAATCAACACAAAGAAAGATTCTGGTGCCCCCATTGAAATGACAATTAGTGTGTCAATAATCCAAGATGGAATCTACTGGGCCAGTATCTGTTTACCTTAATATAGACAGTCCTCTGAATATGTGATCCATTAGATCTATGTGAAGATGTCAACTATAAGTTTATTATATTAAGTCACGATATATTTTTCAACTTTCAGAATTAATGTTTTTGCCTTCATTCTCCCAGAAGTAAAACTTGTCTTATTTTGGCAAGCTTTAAGATTAAGTCCTAGCTTTGGTAGGAATGAAACAAATAAAAATTTCAGTGAACGCATGGATATTTGGAATTATGTGACTTTTGGAAATATTCAATATGTCATTTTTATAGTTTGTGTTGTGTATCATAAGAAACATCCTGGAAGATGAGTTTGGGTAAAAATTGCAAAAAAAATTATCTCAGAATGAAATTTTAATACTTATTTTCCCTCAGCCACAAGCTCATTACTTGAGATTTCATTTGTCAGTCAAGCATAATTTTTACAATTCATCTCTAATATTATTTTTTAAAAACCCGTTGGAATATAGCATGCTGAAGAGAAATAATTGATTAAAATATTGCAAGATGCCTTATGAAATCTCTTTACTTTGCTGCATAAACTTTCAATTCCTTAAAAAAAAAAGACATAAATATCACAGTTCAGAAGGATATCTCTGGTCACTAAAAAGAATGGTCTTCCGAACCTAAAAAAAAAATCAAAAACCGGGCACAGTGGCTCATGCTTGTAATCCCAGCATTTTGGGAGGTCGAGGCGGGTAGACCACGAGGTCAGGAGTTCAAGACCAGCCTAGCCAAGATGGTGAAGCCCTGTCTCTACTAAAAATACAAAAATTAGCCGGGTGCGGTGGCAGGCACCTGTAATCCCAGCTACTCGGGAGGCTGAGGCAGGAGAATCGCTTGAACCCGGGCAGCAGAGGTTGCTGCACTCCAGCCTGGGCGATAGAGTGAGACTCTATCACAACACTGCACTCCAGCTTGGGCGATAGAGTGAGACTCCGTCTCAAAAAACAAACAAACAAAAAATGAAAAACAAACTACCATATGTTAATGAAATAAGAATGTATGGGAATTCTGCATTAAAGGTAGGCATGGAGACATGTTCCACTCTTGCTTTGTGGTATGCCCTCTCTTAAATGAAGGCCAATGTTTCCATAATGAGCTGCAAATAAACTAGCAATTGTGCTCATTTAGTTATTATCAAAGTTGAAGATTTACTATCACAGAGAGTAAAACACTAACAGTTAGTGCTATACCGTGATTCTCAGAGAAGCATTTATATATACAGACATCATAATTAGCCAAAACCACTTTTATGAAAATGTTAGTAAAAAGAAAGTACTACATTCAAGTGTTAATCATCTCAGAATATATTTTATCTTATTTATAATGCCTTCTTTTTATTCAATATCCTTTAAACTTTTAGAGAAAACTCTTAGATAAAATATTTTATTTAAAATTTTTATAGAGCTGTATTTATGGACAGAATGTTTTTCAAATGTCATTAAACCAATTGAAAAGACAATTTTACACTGTTTTGGTCAGTCATCCTTTTCTAAATGATGGAGACTAGATTTAAAACTAACTTAACTCCATGGAAATCCTGTTTAAAAAGCGGAAGGAATCAAAGGCTTATTCTAAAAATTATGTTTCTATATAATAAGAACACTAACATCACCAAAATAAGTGAGATTAAAAATTCTCCTCTTTATATTGGTTCACTGGTTAATTTGGTTTGCATTAGGTATTGTTAGAGATTCGGAACATATTTTAAACTTACTAATGCTATATGTGGATATATATCTACAGATTTATCAAAATGCTGATAGTATGGATACAAGAGAATAGATTTAGTGTTGAAGTCAATGTCTGTACATCTAGTTAAAATCTCTGTTAAAATCCTTAACAAAAATATCAAACTTTTTGTCACCAAAATATTGCTATTAATAGCAACAATGACAGACAAAAGAATTAGTACTAATGACAATTGGACTAGAATTTTAATAAGATAATGATGACTGTCTTCATAGACCATCACCATGGTGGTCCACAGCCTTTAGGGTACACACAGATACATTTGGGCTGGACACCCTAAAGTGCTCTGATGAAAAATGAATGTCAATCTAGAAACTGCAGTCAACAATTTTGCCCACCAAACCACTAAGGTTTCAGAACTTCTTGGTATTCTCTTGATTATGTCTCTGTGCCTGAAAGTTAAAGTTAAGTGAATACTTTCCTTTAAACTTCTTAGATGCTCCAGGAAATGCCATGACTATGGTCTTTGACTTGGTCAAACCTTCCTTAGAAGCATCATTCTAGAATGTGTGCTTCCATCCATAACTCAGGCTTAACAGATTAGTTTTTAATGAGTAGTAAAGACATAAGCTGGACCTTTGTTTTAAAAGCCCTGAGTCCTTTAAGACATTAATTTATTTATCCTCTAACATCAGTTTGTGACAGGGAGAAGACAAAGACTAAAATGTCCAACAAAAACATAGAGTATAGGGTGCGCTTCTTGATTCCACTCTTCAACCCAAAACAGATACACTACTTTTAGCAAAAGAATTTATGTTTTCATTTATCAATTAATTCACTTATTCAAGGGACATTAATTAAAAATACTCTAGGCAGCAAGCATTTTACTAGGCACATAAGATACACAAAAATGAAATTTTAAAATCAATAAAATGTAGTGCCTGCCCTTAAAAACGTTGAGGAAACAAACAGTTGAGACAATTATATTACAATGTAAGGACAGCTCTGATAGAAGTAACAAGGATGCAATGGGAGTCCCATGAACATGACACGCACACCAGGCACGGTGTAAGGGGAGAGGCAGGTCAAGGAAAGCTTCATGTATCAGATGATTTCCAAACTAAGTCCAGAAAGATGAACAGAAGTTAACCAGGCAAAACAGGTGACAACGGCTATTCCAGGCAAAAAGATATACCTGGGAAAGGAGACCATTATTGGAAGTGAGCTTAGGTCAGTGTGACTGGACGATAGGGAGAAGTAAGTAAGAATGGCCAGGTGGAGGCCAATGGAAGACAGAAGCTAAATTAGAACAGTCTCCCGTATCACTGTCTTAGTCTGTTTTGTGCAACTATAATAGAATACGTAAGACTGGGTAGTTTATAATGAACCAAAATTTACTGGCTCATAGTTCTGAAGTCTGGGAAGTTCAATATCAAAGCACTGGCATCTGGCAAGGGCTTTCTTGCTGCACCATAACATAGTGGAAGGTATCACATGGCTGAAGAGCGGAAGAGAAGAGAAAGGGAAAAAGAGAGAGAGAGGGAGGGAGAGAGAGAAATAGAGAGAGCGTGCAAGACAGGGCAAACCCACTCCTTCAATGATGAACCCACTCCTGAGATAATGGCATGTCTTTTCTTGAGGGTGGAGCTCTCGCAATCTAAACACCTCTTAAACGTCTCACCTTCCCAATATTGTCACAATGGAAATTAAATTTCAACGTGAGTTTTGGAGAGGACAAACATTCAAACCATAGCACCACTCTAAAGTGTTCTGGCACATTTTAGAAAGAGAGGGACCCAAAGACTTTAAAGTGGCAAAGTCACCCACCAAGTGACTTTTGTTCTGTTTTTGTGAGTTATTGGCCATACTTTTTATAAGTATGTGCATGCACACGTTACTTATGGATTTATTTTACTACTTTCCTGCTAAGATTACCTAGAATACATTTTTATGCCATTTGCTTTTTAAGAAGACCAGCATAATAAAGCGAGAAAGAAGCAAGGGATTTGAGAGATTATCTAAAGGTGTAATTATATGATTGACTGTGGAATTTCAGTTGAGACAATAAAGAGGAGTAGAAAAGAAGTCAATGAGGGATAGTGACAAAGTCATAGTGTCAGTGGATTCTAGGTCCTAAAGGGATCAAAAGATTGTTGAAATGAAAATACCAAAGGCAGCGAACTGGTCAGAGAGGAGTTGATAGTCTCAGAGAGAAATGCTTGAAATTGAGATATAGACAATTGCATTGCAGTTCTTATATTAGCGTTATAATTGGAGGAAAGCTTCTTCCCCTCTCCCGATGTGAAAAACAAGCTCAAGTACCGGCCCCTCTCTGGCCTTAATTCACTCTACCCCTATGCAGGTTTGCTGATTTACATGAATTGTAAATTTGGAAGAACGACCCACACAGGGCTCAGCTCTGCTCTTTCTTTTTCCTTTTCAGAGCACCTCCTCTCAGAGTACACATGTTTTCTTCTGTCGTCCATGCTGTAAGCTTTGTAGAACCCTAGCCTTGTGTTGGGAGGAGGGGGAAGAGAAGTCTGCCCAATCCACTGCTAGGGAAACGGTGGGTAAGTCTAAGTCTGCCTAATTCTAGAGTTCAAAATTGGCCATTCACATATCTTACAAACTTCAAATTTCCTGTGAGAGTTGGGGGAAGGAGTTGCTGCAGATAATTTGAAACTCAGCACTTACTCTATTCTAGAATATATGAGTCAATTAAGAGTAAGGTGTGTAAACCTAGGAGTCATACAGGAAAGAACCTTCTCCCAGAGACTAAACTACAGAGAAAAACAAGACTGTCCTGAAGCTGAAAGGTGGAATTAAGAGTATACTATCAAAATAAGCATAAACTTATCATTTAGGATCTAGTACATCTGCATGGAATATTACTGGAAAGAATATGGTTGTAGAGTAAAATAAAGATTCCTGTTCTACTTTTCCCACTTGCTTGCAAACTTCTTTAAACTTGATTTTTTCATCTATAAAACTGGGTATTAACATCAAATTTGAAGAATATTGTGAAGGATTTATTTCTTTTCTTTTCCTTTTTTTTTTGTTTTTTTGAGAGAGGGTCTTGCTCTGTCGCCCAGGCTGTTGTGCAGTGGCACAATCTCAACTCACTGCAACCTCCACCTCCTGGGTTCAAGTAATTCTCATGCCTTAGCTGCCCGAGTACCTGGGATTACAGGCGTGCACCACCACACCCAGCTAATTTTTGTACTTTTTGGTAGAGACAGGGGTTTCGCCATGTTGGCTAGGCTGGTCTTGAACTCCTGGCCTCAAGTGATCTGCCTGCCTTAGCCTCCCAAAGTGCTGGGATTATAGGCATGAGCCACCATGCCCGGCCAAGTGAGAGATTTATTTCTAATGGATGTTTGTAAATGTACGGTTGCACCTTAGATATTCACTAAACTGTGGATAACAATGGAAGATGGAAGAAAATGCCTTTTTATAAAATCGGAGTAATGATAGAGAGGGACTTAAAATGATTATGACATGATTTAAACCTATGCCAAGAAAAGAGAAATACATGAAGCTTGCCTCACTGGTATAGTTTGCTTCCTCCAATTCTTCATGATATATGGAAGTTTAGTTCTGTCTAAATGTGAACAACATGGGGAAAGTGGAGCCTCCTGAAAGAAGGGAAAGCTGGTGTTTGTGGACTTGTAAAGATAAGCCTCAGCAGTTAACCTGAGAGTTCTCAGGTTACAGCAGATTTGAAAGTATATCTAGCTTTAGTTTAAAGATCTAAATATGACAAAATGTGAACTCTATCTAAGAATTTAATTTTTATTCTCCCAATCCCTTTTTAACAGATACCCAGAACTTAGCCTTCACTAAAAAAACTATTTGTGAGCCTATAAAGACCTTTACACATGCACTCACCTAACTCAAACCATCTTAAGCTAGTATTCCAATCTTTGATAATCCCCATTGCCTAATATTTATCTATTCATAATTTAAATTAGAAATTTAAATAACATAGTAAAATAAAATGTTTATCACTATGGCATCCATGTGTAAAATTCATATTATCATAAAAGCAAGAGCAGTTTTATGTATTTATTCAATGACTATAGCTTGCCTAACAAGTACACTGTACTTGGTGCAGGAGATATAGCCCATAGGTCCTTTTTTTGGCTTTTCTTTGATGCTGAAGGGGATGACCCAATTCCAAATTAGTTTGTTCAAGACTCAAAGACTGTCTGGAAAATTGTGGCAGGTGATGGAGTCGCATCAGGGAGACAGTCCGGTGCACCACACAAAGAGCAAACCATCCCTTAGAGCCTTGGGCCCTGATCATTGTTCCACTCTTCAGGTTTTTGGTAAGTTGCCTACTAACCCTACTTCAGTGTCTTGGTCTGAATAATGAATTGAGCATCTAAGGTAGAACATGTGTGTGAAAAATAATTTTAAACTACATTGCAAAGGCAACCAACTATTAAAAAATGAACTACTGAAATTGTTTAATTCGTGCCTTAAAGAAGCTTTGTATTACCAAGTTAATTGGTTTAATTCATATGCCATCCCATCTGCCTTTTAACAACTGAAATGGCTTCTTTCCATTTGTGATGGTTTTCTTGTCAAAGCATTGTTTTTGCTTGTTTGTTTCTACTCTACTGATATTATTTGGTGGCATACGTTTTTTGTTTGTTTGTTTTTTACCAAACTAGCTTAAAGATACTTTCATTTAGCTGAGTACATTTGAAAGATCTTTATGGGCTCACAGATTTTTTTTTCAATGAAGACCAAGTTTGTGGTATCTGTTAGTAAGGATGGAGAAAAACAAATCTAAAGTTTGCCTTAGTACACTTTATTTCCATGTTTGTTTTAATTAATCCCTCTTCCAAGATTTCCTCTAGAACATGACCACAGGTCTCCCTGAAAATATTATCATCAACTGATCAACTGTCTCTCAAGTAGAAAGCATACCCTTTTGAATTTGTTCCAGTTGTACACATATGTAACCATTTTATTCCAAGGACCTTTGCTGAGACACACGGCCACAAATACAACATATGGAGATTCAGATTTACATAAAGATACATTGGTAATTTTTTTCTTTATAAAATGATTTGCTACACATTTTTTCCTGCTAACTCTGCTGCATGTCATCAAAAACATTTTTTTTAAATTATTAAATGTCATGTGTAACTCTCTCTGCAAGGTAATATGGAGAATTTACAACTAGGAATGGATAGAGCTACCCAACTAACTGTAACTCAAAATCTTTAAATCCATTTAAAATAGGTTATAAATAACATAAGTATAGGAAGATGGTAGCAACACATTCTGATTGAAATATTAGTGAAGATTCAGAAATTATAATTTCAGCTGAGCATTAACATGCTAGAAGAAACATTTTGATAAATGGTTTAACAGACTATCTTGGTGGCATGCTCTCATTCCCTGCCATTCTTTTTACTGGTTTGACTGATAATCCTAGACCCTAGTTGCTGTGGGGTACATCAGCAGACAGTTTGCATGATTAGCATTCTCTGGGGAATACCCATGGCCAATTGAAGCTGTCTTGCCTCCACTTACCTCATTGGCAAAGGTCAGTAATTGATTCAATGGGGGTACGAAAGCCCCATTTCTTTGTCTAAGGTGGGATAGTGTCTGGGGTGCAATTTACATTCCCCATTGGTTCATATTGACACTGGACTGTTTCTGAAACCACATTGCGCCATAGCTCCCCGTTCCTTTTTCTCTATACTGTTTCCCTTTCTCGGATTTCACTCTGAAGGAGGTATAAGCCCCAGGTATGTTGGTTGGAACCAGGAAATTGTGCCTGAGAGTGATGCTTGGGTGCTGAAGCAAGTGTTTAGAATAAAGCAGAGTTGATTGACACAGGGGCACTCTCCTGTGAGACAGAATCACATGCCCTGGCAAGAACTCTGATGTGCTGCTGGGAAGGCTCACAGCAGCCTGGAAAAGTGTTAGCTCCCCTTAAAAGAACAGCAATACTAGAACTGCGCTGGCAGAGTGTGGAAAAGGACTAAAGGCTCAGGGAAGTGGGCTTGCCAGAATGTACCTATTATGTAAGTCCCCAAAACTCACAACTGACTGTGTTTCTAAGAAGGCCTGGAGTACTGTCCTTCACTTGGTGGGCCTAGTTACTGGTATGGTGGCCAGGAGAAAAGGTGGGAGCAGATCTTGGGGACAGCAAGCTTTGTATGGAAGGCAGATCTCTCTAGGTTGTGTTTCAAAGGTAGATCAGGGGAGTGTGGCCAGATGGATGAAGTCCAAAATACAGTATAGATTAGCTTTTATTAAAAAATAAAAATATATGGGAAATGAAAAGAGAAAAATAGGACGGAATTTAAATCTTTCCAAGAAAATCAGTGGAAAAATAATTCTGCATTGATCAACAATGCCTTCCCCACACGCCCCAACCCCTGCCATGGAGAAAGGCAGCAACGATGAACATTGATTCAACCCAGAAAATTTTGTGTCAAGGCCAAGTCAGGACCTACATCACACAGTCCTGTTCGCTGTTCAGCCCAGTGATCTCGGAGTGGGAGACTGGGGACTTGGCATGTAAACACAAGACTCTGGAAGCAGAAGAGAGCAGAACCTCTACATGGCTGTGAAAGCTCTTATCCACCAGGAAGAAAAACACTGTAGATGGCACTGAGTGTACCGTAACAAGAGCAATTACAGCCAGAGTGATTACAGCTGCAGGGATCAGTGCTTCTGTTATTCCGTCACAGAGGGAGGATTTGGAGTTATTGATACATGGTGCATTGGGAGGGAACATAATGTTGGCCAGAGGGAATGGTGTTCTGTAGCCATGAAAAATACAGTCCTCCTTCCTTGCAACATCTGTCACCTCTGCTAATTCCCAAAGTGTGGTTACTGTTGCTTTTCTCAGAATATATGTTACACTTTCATTTTAGGCAAGATATCACACACACATCGCCCATCAAGCCTCTTACAGCATTTGCTGAGACATATGGGAAGAGGAGCAAGGAGCAGAATATCATGGGAAAAAGTGAAAAAAGAGCAGAAACAAGATCAGTTCTCATCAGTTAACCCAGAGCTCACTCAGAACAGAGTCCCAGGAGCAAGAATGTTTGCGGAACATAAGAAATGTTTGTTGTTTTTATAATATAAACTTCTTGAAGTACACTCTGTCCAACTGCTGCCATTACCTGTGTTTGAAAATCAATACAACATATACAAAGTAAACTACTCATTATTTTGCACACAGTAACAGCTCGACTCCAAGTCCTACGTATAATTTGTAAGCCTTTCATGTTAATAATTTATGTTTTAAGTCCACTGGGCCTGTTTTCTTTAAAAACATTTTTTTAAATCCACTGGAAAAAAAAAGCTGGTTTGATTTAACTTGTTTTTTTCCTAGGGTTTTTTGTTGAAGTAGCCACAAAATACCACCACAATATTTCGTGATCTTTTGTGATCAAGTGCTAACTATTGAGTCTTGCTCTGAAATATTGATTTGTCATCTGAAAGAAAAATTTTCTTTCCTAATCAGCCATCTTCTACTTTGGCATTTATCTTCCCTCACCCATCAGTGTCAGCATGATGATGCCACAGGTGGTAGAGGCAGGAGTCCCTGAAGATGAACTACATCCCAGAATTGTGAGTGATTACATTTTTTCCCCTGAGAAAATTCTGAATGTTTTCTCAGAACTTCATTTACATAACTATCCTTTTGGATCCAGGCCAGTGCTTTTCTCCTTGCAAGTCCTTTGGCATAGCTGATCAGCCACAGACTGCTCCAATAAAAGAGATGGTACTTATGTCAATATATTTTCAAATATCTATCAGCATCTTAGAATGTATTCCTTTTAATGCCTCCCTTCAGAGCTCATGACTCAATCTGAATTAGTTGAAAATTTAGATATTCATTTCTATTTTCCAGAATAAGGAAAATGGAATATCCACAGAGCAAAAGCTCCTCCAGCTCAAAACAAATGGAAATGCTAGGAAAAATAAAAAATACTCTTTTTAAGTCAAAGCTTTGCCAATGAGAAAGTTAAGGAAATTCAGAGGCCCCAAACCACATAAAAAAGCACAAATCTAGAAAGCTGAGCATACACTGAAGCTGGCAATTTCTCTGCAGACTTTGGTCAGTCAGTCCCTGGGAGCCTTTGGTTTAATGAACCATAATGATGTTAGAAGACAAAATCAAGACCTTTCATCATGTGGAAAGATGGACCAAAGATCTAGATAAGTATGATGCCTCCAAAAGTCAACATGCATGATAGATAAAGTTAAAAATCAAGGCAACATAAACACCAAAGGAAGCAGGCAAGAAAATGTGTCTCAGCCTTGGTTAGTGATATAGTTTGGATGTTTGTCCCCTCCAAGTCTCATGATCAAATGTAATTCCTAATGTTGGAGGTGAGGCCTGGTGGGAGGTGTTTGGATCACGGGGATGTATCCCTCATGAATGGTGGTGCCATCCTTGCAGAAATGAGTTCCCACTATATGAGTTCATGTGAGATCTCATTGTTTAAAAGAGCCTGGCACCTCCTCCCTCTCTCTTTTGCTCCCTCTCTTGCCATGCGATACACCAGCGTCCCCTTTGCCTTCTGCCATGATTGGAAGCTTCCTGAAGCTTCACCAGGAACAGATGCTGGTGCCATGTTTGTACAGCCTGCAAAATCATTAGCCAAATAAACCTCTTTTCTTTATAAATTATCCAATCTCATGTATTCCTTTAGAGCAACCCAAGTGAACTAAAACAGTCATAGTTGTTGGCTGAGAGAGACTGCATCCTGAGAATTCATAATCATAAGCTCACACTTGGGTGGACTTGGGGCTGGAATTCACATTTCCAGTGAGGTCCTAATATCCCAAGGTGAAAATCCAGTTTATGGTACTCTTGACTGGGAGTTACTCCAGGCATCTGGCAGAAGCAAAGATAAATTATCTACAGAGAGAAGCATTTTCACTTTAGCCTACTTACCATTAAATTCAGCTAAGTAGGAGTTTGCTAAGATCCCAGTGTTTAGGGGTTTAAATGTCAGTCTGTGTGGGAGCCAGTGACTTAGGCCTTAGGTTTTTGCACAGTGGAAAGGAAGGGAGAGAAATCTGAGACCCCCCTCACAGAGAAGTCACACTTTCAGTGAAAGTATATACTAGAGGAAAATCTGCCTACTTGAGGAAAAACCTCAAAGGGAATTTAAAATTAAACTTCTCTATGTCCACCATAGTTCTGACTGGGAAAAAATGAAATAGTAATAGTCTCCTCTTGGAATTTCTAACCATAGACTAGCCCACGATTGGGCCAGGTTTCAAACGTAAGTTATTTACAAGGTTGTGAAAGATCTATGCCAATAAATTGTTTTCAAGTGGTGTATTACAGGTTGGGCTCTTCAGCAGAAGAACAAGAGTAAGAGATTGAGGCACAGTTGTTTATTAGTGATCAAAGCCTGTGAAAGGAAGCACGAGGGAGCAGGACTGGGCAGAAGGAAAAGATGAATAATGATGCAGGCCCAACAAAGCCCCAGCCAAAAAAGCAGAGAGATACAGAGTATTGTTCATCAGGGTGTCCGAGGTGGTCCATGATAGCCAAACTATTATACCTGCTTCATGACCTCAGGTGCAGTGGCTCTTTGCAGCTGAGGTAGACCCCAAGTGGATAAGTGGAGCTTATCTGTTTAGCACAGAAGTTCCCAACCTTTTTGGAACCACGGACCGGTTTCATGGAAGACAATCTTTCCATGGACCAGGGGGTGGAGGGGGATGGTTTGGGGATGATTTAAGCACATTACATTTATTGTGCACTTTATTTCTATTATTATTACATTGTAATATATAATGAAATAATTACATAATTCATCATAATGTAGTATCAATAGAAGCCCTGAGCTTGTTTTCCTGCAACTAGATGGTCTCATCTGGCGGTGATGGGAAATGGTGACAGGTAATCAGGCATTAGATTCTCATAAGGAGCTCGTAACCTACATGTCTCACATGTGCAGTTCACGATAGGGTTCATGCTCCTGTGAGAATCTAATGCTGCTGCTGATCTGACAGGAGGCGGAGCTCAGGAGGTAATGTGAGCAATGGGGAGTGGCTGTAAGTACAGAGGAAGCTTTGCTCACTTGCCAACCGGCTCACCTCATGCTGTGTGGCCCAGTTCCTAACAGGCCATGGGCCAACCAATCTGTGCCCCAGGGTTTGGGGACCCCTGGTTTAGCATACGCCACAGAGTTAAGCAGCAAGTTCTTTCTTGAAGGGGGATCTGTATGCTGCCTCTCCATGTCTACCACATAGACTCAGGCTGATGGTGCTCTCTGGGGGCTCACAATAGAAAATATTTTCTGGAGAGAAATATTTCTTTAATTTTTCCTTTTCAATTAAGTTCAGCAAGGTATGAGTTCAAAATAATAAATTATCAAATGTAAGCAAATAAGCTAGCAAAAGAATCAGAAGAAAAGATAAAACATTTAGGCACCACATAAGGCATCATACTGAATACAAAATGTTAGTTTAGATGAATTTTAAAAGTAAAGCTATATTGAAAATATGATCAAGAAACAAAAAGCTAACAAATGGACTAGGTAACTTTCCACAATTCTATGCAACTAAAATTGAAATTCTAGTAGAAACTGGTAATTTTCTAGGGAAAAGAGAGTTAGCAAAATTCCCAAACAAGATAAAAAACTCCAAGTAAATAATTTTCCATAAAAGAATTAGAAACATTACAAAATAACTCTCAGGTTAAAAAGTACCAGGCCCATATAGCTTCATGAGGGAATTTTATGATATTTTTAAGATCAAATAATGCTAAAGCTGTTTAAATTATTTTAAGTCCAAGAAGAAGGAATTATGGATACTTCCTTTAAAGATACACAGACATACACACACACACACAGACACACACACTCACACCACATGCAAATGTGCAGTTACCTCAGCCCTAAAGCCAGAATCTTTATATAATGGAAAATCACTAGAGGTTTTCCTAGTAAAATTTGAAATAAGACCAGGATCTATTATTTTCAACACAATTTAACTTTGGATTGGAAACACTAATTCACGTAATCAAATTAGAGATAATGAAAACATGAACTTAGGAGGAAGAAAAAACATCTCTATTTGCAGATTATATAGTTAAATATCTGGAAAATCCAAAAGAATCCATTGGAAAAACTACTAAAAACTATAAAAGAATTTAATAAAGTAGCAGAATATAAACATAAAAATCCATAGCCTCTACAAACAAAATTTAGTTAGAAGAAATGATAGAAAAACAGGACACATTCACAACTTTGCAAAAAATAAAATACCTAAACATCACCTTAAAGTCAGAAGTGCAAAATTTGCATGAGTAAAACTATAAAGCATTCCTGGAAAAAAACACAAAAGTAGATCTCGGTGAACAGAAATACACATCAGGTTCTTACCTTAGAATATTCAACATCATAAAGATGTTAATTCTCACTGGGGCAATTTATAAACCTAAAATAATCCTAATAAAACACCATATTTGTCTTAAGCTACAAGCTGATTAGTTAGCTTATTCATAAAAATAGATAAAAAGTAAAACTTTATGAAAGAAAATCAGTGAGAGGAAGGATGACAAGATGAAATTTTAAAATATGCTATAAAGTCTCTATAAATAAAATAGTGTGGGATTAGTGCATAAACAGACCAATGACCCAATATAGTATATCTGATTATAGACCAAAATATATATGAAATCTCAGTATATGATAAAGGCATCATCTGAAATGGGTGGGGAAGGGACTTTAATAAAGTGTGAGACAATAACTAAATGTAAAAGATAAAATTGAATCCATTCTTCACACTACACACAAGGATAAATTGCAAAAGGATCAGATATCTAAATTTGAATAACAGTTCTAATGCATGTGTATAAAATATATGTATATATCTTGGAGGCTTTGTTTCTTTTTACTCTTTTTTCTCTAAACTTCTTGCTTCATTTCATTCATTTGATCTTCAATCACTGATACCCTTTCTTCCATTTGATCAAATCAGCTACTGAAGCTTGTACATGCATCACGTAGTTCTCAGCTCCATCAGGTCATTTAAGGACTTCTCTGCACTGTTTATTCTAGTTAGCCATTCGTCTACTCTTTTTTCAAGGATTTTAGCTTCTTTGCGATGGGTTCGAACATCCTCCTTTAGCTCGAAGAAGTTTGTTATTACCGATCATCTGAAGCCTTCTTCTCTCGACTTGTCAAAGTCATTCTCTGTCCAGCTTTGTTCCGTTGCTGGCGAGGAGCTCTGTTCCTTTGGAGGAGAAGAGGCACTCTGATTTTTAGAACTTCCAGCTTTTCTGCTCTGGTTTCTCCCCATCTTTGTGGTTTTATCTACCTTTGGTCTTTGATGATGGTGACGTCAGATGGGGTTTTGGTGTGGATGTCCTTTCTGTTTGTTAGTTTTCCTTCTAACAGTCAGGACCTTCAGCTGCAGGTCTGTTGGAGTTTGCTGGAAGTCCACTCCAGACCCTGTTTGCCTGGGTGTCACCAGCGGAGGCTGCAGAACAGCAAATGTTGCTGCCTAATCCTTCCTCTGGAAGCTTCGTCTCAGAGAGGCACCTAGCCTTATGAGGTGTCAGTCGCCTCCCTACTGGGAGGTGCCTCCTTGTTATGCTACTCGGAGGTCAGGGACCCACTTGAGGAGGCAGTCTGTCCGTTCTCAGGTCCCAAACTCAGTGCTGATGAACATGTATGTTTACTGTGGCACTATTCACAATAGCAAAGACTTGGAACCAACTCAAATGTCCACCAATGATAGACTGGATTAAGAAAATGTGGCACATATAAACCATGGAATACTATGCAGCCATTAAAAAGGATGAGTTCATGTCCTTTGTAGGGACATGGATGAAGCTGGAAACCATCATTCTGAGCAAACTATTGCAAGGACAGAAAACCAAACACTGCATGTTCTCACTCATAGGTGGGAATTGAACAGTGAGAACACATGGACACCGGGTGGGGAACATCACACACCGGGGCCTGCCAGGGGGTGTGGGGAGTTGGGAGGGATAGCATTAGGAGATATACCTAATGTAAATGAAATGACGAGTTAATAGGTGCAGCACACCAACATGGCACATGTATACATATGTAACAAATCTGCACGTTGTGCACATGTACCCTAGGACTTAAAGTAAAATAAATACATGTATATATATATATGTGTGTGTGTGTGTGTGTATATGTATATATGTATATAAACATATATAAAATAAATATATGTATGTATGTGTGTATATATATATATGTATATATTTCCAGATTCCACTGACAACTGCTTTGGTAAGTGAATTGGTCAGGCAAATGAACCACTAGAGCAATGAAATTCACTACCTTTTTGTGATGTTTGATTATGTGATAGAGTACATAAAGGGTTACTAATTAACAGTTTTAAAAAATGAACACTCAAAAAATGAATGGTGAGGTGAGAAGAAGGATGAAATCTTGTCATTGTGCTTACTTGACAGACTAGATACGTGGGATGCTTTCCAAAAGCTGGTCATAGGACACTGGAAATCAATATTTTAATAACGTAATAAATTAGCATTTTACCTAAGAGAACACTTTCAACCATATTAGATACTATTACTTACATACAAACATAGTTCTGGTACTCTGTACAAATGACAGTCTACACAAATAACTGCAATAAATTGAAGTTGCAAATAATTGCCAACTATTAATTAGTGAAAATATGAAAGGAGCTCTCTTTTAAATATTTAGAGGCAAATATCATTACATATTGAAAACATATTCTACAATTAAGATTCTATTGTTTCAGAATGAACTTCTCCTTTTCTTTTGCTTTTTCATCTCAGAAAGTCAATTCCTGTAACTGGTATTTTATAAATTCTACTACTGCTGAAAACAAATCACGGGTTTTAATAATCACTTTCCTATAACTTAAACCCTCAAATTAATCCAAAAGTTAGAAGCAGTGATTGGCCACAGTGCTCCAAAGGAGATTTTAGGAGCTTAAAAAAATACAAATAGAATCCTGCTATGATCTCAACCAAATAAGACCCATTGAAGCCACTGCACGCAAAGAGGTGAAAAAGGATAAGGCCACTTTTTCCCACAGGTTGTCCAGTAATTCGAACTAGATAAAATGCAGAATGCACTCTTCTGTGTCAACAGAAATACATAGCAAGCAACCATTAGTTTGTTTATTGAGTTTTTTAAATGCACATCACATAGTTTTATTTTTTTTTAATTTTTTTATTTCCATAGGTTATTGGGGAACAGATGGTGTTTGGTTACATGAGTAAGTTCTTCAGTGGTAATTTGTGAAATTTTGGTGCACCTATCACCCAAGCAGTATACATTGCACTCAATTTGTAGTCTTTTATTTCTCACCCACTTTCTATCCTTTCCCCGAGTCCTCAAAGTCCATTGTGTTATTCTTAGGCCTTTGCATCCTCATAGCTTAGCTCCCACTTATGAATGATAACATACAATGTTTGGTTTTCCACTCCTGAGTTACTTTACTTAGAATAACAGTCTCCAATCTCATCCAGGTTGCTGCAAATGCCATTAATTCATTCCTCTTTATGACTGAGTAGACTTCCATTGTATATATATATGTCACAGTTTCTTTATCCACTTGTCGATTGATGGGCATTTGGGTTGGTTCCACATTTTTGCAATTGTGAATTGTGGTGCTATAAACATGTGTGTGCAAGTATCTTTTTTGCATAATGGCTTCTTTTCCTCTGGGTAGATACCCAGTAGTGGGACTGCTGGAGCAAATGGGAGTTCTACTTTTAGCTCTTTAAGGAATCTCCACACTATTTTCCACAGTGGTTGTACTAATTTACATTTCCACCAGCAGTATAGAAGTGTTCCTTGTTCACCACATCCATGCCAACATCTATTATTTTTTTATTTTTTGATTATGGCCACTCTTGTAGGAATAAGATGGTATCACATTGTGGTTTTGAATTTGCATTTCCCTAATCCTTAGCGATGCTGAGCATTTTTTCATATGTTTGTTGGCCATTTGTATATCTTCTTTTGAGAATTGTCTATTCACATCCTTAGCCCACTTTTTGATGCGACTGTTTGTTTGTTTGTTTTCTTGGTAATTTGTTTGAGTTTGTTGTAGATTCTGGATACTAGTCCTTTATCAGATGTATATATTGTGAAGATTTTCTCCCACTCTGTGGGTTGTCTGTTTACTCTACTGGCTCTTCCTTTTGCTGTGCAAAAGCTCTTTAGTTTAAGTCCCAGCTCTTTCCACACTCACATCAAAAGATTCATGTTTAAATGTTTCAGTGCTCATCTTGTCATTACTAGTCATGCCTTCATGTTAAAATCAAATTTTTTACTCTCATATAAGCCTGCTGTTGTCTCCCTACTTGTAACTATAATTAACATTAGAATTGCTGGGTATTAGAGATTATAGATGATTCACACACTAGAGGAAAATTCTTCGGCATTTCTACTTTTTTAAAATAAATACTCCTTGTTATATCTTTCTGAATTTTATAAAATCTATTGTCCTTGCTTTGAGTTTTCTTTTTACAGGTGGAAAACCTCTTTAAAACTGTGTGCAGTAAACTCTTAAGAGTAGATGAAGAAGGGTGAGCTTGAATAAAGCATAGAAAATCATGACTAACCAATCCAATAGCAGATGTTTCTATTATTAAATAGAGATATTTAAAAATGTATTAGAAACTTGTGAAATAGAAGGACATTTAAGGCACTTAGTCTCAATCTTCCTTCTACATCCTTACACCTCTATAAATTCCACCTTCTTTAACAAACCCAGGCTTTTAGGTTTGAAGCACACTAAGCAATCACTCACCTACTGAAGTTGAACATTTATATAAATAAAACGGAAAATCTGCAAATCATTTTGCTTATTTCCATAGACAACAGATAAGGCTAAAGTAAGGATAGTCAAAGTTACCTCCATTCTTTCTTACACGCTCAACTTTCTGTATTGATCAGGAGGACACATTTCAGATTATTCTTATTAGCTTTGTGACTTATAGTTTCATTTGTATTTTAATCAACTTTCAATTCAACAAGTATATTTTTGGATATGTAATTCTAACTCAGCACCATGCTAGGCTCTGTGGGGTAACAGAAGTAAAGATAAGATTTTATATTCTTATAAGTAAAAAAAAAAAATCTGGAAATAGGAGGAATGTTGCTCAGTTTAAAAATGCATCATTTTGAATGACATAGGACAGAAGTATTACACTTAGAAACAAAAGGTAGGCAAAGAACATGACTGCAAGGCTAGGTTTTGGTGAATACTTCTGAATGCAGAAATACAGCCTACTGCTTTTCTTATCAGTCAGTATCCAATGAGGAAAACATAAATCATTCTAGGTATTTCTAACAATGGGATTTAACATAGGGAATTGGTAACAAATGTGTTACAAAGGTTGACCGAGCAAAAGGGAGGATATTATCCCAAGATCAGGAAGCTGCTACAACTGCTGGGACAGAGCTACGAGACTAGATTCATCACTGACTCTGCTGGGGATTCAGCCATTGCAGCTAAGAAGCAGCTGCCCTTGATCCCTTTACTGGAGACCCCTGTGCTAACTCTATGATATCCTCAGCTCTCACTGAGGATGCTGGAGCCAAGGCTACCACTGAGAAACCTGGAGTTGCCTGTCACAGCCAGAAGCAGAAGTGTCTCCCTTCCTCCTGCCTTCTAATTTTGCTTCAGTACCTCCCACGGGTGGCACCTATCTAAAAGCCAATAGTCAAGACATTCTAGGAAAGTGGTTTCAATCTTTCTGGAAACAAAGACAGCATGGAACATTCTGTGTTTGAGTGCTAGCAGACAGTACCTGGCGTATGTACAGATTTTAAGAAGAAAATAATGAGGTAACAAAGACAGCATGGAACATTCTGTGTTTGAGTGCTAGCGGACAGTACCTGGCGTATGTACAGATTTTAAGAAGAAAATAATGAGGTAACAAAGACAGCATGGAACATTCTGTGTTTGAGTGCTAGCGGACAGTACCTGGCGTATGTACAGATTTTAAGAAGAAAATAATCAGGTGAAAGTAATGTCATCAAAACAGGCTTGTATCTTAATAGTTCTGGGTTAATACAAATAAAAAATACTCAATATAAGAACTCTACATCATTTCAAGAAAAAAAATTCTTAAAGAATGATACATAATAAAACAGGCAGTTAACTCCAACTAGCTTTTAAACTCTGTTTACTGGAAAAATTCATGTGGTTTGGAATTGAGCTAATCTTCAGAGTTGAAGGAATTTTCTAATGTGGAAATTTACTTCTTAGTGAAACAAGTAGATGAAATAAATCATTTATTCATCCATTCAGCAGTTTCATAAGGGATAGGCTATATGCATTATTCTAACTTCTGTGGATAATGCCTGAGGACACCATGGCCTCATCTGCAACTTCAGGCCATATTATAATGTGATATAACAGATATATTGTATATGCAAAATACAATGGGGCATAAAGATGAAGTGAGGGAGAACATTAGAGGGCAGAAGAAACAGTATGTGCAAAGCTACAGATGCACCAAAAAAAATATGACGAGTTTGGGAAATACTGTTTTCTTTCAGTGTGAAAGGCTCTGGAGTGACTGGTATTTCTCTCTTTCTCTTTTGTTTTTACACAGTGATCTTTAGTTTTTAATGCAAATAGTAGGAAAAGATAATTATTTTCAGTATCATTTCAGTATTTTAATTGTATATATTTATGTATTTACAGTATACAATGTGATGTTTTGATATATGTATACTGTGAAATAATTAAATCAAGCTATTTAATATATCTATCACCTCCTTATCATTTTTTGTGTATTGAGAACATGTAAGATCTCTCAGCAATTTTCATATATACGTTATTATTAATTATAGTCACCATGCTGTACAATAGATTCATAGGTCTCCAGAACTTATTGATTCTAACTGAAACTTTGTCCCCTTTGATAAACATCTCCCCATTTTCTGCCACACACTCCTCCTGCCCCCAGCCTCTGGCAACCACCATTCTACTCTCTGTGGGAAATATTATTGAAAGGTTTTTCACAATATCCATTTCACCTTGTTACTTTCCTGCATCCAAAACCCCTCAATGGCTTCCCTTCACACCAAAGGAATCCCAAAGTCCCTACAGGGCCCCTGTGTGATCTGGCTCCTGGCTACCATTTGGATCTCATCTCCTCCCATACTGGCTTTCTTGCTGTTCCAACTTTAAGGTTGCGACTCTTGCTGTTCCCTCTGCCTAGAACTCTCCACCCCCAGGTATCTGTCTGGCTTGCTTCTCTGCTTCAGCTGGGTTGCTCCTCAAATCTCACCCCATCAAAAAGGTCTTTCCTGATCACTGTAACTAACTGAGCTTCTCTCTTCTTACCTTGATTGCCTTTTCTTAATGGTATTTATCTATTTTTATATACTTATACATATATATTTTTATATTTTATATACTTATATATTACATACCCATCCATTGATATTACACACCTATACATTGTCTCCTATCTTACACATACACATGAGGGGGCAAGCCCGTTGCTTTATTTGCTGCTGTAACTCAGCACCTAGAACAACCTGGTACATGTTAGATACTCAATCATTACTTGCAAAATGAAACAATAAATAATCGAATGAACAGATGAATCAATGGGTAGGAGAAAAAGGTAAAGACGTAAAGACTCAGATGGGGTTCCATGGTGGGAAAACAGAATGCAATATTAGGATATCAGACTCTGGTATTTGAGGTCAGAGAAGTGCTAGGAGAGTGGGGGAGGAAAGGATACAAAGAGAAGGTAAAGAGGAGCCTTGATCACTTTTCCAGGTTCTGATTTGCCTGGAATTGGCCCTTTGGCAAATCATTTTGGGTTTTGGATCAAATAGGAAATGCTTTTGGTATACTTATGAGATTTTCAAGGAGGAAACTCTACATAGACTCACATCAAACTTGAGCCTAAAATTTTAAAAAAGAAGACATTTACTTCCAAATACTGTAGCAAGAATAAAATATGCTAAAGATAAAAATATCACAGAACTGTGGTTGAATGACTAACTGTGAAATCCCCTGCCTATCCTCCCTTCCCAATCACTGTCACCCATAATAACTGCAGGGAAGTCTCCTGGAGGTACATATAGTGAACAAGTGATCAGTTCCAAAGGAAAAAAGGTGGTGGAGAGGATAAAAATTAGAATGATGACATGGCAAGTAGCATTAACATCAGAAAAAGGAAAGAGCTAGGAATCCAAGTCAGCCTGGCCAGCACAAGCAACAGCATAGCTCCAACAGCTGCTCCCTGGCATGTACTGAGGAGGCTTTTCTTCTAAAATAACTTCTCCTAGATGACCTCACTTCTCATCTGATACTCTCTCTCATTCCCTCCTTCTCCCTCCCTAACCTTGGAGGCTGAGCTTGTTTTCCTTGGTGCCTTGCCAAGAACAAGATATAAATTCCACATAAAAGTGAAACACATCCCTGAAGTCCTCCTTGACAATGAACCTTCCTTTAAGAGTTCGGTTTCCTGGCTGCTTAGTTAACAGGACTTGCATATGTTTTATAAATTTATTCAAAGCATAAGACACTTAACAGAGGACATTAGAGAAATAAAATTAGAACACCATTAATGAATTTTACCATGTTCTATATGGTTTTGTTCTACTACACTTTAAAGCTTTTGAGAGTGAAAAGAAAAGGGAAACAGAGTAAGAAAGCTTATTAAAATATATGCATAATAGGCCAGGCATGGTGGCTCATGCCTATAATCCCAGCTCTTTGAGAGACCAACATGGGAGGATCGTTTGAGGCCAGGAGTTTGAGACCAGCCTGAGCAGCAGAGCAAGACCTTGTCTCAAAATCAAGCAAACAAAAAATACGTGCATAATATAAAAAATTTTTCTGGTTTCAATCCAGTGAAAGTGCTCTTCAATTCTCTACCTTTTGCCAAATGAATTGGGACAAAAATGCCGAAGCATTACCCTTATGGTAGAGTTGCCAGGTTTGGTAAATAAAAATACAGCAAATGAATATTCAAATTTAACTGGGCATTCTGGTTTGTTTGTTTGTTTGTTTGTTTGTTGGCAACTCTGTCCTGTAGGGCTCTTGCTTATAGGACATCCTTAAGAACATGGCTCTAGACACAGCTCTGTAACCTTAGTAAATAATTTAATCTCATTAAGCCTCAGTTTCCTCATCTACAGAATGAGTTAATAATAAAGCCTACCTCATAGGATTGTTTTGAGAATTAAATGATTTAATTTATATAATGCTATACAAAGTGGTGTTTCACACATAGAAAGTATTCAATTAGTTATTATTGCTAAAGAGATGGTGAATTGTTTAAATCAATGCATTTGATTGATTATTAGAAGATTATTTGCCAGTAAAACTTAACCAAATGTCCCTGGTTTGGGTTTGTTTAGTATTTTTAACTTTAGGAATTGCTCTTGAAAGTAATAACAGGAGCATATACAATTTTTACTCAAATACTTAAAATATCTACACTTCAGTTCTACATTGGCTACAGAGGGATGTATGGAAAAGGAAAAGGACTAAGAGAGAAGAACACAAACTTGATAAAAGAAAAGAAAAAGACAAGGGAATGTGTTTCACTTGACCTGTACACTTTTTATAAATGTTTATTTTCCAACACTTAAAACTGGGGGAATTCACATAGTTATATAGAATTCTGGCTTCTCTTGACAAATCAGATCTTTGTCCCCCACCACAACCCCCATCCCAAGCCTTGGGTAGCAGTTGCTCTCTTTAGGTCTAGTATGTGCATTCCAGTTTAGCCATACTGTCCCCCAGACACAGAGGCCTGGTGCCACTCGCCATTAACCAATACACTTGCATTGTTGTTATTTTTATATTTGCTCAACTTCACTCATTCATTTTACCTGCCAAGTACAACAGTTGGGGCCCAGGTGTGGTTTAAGATTGCATTGACCCTTCAAATAATCTCTAACAGCAACCCTAAGCCACTCAAATAAACATATAGTCTAACTAAATAAATAATTAGTGCTTTTAGTGAGCTAAAGGCAGTTAAGACAACTCGCCTGGGCCAAGACTTCAAATGTTTATACTTAGATACCTCCTAAAAAATGTTGAAAACTTTGTGCTCCTTGCACATGTTTATGTTCAAATCTAAAATTTCGTATCATGTTTAAACAGTTGAAATGATATTATTTTTGGCAAAATGTCACAGTCTACCTTCCATCTTGAATTTCCTCCATATTCTGATTAAATTCTCTTTTATTTACATACTATAAAATTCTCTCTCTGTGGTGTGCAGCTCTGTAGCTTTTTCCGTAGTCATGTATCCAGTACAAATTCCATCATCCCTACAGCAGAACAGTTCCATCATCCCTCATCTCCCTCAAGATGCCCCTTTGTACTAATGCTTTGTAATAGTCAATATTCCTTCACAAAGTAGAGATACTTGAAGAGCAGTGTAGTACATAAATTAGATTATAGAATAAAATAAATTATAGCCTTATGGCAGGCAGTACCAATTGTGTTTCAATAACCATTTGCCCCTTCTTTCATAGTTTAGGACCCCCAATTTTTAGTGGGTCACTTGGTCTGAGATTAAAGTTTATACTTTTCAGGCTCCTTTGCATCTAGCTTTGGCCATTGTGGCTAAGCTCTGGACAACAAAGCAAAAGTGAAAATATTTAGCAACATACACAGACCTTATTTACAAGGTAGCTGCTGACTACCCTTTGCCCCTTTCTTCTTTGTCCCTATCTCTATTGCCCTAGCTGAAACGGGGACATGATTGTTAGCTCTCTAGCTACCATCTTGGGCCATTGAGACAAGAGCTACAGTACAGAGTCCATGTTCAAAAGGGTTGTCTGGAGCTGAACCACCATTTCAATCCTAGACTGCCTATCTGAATTGTTAGATGAAGGAAAAATAAGCATCTATCTCATTTAAGCCACTATATTTTATTTTGTTATTTATTTGTCTATTAATCATAACAATCTAATGATAATTATTATACCAGTTGATGTTTTAAATAGTATTCCTTTGAATCCTATGCCATTGTCATCTGGTAGGTCCAAAATGGGAAGTTATTGAAAATTCCTTGGAATTTTAACTAATACATACTCATGGAAGGTGGACGGGGGAGAATCGGAATATATAAAGAAATAAATAAAAATTAATTTTTGGTCACATTACTAAAGATAAATGACCTTAACATCTTGCTATATGTATTAACATTTTTCTTTATGCATAAATGTGTCAAAATTAACTTTTTAGTATTATTGTCATCCTATCTAGGACATAGTATACAATTAGAGGAAAACCATTAATTTTGCAGATCATGACCACTGTTTAGAATTTATCTATTTAATATCGTATTCCCAGAGGGTCAATTGAGATCGTCCTGTAACTTTAAGTTTGGCAGCAGATAATTGGCTTCAAGCTTTTGGATTATCATACATGTCTTTCTCCCATGAAAATATAACTTTGGCTCTTTTGGATATTAAGATGTATAAACTTATCTTTAAAAATAAACTGAAATAAAAATAAGCTATCTTTCATTACCCAAGCTTATTATAGGAGTTTGGTGATCCATATGTTGATTCTAAAGATACTTTTCAAAAGCCATATCCATACATAAATTTACACTGGCAACATTTCTTTCTTCCTGTGTAGTGCTTTAAAATTCAAATACAAAGAGACCATCCCTAAATTATCTTGCCTTGTGAGTGACATCCTCCATTAAGGCCTAAATTTACCTCCAGCCCACATAGATCCAGTGTTCATAGAGTTTGCTGCTTTGAATTTTAATAGCTGGAATAAAGAATAGTGAAAAAGAGGTTTAAGAAATTACTTGTGCTGAAAAAAACTCAGCCTCACATTAGTTTAGATATCCTTTATGAACATCTAGCTTCGAAGAAGGAGATTTACAGAGGAACTGATTTTGACTTGGGCTTAAGGAATACAAGGCATGAGTCATATACCCATAGCAAGTGGCCTGTGTTTTGTCACCTGAGATCAGGCATGGCATTGGGGAAAACTTTCCTGTGGCACCTCCCATATAATTAAGCTGGAGTTAAAGGGAGTAAGGTGAAACAAGATTTCTGTGGCATGTTCCTATATAAGGAAATTTCAAAATGTATTATAATAACATCTGTGGAAATAAGAAATACATGTCTGGTAAAAAAAATTAACTGAAATTTCTACACGTTAAATGAGAGAATGTTGTACAAACAAATGATAAAGATGGGTCTCCATCTTCATTGAAAACATAACAGAAGGACATAGGCCTTGTCTGTAACATGAAAGAGGTGAGTTATATTTCAGAAATTTCCTAACAGGGAGGAGGCAGTGGACAGGGTTAACAAGTGAAGGTATTGGGGTTCTATTAGTGAAAGCATTTTGGAATCTATATTCACCCATAGGAAAGTAGTTTTTGTTTTTGTTATATTTTGTCTTTTAGAGCGAAAAGTAGGAAAATACGCTTGGTTACTAGCCCAGTGGCTATTTGCAATGTTCCTTCCAGGAACCACCTTATTCCCCAATTAAGAGGCAGGTGAGAAGATTCACCTCCAACAATTGTGGGAAAAACAAGGCTCACTGTAGAAATAGAAAGCTGTGCAGACACAGTGGGTGAATGTTATGAGACAGAAACCCGAAAGGAGAAGAGAAAGGTTGTGAGATGATAGGCAGTGGACAGAAGAGAGACAGACACTAGAAGTAAGAGCTTGGAGGGAAACGGGAGGACTGGATCTGGGTGCCCCACTTCTCCAGGATGAGACTTGAAAGAGAGGAGAGGCAGAATCTGCAGGACTGTCTAGGTCTCGGTATGTTTAGACAAAGTTTGCTGGTAGCTCAGCTCACCTCCAAGTTCCCTCTCTCATTCTGGCTGCTATGCGCTGCTTCCTGGTCTGCCAGGCCCCAACCCCCCAGCACCCTTGCACACCTATTTAAGTCTCTCTCTCATCTAAATCCCTCAAAACTCACAAATTACGGGAGGTCTACATTCATATTGGTCTTTTTTTGGTTGGCTTTCTCACATATGCTCACGAAAGTAAGTTCTATCATTATTTGTTCATTTTTAAACTCCTGACAATTTTTTTATTTCTTCCTTTCTCTGTCATCCTCTCCCATTGTCACTACATTGTATTCCCATTTCCTGGACCTTGAAGGTATCTGATAAGGGTGCAATAATGCACACAAACAAACAGGTTGTTCAAGTAACTCTAGATATTCCAGGATTCTACACCCAGAGATTTTAATTCAGTAGATCTAAAAAATGGCTTGATTCTACATTTTTTAAAGTTCTTTTGGTGATTCTAATGGACTCCTACTTGGGAACAACTAGTTTGATCGATAATTTCAAAGGGAAGTTATAACTCATCCAAACACACATATCAAAATGAAAAACAGGAAGTCCTACCCATAGCAATCAGGAAAGATAAAAAAATAAAGGGAATCCAAATTGAAAAAGAGGAAGTCAAACTGTCTCTGTTTGCTGATAATATGATCTTATACTTTTCATTTTCTTTTTTTCCCTGTCTTTATCTCCTTTCTTCTTTCCTTCTCTCCTGCCCCCTCTGACTATACTATGGATTTACAAACTGAAGTGTCTACAAAAGTTAGGCCAATGTTGACTCCAGAACTTTTACACAAGAGGAGCTAAAGGCCAGCAACAGTAAAAGGAAAGACAGCAAAGTCAGCAATCTTCAACCTAAAGAATGCATGGCCCTGGGGTACAGTGGGCATGGGAAGACTTTCAAGAAATGCAAGGATACTAATAGTTTTAAAAGAATCAATTTTCCATACTCTCAACATTCTTTTCTAGCATCAAGTAGATTCTGTAATCCATCTCCCTTTTCACAATATCATTCTCCTAATAAAAGTCATACCTTTAGCAATTAGGAATTTCACCATAGTACATTTCTCCAGGGGAGTAACAACTTCCAAGGTAAATAGCTAAGGAGAAATTACAAATACTGCTATTGGGAAACCTTTTTACTGAGTAATAACAGTAATTTAACCCCATTTAATTAAAACTGCCTGCCTTCAGTTTTGTATCAATTTGGGGTAAGAATGAAGAATTTGGTTTATTTTGGAGCTTCTTAGGATGGCCAAAAGTCAGATGTATTGTAGACCCATGGCCAAAAGAAGTGGTGATTTTACCTTTATAATTTTGAACCCTCAATCCTTAAACTATTAGCAAAGAAGTAATTGCTCAGGAAGGGGTAAGCAAAGCAAGTAGGTAATGCAAAAAATATATAAAGACTGAAATGGATTTTTTTTAACTTAAATGTGAGCATTTTATTTTCCATTTTTCTCAGCATTCATTATCAGAAGGAATAATTATCTGGAATGAAATCACCTCCAAACAACCAAAGAACAAGAAGTACCACAACATTCTAACTAGAATAAATAAAACCTGCAGATGCAAATTTAATGTGAAATCATTTACATTTTCTATAATTAAAGCATATAAAAAGGTAATACAATTAACATGTTATCCAAAATATATAATGAAATATATATTTTATATGATGTGTATATAATGAAGGCTTATTCCAACTATATTCATTCTTATTTCATCTTTTTTTTTTTTTTGAGATGGAGTTTCACTCTTGTCACCCAGGCTGGAGTGCAATGGCATGCGATCTCTGCTCACTGCAACCTCTGCATCCTCGGTTCAAGTGATTCTCCTGCCTCAGTCTCCTGAGTAGCTGGGATTGTGGGCATGAGCCACCACACCCAGCTAACTTTTTTTTTTTTTTTGAGACGGAATCTTGCTCTGTTGCCCAGGCAGAGTGCAGTGGCACAATCTCAGCTCACTGCAAGCTCCACCTCCTGGGTTCACACCATTCTCCCGCCTCAGCCTCCTGAGTAGCTGGGACTACAGGTACCTGCCACTGCACCTGGCTAATTTTTTTGTATTTTTAGTAGAGGCAGGGTTTCACCATGTTGGCCAGGCTGGTCTAGGACTCCTGACCTCAGGTTGTCTGACCACCTCAGCCTCTGAAAGTGCTATTTGTTTTGACCAATTTCTCCCATTTGGAATGAGTATATTTACCCAATTCCTGCACCACATTGTAAGTCCAAAATGATCTCCTTTGACTCTGTGTCTCATATCCAGGGCATGCTGATGCAAGAGGTGGGCTCCCAAGGCCATGAAAAACTCTGCCTCTGTGGCTTTGCAGGGTACAGCCCCACTCTGGCTGCTTACACAGCTGACACTGAGTGCCAGCAACTTTTCCAGGAACATGGTACAAGCTGTCAGTGGATCTATCATGCTGGGGTCTGGAGGACAATGACCCTCTTCTCACAGCTCCACTAGGCAGTGCCCCAGTAGGGACTCTGTGTGAATACTCTTACCCCACATTTCCTTTCAGCATGGCCTTAGCAGTGGGCCTCCATGAGGGCTCCATCCCTGCAGTAAACTTCTGCCTGGACATCCAAGCCTTTCCATACATCCTTTGATACCTAGGTGGAGGATCCCAAACCTCAATTCTTGTCTTCTCTGAACCCACAGAACCAAAATCACGTGGACGCTGCCAGAGCTTGGGGCTTGTACTGTCTAAAGCAATGACCTAAGCTGTATCTTGGCCCCTTTTAGCCATGGCTAGAGTGCTGGGATACGGGGCACACAGCAGGGGAGCACTGGACCCTGCCCTGGAAACCATTTTTCCCTCCCAGGCTTTCAGGCCTGTGATGGGAGGGCCTGCTGCCCTGGAGGCACTTTCCCCATTGCCTTGGTGATTAGCATTTGGCTCCATGTCATTTATGCAAATTTCTGCACCCGGCTTGACTTTCTCCCCAGAAAATGGGGTTTCTTTTCTATTGCATCATCAGGCTGCAAATTTTCCCAATTTTTATGCTCTGTCAACTCTTGAATGCTTTGCTGCTTAGACATTTCTTCTGCCAGATATCCTAAATCAACTCTCTCAAGTTTAAAGTTCCACAGATCTCTAGGGCAGGGGCAAAATGCCAACAGTCTCTTTGATAAAGCATAATAAAGTGAACTTTTTGCCAGTTTCCAACAAGTTCCTCATCTCCGTCTGAGACCACCGCAGCCTGAACTTCATTGTCCATATCACTAGCAGCATTTTGGTCAAAGCCATTCAACAAGTCTCTAGGAAGTTGCAAACTTTCCCACATATTCCTGTCTTATGAGCCCTCCAAGTCTCTAGGAAGTTCCAAACTTTCTCATGTCTTCCTATCTTCTTCTAAGCCCTCCAAACTGTTCCAACCTCCTCTGCCTGTTACCCAGTTCCAAAGTTGCTTCTACATTTTTGGGTATACTTATAGCAGCACCCAACTCTGCCAGTACCAATTTACCTTATTAGTTTGTTCTCATGCTGCTAATAAAGAAATACCTGAGACTGGGTAATTTATAAAGGAAAGAGGTTTAATTGACCGACAGTTCCACATTACTGGGGAGGCCTCAGGAAACTTACAGCTGTGGCAGAAGGAACTTTTTTCATAGGGCAGCAGGACAGAGAATGAGTCCCAAGCAAAGGGGGAAGCCCCTTACAAAACTATCAGCTCTTGTGAGAACTTACTATCACAAGAACAGCACAGGGGAAACGCCCCCCAAGATTCAATTATCTACACCTGGTCCCGCCCTTAACACGTGGAGATTATTATAATACAATTCAAGGTGAGATTTGGGTTAGGGCACACAGCCAAACCATATCATGGAGTTAGTTCTGACTTTTCATACACAATTATTTTTTAATCATTCCCAAAAGCTGAGCATCACAGTCTAATATAAGCATGGACACTTACTCAAGGAATACAATGACTTTTAGCATGCTCTTTACCTCATAAAAAAATTAGTTTCAGCTGCTCATACATTACTAAAAATTAAGTAATGAATAAGAACATAAACTTTTTGTTCTTATAACCTTCCAAAGACACAAATCACAGTTATATTAGTATTAATTATGTTAGTTCCTAAATCATTTTAATCTTGAATTGACTATTTGCAGTAATCTTTTATGAGATATAATAATTTATCTTGGGCATTTTATTACATTTTAAAAAGTTATATTAACAGGTTTATGAAAATTGGAAAAGGAAGCCAGACGTTTCTGATAGAAATGAAGTCTAGTTTGGTGGACTGTGTTGACTGAGAGAACTGGCTTTGATAATTACATTATATGGTAGGCATTTTGCATAAATTTGTATTAGTTCAGGTCTTCCATGAAGATGTGCCAAGACATGGTTAGATGCACAAGTGACTAATTGGGGGTAAAATCCTACAGACAATAAAGGGGAAGGAGCAAGATATGTCAGCACAGCCTGCAGACCACAATGTAGGTCTGACACATGTGAAAGATGAGTGGTAAAGAATTATAGGATAGGAAGAGTCTCAGGCAGCAGTGTAATTCTGTGAAAGTTTTGGCTAGGGCAAAGGAAACCCCTGAGCTAACGTTTCCTCTTAGAGGAATCCCATACCTTCAGGGACAAGCCAGCATTATTAAACCCATCACTGGTTGGGAGCAGCTCAAGGGAAGTAAAGCCTCTATGCAAGCCCAGTGGTGGATCCACAGAGTACCAGCTGGGACTATCAGTCTAGTCTGCTTCCGACACCAAGAGATCTGAGAGGCATGTTCCATAGCTGTGGAAAACTGAATGAGTTAAATCCATAATCTTATAGTTTTATTTTTTCAGAAAAAAAAGGTATTTAAAATACGTGATAAGATAAAAGCATTCTTAACCAAAATATTGTATTGGCAAAGCTGTTCTTAAATGAATAATATTTTAATTTTCACAGACTTTTCTGGGTATATTGGATTAAAAAGGTGTCTCCAAGTGAAAAACTAATAGTTGCAATTAACAGTCATTTGATAAGTCTTATTAATTATCAGGATTAGGAAAATAAATTATTATAATGACTGAGTAATGAATCCTGTTGTGAGTCAGGTGGCTTTCCATTCTTTGCCTTTAAAAAAAATGAAAGAAGAACCTAATTGAGTCATCAGCTGATGTTTAAATTAAAATAATTTTTGGAGACTAGAACACTATATGATTTTGGGATACAATTCAAGCATTTAAGGAATTAAGTGACATAGCCAAAAACTTGAAATTCCAGTTTATATGAATGTTTTTTTGCAGAGAAATTTGATATATGATAAATAAAAGACTTTCAAGCATAAATGTATACTATAGTAGGATAAAATTCTGTGAATAAAGTAGAATTGAGAAAGTACATCATGTACACATCATACTACTGAAAAGGTATTCGGTTAAGCCGATCATGAAGAATATCAAATCACTATTATATCAGTTTTGACTTGGAGATTTAGAGAACTGGAAAGAGCATTAATCTCACTCTTGCAAAAGGAAAAATCTAAAACAAAAATGTGAAATTAACAAGTTTCCTTTAACCAATCAGACAACCAAGGGCACAAGGCAAAGAACTAACCTAAAATCTTGGAATGAGACAGGTGCCTGAAGGGAGAAGCATTTGCTTATCTAGAACAGGTGCTATAAGATACCACAGGGGCCAGGCGTGGTGGCTCACGCCTGTAATTCCAGCACTTTGGGAGGCCCAGGCGGGTGGATCACGAGATCAGGAGATCGAGACCATCCTGGCTAACACAGTGAAACCCCATCTCTACTAAAAATACAAAAGAATTAGGCGGGCATGGTAGTGGGCACCTGTATTCCCAGCTACTCGGGAGGCTGAGGCAGGAGAATGACATGAACCTGGGAGGTGGAGCTTGCAGTGAGCCGAGATCTTGCCACCCAAAGTCAGCCTGGGTGACAGAGCTAGACTTCGTCTCAAAAAAAAAAAAAAAAAAAAGATACCACAAGGCCAGTAAAAGGGTCAGCTAAAAATTTTTAATGAATTACAAAAGGATGAGTGTAGCCTAGTATAACAATGTGAAGTTCCTGAGGGCCACAGATATATGAGGCTTCCTAATCTCTTGCAGCCTTTTCTCCATAAACCCAACAGACATAGAAATGACTGACACAAATCCAGAAAAATCTCCCCAGGGGTGCTGTTTGGGTTGCTGTTTGGCCACTGCTGAAATGCCACCCAGACCTATCTCCCTGGTGTCCCCATAATTTATAGGGAAAAGAAAAGCAACAATAAAAACAAATATGTCAGCTTAGAACATGTAGGGAAACCCATCATAGCTGGAGGAACGGAACATGGAGGAGATAGTTCCACCTTTGTGGTACAGATAGGAATACCTGATAGACCCAGCATGACTGCTGGAGGAGGGGCAGGAATACTTTGGAAAGCCATATTCCTGAAAACAAAAGCCACAGTCACTAACAGAAATTGATGCTTAATCAGAACACACCCTTCTCATTTCCCACCACCAGGTTAACAAGTGTTAACCTGCCCTCAGTTTTCTGATTGCTTAAAGGAAACTTGTTCATTTGACCTTATTTTTTTTAAGATTTTTCTTGTTACAGTTGCATACATCTAGGATAGCTGTAAGAGATATACTATATCACAGGTGCAAAGAAAAGGGAAGATCCAAAGCCTAGGAGGAGCAGATATTGAGAAAATGGCCTCGAAGCTATTAACCACTAGAGGAACTTGACGCATATGGTACACCAAGGGTAACCATAACAACAGACCCCAAACACAGCCCAATTCCCCATTAGATTAACAAAACTCACCAAACCAAAGGTCTAGCAGAAGAAAAGACACCCTTATTTCTGGTTTTTTTTGTTTTGTTTAGTTTTGTTTTGTTTTTGGGATGGAGTCTTGCTCTGTCGCCCAGGCTGGAGTGCAGCGGCACGATCTCGGCGCACTGCAAGCTCCGCCTGGGTTCATGCCATTCTCCTGCCTCAGCCTCCCGAGTAGCTGGGACTACAGGCACCTGCCACCACGCCTGGCTAATTTTTTGTATTTTTAGTAGGGACGGGGTTTCACCGTGTTAGCCAGCATGGTCTCGATCTCCTGACCTCGTGATCCGCCCACCTCGGCCTCCCAAAGTGCTGGGATTACAGGCATGAGCCACCGCGCCTGGCCAAGACATCCTTATTTCTAAGTGTGATAATATTTACTATTTACCTCAGTATTTATCCTAAACAAGATGTCCAGCTTCAACAAAATATTATGAGGCAAATGAAAAGTCAAACAAAACACACCCTCAAAAGAAGAGGCAATAATTGTAATCAGAATAAGACACAGATGTTGGAACTATCAGACAAGGAATTTAAAATAGCTATGATTCATATATTAAAGGCACTAATTAAAAGGTAGACAATATGCAAGATCAGATATATAATTTCAGAAGGGAAATCAAAACTTTAAGAAAGAACCAAATGGAAATGGTAGAAATCAAAAACACAGTAACAGAGATAAAGAATGCCTTCAACCAGGCATGGTGGCTCACACTTGTAATCCCAACACTTTGAGAGGCTGAGGCAGATGGATTGCTTGAACTCGAGTGTGAGACCAGCCTAGGCAACACGGCTAATTCTGAGCTCAGACAGCCTATGCCTCCCCCAACCTGATGTTCTTTCTCTACCCGTCCTGGTAGCCAAAGACAAAGGACATAATCTTCTGGGAGCTCTCTGGCTCTTCCCACAACCTGAGAAACTTGAATACTTATCCAAAGGCAACCCTAGGTCAAGCTTTTGTCTTTCCTATACAATCGCGGCTGATGTGCTCTTGAAGGTGACCCCTCCCGGCTGGAGGCCAACCAACACAAAACCAGCACACTAAACAAAAATACAACCAAGGACCCTCACAGATTCCACTTCACTCCCCTGTTACTTTCACCAGATCAGGTGCTGGTATCCACAGCTGAGAGACCTGAAGATGGTTCACATCACAGGACTCTTTGCTGACATGCCCCAGTACCAGCCCAGAGCCCAGTAGCTCAGGTGGGTGGCTAGATCCAGAAAAGAAATAACAATCACTGAAGTTTGGCTTTCAGGAACCCCCATCCCTAGGGAAAGGTGGAGAATACCACATCAACAGAGCACCCTATGGGACAGAAGAATCTGAACAGCAGTCCTCAAATCCCAGATCTTCCTTCTGACATAGTATACCCAAATGAGAAGGAAGCAGAAAAACAATTCTGATAATATGACAAAACAAGGTTCTTTAACACCCCCAAAAGATCACACTAGCTCACCAGCAATGGATCGAAACCAAGACAAAATCTCTGATTTGCCAGAAAAACAATTCAGAAGATTGATTATTAATCTAATCAAGGAGGCACCAGAGAAAGGTGAAATCCAACTCAAAGAAATTTTTTAAAAAATGGTACAGAATATAAATGGAATAGTCTCCGGTGAACTAGACAGCATAAATAAAAGGCAATCAACAACTCTAGAAATGAAGGACACAGAGCAATGCAGAAATGCACTGGAAAGTCTCAGCAATAAAATCGAACAAGTAGAAGAAAGAACTTCAGAGCTCTAATACAAGGCTTTCAAATTAAACCAACCCAACAAAGACCAAGAAGAATAAAAAATGAACAAAAATAATGGCAAGAATTTTCCAAAATGAATGACAGATATCAAACCACAAATCCAAGAATCTCAAAAAATACAAAATTTTAAAACAAAATAAAAAATACTTAAGTGTGTGTGTATATAAATATATATATATTTGTGTGTATATATAAATATACACACACACTCAGTTTAGTACTTGATATATATATGTAATATGTTATAGTATATTATGTATATATATAAGCATTCATATGTGTATGTATGTATACACATATATACAGACATACACACACACACACACAAATATACACACACACACATATATATAGTGCTAGGGTTACTGTAAAAAAATACCATAGATTAGGTGGCTCAAATAACAGAAATTTATTTTCTCACAGCTCACAGTTCCAGAGACTGAGAACTTTAAGATCAAGATGCCAGCTAATTAATTCCTGGTGAGGGTTATCTTCCCAGCTTTTAGACAGCCACCTTCTCCCTGTGTTTTTACATGGTGAAGAGAAAAAGCTCTTGTGTCTCTTCCTCTTATTGTAAGGGCATCAGCACTATTATATTAGGGCTCCAGGATTATGACCTCATTTAACCTTAACTACCTCCTTATAGGCCTTACCTCCAAATATAGTCATATTAGGGGTTAGAGATTCACATAACAAATTAGTAGGTATGGGCACAAATCAGTCCATAGCATTCCACCCCTGGCCCCTCAAAATTCATGTCTTTATTGTATGCAAAGAACATTCATTCCATTATGACAGTCCCAAAGGTCTTAACTCATCCCAGCATCAATTCTAAAGTGTAAGTCTCATCTAAATTAGATATAGGTGAGAAACAGCACCCTACTCCTGGTACCAAAAATTGTATTAGTCTGTGTGTGTATGTGTGTGTATAGATAGATACCTAGATTAGAGATAGAGACAGATGATAGATGATGATATATATAGACAGAGAGATAGATGATAGATAGATAGATAGATAGACAGATTGCCAGACAAGATGTGGAAGTGGAAGACTGATACTGAAATTCTCAACCCTGTGTAGGCCTAGGCTAATGTGTGTGTTTGTTTCTCAGTTTTTAACTAAAAAAAATTTTAAAGTAAAAAACAAAAATACTTAAAATAGAAAAAAACTCATAAAACAAAGACATGAAGAAAATATTTTTGTACAGCTGTACAATGTGTTTGTGTTTTAAGCTAAAGGTTATTATGAGTCCAAAGGTTTTAAAAAATAAGTTTATAAAATAAAAATATTACAGCAAGCTAAGGTTAATTTATTACTGAAGAAATAAATTTTACATAAATTTAGTTTAGCCTAAGTGTACAGTGTATATAAAGTATACAGCAGTGTATAGTGATACCTTACACCTTCTCATTCACTCACCACTCACTCATTGACTAACCCGGAGCAACTTCCAGTCCTGCAAGCTCCATTCATGGGAAGTGCCCTATACTGGTGTGCCATTTTTTATCTCTTATACCATATTTTTACTGTACCTTTCATATGTTTAGATAGGTTTAGATACACAAATGCTTACCATTGTGTTATAATTGCCTACAGTACTCAGTACAGTAACATACTGTACAGGTTTGTAATCTAGGAACAATACACTATATTGTATAGCCCAGGTATGTAGTAGGCTGTGCCATCTAGGTTTGTGGAAGTATACTCTTCAATGTTTGTACAATGATGAAATCCCCATAGTTAAGCAATGTATCACTGTAAATATGTTATAGACAATGAGAGCCAGACATGCATCAGAGAAATAAGTTACAAATAAGCACATAAAGAATAGTAAAATGAACACTGTGATATTGGACTGAAATCTAAAGTATCAGTGTAAAGTCAGCCTTACTTTTATAGGATGATATATTTAGAAATTTAGAAGTGTGTACGTGGGTTCATACATCCATATATTTTCTAGCTCTGTTGTATGTGAGGGCCTAGAGGCAGTGACAAACATCAACAAGCATTCTTAGCACTCAGATCTTGGTTTATAAATACGCTTATTCGTAAAAGGAATCAGAGCTTCTTAGAGAATTGGCTGATTCTGAAGCTGAGGTACAGAAAATATGAGTCTGGGGCATTTTAAAGTGTCAAAAAGTAAGGATCTAATGACAGGGAGAGAGAGAAGAGATCATACGCATGTCAAAAGGAGCTCCCAATAGGTAAGCTAGAATAACCTGAGCCAAAAAATAATAGTAAAATATATTTATGAGTTCATACTCATATAAATAAATGATTGAATAAATAAGTAAATGGGGGAGAAGAACAAAACTCTCCTTCAGAAGAATTTTAATTAAAAAATATAGAAGGAAAGAAGAAAAAGAAAATCATCATTAGAACATCAATAATAATTGCTATCGGCAAGATCCACCAATGAATACTAACATTAGCGGGTCAAAGTTTAAGAACAAACAGAGTATTTGCATAGCTTCCAAGTGTCTCCTCTGCACTCAAATTTATTAACTATTGTGGTAGCTTTAACATATTCCATAAATTATCTGATACTTCCCAGGAGGTGGAGCTTAATTCTCCTCTCCACGTGTGGTATGGACTTTGTATCTTGCTTCTAATAAATAGTGTATGAGCAATACTCTGCAAAAGTGTAAATAGCCATGAAAGACAAGGAAAGTCTGAGAAATTATTTAAGATTGGAGGAGGCTATGGAAACATGACCACTAAAAGTAATGTGGAAGCCTGGACTGGCTCTTGGAACAGAAAAAAAGACATTAATGGAAAAAATAATGAAATCCAAATTAAGTCTGTAGTTTAGTTAATACTATTATATGTAACCATGTTAATTTCTTAGTTTGGATGAGTGTATCATGGTTATTTGAGATGTTAACACTGGACAAGTTGGAAGAAGGGCACATGCAAACTTGGTGTAGATCTTTACAACTCTTTTGCAAGTCCAAAATTAACTTGGAAAAAAAAGTTAAAAATAAACTCAAGGAATCCAGATTAGCTGAGAGGCAGTATAGCATTTGCCTTACTAGATTCTAATCCCAGCATTGCCATTTTTCCTTTTTTTTATTTTTATTTTTATTTATTTATTATTATACTTTAAGTTTTAGGGTACATGTGCACAATGTGCAGGTTAGTTACATATGTATACATGTGGCATGCTGGTGCGCTGCACCGACTAACTCGTCATCTAGCATTACGTATATCTCCCAATGCTATCCCTCCCCCGCCCCCCCCACCCCACAACAGTCCCCAGAGTGTGATGTTCCCCTTCCTGTGTCCATGTGTTCTCATTGTTCAATTCCCACCTGAGTGAGACTATGCAGTGTTTGGTTTTCTGTTCTTGGGATAGTTTACTGAGAATGATGATTTCCAATTTCATCCATGTCCCTACAAAGGACATGAACTCATCATTTTTTATGGCTGCATAGTATTCCATGGTGTGTATGTGCCACATTTTCTTAATCCAGTCTATCATTGTTGGACATTTGGGTTGGTTCCAAGTCTTTGCTATTGTGAATAGTGCCACAGTAAACATATGTGTGCATGTGTCTTTATAGCAGCATGATTTCTAGTCCTTTGGGTATATACCCAGTAATGGGATGGCTGGGTCAAATGATATTTCTAGTTCTAGATCCCTGAGGAATGGCCACACTGACTTCCACAATGGTTGAACTAGTTTACAGTCCCACCAACAGTGTAAAAGTGTTCCTATTTCTCCACATCCTCTCCAGCACCTGTTGTTTCCTGACTTTTTAATGATTGCCATTCTAACTGGTGTGAGATGATATCTCATTGTGGTTTTGATTTGCATTTCTCTGATGGCCAGTGATGGTGAGCATTTTTTCATGTGTTTTTTGGCTGCATAAATGTCTTCTTTTGAGAAGTGTGTGTTCATGTCCTTGGCCCACTTTTTGATGGGGTTGTTTGTTTTTTTCTTGTAAATTTGTTTGAGTTCATTGTAGATTCTGGATATTAGCCCTTTGTCAGTTGAGTAGGTTGTGAAGATTTTCTCCCATTTTGTAGGTTGCCTGTTCACTCTGATGGTAGTTTCTTTTGCTGTGCAGAAGCTCTTTAGTTTAATTAGATCCCATTTGTCAATTTCGGCTTTTGTTGCCATTGCTTTTGTTGTCTTAGACATGAAGTCCTTGCCCATGCCTATGTCCTGAATGGTAATGCCTACTTTTTCCTCTAGGGTTTTTATGGTTTTAGGTCTAACATTTAAGTCTTCAATCCATCTTGAATTGAGGGAAATTTATAGGGCTAAATGCCCACAAGAGAAAGCAGGAAAGATCCAAAATTGACACCCTAACATCACAACTAAAAGAACTTGAAAAGCAAGAGCAAACACATTCAACAGCTAGCAGAAGGCAAGAAATAACTAAAATCAGAGCAGAACTGAAGGAAATAGAGACACAAAAAAACCCTTCAAGAAATTAACGAATCCAGGAGCTGGTTTTTTGAAAGGATCAACAAAATTGATAGACCGCTAGCAAGACTAATAAAGAAAAAAAGAGAGAAGAATCAAATAGACGCAATAAAAAATGATAAAGGGGATATCACCACCAATCACACAGAAATACAAACTACCATCAGAGATTACTACAAACACCTCTATGCAAATAAACTAGAAAATCTAGAAGAAATGGATAAATTCCTCAACACATACACTCTCCCAAGACTAAACCAGGAAGAAGTTGAATCTCTGAATAGACCAATAACAGGAGCTGAAATTGTGGCAATAATCAATAGCTTACCAACCAAAAAGAGTCCAGGACCAGATGGATTCACAGCCGAATTCTACCAGAGGTACAAGGAGGAACTGGTACCATTCCTTCTGAAACTATTCCAATCAATAGAAAAAGAGAGAATCCTCCCTAACTCATTTTATGAGGCCAGCATCATCCTGATACCAAAGCCAGGCAGAGACACAACCAAAAAAGAGAATTTTAGGCCAATATCCTTGATGAACATTGATGCAAAAATCCTCAATAAAATACTGGCAAACCGAATCCAGCAGCACATCAAAAAGCTTATCCACCATGATCAAGTGGGCTTCATCCCTGTGATACAAGGCTGGTTCAATATACGCAAATCAATAAGTGTAATCCACCATATAAACAGAACCAAAGACAAAAACCACATGATTATCTCAATAGATGCAGAAAAGGCCTTTGACAAAATTCAACAACACTTCATGCTAAAAACTCTCAATAAATTAGGTATTGATGGGACGTATCTGAAAATAATAAGAGCTATCTATGACAAACCCACAGCCAATATCATACTGAATGGGCCAAAACTGGAAGCATTCCCTTTGAAAACTGGCACAAGACAGGGATGCCCTCTCTCACCACTCCTATTCAACATAGTGTTGGAAGTTCTGGCCAGGGCAATTAGGCAGGAGAAGGAAATAAAGGCTATTCAATTAGGAAAAGAGGAAGTCAAACTGTCCCTGTTTGCAGACGACATGATTGTTATCTAGAAAACCCCATTGTCTCAGCCCAAACTCTCCTTAAGCTGATAAGCAACTTCAGCAAAGTCTCAGGATACAAAGTCAATGTACAAAAATCACAAGCATTCTTATACACCAACAACAGACAAACAGAGAGCCAAATCATGAGTGAACTCCCATTCACAATTGCTTCAAAGAGAATAAAATACCTAGGAATCCAACTTACAAGGGATGTGAAGGACCTCTTCAAGGAGAACTACAAACCACTGCTCAAGGAAATAAAAGAGGATACAAACAAATGGAAGAACATTCCATGCTCATGGGTAGGAAGAATCAATATCGTGAAAATGGCCATACTGCCCAAGGTAATTTACAGATTCAATGCCATCCCCATCAAGCTACCAATGATTTTCTTCACAGAATTGGAAAAAACTACTTTAAAGTTCATATGGAACCAAAAAAGAGCCCTCATCGCCAAGTCAATCCTAAGCCAAAAGAACAAAGCTGGAGGCATGACACTACCTGACTTCAAACTATACTACAAGGCTACAGTAACCAAAACAGCATGGTACTGGTACCAAAACAGAGATATAGACCAATGGAACAGAATAGAGCATTCAGAAATAACGCTCTGTATCTACAACTATCTGATCTTTGACAAACCTGAGAAAAACAAGCAATGGGGAAAGGATTCCCTATTTAATAAATGGTGCTGGGAAAACTGGCTAGCCATATGTAGAAAGCTGAAACTGGATCCCTTCCTTACACCTTATACAAAGCATTGCCATTTTTCTGGCTGCATTATCACCTCCCCTAGAATGCAATCTCCAGGAAAGGAGAGAACATGCTTGTTACTAATTATTGTATTACCAGTCTGTATCAATGCCTGGCATATAAGTTCTCAATAAACATTTGCCTATGGAAAAAAAATACAAAACACTGGAGTAGGAGACAGAAAATCTGAATTACAGGTCACAACCAATACCTCATGTCACCAAGATGCCATTTAACCTTTTGTTTTCAATCTCCATAAATTGATGGCGTTGGGTAAACTAGCTATACTATAATATTCATTTTATTTTCAGAATTCTTATGATTTTAGCAATATATAGAACAAAATCCATCAGGAGGATCCAATTCAAGTGCTCATTATTTGTAAATGAGGGAACACAAATTCTTTTTGTTGTGGGTGTGTAGCTTCCAGTGTACAGCAAACCAATGGCTATGCATAGCACTCTTAGGAATAACTCAAGAACTTTAATTTTTTCCAGCATAAAGAGAAGTATGTACTATAAGGTATATACCTGAATTCATTTATAGATGGATTTGTTGTTTCATTATTACCTAGGTCTATGATTATACTTAGAATTAAATATACAAAATTAAATAATTTTAACCTGAAACACTTCTTAAAATTAGAAGAGAAACTGATCTGTTTAATAATTATTATTACTTTTAATCTGGTATCTAAATACAGATTTTTAACTGACAAATTTTACTATGTAAAGCCCCAGAACAGGGTCATGGCCAACAGTGATGGAGGGACAGGGATTACAGTTGCTAAAGGCTGAGAGACCAAAGTCAATTTCTCACAGCTTTTAAAAAGGTAAATGATAGCTGAGAGGCTGGCAATCATAGAAACCGTCGTGTCCAAGGCAAAGTTTAGTAAAAGACTTTCCTTTGCTCAAGAAGAAAAATCATGCACTGAGAGCCTATGACATTTTACCTTTGGTATGAATACCAACAAAAATATTAAAACACAATTCATTTACACTATAAAATTAATGGTATTTATATAATTCTGGAAAACTTGAGAGCAGAAGGTGAAAAGAAACCAATAAAAAATTAAGTTACTCAATATCATTTTAAAGATATATGTAAATCAAAAATATTCTGCTCCTAGAGCCCAGTTGGTACAAGTAGTGCTAGGCACATGATCAGTGATCAGCTATAGTTTGCTAAATTGAATCAAATCGAAGAGCACTGACAAAATGTTTCCGATGTTATCCTATGGAGCCTATTGAAATTCCTATGTGGCTCATGGTTATTGTAGACCTAAAGTACTAGTGATGGGAAGCACCATAGAGATTATCTGGGCCAAATGGTTCATTATACGCATTAAGATATTAAGTTACTTATCCAAAATCACAACATGAGCATTAAAACTGAAGCCTCCTCAAATGTACGTCAGTGTTTTTCAGTAACACCTTCTGATTTTTAGCTTATGGTGTGCATATATGTTCCTGCCTAAACATGTATGAGAACACTATAAAATCTTAAGTTTGATTTCCTGTGCCACCTGTGAGGTTAGCCACATTACTCTAGACAATGTATTTGTATATGAGACGAACATATAGTGAGTAATGTATGTTAAAGTCAGAAATGCTAATTGGCATTCCTTCTAGGGACAGGTGAAGTGTGATTGCATTTGCCTTTCTGAGTAATGCTGGAAAGTGAAAATACAGATCATTGCACAGATGGTGTTATTTTGTTTCCTGGTTGTAACTACCTTCCCAGGCATAGAGTTGATCTTTTCCAACAGGTATAGAGTTTTCTGAGACATATTTAGCCTCTCCCACAATGCAGCATCAGAACAATTCAGAGAATGGTGAGAGTAGGGGGGAGGAGACACCAATCTTAGAGTGTTTTAATATTAAAATTTAAAAGCATTTATCTGGATTTTATAGATGAGCAAACTATTATTAATAAAATAAATTTACCTTGAGTAAACACTCATTTCTTAGATGGAATAGTTTTTAAAATCTAATAAATTCAGCTGGTGTGATGCCTTTATAAATTATTTTAGAGAAAGTCATTTTTATGCCCAAAGTTAAATTTGCATTACATATATAATTACATATGAATAAAAGCCTGACTCAAACTTTCATTCTCAAAAAGTGTGCCTTTAGTTTATGTGTGAATCTGGGAACATAATAAGCAGCATCAAATAAATAAAAAATATGTGACTAAGTATTTTTCTTGGAAAATATTGCTTTCACTAAAATAATAGCACTTGACTACTTTGCATTTTTTACAAAATAAAATTATATTGAATATTTATTGAATATACCTAAAGCACTGCTTATAAGACAATTTATAGCATGAAATGTTTTTATGAGATAAGAAAAAGGTTTCAAATCAATTATGTAAGTTTTGACTTCAAGAAACTAGAAAAAGTTAAGCAAATTAACCAAAGAAAGTGGAATCAAGTAATTAGTAAAAATACAAGAATAAATCAATGAGATAGACAACAAATAACAGAAAAATCTCAAATCAGAAGCTTGTTTTTTGTGAAGTAAAATAATAATAATAATAATAGATAAACCCCCAGCAAGATAAACTTCTTGCTCAACAAAAGAGAAAAAAACACAAAATACCAATATCAGAAATAAAGGAGGTTGTATCAGCAGAAATTCTGTATATACACAGTATCTGCTTAACCCTGGAGAAGGCAAAATTTTCCTAAAGAGGATATAAGATGCATTGACTAAGAAAGAAACAATTTATCAACTGGGGTTTAACAAATTGAAAACCGTGATTCATGAAAAACATGACTAATAAAGTTAAACAGAAAGCCACAGATTGCAAGAGACAGTATCTACAATACATGCACCTAACGAAATACCTATAACCAGCATATATAAAGGTCATTTATACCTCAGTAATAAGACAAACAACCCAAATAAAGAATGAGCAAAAGACTTGAAAATAAAACATTCTAACAGGTTGGGATCCTCTTTATGAGTGTCTTGTCATAGGTTGTCAAATTTATGTCTTCAATAAAAGAATAACACTTTGCTATTTTATTTTTTCATAGCATTTATATTAGTGTATTAATGTTTTTAAAACAAAGTATTGTTATGACTTATCAAATACTCAAGGCTGCTTTCCTTCACACTCCACACTTCATGAAGAAAGCCTAACCAATATGGACATTTTTGTTTACAGAATGAAGTTTAGCTCTAAGAATTATTCCAAAGGAGTGTGGAAAAGATGGTTAAAAAGGCACCTCAAGATGTGGTAGGTCAAATAATAATGTAATTTAAAAGCAGAGGAAAAACAGCAGACATCAAATTTGTTCTAAAAATAATCTCTGGAATTTTCTCCAAAGAAAACAATTACAAAAATATACTTTGTAATATAAATACAAAACAACTGGAGTTTTGTTTAGCAGGTAGATAATTTCTTATTCTTTATTCTAAAGCAACTTTTAAAAATGTACTTTTTCAACTCAAGGGTCCCATTCCTGGCTACTTGCTCTGCATAATAGAAATTAAATACTAGTTTCTTACTTACAATGGGAAATCAACTCCAGTTGGTTCTATTCATATCAGGTTAAAAACAGGTAAAAAGAATAGAGCTATCACAATATGTAGTGTTTACTTATTCTAATAACTGATTTTTTTTAACTTTCACATTGTTATAGAATATTTGTAAAACAATTAAGCCTGAAAAGTTTAAGATCACATTACAGTTCTTTGTTTCCAAGCCAATCAGTCTCCTGAAGTTTGAGAAAATTACTGGCTTTACAAATTAGAAAAGAGAGAATTACTGAATTGTTGTCTGCCTAAAATTGTCCAGCTGCCTCTAATTTGGGAAAGATAAATGCAGGTTAGGAAGATCACTGGAAGCTGCCAAACAGTAGCCAGGCTCAGTGGGAGGAGAGAAACTGCACAATCCATTTACAGATAAAGCTCTTGTGAATGTGGGGAAGTTTTTTCTGAGGAAGTGCCACAGGAAGTTTGTAATAAACTCTTGCAATTCATAGCTGCAGAGTATCAGCAGTAGCTGTTCCCACTTTATACACCTGGAACCTTCACCTTTATAAAGCAGAGGTCTGTCTCTTTTCAATAGTTTTCATATACATCAAAAGGAAACAGTAAGGATAAGGGATGATACTAAACTGGAATTAGGCTACAAGGGCTGTTGGGCAAATTTCCACAGTGTCATGTCACTGTTCTAGGGTTCATAACTACATAGGCCACTAAGAGAAATGACCGATCATTAGAAGGCAAACCTAATTATGCCTGTTTTCATCCCACATACTGCATATAAAATAAAAGAAACAAAAAAAAATCATGCTGTCTTACAAAACAATGTAAACAAGCAAATGTTGTTCATTTAAAAGACATTACACATTCCCTGTGTCCCATATGTTTTCTTTTTATTTTATTTTATTATTATTATACTTTAAGTTTTAGGGTACATGTGCACAATGTGCAGGTTACATATGTATACATGTGACATGCTGGTGTGCTGCACCCATTAACTCGTCATTTAGCATTAGGTATATCTCCTAAAGCTATCCCTCCCCCTCCCCCCACCCCACAACAGTCCCCAGAGTGTGATGTTCCCCTTCCTGTGTCCATGTGTTCTCATTGTTCAATTCCCACCTATGAGTGAGAATATGCGGTGTTTGGTTTTCTGTTCTTGCGATAGTTTACTGAGAATGATGATTTCCAATTTCATCCATGTCCCTACAAAGGACATGAACTCATCATTTTTTATGGCTGCATAGTATTCCATGGTGTGTATGTGCCACATTTTCTTAATCCAGTCTATCATTGTTGGACATTTGGGTTGGTTCCAAGTCTTTGCTATTGTGAATAGTGCCGCAGTAAACATACATGTGCATGTGTCTTTATAGCAGCATGATTTATAGTCCTTTGGGTATATACACTCTAATTCTTAACAATCCTGCTACTGAAATATTGCCATCCTCACTTTATAGATAGAGGAACAAAAACTGTCAGCCTGTCTACGTGGGTTCCTTAAGGGTATGGATAATATCTTACTTGACATTGTAGCCCCAAGGTGTAACAAGCAGCCCATATTAAACTCAATAAGTATGTTTTGAAATAAGTGAGTAAATGAATGAATGAGGTACAATTGGGCTGATCTTGAAAAATGCATAAGATTGGAATAAGCAGAAGCAGGGAAGTGAACGTAGAAAAAAATAATGGGGGAGGTGGGGTGGGGAGGGGAACCCAGCATGTGGAAATGCATATTACCAAAGAGAGATAGGCTTATAAGTATAGATGATAACAATCATTTGAAAAGCTATTAGGAAGAAATAATCCAATCTCCTTCTTTCATTACTTGTGCCTGTACCTAATTCAATTCACAAATCCAATACTGACATGAAAAACCCAACTCCAGTAAATTACTTTGTCAGAGCCAGAAAAATACAGACTTCTGACTGGTGCAAAAACTTTTATACTCTGTTCAAGATCTATTTGTTTCTGCATCCCTCATAGTCATCTTCACACTAAGTGACTTGAGTCAGCAATAATTAGACATTTCTGAATTCAGTTTTGGTATGTTCTTAATTTGTTTTGACATGATATAAAAATGTCAACTCTCCAGAATCTGAGAACAATCACAGCATGCGTATGTTGGAATTTATTCTGCATTGTATGTCAAAGTGAAGAAATTCAGATTCCGTTTATGTTTCACAAGCATAACAACCGTTGACAAGTTGCTATGAAAAGCAGACATTGACTCTGTCATTATTGCAAATTATTCATATTTGAAAGGTTCATAGTTTAGTATACATTTTCCTTTCCTGATTATATAAATGTATAATATTTATAGAAATATTTCCTTCTGAATTATCAAGAGCAAAAATTTAGTATAAGTGTGTTTTAAAATTTAAATTCATTAATAATGTTTTGATCTGTCTTCTATGTGTATTAGAGGTATCTAATATAAGAATTGGGTTTTTTTAATCTGCCATGCATTAAATTTAATTTGGTAAAAGGATTATCAGAACTCTCTCCCAGCCAAGAGCCTCTAACATACTATTTTCCTGATTCAATTCTTTGTCAGGTCTCCCTCTGAAACAGTCTCACTTTGAAATATATATTACTTTTCTACAAAATATAGTGTGTGTTAGTTTTTGGAATCCAAAATGATGTTTTATGATGCTCATTATGTAATGACATATTATTATCCCCATAGGCAGCTCTTGGATCCAGTAAAGCAATATGGTGTATCACATCTAATAGGGCACCATGGTACATTCCTGGAATATCATTTGGAGTTGTCAGGGACTATAACTTAGAAAATTGATGAGAATGAGATAATCTTATAACAAAAAAATATGAAAATGGTGTTTTCAACCAGCTATTGGTTGACGTTGTAGCTTTCAATCTATGGAAAGTAGAAATTGTAGCCTGTTCATTTAGGAAGACACACTTAAAAACTATTTGGACTCTCTAAATAATTGCTTTGTGAGTCTCAAATTCTGATTTGGTGGAAATATTACTGTGTTCCCAGGAGAAATTCCTCCCTTGGACATTAAGACCTCCAAGTTCATTAAGTCCAAAACTGAGGGATGGGAAATGATAATTCTTTATGTAGGTTATATGGTATAACAGTGAAAGAGGTCACTCTCTGCTTTATCCTTTTGTCTCCAGTTCCATGCATTCTGAAAATAGGAGAGACAGCAGTATTTATTAGCCAGCTCTACCCATGATTTCCCAACCTGTGAATTCTGGCTGCGAAGGAGACAGCACCGCACATAGCCAATTATTTTAGGCATACACTGCATCCTGTCAGAAAGCACTCTAACCTCGTAGGGTGTTGTCACCCAGACAGTGCCATAACTCACCATTTACTAGGCTATTTCATTTCACTTTATCAAGGCATATATATGTAGGTGATAAAGACATGGTAAAACCAGTGAATTCTGCGAGCATGAATCCACTGTCTCACTTCCTTCTCTGTAAAATGAGTACCTTCATTGAAGACAATGTAATATGTAATACCATAGTGATGAGTAAGGCTTTCTGTGCATACATAAATGATTGTGTGGACAGAAATACTGTAAACATAGAAAAAAATCCATATGTTGGCCGGGCACGGTGGCTCACACCTGTAATCCCAGCACTTTGGGAGGCCAAGGTGGGCGGATCACAAGGTCAGGAGATTGAGATCATACTGGTTAACATAGTGAAACCCCATCTCTACTAAAAATACAAAAAAAAAATACAAAAAATTTGCTGGGCATGGTGGCAGGTGCCTGTAGTCCCAGCTACTCAGGAGGCTAAGGCAGGAGAATGGTGTGAACCCAGGAGGCAGAGCTTGTAGTGAGCCAAGATCACACCACTGCACTCCAGCCTGGGCAACAGTGTGAGACTCCGTCTCAAAAAAAAAAGAAAAGAAAAAGGAAAAGAAAAGAAAAAAAAATCCATATGCCTATTAAATATCTATATTCATGAGAAAAAAACAAGTCTGCCCACTCTGTAACAGAAAGGATCCAACATAATCAACCAGTCACCAGATGGCCAGATAGATTTCCTGGGGAATAATATCGTTTTGTGGCTTTTTATTGGCCTGTGCTGTTGGTAGGTTGGACACCCAGCAGTGGTGGTAGTCAAAGCAGCCTTTGTGAAAAAAAACCTCTGTGGTTAAGCCCATGAGTAAGCTCCATCTATATTGTCACAGTCACTTTGTAGATGGACCCATTGAGTAAGCACCAGAAAGGATAGCAAAAGAAGCTGACTGACATCCACAGAAGGAATCATCTTGTCCATTTGAATACTGACAGTTTCCTCTGCAGTCAGCGCCACCTGGAGCACACTTACCTAGGGCATGCCTATCCACATGCAGCTCCCCTAGAATTCCTTATCACCAATTTTTTAGTTATTATTCTTCCCAAGTCTCTTTTCTGTTGAACAACTTTTTGGCTGCTTCCTATGGATCTTTGTAGATCTATACTAGCAGCCATCTCTCATCCCACAAACATGTACCACCTGAAATTTTTCCTTCTGATAGAATTCTCTTTATCACTGTCTCCCATGACCATCTCAAGTGGAGTTGTAATACAGTGGGCAGCATAAGGGCACACCTGTCTCTCAACCAGATCACGTTCTGACACCATACTGTACGGATCCTTCTATAAACTGGTTCATTTTTTTCTTTCATTTAAGTGGTCATAGGGAACTCTTCATGAGTCCATAGTTGTTTGTTGTTGTTGTTGTTGTTGTTTTGAGATGGAGTCTGTCTCTGTCACCTAGGCTGGAGTGCAGTGGTATGATCTCCATTCACTGCAACCTCTGCCTCCAGGGTTCAAGCAATTCTCCTGCCTCAGCCACCCAAGTAGCTGGGACTACAGGCACCTGCCACCACACCCTGCTAATTTTTGTATTTTTAGTAGAGACAGGGTTTCACCATGTTGGCCAGGCTGGTTTCAAACTTCTGACCTCAAATGATCCACCCGCCTCGGCCTCCCAAAGTGCTGGGATTACAGGCGTGAGCCACCACACCTGGCCAGAATCCACAGTTGTTAGTTGAGGGGTAAATAGAAAAGCAGAAGGAGAACATACCAAGGGAGTTTGAACTATCTACCTCATGAAGTTTACTTGTAACTTCCAGACCTTAAAGGATATTCTCATATAATCTCTACAGGAATGATGCTGTGCATGGTCAACTCTATTATCGTGTGGATCTGATAACTCACAGTTTACTATGGGCATTTTGAGTAACACAGTCATTTAGTGAATCATGACTGGGTATTCAGTTTCCACCACGACCCAAAAGAAGATCAGAACACTTGGCGGAAAATAGCATATTTCTTATACTACAGGTATAGGGTTTGCTAAGTCACATGGCCCAAGCAGAAGAAGTGCCTTTATTTCACTTAAAACTGGCAGTTTTAAGGTTTATTCAATAAATAGTTTAAAGCCCCATATCCAAATGTGGCTTATGTTGCCCCCAGAATCTAAGAAGCCTGCTAAGCATTATGCCTCTTTCTTAACGGTGGGTAATACAAAGTACAGCAAATGGTTTCTTACTTTAGAGAGGAAATCTGAACATTCTCTCCTGTATCTGTCAAGGTCCAGTCAGGAGATTAAAAGCAACACTGTAATTTGAACTGGGAAATTTTAATATAAAGACTTATTGACTAGTAACAAGGGATTAACTACTACTGAGAGACCTCTTAAGAATACAGGAACAGCAGATGCAGGGATCTGTCCACCTTTAAGGTAGAGGCAGATCACCCAAAGAAGAAACAAGTTTGAAAGCATGCCCTACCCAAAGCTGAGAATCAGACCTTGATGGAGAAGGTGTAGATGTGACAGAGAAGTGTGTTGTAATGCCACAAGCCAGGGTTGATGAGCAGGAAACTGCTCATCAGATTGTTGGTAAGATTCACTGGGGAGCTAATCACTGGGGTGTTGACAAAACTCATGGGAGAGTGAACACCACCACTGGGTATTCCAGCCACACACAGAAGTGCTGGCAAAACTCACTGGAGGGGGGGGGTGCCACTGGGTGTTCTGCCCACTGCTCACCACATGGAATAAGGATTCAAAAAAGCACGTGGGAACCAAGAAAATAAGCCCCTCACTAAATTCTCCTTACATTTCCCTCCAGTAGCAATACTTAACATGGTCCAGCTGGCAAAGGAGAAACATTTACAGGGTTCAGCTTCAGTATCGCAAGCAGGGCAAAGAAGTACATCACGGGAGCTGAGAGGCAATAAAAATAAGAATTGGCACAGCTAACTCCTCTGGCTTCTTGGCTCCTATATACAACCTTCTACCCACATTTGAACTTCCTATGCCTCCACCTGTCAAGAAAAGCTATCCTTCAAAGAAAAGATGATTTTCTTACCCGTTCTTCCAAATTAGGAGACTCGGTCCCAACAGTTATTCCATCACTAGTTATATGATTTCTCTCTAAAATTCAGTTACAGTCTGACTCAATTCTGTTACCTAAAGGATAAATTTTAAATGTAACCTGCAATAACTTATATATAAAATGGAAATGGGAAAAAGGAAACTGATTGGCATATACAGATAAAAACCTACAGATAATAAATAAGAGACAATACACAAAGCTACTAGAGCCCTCATTTCTGTAATTGGTCACAGGGCGTTAGTTGTTATCTATGATTTCCTTTTTCCACTGCCCTCAGACAACACCAGCTGGTCAGGATTCTTTATGGGGATGAAACCAAAATCTTTATCACTGAAGTGTCTGAGTTCTCAGTCATGTATTATTTGGTTGCTATAGTTCTCCACTGACCTTTTCTATTAAGAAAACAAGTATTAAAAAGCCCCCAGAGAATCCTTTGGATTCCAAACATAGTTCTCCTTGGCCCCCATTGTATAGCATCACCATGATTTCTCCTTAGTAATTGGGATTCATCTCCCACCCGCTGGCATGCAGATGTGTTACTAAGGCACAAAGGATGCTTGCTACTTCAGGCTTGCCAGGTCCAATTTGCAAATATCAACCATGTAATGGAGCAGCATGACATTCTGTGGAATATCAAGACAGTCAAGACCCTGCTGCATTATGAGGGAGAACAGGAACATTGACAGAGACTTGAGGTAAGATGGTGAAGACTTACTGCTGTCCCTGACTCATGAAGACTAAATACATATTATATATTTTCCTAGTGGGAGTTGAAAACATTTAATAGGTCAATAGATATATGCAAAGAGGTGGAGATACATAGACTTGCTCCAATAAAGACAAGACATCTGTAACCATAGCTGCAATTGGTATCATCCTCTGATTAACTTTATGATAATCCACAGCTTTACAACTTGAATAAAATTTGCACCAGCCTAAAGGGTAATTAAATGGAAACATGATAAGAATCATTATCTTTCCAGTATTTGATGGCATCAATTCTCTTATGGATACAGTATTGTTTTTTGTTGTTCTTTCTGGGGAAGGAAAGGATTGGAGTACAGTTTCAGGGGCTTTCATTTGACCTTTCCTACTATAATAATCCTCACTGCATAGATCAGAAAACCTATGTATGAAATACTGCCAGTTACTAAGTGTATATATATATATATCTGTCTTTATATACTGGGATTGGACAAATGAACATAATGAGTCTATGGTTTGCAATGCACTTATTACTGGATAAATTTAGTCCAAGAATCAAATACCTAGTCATCAAAGACTCTCACTTTGATCAGTGGGCTCCAGTGATGTTTTGAATCTCTGGACCTGAGTCATTTCAGAGCCAGTATCTAAGAACCCTTGGAAGGTCTGGGTGTTTGCTTCTCCCCAGGCCACTGTCCCCCGAAAAATGGCCAAGGTCCCACTAGAGATGACTTAAAGAAACATTCATGGTAACCATTTGTAAGTGTGTAGAGGGGGGTCATTCCTTAAAGATAGACAGCCTCTTTTTCCATCAAGAGGCTCTAGGTCTGTGAAATGGCTCAAGTCTGAGAACTCTATAAAACACATACACACACTCTATAAAATATTCCCCATTACAGCACCTTGAGTAAAATTTTCTCTGTCCTCCAGAGTTGAAATTTCTCTGTTTATGTATGTCAAACAGAACCATAGTAGGCTGCTGTAGTAGGTTGAATGGTGGCCTCTTTTTAGATATGTCCATGTCCCAATACCTGGAACCTGTGAATGTGACCTTACTTTGGACAAAGGGTATTTGCAGTTATAAAGAAATTGAGGGTCTTAAATCATCCTGTATTGTTAGCCAGTGGGCCCTAAGTCCAATGACAAGTGTTCTTAGGCAGAAGACATAGATACATGAAAAGGAGAAGGCAACGTGACCACAGAAGCAGAGATTAGAGTGATACGGTCAAGGAAGCCAATAAATGCTAGAAGGCACCAGAAGCTGAGACAAAGAAGGATTTTCCCATAAAGATTCCAGAAAAAGAGCAGTTCTGCTGACACCTTGATTTCAGACTTCTTGCCTCCAGTACTGTTAAGAGAATACATTTCTGGTATTTTTTTTTTTTTTTTGAGACAGTCTTGCTCTTTCACTCAGGCTGGAGTGCAGTGGTGCCATCTCCTCGGCTCACTGCAACCTCCGCCTCTCAGGTTCAAGCGATTCTCATGCCTCAGCCTCCCGAGTAGCTGCAGTTACAGGCACCTGCCACCACGCCTGGCCAATTTTTGTATTTTTAGTAGAGATGGGTTTTCATCATGTTGGCCAGGCTGGTCTTGAACTCCCAACCTCAAGTGATCCACCTGCCTCGGCCTCCCAGAGTGCTGGCATTACAGGCATAAGCCACTGTGCCCAGCCACATTTCTGTTGTTTTAAGACACCCAGTTTGTGACAATTTTATGACAGTCCTAGTAAGCTACTACAACTGCCCATTTCATTCCTGTGGATATGATGATCAATTAACAGCTGCTACAAATCCCTGCAGGATCAAACCACTCTATCCATAGTGACTCGTTTCTTTTAAAATGTTATCATGGTAAGAGCATTTAGCTTGAGATCTACCCTTTTAACATATTTTAAGTGTAAAATACAACATTGTTATCTATAGGCACAATATCGCACAGATCTCTAGAATGTATTCATCATGCATAACTGAAATATTATATCCATTGATAATAGCAACTCCTATTTCGCCCTACCCTGCTCCCAGCCCCGGACAATCACAATTCCATTCTTTGCTTCCATGAGTGTAACTATTTTAGATACTTATATGAACAGAATCACACAGTATCTGTTCTTTCTGACAGGCTGATATCACTTATTATAATATCCTTCAGGTTCATGCATGTTGTCAAATATTACAGGATTTCCTTTTTTCTTAAGGCTGAATAATATTCCATTGCATGTATTCCATTGCATGTATATTGCATATATCATTTGTTTTATCCATCCACTGACGAACATTCAGGTTTTTTCCAAATTTTGGCTATTGTGAATAGTGCTGCAGTAAGCATGGCAGTGCTGGTACCTCTTTGTGATCTTTATTTCAATTCTTTTGGATAAATACCCAGAAATAGAATTGCTGAATCATATGGTAATTCTACTTGTAATTTTTGAGGAACCTCCATAAAAATTTTTTTTTTTTTTTGAGATGGTGTTTCGCTCTGTCACCAGGCTGGAGTGCAGTGGCGCAATCTTGGTCACTGCAATCTCCGCCTCCCGGATTCAAGCGATCCTCCTGCCTCAGCCTCCCGAGTTGCTGGGACTACAGGTATGTGCCAACATGCCCAGGATTTTTTTTTCTTTTTCTTCTTTTTTTTTTTTTTTTTTTTTTTTGTATTTTTAGTAAAGACAGGGTTTTACCATGTTGGCCAGGACGGTCTCGATCTCTTGACCTTGTGATCCTCCCACCTTGGCCTCCCCAAGCGCTGGGATCACAGGCATGAGCCACCGTGCCCGGCCACACAACTGTTTTCTATAGTAGCTGCACCATTTTGCATTTTCACCAACAGTGTTCAAAGGTTCCAATTTCTCCACAACCCCAGCATCATTTGTTGTGATTTGTTATTTTGTCCATAGGGCTTCTAGGGATTTTCCTCTCCTATGGGGTACAGGTATTTATTTATAGGAGGTGTCTGAGAAGGTGGCATATAATAAGTAGATCTATTCCAACAACCCATCGTCCTGAGTAATGTTTTCCAGGGAAATGCTGGCATTTCAAACTCATTGGTATAGGCCACTTTTGAGTCCAGGCATCAGTTAACACATCTAGCAATTCTCAGCACTTTAAGGCAACACATTAAATCCTGAATTCTAGGCAGAAACACAAATTTGGGTTGACATAATCTTTATCCTTTCAAAATCACCTAATACCCTTAGACTATGCTCTTACACATGCTCCCCTGGCTCTTTATAAAATAGTGCAAGATCCTGCAGGTCTTCCAGTGTTCAAGCTAACTCATACCAGAACACACCTTTTTCTTCCTCACTAGTATTCTTACCTTAGCAAAAGATCTAATAAGAGTTGACATTTAATTGACAATACAGCTCTGCAAAGTTTAATTAGGCTCCAGACTTAATCCTCACTCACATGTGCCCTTTAAACATATTTTTAAGTGTAAAATACAGCATTGTTAACTATAGGCACAATATTGTATAGCATAAGACAGGAGATATGGAATTTTGTCATAAAGACTTTCTGAATATCTATCTGGGCCTTGAGTTGGACATTTGAGACTTTCAATTTATCCCTTTCTCTATGGACCCTCTCTAGTGTAAAATACACCCATCCTATCCCACAATTTTTGTCATCAAAGGGACAAATTGCCTCAGCCGTTGGATCTCCATATGCTTTCCCCCTCAATCTGCACCCCATTCTATGCCACCATTGGTGATAATGTGAGTAATCATGATGCTACCACTTGCTGCAGATTATTCCATTATCTGGAATAATGATTCCATTCACCTGGTAAGGAGGTTATCCATATGCTGTTCAAATGTAGGAGTAACCCAACCCTAGGATTCCATTTTAAGCTCAGTTTCCTGAGATCATTCCTGGTACCAATTACTGCTTGGGTCAGGGTCCAGCAGAAATCTGTTGGCACACTCAAACTGTTTAATTTAAGAAGTATTTAATAAAATAATTCTTTACAATGGAGAGGACCCTGACAAAATCAATAAGAAAAATAAAGCATCTTAACCTAGCTACACAAAAGGAAGCCATTTTCATGTGTAAGCCGAAAGAGGAAAAGGAAAGAATGACTCTCAAAATTCAGAGACAGTCATGGTGCAAGAGGGATTACCACTCAACCAGAGCCGTGGTTTTATGTAGAGAATTGCAGCCACTGACAACAGACCAAAAAGCAGATAGGAGAAACCAAGGGAATACATACCCTCATCTCTTTCTTTCAGACTTCAAATTTCCTGTCCTCCCCTCTCCATTTTACTCCATAAGTCTTCCATTCCAGTTGTTTCACCCCTAGGTCAACTGGGGAATTCTAAAGTCCTTTATTCCCCCCTCTCTGGCTATTTTCTTCTCACTGCCTCCCTCCCCAACCCTTTCTTCTCTGAGCTATGGGATTCTCCTAAAGTGTCTTACAAAAAATCTAGCCATTTACATTCCAGTGTAAACATTCATTTGTCTGTGTTAAATTGCTGCCAGTTTATCAGTAATCAGAATGGTCCCCAATCTAGTCCCATCTGTAATTTATTGTTTAGAGAGTTCCCAGAATTGTCTATGAGACCTTGAAAATGACTACATTATGGCAATTTCCTCCTTGATGTTTACTTTTTATTATTATTATTATTATACTTTAAGTTTTAGGGTACATGTGCACAATGTGCAGGTTAGTTACATATGTATACATGTGACATGCTGGTGTGCTGCACCCACTAACTCTTCATCTAGCATTAGGTATATCTCCCAATGCTATCCCTCCCCCCTCCCCCCACCCCACAACAGTCCCCAGAGTGTGATGTTCCCTTTCCTGTGTCCATGTGTTCTCATTGTTCAATTCCGACCTATGAGTGAGAATATGCGGTGTTTGGTTTTTTGTTCTTGCGATAGTTTACTGAGAATGATGATTTCCAATTTCATCCATGTCCCTACAAAGGACATGAACTCATCATTATTTATGGCTGCATAGTATTCCATGGTGTATATGTGCCACATTTTCTTAATCCAGTCTATCATTGTTGGACATTTGGGTTGGTTCCAAGTCTTTGCTATTGTGAATAGTGCCGCAATAAACATATGTGTGCATGTGTCTTTATAGCAACATGATTTATAGTCCTTTGGGTATTATACCCAGTAATGGGATGGCTGGGTCAAATGGTATTTCTAGTTCTAGATCCCTGAGGAATCGCCACACTGACTTCCACAATGGTTGAACTAGTTTACAGTCCCACCAACAGTGTAAAAGTGTTCCTATTTCTCCACATCCTCTCCAGCACCTGTTGTTTCCTGACTTTTTAATGATTGCCATTCTAAGTGGTGTGAGATGGTATCTCATTGTGGTTTTGATTTGCATTTCTCTGATGGCCAGTGATGGTGAGCATTTTTTCATGTGTTTTTTGGCTGCATAAATGTCTTCTTTTGAGAAGTGTGTGTTCATGTCCTTGGCCCACTTTTTGATGGGGTTGTTTGTTTTTTTCTTGTAAATTTGTTTGAGTTCATTGTAGATTCTGGATATTAACCCTTTGTCAGATGAGTAGGTTGCAAAAATTTTCTCCCATTTTGTAGGTTGCCTGTTCACTCTGATGATGGTTTCTTTTGCTGTGCAGAAGCTCTTTAGTTTAATTAGATCCCATTTGTCAATTTTGGCTTTTGTTGCCATTGCTTTTAGTGTTTTAGACATGAAGTCCTTGCCCATGCCTATGTCCTGAATGGTAATGCCTAGGTTTTCTTCTAGGGTTTTTATGGTTTTAGGTCTAAAGTTTAAGTCTTTAATCCATCTTGAATTGATTTTTGTATAAGGTGTAAGGAAGGGATCCAATCTCAGCTGTCTACATATGGCTAGCCAGTTTTCCCAGCACCATTTATAAAATAGGGAATCCTTTCCCCATTGCTTGTTTTTCTCAGGCTTGTCAAAGATCAGATAGTTGTAGATACAGAGCGTTATTTCTGAGGGCTCTGTTCTGTTCCATTGGTCTATATCTCTGTTTTGGTACCAGTACCATGCTGTTTTGGTTACTGTAGCCTTGTAGTATAGTTTGAAGTCAGGTAGTGTCATGCCTCCAGCTTTGTTCTTTTGGCTTAGGATTGACGTGGCGATGAGGGCTCTTTTTTGGTTCCATATGAACTTTAAAGTAGTGTTTCCAATTCTGTGAAGAAAGTCATTGGTAGCTTGATGGGGATGGCATTGAATCTGTAAATTACCTTGGGCAGTATGGCCATTTTCACGATATTGATTCTTCCTACCCATGAGCATGGAATGTTCTTCCATTTGTTTGTATCCTCTTTTATTTCCTTGAGCAGTGGTTTGTAGTTCTCCTTGAAGAGGTCCTTCACATCCCTTGTAAGTTGGATTCCTAGGTATTTTATTCTCTTTGAAGCAATTGTGAATGGGAGTTCACTCATGATTTGGCTCTCTGTTTGTCTGTTGTTGGTGTATAAGAATGCTTGTGATTTTTGTACATTGACTTTGTATCCTGAGACTTTGCTGAAGTTGCTTATCAGCTTAAGGAGAGTTTGGGCTGAGACAATGGGGTTTTCTAGATATACAATCATGTCGTCTGCAAACAGGGACAATTTGATTTCCTCTTTTCCTAATTGAATAGCCTTTATTTCCTTCTCCTGCCTAATTGCCCTGGCCAGAACTTCCAACACTATGTTGAATAGGAGTGGTGAGAGAGGGCATCCCTGTCTTGTGCCAGTTTTCAAAGGGAATGCTTCCAGTTTTGGCCCATTCAGTATGATATTGGCTGTGGGTTTGTCATAGATAGCTCTTATTATTTTCAGATACATCCCATCAATACCTAATTTATTGAGAGTTTTTAGCATGAAGGTTGTTGAATTTTGTCAAAGGCCTTTTCTGCATCTATTGAGATAATCATGTGGTTTTTGTCTTTGGTTCTGTTTATATGGTGGATTACATTTATTGATTTGCATATATTGAACCAGCCTTGCATCCCAGGGATGAAGCCCACTTGATCATGGTGGATAAGCTTTTTGATGTGCTGCTGGATTCGGTTTGCCAGTATTTTATTGAGGATTTTTGCATCAATGTTCATCAAGGATATTGGCCTAAAATTCTCTTTTTTGGTTGTGTCTCTGCCTGGCTTTGGTATCAGGATGATGCTGGCCTCATAAAATGAGTTAGGGAGGATTCCCTCTTTTTCTATTGATTGGAATAGTTTCAGAAGGAATGGTACCAGTTCCTCCTTGTACCTCTGGTAGAATTTGGCTGTGAATCCATCTGGTCCTGCACTCTTTTTGGTTGGTAAGCTATTGATTATTGCCACAATTTCAGCTCCTGTTATTGGTCTATTCAGAGATTCAACTTCTTCCTGGTTTAGTCTTGGGAGAGTGTATGTGTTGAGGAATTTATCCATTTCTTCTAGATTTTCTAGTTTATTTGTGTAGAGGTGTTTGTAGTAATCTCTGATGGTAGTTTGTATTTCTGTGTGATCGGTGGTGATATCCCCTTTATCATTTTTTATTGCATCTATTTGATTCTTCTCTCTTTTTTTCTTTATTCATCTTGCTAGCGGTTTATCAATTTTGTTCATCCTTTCAAAAAACCAGCTCCTGGATTCATTACTTTTTTGAAGGGTTTTTTGTATCTCTATTTCCTTCAGTTCTGCTCTGATTTTAGTTATTTCTTGCCTTCTGCTAGCTTTTGAATGTGTTTGCTCTTGCTTTTCAAGTTCTTTTAATTGTGATGTTAGGGTGTCAATTTTGGATCTTTCCTGCTGTCTCTTGTGGGCATTTAGTGCTATAAATTTCCCTCTACACACTGCTTTGAATGCGTCCCAGAGATTCTGGTATGTTGTGTCTTTGTTCTCGGTGGTTTCAAAGAACATCTTTATTTCTGCCTTCATTTCGTTATGTACCCAGTAGTCATTCAGGAGCAGGTTGTTCAGTTTCCATGTAGTTGAGCGGTTTTGAGTGAGATTCTTAATCCTGAGTTCTAGTTTGATTGCACTGTGGTCTGAGAGATAGTTTGTTATAATATCTGTTCTTTTACATTTGCTGAGGAGAGCTTTACTTCCAAGTATGTGGTCAATTTTGGAATAGGGGTGGTGTGGTGCTGAAAAAAATGTATATTCTGTTGATTTGGGGTGGAGAGTTCTGTAGATGTCTATTAGGTCTGCTTGGTGCAGAGCTGAGTTCAATTCCTGGGTATCCTTGTTGACTTTCTGTCTCGTTGATCTGTCTAATCTTGACAGTGGAGTGTTAAAGTCCCCTATTATTAATGGGTGGGAGTCTAAGTCTCTTTGTAGGTCACTCAGGACTTGCTTTATGAATCTGGGTGCTCCTGTATTGGGTGCATATATATTTAGGATAGTTAGCTCTTCTTGTTGAATTGATCCCTTTACCATTATGTAATGGCCTTCTTTGTCTCTTTTGATCTTTGTTGGTTTAAAGTCTGTTTTATCAGAGACTAGGATTGCAACCCCTGCCTTTTTTTGTTTTCCATTGGCTTGGTAGATCTTCCTCCATCCTTTTATTTTGAGCCTATGTGTGTCTCTGCACGTGAGATGGGTTTCCTGAATACAGCACACTGATGGGTCTTGACTCTTTATCCAATTTGCCAGTCTGTGTCTTTTAATTGGAGAATTTAGTCCATTTACATTTAAAGTTAATATTGCTATGTGTGAATTTGATCCTGTCATGATGATGTTAGCTGGTTATTTTGCTCGTTAGTTGATGCAGTTTCTTCCTAGTCTCGATGGTCTTTACATTTTGGCATGATTTTGCAGCGGCTGGTACCAATTGTTCCTTTCCATGTTTAGCACTTCCTTCAGGAGCTCTTTTAGTGCAGGCCTGGTGGTGACAAAATCTCTCAGCATTTGCTTGTCTGTAAAGTATTTTATTTCTCCTTCACTTATGAAGCTTAGTTTGGCTGGATATGAAATTCTGTTTTGAAAATTCTTTTCTTTAAGAATGTTGAATATTGGCCCCCACTCTCTTCTGGCTTGTAGAGTTTCTGCTGAGAGATCCGCTGTTAGTCTGATGGGCTTCCCTTTGAGGGTAACCCAACCTTTCTCTCTGGCTGCCCTTAACATTTTTTCCTTCATTTCAACTTTGGTGAATCTGACAATTATGTGTCTTGGAGTTGCTCTTCTCGAGGAGTATCTTTGTGGCATTCTCTGTATTTCCTGAATCTGAACGTTGGCCTGCCTTGCTAGATTGGGGAAGTTCTCCTGGATAATATCCTGCAGAGTGTTTTCCAACTTGGTTCAGTTCTCCCCGTCACTTTCAGGTACACCAATCAGACGTAGATTTGGTCTTTTCACATGGTCCCATATTTCTTGGAGGCTTTGTTTCTTTTTATTCTTTTTTCTCTAAACTTCCCTTCTCGCTTCATTTCATTCATTTCATCTTCTATCGCTGATACCCTTTCTTCCAGTTAATCGCATCGGCTCCTGAGGCTTCTGCATTCTTCACGTAGTTCTCGAGCCTTGGTTTTCAGCTCCATCAGCTCCTTTAAGCACTTCTCTGTATTGGTTATTCTAGTTATACATTCTTCTAAATTTTTTTCAAAGTTTTCAACTTCTTTGCCTTTGGTTTGAATGTCCTCCCATAGCTCGGAGTAATTTGATTGTCTGAAGCCTTCTTCTCTCAGCTCGTCAAAGTCATTCTCCATCCAGCTTTGTTCTGTTGCTGGTGAGGAACTGCGTTCCTTTGGAAGAGGAGAGGCGCTCTGCTTTTTAGAGTTTCCAGTTTTTCTGCTCTGTTTTTTCCCCATCTTTGTGGCTTTATCTACTTTTGGTCTTTGATGATGGTGATGTACAGATGGGTTTTTGGTGTGGATGTCCTTTCTGTTTGTTAGTTTTCCTTCGAACAGACAGGACTCTCGGCTGCAGGTCTGTTGGAGTACCCGGCCGTGTGAGGTGTCAGTCTGCCCCTGCTGGGGGATGCCTCCCAGTTAGGCTGCTCGGGAGTCAGGGGTCAGGGACCCACTTGAGGAGGCAGTCTGCCCGTTCTCAGATCTCCAGCTGTGTGCTGGGAGAACCACTGCTCTCTTCAAAGCTGTCAGACAGGGACATTTAAGTCTGCAGAGGTTACTGCTGTCTTTTTGTTTGTCTGTGCCCTTCCCCCAGAGGTGGAGCCTACAGAGGCAGGCAGGCCTCCTTGAGCTGTGGTGGGCTCCACCCAGTTTGAGCTTCCAGATTGCTTTGTTTACCTAAGCAAGCCTGGGCAATGGCGGGCGCCCCTCCCCCAGCCTCGGTGCCACCTTGCAGTTTGATCTCAGTCTGCTGTGCTAGCAATCAGTGAGACTCCGTGGGCATAGGACCCTCCGAGCCAGGTGCGGGATATAATCTCCTGGTGCGCCATTTTTTAAGCCTGTCGGAAAAGCGCATATTTGGGTGGGAGTGACCCGATTTTCCAGGTGCTGTCTGTCACCCCTTTCTTTGACTAGGAAAGGGAACTCCCTGACCCCTTGTGCTTCCCGAGCGAGGCAATGCCTCGCCCTGCTTCGGCTCGTGCACGGTGCGCGCACCCACTAACCTGCGCCCACTGTCTGGCACTCCCTAGTGAGATGAACCCGGTACCTCAGATGGAAATGCAGAAATCACCCATCTTCTGCGTCGCTCACGCTGGGAGCTGTAGACCGGAGCTGTTCCTATTCGGCCATCTTGGCTCCTCCCCCCGCCCTGATGTTTACTTTCTTAAAAACTGCCATGTGCTGTGCTCTGGCTAAGTAAAGAAAAATTTTAGCTATCCTACAAAATGTGTGGCTGAAATGTTGTCAAATATTTATATAGAACAAATATTTAAAAGTTCTTGATAACTAAACTTGATAACTGGATAACTAAACTTGAGAGAAGAGCCTCATTAATTGCTGATTGGAATTAGGAGAAAAATCATATGTTTTATGTATATATAACTATGTTGTGTGTGATAGTGAGTAAAATATTGCTATTTGATTATAGATGTTCACTTTTAATTCTTTCTCCATTTGGATACTTTCTATTTAGCCCTCCAGATCTACTCTTCCCCTTACATACTCTGCTCTTTGCCTTGAAGCCCTAAAAATTATGTCAACTGACTCCTACCCCTTCTGCTTTCCTTTTGGGTTTGGCCAGCGGGAAACCCAAGCAGGACATTGGAGAAAGGAAGAAGTATGAAATTGTATATTTCTCTAGTTCATGAGATTCCCCTATGCCTGGCCGTTCCCTTTACAGCTGGTCATTGATCCTTTCAGTTATCTTCTTTACACTCTTCCTGGGTTCTCAGACTTTCTCCCCAAGTTCATTTGAGACTAAAGGGAGAGATAGCCTGTCTGATACTAGCCCTGGGTTCCTGCACTATTCTTTTAGTTTCCCTACACACTACCCACACCTTATAATAAGGCCCTTTGTAAATAAACTCTCCTTGGCTTAAGCTATTTCGAGTGTGCCATCCATTTCCTGTTAAGACTGACTGGCAAACCATTGTTCATCACTGTAGGTCCCTAACTTATATGTGGTCAAGGTCACTCCTTTGGTTTATTGGAGAAGGGCGTTGTTATGGTTTATTTAACCAGTTTATTCTTCTTATAGTTTCACCATTGCCCACAGGGAGTTTTTCTTGCATATGCTAATAGCTCCATTGTTTACCCAGAATGAAGGTTTTTTGTTTATTTATAAATAGTTTCAAGTGTTGTTTTATTGGGATTATGAGAAGGATGGAAGGTGAAAGCAGACGATAAACTGCAAAGATTCAAATGCCTATACTAAAATATAAATTTTTTTATCCTACTTAAAGAAGTTTTCAAGAAAGAGCACTTTATAATGTTTCCTCCCCTCCACATACTGATTAGCTTCCTATAACTACATTCTATCTAAAATAAATAACTTGAAAGTTGTCTAGTTTTTATTTGGCTGTTTGTTAGATTTTAACTCTAATATACTTGAAAAAATTTAAAAAATTTAATGTGAAAACACATTTTAAAATGTTTTCTTTACCCCAAAATATTAATTTCAGTAACAAAATTGCATTTCAATTTAGCACCAACTTCCTAACAAAGAATACTTACTTATATAGAAATGTTTTCTCTTTATATAACTCAAAATACTATGAAAAACAAAAAACAAAATCAATAAACAGATTAAATTCCATTTCCATACTCTGTGACCTCTGTATTACCCTATTAGCAGTGAACAAAATGCCGATCATCAAACAAATACTCCTGGATCACCTAATGAGGAGGCCTCTGGGATTCTATAATCTTAGGTGTTGTGTCTGAGTGATACTTCCATCTGATCTCATCAATTTCACCATCATCAAGTATAAATGAAGCCAGCACTGGAACCTGAGAAAAATAGTTCTTAGCCAGGATATGTTTGTGTTTGATCTTGTGAATAAATGAGCGTTCATATCCCTGCAAAGAAAAAAATCAAATTCTAGTAAATATCACAGATATATTTTGCCAGGTAAAAATACTGTCATGCCTCGGTGCCTTTGCTTGTCAATTCTTTCATCCCAGACTACCTTTATTTTTCTCACGTTGTCTATCATCATTCACGACTCAGCTCCTATGATACTTTAACCTGGAAGTTTTCCCCAACTCTCCCTCTGACTTCTCTAAGTTTAAACCACTGCTAGTTATCAACTCAATATTCATTCTTTCTCCCATTTGAGCCAGAGGCCTGATTTTGTATAGGGTGTGATGTGTCTAGCTTTCTTAGCCCTTATTCTAACTGGGGGTATCTAGTTAGAATATATATATATATATATATATTATTAATGTTATAGATATTGAGGTGAGAAAAAACAAAAATAAAAACAAAACAAAACAAGGGAAGTCTGAGAAACTGTCACCACCAAGAAGAATCTAAGGAGATAACTAAATATCTTCCAAGATTATTTAATTATACACAATATATATAACCTTATATAATTATATATATATAATTGAATAAAGCCTTTGAAAGGGACTTTTGAGAGTGGGAAGACTCACCTATCAAGCACCTCTAGCCTTTTGCCATTACTGAGAGGTACATGTAATGAAGAAGATGAACTAGCTATCCTATCACTAAGAGCCCACCAAGCATGAGAGAGAAAGCTGAAGATTAAATATGGCTGAGGAAAAAGTGAGATGGCCTGAATTTCTGAGAACAAGGTGGAGCCACCATACTAGCCCCAAACTGCCAACCTTTGAACTTTCTTGTTACATAAGAAAACTAAACCCACATTTGATTAAATCATTATAAATTGCTTTTTCTGTTCTTGTAGCTGAACCTAAATGCAACTGAGACAACAAAAAGTTATATTCATTAAATTTTCTTGTTTCTCTGTAATTACTTAGTACAGTATTTGGCACATTCAAAAGTAAATTCTGGTTAAATTAATAAATATAATCTATTACCTATTAATCTTAATTGGCCCTCTTTTCAATCAAATCACAAATACTACCTATACTTCTTCCTAAAATTTATTTTCTGAGAATAAGACATTCCCTCAATAAAGGTCTCTTCAGAGGGTCAAATCAAAGATAAAAGAAAGTCCTGGGTGAAAGGACCAAAAGAGCAGAAAACATTATATAGGAGTATCCTGGGCTTATTAAAATTTCCTCTTAACAGAAAAATTTACTAGGTTAAAATATTCATCTTTTGAGCTAATCTAACTTTGTTTCTACCACTTCTTAGCCCATATTTCATTCAAGAAAAACTAACACACTTTATTATGCTATATTAACTTACACATGTACAGAACTTTATAGGTTTTCAAGGTGCCTTTACAGTACTATAAATTATTAAAGATGAGATAAATTATGATATATGTGTTCAAGGCACTAATAAGTAACTCTTAAATAACTGAATATATTTCCATATTATATTATTTATATTGTTAAGTAAAGCAAAGAAACTAAGTCTCAGAGTCATTTAATATGAAATTCCTGCTACAGTAAAAGTATATATACTTACATACACATAGAAAACTTCCAGAAGGATTTCAATAGATTATTATATACCTAAGAAATAGTAGTTATCATTGCAACATGGAGATAGGGATGGGTGGACATCAAGAGACCTTTTTTCCCATTGAAATAAGGTCCATTCTCTTGAAATAGCCATGTGATGGTTTTAAACTATGTTCACAAATTCTTTGGGTGTACAAATAGTTCTAAGAATATTACAGAAAGGTCCCATATACCCCACACCCACATTTTCCTGAATGTGTCTCAATCTGGGTTTGTCCTGTGTTTTCTTCATTATTATTAGACTGAAGGGATGGGTTTTGGGGAGGAAGACCACAGGGGTGAAGTGCCCTTCTCCTCACATCATATCAAGGGTACACACCATCAGCATGACAGCACTGCTGCTGTTAATCTTGATTACCTGGCTGAGGTAGTGTTTGTCAAGTTTCTCTACTGTAAAGGTCCTCCCCTTCCATCCATAATATAGTCTTTGGAAAGGAGTTATTATGTACAGCCCACATTTAAAGGGTAGAGAGTTATTCTCCATCTCCTTAAGAGTGGAGAGTATCTACATAAATTATTTGGAATTCTACATGGGAGATTTGTCTATTTGCCTCCCTTTATTTATTCATTCAGTCGTTTTTTAAATTTTTTAAATTGATAATAATTGTACATATTTACGGGGTACATAGTGATGGGATGATACATATATCATGATCAGAGTAATTAGCATATTCATCTCAAACATTTATCATTTCTTTGTGCTGGGAACATTCGATATGCTGCGTCTAGCTATTTGAAACCATATATTGTAATTAACTATAGACAACCTACAGTGCCACAGAACAGTACTAGAACTCACTCCTCCCATCTAGCTATAATTTTTGTATCCTTAACAAATCTCTCCCTGTTCCCTCAACCTCTGAGACCTTTACTTTCTACATTACATTTTTTATTCTGTTCAGATTCTAAGCCAATAATATATTGCTTTAAAATTAAAAATAAAATGCATCAAAAATTTTTAAAGTGCTTTCATAGTTACTACCTAAGTTTATTCATGCCAAAAAAAACTATGCAGAAAGCTTTAAATAATGGCCTACTCAAAGCTTCCCTATGATGAGATACCATTATCTCTTTTTTATAGACGAGAAAGCTGGGTCATTGAGACATTCACAAATTTGTCCAATTTCTCCCAGCTCATGAATGGTAAAGCTAGAATTCAGAGCCAGAGCTGCTTTTATCCTCTTTACTGATTCCACTTATTTAGCTAATCTTTCTAAAAATTTATGAAGCAAAGAGGGAAGGTTTTAATGTAAAGTTGTCAGTGACAGAGATTTGAGTTAACTGGGTCAGGATTACTGATTTTAAGTCCATGATTGTTCCTACTTTGGCCAGTGTGCACACAAGGAGAGATCAATCTGCTCCACTTAAAGTTCACATTAACGAAAGTGTTTTTCCACGTTTCCTATACCTGTTTCATATTAACTTGCAAGTATTTTTTTAACTTCTTAAGAAAGCAAATATCTCTGAACATTAAGAAAATTCTGAAAATGCTCCATCTTTCTGCAAGATATAAACTACTCTTTAACTGGGCTGAAAGTTAATAGTTAAAAGATTGTATCAGCCCAAAACCATAAAAAAGGCAAATGTTTTTCCAGTTTGTCTGCTTGCAAATCTTGGTGCCCTTTACAGAAATTCGATAAGACTGGCATTCTAAATTAGAAATGCATGTGAATAGAACATTTAATTTGATACTGCAGTAATTTGATTAAATGCACAAAGGGAGTTGTGTGGATTAATTGAAGAAGCACTGGAATATCAGCTTTGGGAATGAACTTCAATCTCATCATGGGTCCTAGATGAAATGATATTGCTAGTATTGACTATGCTTCCTGTGATTAAATATTTATGAGGCAGCTTAGTTTACTAAATATAACATTTAATACAGCTTCAACTTATTGCTACCTTTTCTTTCAATCCCTAGAGTGAAATTTTTCTTAGCCTGGCTTCTTAAAACTAAAAAAATATTTAAAAACTAAAACTTTAGCTAGTTTCTTATCTTTATATTCATCACCCCTTGTTCCACTGAAAAAAAACAAACAGGGAATCACACTATTTTAAACGACTACTGCATTTTGTCATTTCTTTACTTTCCTTTAGCTGACACCTTGTGTGGAATTAAAGAATGCAGAGAATCAGTATTAACTCTCGGGATCCTGGACCTAGTGTAAATGGAGCTCTCTACGAACTCTTCAGGAGTCCCTCAACTTACCCATCAAAATGTTTTACAGATTGCATCATGTAAGTTACTAAAATTACAGTAAATGGCATTTAATGTTTACAGTGCTTGCTCCACTCCCAGCAAGTTGGAAGCAAATGAAAAATGGAGCATCAGAACTACACCCCATCAGTATGATTGCTATTTAGAGCACAAAATTATGAACAAAATTTGAGAGTTGGGTGTTTTTAAGCAGACTCATGATAATTAATCAAAGAAGGACAGATTCTGGGTTCCATAATACCTATCTGGTGGTAATGCACATTTATTCATTCAACAAATACTTATAAACTCCATTCTGTGACAGGCAGTATTGTAGGTATTAGAGAAATAGATGTAAATAAGCCAAACAAAATCACTGCCTTCATGGAATTTACCGTGGAATGTGCTTAAACTTACTATTAGGAGAGACTGGTATGATGTTTAGGACTTGTAATATGTTCAAATCTCTTATATATACCTTTTATTTAATCTGTGCCATATATGCCATCCATAAATTTTTTTGTTGTTAATCCATAAGTTCTGTTTCTTAATCTGATGGAAGTATTTAAGCATGGAATATATTAGAAGGCAGTCCAGTTATCGCTAATAATTCCAATGATTAAATTAACTTCCCAAATAAAATTCAACTTTCTTACCTCTTCAATACTTGTTAGCTTGAGATGAGCAGCTGCTTCATCTTTGGTAAGAAGAATGCAGTTCCAGGGGGACCACTCCAGGGATTTATTCCATCTGACCATGACCAGATCACTGAGATTGTCGCAAGCACTGAGGACTGACTGGGACGCCCAGATGTTCTCTGTCAGGTACTGAATGTCTTGTAGCTGCATGTCAAAGCAAGTTTTAAAAACAATGTAGTTTAAATTTGTTTAAGATTATTATATTACTTGAGCAAATAATTAAATTATAGAGTATTTTTAAGTGAATTATTATTCACTAGGTTTCAATGACACATAGCCCCTTATTTTTCACTAAACTTCTGTTCATTTTGCCTAAACTACATTATCAGTCTCACAGTTGCGTCCCCATCTCTAAACCAGAGTAAGCAGTATAAATTCATTTCAGTATGCTAATTTTACCTGAATATAATCTTAATAATACTATAATGTTACCATAATAAACATATGGTATTGAATGATCTTTAAAATTCATTAGTAAGTACCATCTTAATTTCAGGGCCATTGTAGGGACCTTTTAAAACCTTTTACTGCCATTTTACAAATGAGGAAGCTGAGATTTTTTTTTTTTAATATGGAACACTTCACAAGTTTGCATGTCATCCTTGTCCAAGGGCCATGCTAATCTTCTCTATATGGTTCCAATTTCAGTATATGGGCTGCTGAAGCAAACACAGGAAGTTGAGATTTAATAAAGATAAGTAATTCACTTAGTGTTAATTAAAAGACTTGGTTGTTTTAATCAAAAAGAGGGGTAATGAAATAGCTGTTTAAAACTTTTTAAAAAACGTAAATCTTATCAGCTAAAACTCTTGGAATGACTTTTTATCATGGGGTCTGCATTATAAATTTAGAATTGCCAGAGACGGACAAACTCAACAAAGTATAAGCATGTAAAAAGAATATTTTTTAAAAAAGCTTCTGTGAAAAAGTGTGAGAGCAGAAATATTTTCTGTAAAATGAGTACACAAAACCTAAACAATCTGCCAAAGTAAAAAACAAAAAGAACCTGTCATCATCAGCTACAACAGTATTTCATAAATTGGTAATTCAATATATTAAGCTCAACTAATGCATTCTAGCTTTTACTTAATGCTAAAAAAGACAATACTCTGTACACAGCTGCTATGAAAAATAAATTTATAGACCTTTAAAATTCAATGTTTTATATATTTTACTTACATTCAAAATGCATCTTGTTTACATTTTTGTTTTTAATTTAGTTGCTCAACTGTACTAATAATTTTGAAATTGTATCATACAGAATAACGTGTTTATTTGCATGTAAATGTCAAATGTGCACATAAGTGTGGTTGACAGTCTCTAAGAGCTTTCTACCTTTCAAGTAGTCATTGTACTTGAAATTTTTGCAGTAACAGAGCAATACTATTGCCTATTATATTAGGCAGTATTTGTATGCATTACAGATAAACGAGGTGACTAGTACAACACTCAAATCTCTTGTCTAAGCAGAATGTTTACTTTTTATATATATTAACTTTCACCTTTTCATTTTACATGGCATCATGTTCACATTTAACATATGCTAATCTTTGCTGTTGTCCACAAGATTTACTATTTATGAGAATGTTCAAACATTCAAATTATGCCTCAAATACTATTACTGAAATAAATATTAATCAAAACTACACCAATTACAAGGGGGGGGAAGCTACTGGACACTCATATTTGTCTGCTAATCCTAGACATTGGAAAAGTAATAGACCAAAACCCTACATAGATACGGTACTGAAATTAAATCACATCTAATGGAGATTATCCTTATCTGAAAGGTTACAATGCTCCCCTAGAATTTTTTCATTCAATATGTGTAATGGTTGATTTTACATCAACTTGATGATGCCACCGGATACCCAGATATTTGGTCAAACGGTATTCTGGTGTTTATGTGAGGGTAGTTTTGGATGAGATTAACATTTAAGTAAGTCAGTAGACTGAGTAAAGCAGAGTGTCTTCCATAATGTGAGTGGGCTTTATCCAATCAGTTGAAGGCCTGAATAGAACAAAAAGTTCACCCTGTCCCCAAGTAAGGAAGACTGTTTCTGCCTAATGGCCATTGAATTGAGACACTGGCTCCTCCTGGCTCTATAGCAGCCTGCTGGTCATCAGACTTGAACTGGGCCATCAGCTGTTTAGGTTTTAGACTTACCAGCCTCCACAATTATGTGAGCAAATTCCTTGTAACAAATCTCCTTATATGTATATATATATAACATATATGTATAACATTTTCTATTGGTTCTGTTTCTCAGGAGAAATCTGACTAATACAACATGGAATATTGAGCCAGCACTTCTTGGTGACTTACATTAAAGCCCTAGTACATCTAAGATTCTCTACAAGGAAATATACATCTGTCATGTCAATAATTCCTGAATAAAAGTAGCAAATAAGAATTTAAGCTGAAATAAACATCAAATTTATTAACAAAATATTCATTCTATTGGACAAAATATGTAATCATTTTAATTTGTGCTTTTCAAACTGTGGGTTGCTACCTCTTGGGTGATACCAAAGTTTTCCAAATGGAAATCAGAATAAGTAGACTGAGATTGAATAGAAAATATCAGAGTACATCCATAGGGGTAAAGATAAACACTATTTTGGAAACTTTTATTTCTGAGGCAGAACAGCATGTGTTTACATGTACGGATGCTGGGAATCAGACTGCCTAGTTTTCAATCCTGGTGCTGGTACTTAGTAGCGTAAACTTGGACAAGTTAGTTAACCACTCAGTGCTTCCCTTTCCTCACCTGCAGAATGGAAATAATGCCTATTTTGATAGGATTTTTGTGCTGATTAACTCAATAAAGTGTGTAAAGCCATATAGGTACTGAGTATTGAGAATTATCATGCATGCCTATATCAGGTTGTCATAAAAATACATTTTTACTATAGATTGAGATTTAAAAGTTTGAAAGCTATGGATTTAGAAGAATTTTTTAACAAAGCACATCACATTTGGTATCTTTTTTTTAATCTCTATAAAGTTTTCTATTCATAGTAGTGCCTACTTTCCTATTTGGTATTAAATACAATTTAGTTCATTTTAATTAGTAACTAATTTACAGAAAATTTGCCCTTATTTGACAGTCTGTGAACACAAATATCATTAATGAGGTCAATTGTGCTCTATAATATACTTTTATTAATAAGTGGCTAATGTTGGGTAGCCATATCAACAACAAGTAAGTCCTTCTGTTTTCTCACTTGCTTACCTAAGTCCAAACAGTGTCAGGAATTTGTTTTTATTTTGTAGAGACACAGACTATCCTCTGGCCTAAACCCAATAGAAGACATGGAATAACCAAAGAGACCGAAGTAGTGGTTAAGTTAGGAATTCAGGTCAGAATTCCTGATCTCACAGGCTCCACCCTCTCACAGAGCTAGAAGTTCTTACGAGAAGCAGATTACGTAGGGTCAATGATCCAATGCAATGATTCATCCAAAAGAACTCTGGCCAGAAACTTTCCAGTTGTGTGGTATCATATCAACACTTTACATAGACAAGTATCAAAGCCTTTCCCTAAGGTTTTTTTTTTTTTTTACTTTCTATAAGCCTTAGCTTTCACTTTTGGTGTTATTTACCATTATGGTCACATTTGGTTTACACTAATTATTACTGTTATTCGTAAACACTAGTATGTGTATATGTAACATCAGTTTCTGTAAAAGTCATTCATTCATTCAACAAATATTGAGGGCCTTAAATAAAAACTTGGTACTGTATTAGGTTATAGAGGTATAATGGTGAGCAGGAGGGAAAAAAAGCATACTCCTGCCCTCACAGAGCTTACAGTCTAGTGGAATAGAGAGTCATTAAACAATCACACACACACACACAAACATACATAAGATTGCAAGATAGCCTCCTTGACAAGCTTCAGCTATAATTGGCACCCCTTATTGACCATACCTGCATCAAGAAAGCAATTTTAGAATCATCTTCATAATCAGCTTCTGTATAGTAGAGCTGTTGAAGTAAACATTTGTACTTCAAAAATGATTCTCGTTTTTGAGCCTCATTCTGAAGGTTAATGCAGTTACGACACCGGTATATGCGGCGTGAGGTGGATGATACAGAAAATTCTGTAGAAGGCAAATAAAGCTGGCAACTGTGGCAAAAGTAAATCTTCTTATAAAATTTCAATGGGTCTTGAGGGACCTAAATAAATAGTAAAAAAAGAAAAAAAAGGTCTAAAAAGCCAGGCCAGGCCAAATATGATCCTAACCAATGGAAGCATCAAAGGCTAACTTACTTATCTTAGAATGAGATTTAAAAAAAAAAGTTGGCTAATTTCTAAAATTTTATTTTTCCCTGAACTTCTTATCCTACAGAAAATCTAAATTTCAAGCAGTATTTATTCATCCTGCCAAAATATTGAAAATCTGTTATTCATCAGTTCTTAGATATTTGTGGTAAAATCACTTATAAAATTAATTGACTGAAAAAAATAGTAGGAAGAGGCTTTTTATTGTTAGGAAAATTTAGATTTTTTTCAGTTCTATATTACATTAGTTATTTCTATAGCTAGATTCGCATATAAGTAAAAACCCACTAACCCAATTGTTCTTCTCGTTTAATTTATCTTCAAAATAAATTTAGATTAGTTCAAATGATTAATTTTCAAAGTTTGAAATTCTATGTCTAAAGCAATAGACAGAAAGTAATTCTACCATAAAATAATCAACCCAATTATTTACTATGGGCTAAAGTACCATGAATGAATGAGTGAATTGTGAACATTTCAACACAAACTGAATCAAGACATATATATGCCAGTCTTTCCTAATTTATGGTACCTCTGGTTTCCATGAAAGTAAAGATCAAGCAGCAACAGAGTTTGCATGTGATATATAAGACTTTCAAAAAATATTTTTATAAAGAAGGAAATGGACATCAATGTTCTATAAATTTTTTCTCTTACTCAATGTGGATTTAAAATATTTACCATTATAATCTCTTCTAATGTTTTACTTTGTTCTGAATATCTATCTGTTACCTTTCTGCACCTTCCCCTCTACTCTGCGTTACTTTTCCTAAACACTCCATCTTCCCAAAGGGTAATATTCTTTGAAAACTTCATTGTCCCTTGTCTTGTAATTTTGGGAGATAAGAAAATATGTAAATTTAAAAGGTAGTCAATTCTTCGAGAGAAAAGAAGAGTGATCTAGGTGTATGATCAAAGATCAAGAAGACAACTTATCTGGTTCCTTTTCTTATTCTGAGATTTACACATTTTGTTTATCTTGAATGATTATTTTATCTTCATGCCTCCTAGGCATTAAATTAGCAAATATATCAGTCAACCTCATGAAAACACGTTAGCACACGTCTCCATTATAGATGGAGCATTTACTATAATGCCATGGAAAGATATTCTCCACCCATCTGAAATTGTGCAAGAAAAAAATAACTCATTCTTATTATGATTATGATGACAGAGGGCTCCATTTAAGCTACAGAATTAAACTCTACAAATTCTCCAGTGTACCTACTCCCAAAAAGTGGTTGTGGGGGTAGTGGTGTTCCTTCAAATTCTTCTCCCACTATGCAAACTAAAAATGTGCAAATGAGCCATTCCTTTTTAAAGCCAGTAACTTTTAAATCCAGCCAGTAGTTTGAGATATTAAAGAGTATATTCCCCCCAAAAAAGAAGTACAGGATAATCCATAGATGTGTCCTAGATTCAAGAACAAACTTTAAATACTTTATCTTAATTAATATATTTATCATATACTGCAGGCAGAAATGCAACATGGTGCAGTCAGTTTGGAAAAAAATGCTTGGTTGTCTCTTTTTAAAGTAAACATGCATTTACCATGTGATTCAATATGCCACTTTCTAGGAATTTACCCCAAAACAATCAATTTACCCAAAAACTCATATCTAGTGCTTGTAATGATTTTATTCATAAAAGACCAAAACTCTCTAAACAATCCAAATGTCCTACAACTGTGAATGGATTTTTAAAGAACTCTTGTATATCCAGATATTAGAATATTTTTCAGCTATAAAAACAAACCACTGACACATTCAAAAACATGGGTGAATCCATGCAATATGCTAAGTGAAAGAAGTCAGTCTCAAAAGACTACATATAGTATGATTCCATTTATATGACCTTCTGAAATAGATAAAACTATAAAAATAAAACACATATCAGTGTTTGCCAAGGATTGGGAAGTTAGGGAAAAAGCTGACTACAAAGTGGCAGCATGAGAGAATTCTGGGGGCTGATAGGACCATTTCTTATTTTGACTGTGCTACTGGTTACATGACTCTATACATTTTTCAGAACTTACCAAAAAGAGTAAATTTTACCAAAGACAAATTTTAAAAATAAATAAAATGATATAACATTATGTAAAATTGTAGAAACTCTATCAATTGTATTACTCCAAATATAAACTGAATAAGTCTACAGAGAAAGAAGGTGGCTCAGACAAATGAAACACTGGTTTGAGTAAGAAATAATATAATGGGAACTTTTTCCCTTGGACTTTTGTTATATTTTAATATTCTTTTTGCAATACAATCAGGTTTTTAAAAATCAGTTTAAAAAATATAAAAATTAAACAATTTTTATTCTTCTAGAAGTTTTGACTAAATATGAGAATTTGTTTTTTCAAAAAAGCTAAAGATGTTTAGTCAGCTTTTTAAGTAAATTTTAACTGAATATAATCATTGAAATAAAACTATAATTCTCTGACAACATACTCTACCCCAAGAGTTTTGCTAATAGTGTTTTAAATAGCTCTGCACAGTAAGAAGGCAATGAAGCATTTGTCTTGGCTTTAGAGAGCCACAGAAGCCTAACGACGCTGGAGTTGGAGAAGATAGTGTAATTCAAATATGTTACATTTGAAGTTCTCTCAGAATATCCATATGGACCTGTTCAGTAATAATTATAACTTTGTGATAAGTGTTATAAGGAACACCAACAAGGTATAACATGGAATCTCAGAAAAAAAGAATTTAACTCCCTGTGAGGCCTCATGAAGGAGAAGAGATGAGATGAGAATTGAGTCTTAGAAAATGAACAGGAATTGGCTGGGTAAATAGTGAATAGCATTCCAGGGGAAACCAACGGTATGTACAAAGCCATGGAGGCGTGAGAAATCATAATACATTCAACGTAATGCAATATTCAGTTGGAAAGTTGGTGAAGAGATTAGGAAATAATTGAAGGTTGCAAATACACATAAGTCAAATGAGTAAGTTTAATTTACCAACATAACAAAATATCATTCAAAGGAGATACTACCAATAAGATGGTATTCCACATGGACTCCCAAGTAAAGTGTTAAAGCAAAATTTGAATATACTTCAATTTACTATACCACATCTTAGGATTTTGAAACAGGAATATAGAGAAAAATGTAGAATACCTTAAGGTATTTTGCAACTTCAGGATTAAACAGAGGTGTTTTGATATAATGAAAAAAGAGTGTCGCAATTCTTTTTCTGAGTCCTTCAAGGTTATGATGTTTGACTCCTCTCATCATAAGGTCAACCTCTCTGTCAATCAATTCTAGAATTTCCTGAGTTAGTTTACATTCATGTTCCTATATAAAACACAAAAATATATGGTATAAAATTTTACAAATCACTAAGTTCACTTTCAAATTGCCACCAAAACAAACCAAAATCTACATTCCTAAAGAAATGAAACATTGTCAATAGGAGTATAAATTGGCAAAACTAATAGTTCATTTTTTGTGGTATATATAGTTTTGTTGTATATATAGTATTGTACTATATACAACAAAAACTTAAATCTTACAAATTAATTTTAAGCAAAATACTCAAGGTACAAAATAACAGATACAGTACAATTCTGTCAAATAAAATTCAAGAATAAGCAACACTAAACCATATTATTTAAAGATTTATACAGAGGTGGTAAAACTATGAAGAAAAATCAAGAAAATGACTACCATGAAAGTCAGTATGATAGTTACTTCTAAGAGATGACAAGAGGAATTGTAATTCGAAGGGAAAAGAGGACACCAGAAACATTGGCAACTTCCTGTTTAATATTTGTTAAACTGTACGTATATATTTTATTCACTTTTCTGTCTATTTATTATAGGTCACAATATTTTTTATAAAGTAATAGAAATGAGTGTGGTTGGATGAAAAAGCCACAAGTAACAAGCGATTAATGTAGAAATATTTATAAGGTCCTCCAATTGCCCAAGGGAAAACTGGAAGATACACAGCTTGAATGAAGGAGTCAGAAGATAAAGTCATTAATTGTAAAATAATGCTCTTCCGTACTTTGTACTACATAGTTGGTAAGGCTAATATGAGAGTCTGCATCAGTGGTCCTTTGACCTGGAGGCACTTTAGAAGGACCTGAGGGAGATTTTTAAAAATTTTAATATTGTCCTCATACCTGAGGAGCTAATTTAACTGCTCTGAAGTGGGGCCTAGGTATTATACTCATTTATGCTCATATTCATTCATGCTGTCCCTCTCTCAGGCTCTCCAGGTGATTCTAATATGTACTGAGGTTTAAAATTCACTGGTCTGTATTAGTAACTATCATCAAAATAACACCTATTATTTATTGAGGCCCTCCTCTTTGTAAGGCACTATATTAAGTTTTTATGTTTATATATGTGTGTGTATATATATCTACATACATGTAGATAGATACACACATATTCTCAAAGCAACTAATTTTACAAATGACAAAACTGATTTTCATAAATATTAACTTATTTTAAGGTTGTGCAGCCATAAATGAATAGAGTCAGAATTTGAGTTGTACTTAAAGACTTTAATCCTCCATCAAAATATTTTCAAGTAAATGTATATATGAATATTTCATACTAAACATATTAAGATATGCATAATTTGCCTTTTATGAGTCCATCCTTTGGCCTTTTTATTACTGGTCCTAATTATGTCAGGATTTATATTGTATTCCCTATGCACTCTCTTTTTGCCAATCTGGTCTTTTTACTGCCCTCTGTAAGTATCATGTTTATTTCCTACCTCTGGACCTATTGCTTCTCCCTCCCTACCTATCTCTGTCTTTCAAGGTGGGTCACTACACAAACATCTTTGAAAAGGTAGTCCAGAGAAAAGGCAGTCAATGCCTCTGCTGCTATGGAGATCTGTCTCCCTGGAAGAACCATTTACCCAATTATTTAATGTGTTTTAAGAGTTTTGTGTGCCTTGGAGGACAGACACACAAACTCATCCACAGAAAGAGCGTTCTTTACAGTTAGGAGTAAAGAAACCTACACAGGGTATCAAAATGTTATGCTTATGAAATTCTCAGGTTTGTAATCATGTAGCTCACTTAGATGGACCTAAATATGGCTGATAGTTTTCAGTTGTTATATATAGTGAACCACTGATTTTCATTACAATATCTATGCCTATATGTTCTGGCAATCTGGGCCATATCGATGACCAAAATAGACTGACCATGCAGTTACCTAATCCATTGCTTATGTATAAACTTTAGTTAATACCGATGATCACACAGAAACAACCTATATTTCTATGCTATACTGAACGAACATCTGCCAAGTGTCTTATTAACTTGAGAACTCACAAGCACAATTCAGAACCCAAATACTTTTTACCTGTATTGCCCACTTATTATATAAGCTTACATTAAATATTGAGCTTACATTATGGTCAGGATAAATTAAATAAAATAATATAAATTATTTAATTTATTTACACTGACCATAATGTAAGCTCAATATTTCCTTTAATTTGAGCTATAAAATGCAAGAGCTATACCAATGGTCCTAATAACAGTAGGGTTTCCCTTTTAATTAGGAATGTAGACAACATATTCATTGTAATGAATGTTTGAGTGTGCTGCCCAGATCAGCCCTACTTCAGCACTGAAGCAGACTCTCAGCGGCAGGTTGTGGTAGCTGATAGCTCTCCACTGAGCTTCTCTCCGACAATTCCCTGTGCTGAAGAGAGCCATCTTGCCTACAGATAGACAGCTACCATCAGCTGAAAACAAACTGCCTCATCTAAGGTCATGTTTCTTCTCAGGGACATCCTGAATCAAATGACTAATTGTTGTGGCAGTATAAAGACCCAGGATCCTGTGAGAGTCTGGGGTATGTGAAAACAAAAATTAAATCAAGTCCTGGCCCAGGTCCAGCTCATAATGGATCTACTGGGCCACCCAGCATTTATTTCCCTGGTCCTTGAATATATAACTGGAATAGAATACTTTATAGTTGGCACAGCCTCACTACCCTTGATTTCTTGACCTGTGGAGTAAGAGCTATCATGATGAGGAAGACCAAGTGGAAGCCCCTGAACTGCCCTTGTCTGGGAACAGAGGAGGTGAAAGTAAAAATGGCCCCAATTACTACTTGGGAAATGTTTGCTTCCTGCCCCTGTAACTCTGGACTCTTCAAGTTTAGAGGTCCTAATTCCTGGAGGAAAAATGCTTCTAATGTAAGACATAGCGCAAGTCCTATTAAACTCTGAGCTACAACTAATGCCTAAGCTCCGCAGGCCAAGAGACCTGCGGGCAAGGCAAGTGTTTTCTTGCTTATAGAGGTAACTGACTCTGATCTTCAAAAGGCAATGGTGCAGTTATTACCCAATAGGGACAGAGAAGAATATGTTTGGCACCCAGGTAATGGGCATTTCTTGGTATATCTTTGCTTGATTTTGACAGTAAATGGAAGTCTGGTAGCCTCAGACTGAGAAAAGCATAGTGACCTGTGGTTCAGACCTCTCAAGATGCAAGTCACTCCAAAAAGTGGGTCACCTGGACCAGTCAAGATGCTAGTTCAGGGAGAAGGAAATCTAAAATAGATAGTAGAGGAAGGAAACAGTGAGTATCTCTTGTGGCCTTAAAGCCAATGACTACACTAGGGGCTGCAGTTTTTCTTAACCTTGCTTTGGGGCCTATCTAAATCCAGAGGAGCTAATCCTGAAACCTACAACATGAAGTGGATCCAGGCAGCAGCGTGTGTATTCTCCCCATCCTGGCAGATTGGTGGCTGACAACTCTCAAGCGAGGCTCTTCCTGAGAATTGCTCTCTATTAAAGAAAGTTATCTCATCCAAAGCTATGCCCTTCTGGGGCAGCCCATCCAATACGTGGTCAAAATTGTCCTGGCCCCTTGCCTAAATTCAGGACAACTCTGGATGGCCTTTCCAGTTTTAGAATTCCCCGTGACACTGGCTGAAGTCATTGTTCAGAATCCACCACAATTTAATTTCTCTATCCTCCCGATTCTGATTTCTCTACTGCCTCACAGGAATTATCCTGATAGCACTCTCCAACAAACTTCCTGAATATAAACCCCATCTCTGAGTTTGTTTCTTGTTTCTTGGGAAAATTTGATCTGTGACATCCACTAACTTTGTTTTCATTAAAAGTAGGATTAAGAACACAGAAAATCAATAATTGATGAGAAAAAAGATAAAAATACAATGGTGCTGCTTTAAAACTGCTAAAAATCAATTTTTCACTGAAAAATGTCAAAATATGTAGATTATAATTGCTGTTTATGTAATTACTAATCTCATGCTATACTGCATATATTTGCATTCATTGCATAAAGATATATTTACATTCATTATATTTACATTTATTATGTATTATATTTTGAGAACTTTTAGGTAAATATTAATGCATAAACCACATCCTTCCCAAATTATACCAAAACAATTCTTAATGTAAAACACTTTACTTGTTTTAGTATTTCATTAATTTTTTTTTATTGACAGTGAACTCTACCCCCAAACTAAGAGAAAGTTAACATACCTTTACAGTGTGTTTAAGAGTTAACAGCACATCCAGCCTCTCATCTTGGGAGATATTTTTCAGCATAATGCACTTATAGATATTTTGCAGCTCTCTGGCTCTGATGGTGAACTGCGTATCCATCTCAATTGTTTTGCCATTAGGGGTTCTCCATATTTTTGGAGCTGAACACTTAAAAATAATATTATGTTTATAATTATCAGTTAATTAGAAACTACGTATAACAATTTTGCTCCTTCTACTAAAAGTCTACCTTAATATCATGTGCTTTATAACTAAAGTATTGCTAAAGCTTATGAAAATTAATTTAAGAATTTGCAGATCAGGCAAAAGTAAAATATTTTAGAAAAAAACAAATAAGAATGACAGTTATTCAGTCTGTAGAAGTTCATACACTTCTACAATATTCAGGATTTGCTACTAGTTTTTTATGTTGAATTGTTTGAGAGATGTATGGAATTACTCATTAACCCCATGAGGACAATTATTTGCTTGGTTCAATTATATTGAGTGTATATAAATATGTCTTGATCCTGCCTTGCCAATTGAATATAACTTTTGTAGAGTAATTATGACAATCCTCAATATATTTAGACCTAAAGATATACCAAAAAGGGACTCTGTGAGTTATGGTTTAATGTCCTATAAAAATACTTCTATAAGAAGTTCAAAATTCTTCTCAAAGCAGATGTCCATAGTGAAAGAGCTATATTGCTATCTTAACTGTGCTGGGCTGTGGTTCCTGCCTCCCTGATGCTGGCTAAGATTCTCACTTCCTATTTCCAAATCTGGCTTGGTGCCTCCCAACCTAGCCCACCTCCTAAATGAAGGGCCAAAAATGAAGTTCACTTGCCCTGAAGCTCATCTGAGGACTCCCAGGCTAAGAATTCAGAGATTAGAGACAGGAGGTGAAATTAGTCCTCTACCGACTCAGGAAACAGGATAATCTTTAATGATGATACCTCTGTGTTTGCCACTGCTTCTGTTCCCTCTGACAGGGACATTTAGAGGAGATGCATTCACCCAGAAATTTCACAGTGAACACTTACTGTCTATTAGCTCTTCCACTTTAGGGTACAAAGCTGCTCAGTTTCTTTCCCTAATGATAATTTTTCAGAAACAAGACTATGTTGATCATGACAATTCTTCAAAAACATGTTGGATGTTTTTGTAGGTTAACTGTAATTGCTCTGGTGTCCTTGTAATACAATTTACACCATACTTGCAAACATTTAAATCTTAGATGTGATCTAATGTAAGGTTTAAATGGAAGCTCTATGTATTGGAACAGATCATCAGGAATATGGACTAACCAAATAGAGACATTATATAAAACTGTATTTAGAATGACAGTAGGCTGGGTGCAGTGGCTCACGCCTGTAATCCCAGCCACTTTGGGAGGCCGAGGCGGGCAGATCACGAGGTCAGGAGATCGAGACCATCCTGGCTAACACGGTGAAACCCCGTCTCTACTAAAACTACAAAAAATTAGCCGGGCGTGGTGACGGACACCTGTAGTCCCAGCTACTCGGGAGGCTGAGGCAGGAGAATGGCATGAACCTGGGAGGCGGAGCTTGCAGTGAGCCGAGATCGCGCCACTGCACTCCAGCCTGGGTGACAGAGCAAGACTCTGTCTCAAAAAAAAAAAAGAAAAAAGAAAAAAACAATGACAGTATCAGGAGGGAATTTTAGTTGTAACATCAATTTACAACTAATTTTTTATATTTCACATTAGCTAAATCACATTGAGAACTGCAAAGCTACCTCTTAAAAACAACTATATTTGATATATTCTCAAAGTAATGGCATCATATTCAGATCAAAGCCAAAATGAATGTTATTCAGAGGTAGGAATCTTCATCAGAAACTTTAGATTCTCAGCTCCAGTTTCAATCCAGTAAATGAGAAGCTGCAGCCCTATAATTAATTTAAATTGTTACAGCATAAATTCAATATTAAATAATGTATTATTATCAGACCGATATAATTAAGATTGATTAAAAGCTTATAAGGAAAATAGCTCAATAATAAAATATTTTATCATTCAATTCTCATCACTTAGGAATAAAATAATTTTTAAATGCATATAGCCTTATTTTGGGTAGGCCTCAGAGTGTTACTGAAGTTTGATGCTTATTTTAAAGCTCTTTTTAAAAAGTTTTTAAAGGCTAGGGCTAAGTTTCATGCTGTAATATTCTAAAGTCTAACCAATGTCTTAATCTTTGCATACAATTTTCCTCAGGTTTGCTGTATTAAATGCAATTGCTTTTCTTCCAGTAATTTGGACAACACCTTTTGATCTGCATGGTGGTAAATTATTTCATTTGTAATAATTCAAATACAATAACCTTTTTATGAAACACCTACTTTACCTATCACATTGTATTTTTCAGTTGATAGACTGATTTAACTCTGTTTTCCCCCCCAAGTTTTTAGCCTAACAAATATAGCATAATGTGGTTAGATCTTGGTTTCCAAATACATTCTTCATCTAAGTCCTTTCCACCTTTCCATTTTGAACTCAAACCCTACCTCTTCCATAAAGATTCCTCTAACTACTATAGTTTGAAACAATTATATCACTTGTATGTGAAATCCTATTGCACTTGTAAAAACACACAAGTATACAATGTCTCTATTTCAGTGACTACAGGCAATGAAATTTGGATCCAAATTACTTTATAATTGTTTTATGTTTGCTAACTCCATTTCTCCCAAAAGAGTATGAGAAATAAATTTCTCGGCCGGACACGGTGGCTCACACCTGTAATTTCAGCACTTTGGGAGGCCAAGGCGGGCAGATTACTTGAGGTCAGAAGTTCGAGAACAGCCTGGCCAACACGGTGATAACTCATCTCTACTAAAAACACAAAATTTAGCTGAGTGCGGTGGCACTCACCTGTAATCCCAGCTACTTGTGAGGCTGAGGCAGGAGAATTGCTTCAACCCAGGAGGTGGAAGTTGCAGTGCACCAAGTCTGCACCACTGCACTCCAGCCTGGGCAACAGTGCAAGACCCCAACTCAAAAAAAAAAAGAAAAAAGAAAAGAAAAGGAAAGAAATAAAGAAAGAAAGAGAAAGAAATTTCTCATGTAGTTCTATATATCTCACAGTGTCTACAATACTCTTTCATTCATTCAACAAATATTTACTGTGTTTACTATACATTAATCAATGTATTAGGCACTGAGTAGATAAAATACTATCCTGGTTTCAAGAACTCTCAAATCTCATGGGATGGAAGGGTAAGAAAATGAGTAATTAGAAAAAAAGATGAGTACGCTTGATGACTGTAGATAAATAGGTAACTATGGGTTGCTATGAAGCACTTAACTGGTAAAAAGAAAGTATCTAAGATGAAATCTGAAGAATAACTAGGAGTTAGCCAGATTAAAGGGAACCGAGTGATACAATCAAAGAATCCTAGATTTGAAGTTCAAGTTCCCTAGAGCTGGCACTGAAAAGATATTAAAAAATCTGTTCAGCAAAGCTGTTTTTATACTTAGATGTATTTCTGCCAACACAGATAACTTGATCTTCAAGCCTAGGCTTTTTTGATTTCAGGGCTTAAGGTGTTTTTAACTCTGACGCAGGAAAAATGTCAACTTTGCTTATTTCTCTTCCTTATTTCCTTTTTTCTTTGAAAGCTTTGGCTGTGATAACAGATATACAACAATCATGTACTTAAATTGCTTCAGAAAATAGGAGCATAATAAATTCCATTTAGCTGCCAACAAAAGAGACAGCACAGACCCTGGAAGAGAGAAACAGAAGAACAGCAGGAAGACACATTTCAGGGAAAGGAAGGTGGAGAAATAACAAGAACCTGGAGAGCAGCAGGCTTCCACAAAAAAGAAGAAATGACTGCACTAGGAAAGTAGATATTTTCTTCCTCTTAAATTAATTATCAAGCCCCTAAGGACACAAATTAAGAATAGCCCTAACTCCCCGCAGAAGCTACTATATAGTGATCAACCTTTCTTTTACACAGCACAGGGGTTTTGCTCAGCCATAGCAGCACTCTTATTTCATGCAGAGTTCAGAAAGAGGCCATGGCACTTTCCTGCCCCATTAACTGTTAGCTACCTGGGTATGGAGAAAAAGCATTTAAAAGACACAGCTAACATGGATTGCAGTTCTTTAAGCCTGCAATTGTGAATAGTGTACAAATCAACAGGCATCAAATAAATAAATGGCCTTGACTCAAGGAAAAACATCTTACAGAAATTCAAATGGTCTCTACAGAGTTTGGGTAAATAAACCCAAAGATATATTAGAAACCAGCTGATGATTTTTGATTCAAACTTCTTGACCTGAATTTCTTCACCTCTGTCAAGCTTTGTGAGTTCTTTTGTTTTTTTGTTTTTTGTTTTTTGTTTTTCTGATGGAGTCTCACTCTGTTGCCCAGGCTGGAGTGCAATGGTGCAATCTCGGCTCACTGCAGCTTCCACCTCCCGGGTTCAAGTGATTCTCCTGCCTCAGCCTCCCGAGTAGCTGGGATTACAGGCACCCGCCACAATGCCCGGCTAATTTTTTTTTTTTTTTTGTATTTTTAGTAGAGACATGGTTTTACCATGTTGGTCAGGCTGGTCTCAAACTCCTGACCTCGCGATCCACCTGCGTTGGCCTCCCAAAGTGCTGGGATTACAGGCGTGAGCCACCATGCCCAGCCAAGTTTTTAATATTTGATACTCTGTGGAAGTCAATATTTGGTGACTTAAAATTACTAATTATTTAATGCTTTAAAAATCTTTAGAGTTAGCCTTTTATTAAGAATGAGGACTTAGTATAGAGCCTATTATAATCTATTAGTTCAATGCTTTGACTGGACAAATTTAAGACTGTATAATTCATTATTCAGAGACATTCTATGTTCAGGAAAAAAGGATTAAAAATAAAATATTGTTTCAATAAACCACACAGTATTTGGACTCAAAAAAGTGAAACTGAAACTAAAATATAAAATTGTATTCTCCAAAGTTATTTCCAAATTAAAGGAAAGTAAATGTTTCTCTGGATGTATCTGTATATTGTGGTGTTAAATGAAGATCTTCAAATTCACATATGGCACTGGTTGTTTGTTAATTTTGACATCTGAAAAAACTCTGACCTTGTCTACTTGCAGGGATTAATTATAAGCTATCTTTTCTTAAAAATCAAAAACTTTAGAATAATAAGTTACTTCATTCAAGTTTTATGAAATCAACACTGACTCCTCCTGAATATTAGAGATAATACTAGGCTTGGGGGTGGGGGAGGTTGACAAGCATAGAGAAAAACAGACATTTTATAAGTATTCACATCAAAAGACTAAAATTTATCTTAATCGTCTTCTTAGTATAGAATCATATACAAAAAGGTGATTTAAATGATTCTGAATTAGAGTAACAGTGAGTTTTTAATTCACTATAGCAGGCTAAAAGCAGGCCAGAAGTCACTGTTAGTCAACATTTTTAAACACTGGACTAATTAGGCTATGTGCACTGACTGGGAGTTATCGTCAAGTGTAGCTGATCCATATTGTGGTGTGTTCTTCCTGTCCTAATACAAGTCTTTAGTCAAAACTGAAGGAAAGTCCCATTGTATCAACTAAAATGTCAATTTCCTTTAAAATTTAGCCTGGAGATTGATGAGATTAACTGGTTTATCAGCTGGGGTAACTGTGGGTTTAGAACTCCAATTCTAAAACATGTGACCCACAAAACACCTCTGCCTTGATTTCTACAAATTCTTGTGGCTAACTTCATCCTTCCCTCAATTCTCTGCCTTTCACCTTTGTGTGTTACCCTGTATCCATCTGGACATGGAGCCCAGCTTATTTATCTGGTTTCCTCTCCCTTTCCAAAAATAAAATTATGTTGCGTTTAATATTTCCTTTATTTAGTCACATAACTAAAGAAGTCACAAAAAGTCACACTGTACACCCACTGCCTTCCAATTCTCTCCTCACTTTACCTTATCTAGTTCCCTCTAGAACAACTCTTGAAAACTTCCATTTTCCTGGAACAGAACAATTCTTTCTGTACTCAGGATCCTTCAGAGTCTCAAATTCCACCCCAACAGCTTATCAAAGTATTTACAAAAAAACAAACACAAAAAAATAGATCTTCCTTCCTCCTAGGAATTCTGGTAAACAGAATTTTAAAATTTCTCCATTTCACTTTTTTTTTTTTTTTTTTTTTGGTGAGATTTACATGAAGACCATCTTAGAGTGCCACACCTCATGAGAAAGGGTAGTGGTCATCAACTGACTCTGGAATCACTTTCATATGTTGGGCCTTGATCCATTTATGGATACTCCATAATTTCAAGAAGTTTAGTTAAATGTTTACAGACAATGCTAGACATGGGGACTGGGGTAGGGAATGTTCTGGGCATAAAGAAGAATAGATATTGTGTAAGTATATACAACAATAGAATTTTAAATAGTTTGCAGGAAATAGAAAACAGTATGATGGCACTAGTGGGAAAATTCTACAGAAGGCTCAGCATCAAATAAAGAAAGGTGACACCCATCTTCCCTGTCCATGGACACTCAGAGGCTTCCAGCTCCTTTGAATATTTGTGTTGCCCTGGGCCCATACTCTCTTCTCTGGTGAGGTTAACAATTAAGTATCCCAGTGATGAAGCAGGATGCAAGGTAAAGCAATTTGCTAAACAAATAGGTTTATTTCAAAAGATGACTCCAGAGAAGTATGAATATTATAGCTTTCCTACAGTAAATTCATCTTTCCTAGAATTAATATATTTAAGCATTTAAAATGACAGTATCTACATTACATAATTTCTTGATGATACTTGGAATACAAAATTATACAACCACTATTTCTGTCCCTTATTCTTCCTCCCTACCTTCTTCCACAAACATTTATTGACACTGTGGTAAGAACTGTGCTAAGATATGAGGATACAGAGATAAATGACAACTCTTTCCTTTAAAGGTTCAAAATCTGGAAAGAATTCAGGCATGTAGGTACAATAAAGATTGCATACTATGTACAAAGACAGAGATGAGACAGTCTCATGAGAGCATATACTACAGGCTAGAGTAGGTGGACCAGCATTTGCTTTCTGGAAGAAGAGGCATCTGAGCTTGTTTCAGGGTCAATAGCTAGCTACTGAGGAAGGAAGGAAAGGATGTTCCATGTAAAGGCACCCAATGCAAAAGGATCGAGAGCACCTGGTCTTTCTGGGATATGCAAGTAATCAAGCATGGCTGAAGCAGTGTGGGTATAGTATTCAGGGAGAGATGGCAGTGATACAACAGTGAGATAAGTGAGGTTTGCAAACATGAAAATCCTTGTTCCCTAAGGGCAGTGAGGAAGGACAGGGTCAGAGTTGTGTTTAGTGAGGCCACTTTGGCAGTGATATAGATAATGGAGGAGAGAATTGAGACGTGAAACTGGAGGCAGCAGCTCAATTTGGAAACATAAAGAAATCCAGATGAGAAGAAAATCCAGATTCAATTATGTCAGGGTCGAGCTCATGCATACAAGATAAGGCAAGACCTGTCTCATGACATCCTCCCAGGGGAGATAGGAAGGCCTATTTGATATATGCAGAGTCATCAGGACACCAGGGCAGAGCTTTTTCCCTACAGGCAATGGTAGTGGGTTTGGAAAGGAAGAAGTAAAGAATTAAGGAGGTATTAGGAATCCAACTTACAAGGGATGTAAAGGACCTCTTCAAGGAGAACTACAAACCACTGCTCAATGAAATAAAAGAGGACACAAACAAATGGAAGAACATGCCATGCTCATGGATAGGAAGAATCAATATCATGAAAATGGCCATACTACCCAAGGTAATTTATCGATTCAATGCCATCCCCATCAAGCTACCAATGACTTTCTTCACAGAATTGGAAAAAAACTACTTTAAAGTTCATGTGGAAGCAAAAGAGAGCCCGCATTACCAAGACAATCCTAAGCAAAGAGAACAAAGCTGGAGGCATTATGCTACCTGACTTCAAACTATACTACAAGGCTACAGTAACCAAAACAGCATGGTACTGGTATCAAAACAGAGAGATAGACCAATGGAACAAAACAGAGGCCTCAGAAATAACACGACACATCCACAACTATCTGATCTTTGACAAACCTGACAAAAACAAGAAATGGGGAAAGGATTCCCTATTTAATAAATGGTGCTGGGAAAACTGGCTAGCCATATGGAGAAAGCTGAAACTGGATCCCTTCCTTACACACCTTATACAAAAATTAATTCAAGATGGATTAAAGACTTAAACGTTAGACCTAAAACCATAAAAACCCTAGGAGAAAACCTAGGCAATACCATTCAGGACATAGGCATGGGCAAGGACTTCATGTCTAAAACACCAAAAGCAATGGCAATAAAAGTCAAAATAGACAAATGGGATCTAATTAAACTAAAGAGCTTCTGCACAGCAAAAGAAACTACCATCAGTGTGAACAGGCAACCTACAGAATGGGAGAAAATTTTTGCAATCTACCCATCTGACAAAGGGCTAATATCCAGAATCTACACAGAACTTAAACAAATTTACAAGAAAAAAACAAACAACCCCATCAAAAAGTGGGCATAGGATATGAAGAGACATTTCTCAAAAGAAGACATTTATGCAGCCAACAGACACATGAAAAAATGCTCATCATCACTGGTCACCAGAGAAATGCAAATCAAAACCACAATGAGATACCATCTCACCCAGTTAGAATGGCGATCATTAAAATATCAGGAAACAACAGATGCTGGAGAGGATGTGGAGAAATAGGAACGCTTTACACTGTTGGTGGGAGTGTAAACTAGTTCAACCATTGTGGAAGACAGTGTGGCGACTCCTCAAGGATCTAGAACTAGAAGTACCATTTGACTTAGTGATCCCATTAGTGGGTATATACTCAAAGGATTATAAACCATGCTACTATAAAGACACATGCACATGTATGTTTATTGCGGCACTCTTCACAATAGCAAAAACTTGGAACCAACCCAAATGTCCATCAATTAAGAAAATGTGGCACATATACAACATGGAATACTATGCAGCCATAAAAAAGGATGAGTTCACATCCTTTGCAGGGATGAAGCTGGAAACCATTATTCTGAGCAAACTACCACAAGGACAAAAAACCAAACACCACATGTTCTCACTTATAGGTGGGAAGTGAACAATGAGAACACTTGGACCCAGGGTGGGGAACATCACACATGGGGGCCTGTCATGGGGTGGGAAGCAGGGGAGGGATAGCATTAGGAGAAATACCTAATGTAGATGATGAGTTAATGGGTGCAGCAAACCAACATGGCACATATATACCTATGTAATAAACCTGCATGTTCTGCACATGTACCCTAGAACTTAAAGTGTAATAAAAAAAAGAAACAATGTATGCTAAAGCAGAGGACTTAGTAAGTGCTCAAAATCACTATTAAATAATTGACCAAGGATTTAAAAAAAGATTTGAGGAGGTATTAAACAATAGAATAAACAGGTTGGTGGCTAGATGGAGAAGTCAAAAATAATACCCAGGTTTCTGTCTGGAGCAACCGAGTAGATGATGAAATTTCATACAGATAGGTTATATGCTACAGAACAAGATCAGTTTACAGGTGAGGGGGCAAGGGATGGTAAGGTGATAGGACTTAGGGTTCATCATGTCTCCTTGAAGTGTAATCTTGGGAAATCCAAAGAGCAGTGACAGTAGGCCATTGGATATATGATGTAGAAGCTCCTTAAAGGGATCTGGCATGGAACTATAGGGAGTTCTGGGATGCAGGTAGTAGTTAAAGCCACAGATAAACTGAGATCAAATAAAGGAGTGAAGAAGATGAGAGGAGGGCATTTAGAATATCAAAAATATGGTTTTTAAGAACAAATGTCCTCAAATAATAAGAACCATAGAAATAGAAGCACTACAGGCTAACATCTTAGAGAAATGCACCCCTTTTCTTCGTAGCTGAATTGACTTTAAATTGTTTGGAAAGACTAGGTTTATAAAAGAAAATTGGTCACTATGGAAACAGACTATTCAATATCAAACAGGCAGTTTGACCACAAAAGTGGTAATTACTTTAGTTTTTTTCCTTAATTATATGTTTTCATGGTTTTCAATAATCATATATTCTTTAGGTCAGAAATTTGAAGTCAGTTAATGATGTGGTGAGCCAAAGCAAAAATACTAGTCTATAGCTATTTCTCCCAGGTTGCTTACCATCAGAGCACCCCAGACCTAGATGTTTCCTGACTTTGATACTCTGCATTTTATCACAGTATACAACTTATCTAATTTATATAGCCAATCTAAATCTAAATGAACAGAGTCACAAGAAATGTGTCTCCATCTTTTCCTTCATGGCCAATCCCCTTAATTAAGAATGTATGGATTTCATATTACCTAACAATTTTTACTCTAGGCTGCTATTAAAATCTAAAGCTATACCAGAAAAAAATAAATCAAATTTTAAGAAATATGTCATCAAAATCCTAAACAAAATTCATGTAAGTTCTTGCAATCTAAGTCTCTTGTCTGGTACATTATTCTACATTTTTTAACTCAGAATACATTCATATTTAAATAGTAGTCACTTCACTAACCTTATCCAAAAAAGCTTGTATTGCTGCTTCCTGATTTGCCATATAAGCAATGTATCTATGTCTCCCAATGGAAGCAATTATCTGAGTCTCTTTTTCCAGAAGTTCACACAGAGCAGCTTTCCTTTCAGCTCCAGTAAAAGATTGGTTAATACGTGTAAGTTCTTCTTGCCGCCAGACTAGAGGAATAACACAATAGACTCTTGAGTTTTTAAAAATCCCATCTTGAATGATCACATCCTGATGAGGAGTATTTTATTTTTACATCAATTTAAACAAAAGTATACACAGATAGAATCATTTCTATTGTACACCTGATGCATGAAAAAAGTGACGAAATGGAAGCAGAGAGACTTAATAAAAGTAGAGCCAAAGAAACAGAAGCCAAAGGGAAACAGTACAGTTGATGTCAAATTATAACTCCAAGTGAGCATTCATACTGCCTAGCATTGACAAAAATATGACTTGCACTTTGTGGCAGCCATGAGCGTGCACTGTTCACATCTCCCTTCAAGAGAGTACTTGTCACAACGGGTAAAGGTAATTGACAGTTCCAACTACAGCATTTCAGATCTGCTGCCTTGTTGAAGCTGAGGTCACACTCTGCCTACAAAGCTCTCATCAATGACCAAGCACCATGTGGGAGTCAGAGCCTGACTATATGTGCCCAACAGTGGACATTTTTGTAGTCAATCATATCAGAGTCAATTGTTGGGCTGGCTTAGCCTTCCTTAGAGCTAAGACTTTCCATACCCCATCTTCTTTCCTTCCCTCTCTCAACTGATGAGGTGTCAAATCTCATCTCAAACTGAAGATTTCCTTTTCCTTCCTCTGCTCCCTCTCCCCTTTATCTTTCACTTCCAATTACATCCTGGTGTCTGCTTCCCCAAGGACCCAAATTGATATAGTTTTATGTAGAATTGTTGATTTCAGTCATTTCCTTCATTCACTTAGGTGCCATTTTCCATTTATTTACAAAACTCTAAATTATAGTCACAAATGTTATAAAGTAATTGCATTTACTGTTTATTCAAACTAATGCATTATGTTATAATAATATTTATGATATTTTAAAGCCCTGGTTACTATCAATAAAAAATGTGCTGCACAAACTTAAATAAATCAAAATTTCCAAGCTCAGATAGATACATGCATTTTACCAAGTTTTCCATTTAATTTTTACATATACTAAATTTGGAAAAGAAAACTCTTTTGTATCCCACATTTCAAAAATGTCAACCTTATTTACATTAACAAAAGAATAGGGTTGGAAATAACTTGAGAAATTAAATTGTTCAACCCCACCTTTAAGAAAGTATCCTTCTCTTAGCAGCTTGAACAGGTTTAATTTGCCCGCCCTGGTTCTAATACTAGCCTGTGAGGCAACACGGCGTCAGTTTGTTTCTTGTGCCACATGGTATTCCTTTAGGTATGTGAAGGGAGCCATCACCCCCCACTTATGTTTTATCTTCTCAAGACATAAATATTTCTATTTCTTCAATTGTGCATCATTTGACTCATTTTCTGTCCATGTAAGTCAAGCTCCTCTGATTTATCATAGTACCTCTTAAGATATGGCATACCAAATTTCTGTCAAGATAGAAGCTTCTATACAAACTGCTACCTCCCCTCTCCTATGTCACTGCTAAAACGATAAAAGAAATATGAAAGACGGGAGAAATGAGAGAGACCTGAATCAGTACTAAAAATCTGAAAGGAGTTTATCCCTATGTAAGAAACCCTGGGGAATTTCTAAAAGATATAGTGCAGATACTACCAAATAAATGAAAGACTGTCAAAAAGGCACACAAATGTTAACCAAACTTCTGCTTCTCATCTCAGAAAGTGAACATCATAGCAGAAGATGGGAAACCCCAACTTAAGCAACTTGGAACTAGAGAAAAGGGTAGCCTATCAAGCTATTTGATAGTTTACCATGCTTTAAGAAAGTCTTTGAAAAACTTTCAGAAGAATGCCTAACATTTCAAATCACTGCAGAAGATAGTAACAACTATGAGTTTATGCAAAAAAAGAAAAAATATTTTAAATAGTGCAGAAAGCAAGATGAGAAAAGCAAAACAAAGCGTAACAGTTATGTTTAAAATATGAAATGATTATACAGATATTTTTCTGTTGAAAATAAGATAATTTTGTAGAATTCTAGTGACATGATGTTTTCAGATGGCACACTTGAAAAAAAGTGACACGAAAGGTGAAATTTAAACGGTTAGCAGATATGAACAAAAAAGAAAGCAGAAATAGCAATATTAAAACATAAAACTGGGGGGGAGAACCTCAAAACTGAGGTCTTTTAGGTACAAGGTGATTTTATGATGAAAGGTCTGACTGTCATGAATGTTTATACAGGAAATCATATACCATCAAATATGTTTTTAAAAAATTCTATCAATTATAAACACAATGTTGGAGAGTATGTTTTATATTATTTAAAAAATAGATAAAATAAAAATGCATTAATCTAAGACAGAGCCAAGTAAAAAAAATTAAAAGCATATTTGAACAATGATTTTTTAAAAATTAAATTGTCATACATCAAGCTCCGAACACCAAAAGCTGAAAATGTAACCTCATTTTCCAAGTTCAATAAACCATTTATATAGACATATCATATTGTAATAGAAACCAGAAATGTTACAAACTACATTTTTACCACAGAACAATTAAACTAGAACTAATAACAAAAGTTTATATAGAAATATTCCAATTGCTTGTTAATTGAAGAAATATCATCAAAAATAAGAATTTAATCAAAGAAAAGTAAAAAGTATAACAATATTAAGAAAAAAACACTACATGTGAAAATGCGTAGGATGCAACCAAAATTTCAGCAAGGGAAACTTGGGGAAATTTGGCATAAATAATCCTCAAATGTCAGTCATGTACCTGTCAAAAGTAGGAGGGATTTATAAAAAACTGTAATGTTTGTAATAATCAACCACAAGTCTTCTCTGAAAGAGCATGTCTTCTGGGTACTTTGCCCATTCTTCATGACTAAAGATTACTGAGAACAGTTTTGGTCATTACTCTCATACCTTGGAATATACATCTGGACTGGCAACCCAAACTCACTTAAGCCATGTTTGTGCTATGCTCTCCACAGACATGAAAGCAAAACAGGTTGAAACTGCAGCCCACTGCTCATTATTCTGAACAAATATTCCCAAAGTCACTTTACTCATCAGCATGTATCATAAGTTTCAGTTCATTCCAGGTTTTTTTGGATTTTCTGAACTATTCCTAAAAATACTTAGTGCCACATTTTATAGTTCTCCTTATTTATTGTGCCTCTCACATGTGGTTTTCAATTCGCAGAATAAATTCTGTCCTTGCACTTCCACAAGCAGGATGCTCGTGGATTCCTCCCCATAGACAGTAGGCTTCTCTTCCATCCACAGAGGTTTACATAGCTTTAGCTTTATTCAACATACTCTCCCACTTCTCACAAACCATGTCATCCTTTCATTACACACAGTCCTTTTCAGTGTGGACTTATCAGCTGGTTTACCACTGGAGGGCTACATTTACTTAATAAACCATCTAAATCTTTCAGATGGAGATTATTATTAGATTATGAGAATAATGAAGCTTTACAGTCTCATGAACTACATCCTGGCCATAGAATCAAACCAATTTTTTCTCTGAATTCTAAGAAGCGTATTTCTCTGATATGGTTATTATAATTGCCCAAACCCTATCACTTCATTCCCAATTCAAAACACTCAATAATTTTTGAGCAATTATTATGTGAAAGGACACTGGTTCTATGGTTCATAAAAAAGCAAGAATAACATAATTCCTTCTTAGAGGAACTAATATGTTTCCCTGCCTCTCCTTGGCTGGACATACTATAAAATCCTTCCACAGGAACAGAATTGCTACTTCTCTTTTCATTTATCTTCACCTAAAAGCCCAACATTTTCACTATTAGGTTTAAAGACTTCCTTTGAGCAGATCTATTCTTGGCAGATTACTTACCCTTGGTCTTCCATTATATACAATTCAATCAAGTAAAATATACTCTTGCATTGTTATATTCCAGACATGATTACTTTCTCACTAAGTTTTAGGACTAATTCATATAATTGGAAACTATATTTGCCTTCTTCTAATAAAAATTTCAGGTTTACTTTAAAATCAGTCTCTATGCATTAGAAGATAAATATCTGAGGCCACAAGTATTGTATCTGGCCACTGCCTTTCATAATATCTAGTTTTATAGTTTTATCAGAGTATTTCTTTCTCTTCTCAAATTTCAATTTCAATTTGAATTCATCTTGGTCAGGTCTAACACTTGCCAGTCATGTTCTTTAAAAGAATCCGCTCTGTCCTTTATCAGGAATACATCATTCAGAAACTGTACAGCATGGTCTGTCCAGCAAGAAGATTTATAAATTTAAAAGCTAAATTATGTTTAGCAAAAAGATTGTAAATTTAAGAGCTAAATTATGTTATGAAAGTCTAAAAAATCTATGATTGATGAGTTTGTTATTTAAGAGCTGATAACTTTACCAACCAAAAGAACTTTAAGAACTATGATAAAATCTATATACCAAAAAGCAGTTTATGAATGAAGAGAAAAATTGCTGGCTTGCAGAAATAACTGAGACAATTTATCCGATACGATCATATCAGATAGTCTGATAACTGAGACTATTTATCTGATACAATTATATCAGATTATATGGATGTACTGCAAAAGTGAATAAAAATGGAATGATATTAGCAATCCTATTTTATTTCCCAGTTTTACAATAGAAACCTTTAGAATCAATAATAAATTTGGGTAGAGCACTAAGTTATTATTTTAGCTATTCTCAAAAAAAATCAAAGAATAATATACTACTTTTCTAGATAAATATTTAAGTCTTGGATGAATCTGGAGATACATAAGTGTGTATTCAAGTACACATACTCATATCCATTCAGATTCTCCATTTTCGTTAGATTGTCAGTAGGGCTTTTAAAAAGGAAACAACCCAACCAAGCTGACGAGAAATGAAAATAAAAGACCTTAATTCCAGTAAAATTCTCTATTAGATGAATAACTTCCCTGTAAATCTATAGTAAGGGATGACATATGTCAGTAAAAAGCACTATTTCCCAACTAGTAACAAAGAATAGAAAAACAGAAGACACAGGAGCAGCTAAACAAAACTGATTTTTATCTAATCTGATGGTTTCTAGAACTATACAGAAGAGACACTGGGTGAGGACAAGAGAGAGTCTGACTCCTTTCCTAAAATACTTGTTCTCTAAAGGATGATAATTAAAAAATTGAGATGCTATATTACTTTACTAGGGCTTCCATAACAAAGTACCATTGGTTGGGTGGTTTAAACAACAGAACTTTATTTCGTCAAAATTCTGGAGGCTAAAGGTCCAAGACTAATATGTCAACAGGCTTGGTTTCTTCTGAGGGCTTCTCAGCTTGGCTTACAGTTGGTTATCTTCTGGTATCTTCATATGATTTTCCCTCTACATATGCCTGTGTCCTAATCTCCTCTTCTTATAAGTACACCAGTTATATTGGATTAAGGCCAACCTGTATGACCTCATTTTTTCTTAATTATCTCTTTAAAAGCCCTCTCCAAGTACAGTCACATTCTGAGGTAATGAGGGTTAGGATTTCAACATATGGATTTGGGGGGAACATAAGTCAGCCCATTACAGATATCGATAACCACAAATATTTTTAAGCAAAAGATATTAAAGGAATTGGTTCATCTGAAAAAATTGATTCACTTTGTCTTCTCATCTTCCTAGACAGACCACCTGATTTCCAGGGTTTGAAGTTCAACCATAAAATGAAAGGAGAATAGGACTAGCATCTAAAGCCCATATTCATTTTAAATTTCTGAAACCTGACCTTGTAATTTCCAAGCAAGAAATAGCAGAACATACAATATTTTGTCTACCATTGGCAGTTTTGATGCATCTGCATGTTAAAATTCTCATCACAGACTAGAAGTCTAACTGGAGAGAACCAAGCAAGATTCCAACTAAAAGCCTCTCTTGAACAGTTAAGACAGTGGTGTGTACAGAGAAACGTAATCAAAAAGTAGAGACTCAAGCCCAATCTGTGCTGTCAAGAGAGGTTTCTGGAAGATCATTACTCCAATGCTGAGTCTGAGATAAGAGTCATTCAGGCAATGAAAGGTAGAAGGATATTCCAGATGACAAACACAGCATGAGTGATAAAGTCAGGGAGCCACACAAACAGCTGGAAGTCAGGACTCTTGAGAGATTCAGCTGGAGAGGTATAAGGAGTCCATCTCCTGGACATGATTGTGTAGGTGAAGAAACCACGAAAGGGTTTTACGTTAGACTGATATTTTTGATAAATCACTCTGGCCACAGTATGGACCACCAATTACTTGAAACTGGAAGAAAGGAAAAATTCAGATATAGACTAGCCGTGAACATACAGAAATATGTACCCAACAGTGATAATAATGCTTTCCAACACAGTGACATGCACTGAATCCCTGATCTGACAGGTTACTTTCAGAAAGACTTCTCAGCCAAATAAAAAATCCTGCACACCCTTTGAAGCCTTCCCTAACAACTTCTCAATACCCTGGCACAGAAGTCATCTACCTAACTCTGCTGAGTGTTTAGCACTTTACTTATTTTTCTATTAAAGAAATTATCCCTTCTACCTTGTACAATGACCACTGTGAATGTGACTTAGCCTTGCTACCAAGTAGCTGGTTTGTAGCATAATTAATTGGTACGTAGTAATTGTCCTTAGTAAATATTTATTAAATAGGGAAAATAATGATAAAGGTAACTTCAAGTCTAAAGAGATTCGGTAAAAATAAACATGAATCCTTTTTATAATTAACACTATCATATTGAGTACTTAGGAAATATGAGACAGAATCTTGACTGTTTTACAGATTTCATTTAATTTGCCCTTTACTCTCCTAGGACTACACTATACTCTTGAGGAGGTAGAAAGTCAAGAATAATGAAGGCACATGCTCTATCAGGACTCCTGGGCTTTGGAGTAGTCCTTAGGATATTTCAAAGGACCTTAGTTGTGTGCAGGTAATAAGCTTATTCAGCCTGATAAGTGTTATTAGAACATTGGTAAATTGAGAAAAAGTTCTGCAGCATCACCTTGCCCAAGGATGAGTGATATGGTTTGGCTGTGTCCTCACCCAAATCTCATGCTGAATTGTAATCCCCAAAATTGGGGGAGGGACTTCATGGGAGGTGACTGGATCATGAGGGTGAATTTCCCCCTTGCTATTCTCAAGACAGTGAGTGAGTTCTCATGAGATCTGGTTGTTTAAAAGTGTGTAGCACCTCCTTCTTCACTCTCTCTCTCTCTTCCACCATATGAAGATGGTGTTTGATTCCCCTTCACCTTCTGCCACGAAGTTTCCTGAGGCCTCCCCAGCCATGGTTCCTGTACAGCCTGTGGAACTATGAGTCAATTTAATCTCTTTTCTTTATAAATTACCCAGTATCAGATAGTTATTTATAGCAGTGTGAGAACTGGTTAAAACAATGAGGAAAATACTATATGGTCAATTTCAAAGACTCATGGCATAAGTCCTATTTTGGTATAACAGAGAACCCTGGTAAGAACTCACACTCCTTAGAATAGGACAATTGGAACTCTGTGAAGTGATGTGCAGGTATTCATTTACAGCTAAACCCACCATTAATCAAGACATTATTAGAGTATGCCTGTGATGACATTCTGTCTTAAATCATATGTAGTAACTAATAGTTCCTGTTCTTAATAGAGGATATTATCACACCAGAGAATTTTTCAAACCTAGCAAAAGTGTAAACTATGCTTGTGTTTAATCTTTTTTAAAACACAATTTCCATGTCCTCTATTCACCGATAGAGCAAGTAAAGTAAATCATTAAGAGCAGAAATGCCAATATGGCTACAACTTACAAACTTGCCGAACTTCAGTAGAATATTAGCTAACAAGGCACTTTTGGCTGTCACATGTATACACACTTCCATATGTGTATACTGCTTTCATAGTAAAAGCTCTCACTATAGAAGTTACCCATGAGTGAGAGTATTTTAATATTTTTGTCATATAGGATTCATCCACAGGCCTTTTTAGGTGATTTCCTTTCAGAGTAGTTTGAAATAAGTTAAAACCAATTACCAGCAGTAACTATATCATTAAACAGTAGAACATAAACTTTTATTAATAGTCTGAAAAAAATTTCTATTATTAAACACGTGGACAGCATAACAAACAATTTTCTAAAAGAAAAGCTGAGCTCAGTGGCTCATGTCTGTAATCCCAGCACTTTGGGAGGCCGAGGCGGGCGGATCACGAGGTCAGGAGATCGAGACCACGGTGAAACCCCGTCTCTACTAAAAATACAAAAAATAAAAAAATTATCCGGGCGCGGTGGCCGGCGCCTGTAGTCCCAGCTACTCGGGAGGCTGAGGCAGGAGAATGGTGTGAACCCAGGAGGCGGAGCTTCCAGTGAGCCAAGATCACACCACTCCACTCCAGCCTGGGTGACAGAGCAAGACTCTGTCTCAAAAAAAAGAAAAAAAAAAAAAAAGAAAAGCTGAGCTCACAAGAAAGTACAGTAAACCCCTACAGGTCAAATAGCAAAATCAGGAAGGTAGAATCCGTGGTGGGAGGTAGGTACTGACAGCTTCAAGAGCCCTGAGCACATTTGCTAGCAGCTGCTTCCAAAGGCAAAGGGCCTAAAGGCCATGGAAGAAGTGAACAGATGAAAAGGTCTTGAAACTTAGAAACGTAAGAAAACGTGACTGAGTCCCTACTCCCATCTTCCACCCTACATACACACAGAATCAGGAAACTCAAAGAGTCTACCTTCAGTACACTCAAAAAATACCCACAGGCCAAGAAAGAGCAATCAGTATGAGGCCTGTTTGGGGAAAATTGCCTTACCCCAAGCCTTGCAAGAATTCCAAACAAATAAGAAAAATATTACAGCTCATATAAGTTTGCAATGCAATGTTTAAAAATACTGAAGAGAGTTCATATATCCACCAGAAAACATATATAAGAAATATTAATCACAATTTTATTCATAAAAGTCAAAAATGTTGAAGTAACATTTAGCAACTGGAAAATGAATAAATTGTGGTTATATTTATACAATGGAATCCTATGTGGCAATTTAAAAGAACTAGTCCTATAAGCAACAAAATGGATGAATCTCAGATATAACCTTGAGGCAAAGAAGCCAGAAATAAAATATACTACAAAATGTATGAAATGAAGCTCAATAACAGGCACAATTTATATATGGTGATAGAAGTCAGACTAGTGGTTACCTTGCAGGAGTGGAAGTGGGATGCGGACCTATGTATAACATGAGAAAACATTCTGGGGCATAAATATATCCTACCTTTTAGTAAGGGTAGTTGCTATATATATGTCTGCATATGTAAAAAGTCATAAAGCTGTACACTTAAGCCTTGGCATAAATCCTATTTTGATATAACAGAGAACCATGGTAAGAACTCATACTCCCTGGAATAGAATAATTGGAACTCTGTGAAGTGATGTGCAGGTTTTCCTTTACAGCTAAAGTCATTTACAATATGTAATATAGAGTAGGATATTACTCTCATATTTTTTAAATATGAAGAAAGATACTACATGAGTAAAAATCAGCAGGAATGTAGACTTCTCAAGAAATTCAGATAACAAAGTTATTTTATTTAAAACTATAAAATATATACTAAAATGGAAAAAATATTAAAAATATAATAAACTTCAAATGCATTTGAAAAATGCCAAATAAAACTTCCACATATTATGTTGATATTTTTTCATTTAAAACTTAGGAAATAGGTTAAACAGGAGTTTAGAGAAGCTCTGAAAGAAAATTAGTATGCAAAAAGATACATATGAAGAAACTGTCCCAAAAGCAGCAAAAAAAAACATAAGAGATAAAAGTATAAAATGAAAAACAGTGTTAAAAATGTCAACATATATCTGCTAGGATTTTCAAGATGAAAAACTAGAGAGAATGGAGAAAAGTTAATATCAGAGATAGTGGCTAAGAATTATCCAGAATTTATAAAAATCACATATTCTCAAGCACATAATGCAACAAAATTCCAAGGAGGATGAAAATAAATGAAGGGAAATTTAAATTCATAATAGTAAACAGATAAGTATAAAAAAGAAATAAATCTTTAAAAATAATAAGAGGAGCAAATATAAAACAAACAGTGAAAGATGACAAATTTATATCCAACCATATTAATAATCACATTAAATGTAAATAGTCTAAACATCCAAATTAAAAGGAAGAGATCATCTAATTGGATTTTTAAAATAAGATCCAGTTATATGTTGCCTACAAAAAACACATTTTGAATATAAAGACACAAAGAAGTTAAAAATTACAAAATATAAAAAGATATACTAAACTAACAGTGATCAAAAGGAAAATGGAAAGGACATATCAATATCAGGCAAAGTAGATTTAACAGCAAAAAATATCATAAGGAATAAGGAAGGTCATTTAAATAAAGGACTCAATTCATCAACAAGACATAGTAATGCTAAATGTTTTTACATCTAATAAGAAAGTTTCACAATACATGAAGCAAAATCTGATAAAATTGAAAAGACAAATAGGAAAATTCACAATTACAGTCTGAGATTTCAATACCCCCTCACAATAACTGATATACAAATAAATGGGAAATTTGTAAAAATAAAGAAAATTTAAACAACATTATCAATTAACTTGATCTAATGGCCATTTATTGATCACTACACCCAACCATAATAGAATGCAAATTCTTCCTACATGCACACAGAATATTCTCCAATGTAATTTGTATTCTAGTTGTTAAAATAAGTATCAATAAATTTAAAAGAACTCAAATTGGCCGGGTGCATTGGCTCACGCCTGTAATCTCAGCACTTTGGAAGGCAGAGGTGGGCAGATCACCTGAGGTCAGGAGTTCATGAGCAGCCTGACCAACATGGAGAAACCCCATCTCTACTAAAAATACAAAATTAGCCGGGTGTGGTGGCAAGTGCCTGTAATCCCAGCTACTCAGGAGGCTGAGGCAGGAGAATCGCTTGAACCCGGGAGTCAGAGGTTGTGGTGAGCCAAGATCATGCCATTGCACTCCAGCCTGGGCAACAAGAGCAAAACACCATCTTGGAAAAAAAAAAAAACAAACAAACCTCAAACCTCAAACCTCAAATTATACAAAATTACATTCTCTCATTACAATAAAATTAGAAATCAATAACAGAAAGATATCTGAAAAATCCCCAACTATTTAGCAATTAAATAACCTACTTCTAAGTATCCCATGGGTCAAGAAATAATCAAAAGGATAATTAGAAAGTATTTTGAACTGAAAGAAAATTTCAACTCAACATATCAAAATGTGAGGATGCAGCTGAAGCAGTACTTAAGGGAAAATTTACAGCACCAAACACCTATAATTAGGAAAGAAGAAAGGTCTCAAATCAAATGACCTCAGCTTCCACCACAGGACTAGAAGAGGAGTAAACTGAACCAAAGGTAAGCATAATGAAGGAAATAAATAACAATAGAAATTAACAAAATGGAACAGAGAAAAAGAACTGGGAAAAATCAGGGGAAGAGTAATAAAACTGATAAATCCCTAGGCAGACTGATCAGGAAAAAAAGAAGGAAACACAAAATTACCAGTATCAGTAATTGAGGTAACATCACTATAGATCCTATAGGTATTAAAAGGATAACATGGAACATTATTAACATCTTTATGCCAATAAATCCAACAACTCAGAAAAAAATTACCAATTCCTTTAAAGACAATAACTATCAAAGCTTACTCAATGATAAATAAGTCACATGAATACCCCTATATTTATTAAAGAATTGAATTTATAGTTTAAACCTTCCCACAAAGAAAATTCCAGACCTAGTTGGTGTCACTGTTGAATTCCTAACATTTTATGAAGAGATCCTACTAATTCTACACGAACTGTTTTAGAAAATTGAAGAGCACAGAGGAGATTAGCATTATCCAAATACTAAAACCAGACAGTAACATAACAAGGAAAAAAAAGTCACAGATCAATATCCCTTAGGAATGTAGATGCAAAAATTCCAAAACAAAATTTTGGCAAATCAAGTCTGACAATACATAAAGACAAGGCATTAACAGGGCCTTTGGGGATGTGATTAGGTAATGAGGGTGGAACCCTCATGAATGGGATTATTGCCCTTATTAAATAGACCCAAGAAAGCTCTTCATCCTTTCTGCTATGTGAGATCACAGTGAGAAGGCACCATCTATGAACCAGGAAACAAACCATCCCCAGACACTGAGTCTGCTGGTGCCCTTGGAGTTCCCAGACTTGAGAACTCTAAAAAATAAATTTCTGTTATTTATATATATGGCATTTTGTTATAGTAGCCTGAATGGACTACGAACTTAACAAAGATACAAAGGCAATGCAATGGAGAAATGACAGTGTTTTCAACAAATGCTAAAGGAACGACTGGATGTTCAAAAGCAAAAAGTTTAAACATTCATCTCAACACATATCTCACATCTCATACAAAATTTATTTCAAACTGGATGTTATACCTAAATTCAAAATATAACACTATAAAACTTCCAGAGCACATAGGAGAAAAGCTGTGTGACCTTAAGTTTGGTGATGAGTTTTTAGGTATAACACCAAAAGCATGATTCACACGAGAAGAAACTAATAGGACTTATTGAAATTAAAAACTTTTGCTCTAAGAAAGACACTGTTAAGAGAATGAAAAGACATGCCAAAGACTGAAAGAATGGAAACCTGCCTGAGCGGGGAAAGGGTAGATCCTCTGAACACACCCTCACCTCTCAGTTCCTTTCCTCACCACTAGCTGCTGTTTCTCTTCTGTACTCCTTTGGGAGATGAGTGAATGAGAAGGGGTAGTTCTTACTCACCCCACTCTCCAGGCCTCTCAGATGATTCAAACTCACCATCCTGAGGATCTTGAGCTGAACCGCAACTCCCCTGGCCCAAGACAGATGTATCTGCACTCTAGGTAGCCACTTAGGGATAATCTAGCTGTTCACTTCAAGCTTCTTTCTGACAAGATCCCTTCACTTCTATAGCTGGTCCTATTAAACAGGACCAAGAGCACCTCAAATTGCCCTGTTGCAGGCTCAATCTCTCTTGTATTCTCTACTGTATAGTCCCCTTTTGATAGAAAACAAAGATACATCTCTGTTTTAAAAATCCTGGGAGTGCTATAAATAATGCGGCAGCACTCTCCAATATCAAAGAAGTCTGAAAGCCCTCCTCTAGTTCTCTAGGTTTCTTTGTTTGGACTCAGACCCCAGTCTACCATCCTGGTCAAGGTTCAGGCAACAATCCTCGTTGTCCCCCAAACACAGGGAACATTTCCAAGCTCACCAGGAATACTCCCTTGAAGCTCCTTTCACTAGGCATTTGGTCAGAAAATAACACAACCTACCCACCCCAACCCCAAAGCATAGCAATGGCTCTCTCCAAAAAAAACCTACCTTACTAACCTCTTCAAATCTCTCCTAGCCCTTCTTATATGTTTTATCTTGCTAAGTGACCCATGAGCCAAGAAATAGGTCCTATTTTACTTGGTTTGTAAATTCTTTATGAGGGAGAGAGAGATTGACTCTCATTGACTCTGGTATCCTGATATCTCACCTATTGGAGCCTCAGTCAAAAATAAGGCAGGGTGATAGCACCCTCCAGAAGGGCTAAAATGAAAAAGACAGAAGCGTCCAATGTTGGAGTGGATGACAGCAATTAAAACTCTGATACTCTTTCATAGGAGTTTAAAATGGTACAACCTCTAAAAAACCATCTGGCAGGATTTGCTAAAGCTGAATTACGTATATCCTATGAACCAGCAATTCCACTGCTAGGTTTACACCCTGAGAGAAATGTGTGTGTATGTGTGTGTGTGTGTGTGTGTGTGTGTGTGTGTGTGTGTGTGTGCATGTGTGTATATATACATATACACAAGTAGTACTACTACAAACATCTTTTGGTGAATATATATACATATACACATATTTGCCAAAAACTAGTTGGGGGGGCAGGGAGGAGGGGTGGGAAGGACCAAATCCACAGTAAAATGGATACATAAGTTATGGCACATCCATGCAATGGCATACAAAGGGCAACTACTCACAACAGCAAGGATCGGTCTCATGACATAATATTGAATTTTGAAAAACAAACAAAAAATTATATTCTGCATAATTCTGCCTATATAAAATTTTTAAATAGACAAAACAACCCCAATTATTCTATTTAGAATATGGGATACTTAGCACCTTTTTTTCCAAGTAATGGCCCTAGTGACAATTCAGAACGATAAAAGAGATCACCCTCAACATACTGCTATAAAAAGACATGAAAATCAAATATTATTGCCTGGAGATAGCCTCCTCTTTGACATATTACCTTATACAGCTAAGTTTATTTTCTTAAATTAATATCATTTTGCTTTTATTACTGAAGAACAGACTACCTCGAGGAAAAGTTAAGTTTCATATTATGAATTATAGCTCAAAGTATACAATTATCATTATGAGCCACAAGAGGGCAGCAGCTCCAAGGAATGGAGTTATGAATATGAAATGAAGAAAATTACAGAAGAGCAATATAAATTATTGAGCTTGTAAACCACAGATTTTTTAACAGAACTTAAAAATTATTATTCCAAGGCTTTTAATTTGGAATTTTAGAACTAGAAAAACCCGAAAGATGTCTCTTTTATATAAGAAACTTCATGGATTTCATTTTCCTCCATATATAAATCATATGTGGACTTATATAAAATATATCTGTTCTACTTTAGTATGAAAATTCTGTATAAAATCATTTGCCATAGAACAATAGCTCGCATATGTATAGGTCCTTGTACTTTTTGAAATACTTTCATAAATGTAATATTTTATACTTTTTACTCTATTAAGCCCTCTGAAGTAGACAGGCCAAAAATTATTAATTCCTTTTGATAGATGAAGAAATCGAGGTTTAGGATAAGTGAGAAACTTGTCCTAATTAACACCACTAATAAGTAGAACAGGCAGAAGCTCATTCAACATATTTTCTATTATTTTGCACAGTTGTCTGTTAACCACACAAAGATAACAATGGTATCCTTTAGTCACATAAGAATTTAGAATATTATTTTAACAGAGCTCTGCTCTAACAGAATGTTAGTTTTAAACTTGTCAATAAGACCTTTCATAGATACCTGGCTAACGATGTTCTCTATTGAAGTACTGACACTTAATAATCTTTGTTATCATCTGACAGAAAAAATGGAAGTAGAAGTGAAGTTTAAAGTAAAATAAGCAGTATTTCCAGAGGACAATGATTAGGATAAAATGGAAAACAGACACACAATTCTAGGGAGCAGGCTTAACAGTTACCTCAAATACTACCATAGTAGTTGTAAATATTTACCATAAGCTATAAATATTCCTAAAGCCACTCAATTTTTACGTTACCAGGAAAATGAATTTATTAATATTGTTTATTAGCCCTAATGTTTAATTATATTATTTTTGGTAAATAGCATATTATCTTATAGCTATAAAAAGACTCAATATCTGATGCTTAAAAATGTAGCCAATTAGAAAGGAAACTGCAACTTGAGGAACAGAACATATAACATCCACAAAAAAAATAGTATGTAATGAAACAAACAAATGGAAGAAAATTTGCTTAGTGTTATAAATAATCAGAGAGAGGTCAAAAATTTATTTCCTTGGACTAAAATATCCCATTCAACTACAAAAGCCAATTGAGGCTATTTCTAGGTTTTAAATTTTTCTGTGTCTTCATAAGGGTCTAATTTCTCCACTCTCAGATATCTGGTGTATTAAGTAACTCTTCTGCTCCAGTTATTTCCACCTTACCAGGTACTGCTGGCAAAGCAGAAGCTAGAGACAGTTGCATTAGTATAACCCTGGATTTCTTCCTTTCATTCATTCATTCATTCATTTTATGAACATTTGTTGGGCATATGAGCTAAGCACAGTAAAAGGCAGCTCATCAAAAAATAAATGAATTATTCCCTCATGGCAGAAATAAATGTTAAACAAAAGATGTATTATTACTAAAGAAATAACTGAGACTGAAAAAAAGATGTAGTATTACCAACTGTGGTGATAAAAATGAAAAGTTTCAGGTGCAATGAGGACCATAAGATGACAAAAGAATATCCAACTTATGTTGTCATTCACAAAAACCTTTAAGCAGGTGACATTTAACCTGAGATCCAAAGGTGGGCAATGGAGAAACACCTCCAAGAAGGGGAATCGTGTATCTACTGCCTGGGTAAAGAGTGCCTGGCTTGTTCAAATAACTGAAACTTTTAATTTATCCATGACTAGCACACACACTGTAGAAGAAATAAGGTATAAAAGTCAAGGTGTAGAGAATATACATTTATATAGTATTATTAATAAGGGGGAATTTTAAAAATATTGCCAAGCCCCTTCTCTAAAGAGCAAAATCAGACAGGATGCTGGATTGAGGGATTAAAGAACAGCTCAACTCTGAGTTCAAAATTCCCAAACCACAAGAAAACTAGATTACACAGTACTTTCTCTCTTTATCTCACATGAATGAGGATCAAATGAAATAATATACTAAAACTGCATAATTCACAAAGCAGTATGTACATTTTAATTGTTAATATAAAAGCATTTCTAATTTCATTTCAGCCTTAATTCTTATTCCAAATATAAAGTGGTATTCATCTTTCAAAATTCTCTACTGCAAATTTCCAAGACATCTCCCTAAAATAATAACACCTTCCTTTTGTCTGCAGTAAATCTGTTTTTCCTATTAATGAAGAATTTAAAAATATTTTTTGCAAAGCCTGTGTCCAACTTACATTCTAATGCATTATAAAGAAATTCAAAATCTTCATTTGTTTTAGGATTATGCCTCCGGTGATAGTCCAATTTTATCCATTCTTCTTTTTCTCTTATCTTCCTTAGTTCTTGCTGTGTTTCCCATTCCAGTCTTAAGCTTTTCTGTCTTCTTAAATTCTCTACGAAGATTTTAGCATGCCATTGCCTGTAGTAAGTCTGTATCACTATCACCTATAGTTAAATTAAAAGGAAATAGAAAGTGCCTATCATCAACTTTTTGATCAGACAATAAAGGCAATGATGATTATTTCAATTCCAATTCCACAACAAAATAACTGAGTCTAGTTTTAGCTCCAAATACATATTTTCACAAACACTAACATAAAAAACATGTATAATGCATGTGACTGCTATTTGACTTTGACATCTCGCAAATATACCTTCCCAGAAGGATGTTTGTACGATCCTTAACAGAATAGACTCTGGAGTAAAACTTAGTTTGAATCTTCCTTCTGCTACTCACTAGTTGTTTGATTGGATAAGTTACTTGCCATCTCTATGCTTTAGTACCCTCATGTGTAAAACAGTGATAATAAGAGTATACATATAAAGTGCTTAACCCAAGCCTGGTACATCATGAGTCCTCAATAAATACTATTATTGTCATACATATTAATTATCTCCATCTTATCTTAAATGCCACTAGCTTAGGCTCATGTTTATAACAAAACTGTGTTTTCCTAAATACACATCAGGTAGGTATGTGTGGAAACCACCAAAGGCAGGTTAGATAAAATGGAGACTGAAGCAAACAAATATTTATTAACTTGTATGAAACATGAATATGTTTGAAAGTACACCATAGTACTAAACCCTCAAAAAGTTTATGATATAGCTGAGAGAGTTTATCATTTTTTTCTGAGAGTTTATAATTTTATTTATTAAACTCATAAATAAAAATAAAATGTGAAGAGGCCGGATCAAGACTGATGATAGAGCTTATGCTGATGCATCCCTTACTCTCATCCTAATGCCTAATAATTGTAGAAAAACTATGTAAAGCAGATATCGACAAAGATACTAGATCAAACTGAAGGGGTCCCCCAAAAGAATAGAAACTTTGAAGAATCCCTTCAACAAAAGAGGCCAGTAGAATTAATTGAAGAAAGAGTCTGTAACCTAATCATGCACTGGAGAAGCAAGTCAGAAAAAACAAGGGGCTCTAGGACTGCTCTAAGCCCAAAACTGATGGATGGTCTGAGCAGAGTGGCCACTAACCAGGTGACTTTAAAAACTGCAAAAGGGATAGGTTCCTCTAAAATAATTAGGCAAGGAGCAACAGAGATATTTGTCCCTAGGCAAGAGTGGTGAGTGTCCCAGAAGGTGACACCCAGGATGAAAAAAAAAAAGCCCCCTATCCAGAAAACTAGGTTTCTCCCATAATCAAGCTTTACATTTCCCCTAAAATCATGGGGTCAGACTGGGTGAACCAATATGCTATTGGCACACTGGACATTAAGAATCTCAAACACATCAGCGGCATCTAGAAAACTATTAGCAATGCAAATTTTCAGGCCCCACCCCAGAGCTATTGATCAGAAACTCCTGGGTAAGCACAGCATTCTATATATTCATGAGCCCTCCAGATGATGCTTATAGTAAAGTTTTAGAACTACTAGAGTAAATCAAAACAAAACAAAATACAAGAGCAGACTAGATATAGTTAATATTTTCACAGAGAAAGGAAAGGCTATCAGTATAAAATAATATAATGAACCAAGAAAAAAGACTGGCAAAAATTTTATTTTTGAAATTTAAAAAATTAATAGAATATGGATTAGCCTGAGTGCTATTAAACTTGTTCAACTTATTTAAAACACCAAAACACAGTTGTTTAAACAACACAGAAGTTTTTTCCCTTTCACATGACAATCCAGGGATTAGCAAAGCAGTTTAGGGCTCGTAGGAAAGCTCTGTCATATTTAACAAATGGCTTCCTACTTATATGTCCCAGATGGCTGGTCCACTTACCATCTTCCAACCAGTAAATAGAGGGAAAAGGAACAAAGAGCATTTTAAGAATGATAACTGTAAGTGGCTCACATTGTCCCTCACATCTCGCTGTCCAGATCTTAGTTATATGGCCTCACTGATACACAAGGGAAGTGATGAAATGTGGTCATCAGTGGAACAGCCACATGCTCAGATAAAGCTTTATTACAATAGGAGAAGGGAAAAAATGGGTATTGACAGAGAACTAGTAGTTTCTTGTAAGCTGATCTGCAGAATGTGTAGAACATAAGAAGTAATAAGTAGGTAAGAAAATTAGGTGAGAAAATCTTTTAGCATGCAGGACAAAGGCTCATAAAAATTTAAATGAATGAATGAAAAATAAGAGACACAAAAGATAAATCCCAGCATTCCAAAATGTTTCCTTTTTTTCTTTTTTTCTTTTTAGGCGAAGTCTCACTGTCACCCAGGCTAGAGTGCAGTGGTGTGATCTCAGCTCACTGCAGCCTCCGCCTCCTGGGTTCAAGTGATTCTCATGCTTCCCCTCCTGAGCAGTTGGGACCACAGGCACGTGCCACTATGCCTAGCTAATTCTTGTATTTTTAGTAGAGACAGGGTTTCACCAAGTTGCCGAGCTTGGTCTCCAACTCCTGGCCTCGAGTGATCTGCCCACTTCAGCCTCCCAAAGTACTGGGATTACAAGCATGTGCCTCAGCATCTGGCCTCATCCCAAAATATTTCTGAGATAAGTTCCAGATAAAATAAGGAAAGTTGATTACAGAAATTCATAAAAACATAATAGAGGTATATTTCCCACAGCAAGACATGGACTCTCGGAAAGGGTACATCACCAAGTCTCAAGCATATTACAATAAGATTACCAAATACCAAGGATAAAGTGAAAATCCTGACAGCTTCTAGAAAGAGGAAACAAAGAAAGGAGGGGGCAGAAAATGAAGAAAAGCCTAGTAAGGTTCTTGACTTATTCATGGAAACGATATATAGGCTGATTAGATATGCACTTGGTATAAAAAAATTAGTTATGTTAAAAAATGTGTATGAGTAACTGTCAGAGGCGTGTGAACCAGAGCAACTCCATCTTGAATAGGAGCTGGGTGAAATGCGGCTGAAACTTACTGGGCTGCATTCCCAGACAGCTAGGCATTGTAAGCCACAGGATAAGATAAGAGGTCAGTACAAGATACAAGTCATAAAGACCTTGCTAATAAAACAGGTTGCAGTAAAGAAGCCAGCTAAATCCCACCAAAACCAACATGGCGACAAGAGCGACCTCTGGTCATCCTCACTGCTACACTCCCACCAGCGCCAAGACAGTTTACAAATGCCATGGCAATATCAGGAAGTTACCCTATATGGTCTAAAAAGGGGAGGCATGAATAATCCACCCCTTGTTTAGCATATCATCAAGAAATAACCATAAAAATGGGCAACCAGCACCAGGCAACCCTCAGGTCTGCTCTGTCTGTGGAGTAGCCATTCTTTTGTTCCTTTACTTTCTTAATAAACTTGCTTTTACTTTATTCTATGGACTTGCCCTGAATTAGTTCTTGTGGGAGATCCAAGAACCCTCTCTTGGGGTCTGGATCGGGACCACTTTTCTGTAACATAACCACTAGAAAAAACAAAATACTTATTTCTGAACTATGAAAGAACAAAAAAAGAAACATTTATTCAAACCAACAAAAAGAAAAGGCTAAAAAAAGCATAAACAAATAAGAATAATTAGTAAATAAAACAAAATGAAATAGCAAGAATGAGTCCAAAAATATCAGTAGTCACGCAAAATATCATCTTTCTTGAAACAAGAAAGATTTAAAATAGTAAGCAGTGAACTCAAAACCTATTAAAAAAATAAAATAAACATGACCCAAGTAGAAAGGAATCAAGGTTAAAAGAACTTATTAAACGGAAATGTACTCCCTATACCGGCTTTTAACAAATTCCTCTGTTAACAGGTCACACCTCACTTCCACCTCCCACAGAACCTCCAATTCACCTTTCAAGACTCTATGGGGCAAATCTATTTGGTTCTTGATGCCATCCTCGTTGGCAGCATTTAGATTTTCACTTCCTCTGCTCTACTAAGTCAAGTTAACACTTTTCCATCTGCTTTAAAACTTCAAAAAAAAAACACAACTCACATTTACTCTTCTCATGTATTCTTTGTCCTTGTATATTTATACTTTTATTCTTTCAATATCATTTTTTGGAGTTTGGAAAATGACAGAAATTTCCATTTCCTTACTTAATATCCATTTTGCCCTACTTTCTCTTACTAAGATTGCAATCTCATTGAGGAGCAATGATATGCTACTTTAAAAATTCATTTATCACACACTTTTGCAGTAGGGATAGTCACATGACATAGTTCAAGCCAATGGGATGCAAGTAGAAGTCACTGGGTGGGGCTTTCCGGGGAAATCCTTGAAGGTGGCATTCATGGAACATGCTGCCTTGACTTTTCCCTTCTTCTCACATGGAATGCAGGCATGATGAAAGTTAGTCAACCATTTTATCTTCATACAGTAACAAGCTCATGATGAGCTTAATGGAGTAGAAAGATGAAAGGAGTTTATGATTCTGATGACATCATAGAGTCACCACCCATGCCCAGTATAGTAAGAAAGTAAAAATTAATTAAGACTGAGAAAGTAAAAAATTGTCAGGCTGGAATAACAGGCACTAATCAGGTCAGCTACAAAATTAACAAAAACAGTATTTCTCCCAAGGACACTCTACAACTATAAAATATTTCAACAATCCCCTTCTTTTAGTGACTGCTATCTTCTTACTCACTGAGAAACTTCGTTCTCTAAATTCAGAAACTATCAGAAACTTTCCTGTCTGAAATTAGATCAGTAAGAAACAAACATTCCACTCTTGCCTAGAGGTTGCACGTCACTTTGACAGAGAGAAGCAGCCTCAATTATACAACCAAGGTGCTGAACTTCAGAGAACTTCTAAGAAACATTTCCCATCTCTTTTAACTTTGTTTCCAAAGGAACGTGACCTTGGTCTACTTCACAGTCCAGACCTAATGTTGGCCCATTTATACACACCCTTGTTTTGCATTGAGACAATCAGAATACTGCTTCCCCTAAATCCCACTCAAACTTCACTCTTCCCCAAATTATATAATAACTCCATATATTCCTTTATTTGGTGAAATTTAGTTTGGACTGAAAAAGTAAAAAATTATCAGGCTGGAATAACTGGCACTGATAAAGCCTGCTATAAAGTTAACCCCATGGTTCCCCTGGTATACTGTCTCCTTCAGGGCAATTAAGTCAACAGACTTAACTTTTTTTCACTACAAGTTTGTCTCTAAAGGTCTTGGGCTGAATAGCCTAGCTCCAGATTTCTTGTCATTTGAAAAGCAAAATCTCTTAAAGTCACTGCTTTCAGGTCATTTTTACTCACAGTAAATTGATGGTAGGAGGTAGATCAAATAGGTTGAAAGTAAAAGAATGAAAAATGAGAGACTATGCAAAAAAATAAAACAGAGTTGGAGCGGCTATGTTAATATCAGAGAAAATCGACTACTGTCCTATTTGGTTTCAATTAGTCTCGAAAGTTCCCTTGGTGATTCTACTGTGACAAGATTTAAGGCCAAGGGACAGCAGTGTTGAGAAGGCTAATAATGGCCAAAGGCAATACACAAAGAAGCTGGGTTTCCCTAAGAGAAAAGGAAGGATTAGGAGCATTTAGGATGCTGGTTCTTTACATGGGGGAATACTGGAGATAAAGACTGCTTTGTTAGCAGTGAAATATGACCCATACTCATGAGCATTCTTTCTCAAGCAAATGTGGCTTGGAGAAAGAGACACACTCGGAACAACTGGCTTATATATCAAATTTTTAGTATTCATCCACAATAAAAGTTATCTCACCGCCTTTAGTCTTTGAGCATGGTATTCTGCTGCTGAAAAATACTTTCCTGGTGTTACCAGTTTATCAGTCATATTTGATACATATACACCAATGTTAGTCATCTGTGTGGATGTTGTATTTGTAGTTTGTTGGAGATTTTTTTTCTGAAAAACTGTCTAAAAGAAAACATTAAAAATTTAAATCAGTATCCCCTATATATATACATAAGGGAGTTTTTCTACATATGTGAGTTCATTTTCTTTTATTAATTGCCATATAATTACTTAAGAGAAATTTGAGAGAGTCATACAGTACAATTATTGAGTCTATACCTTCAAAAACCTAAAGAGACAAATAAAAACATTACCTGCGTATCCCTACAAAATATACTGAGTCTTTCGGGAATCCTTTTAGGTACAGTTTGTGTTCCAGCATTGTGATACTCTACTCCTGTTACTTTATGTCTGAATCCACCAAGAAATGGTTTGTGAAAGTCAGATTTGACAATCTCAACAGGTACCTGCTGGTATTGATCAAGTCCTGAGAGATAACACCAAGATTCAATGAAAGCTCAACCAAGAAGGGACTCAAAAATACTTTATCTAAAAGACATCAAATAACGAACCAGTTTGGACAGTGACAGTTATGATTTGAGAGACATCAGTTAATCCATCTATTCTTCTGACTGGATACAGATCTGGATTTGTAGAAAAGATTTCCACTTGTACAATTTCCTGTGGCTTAACTCCATGTTGTACTAGAGTCTCATTATTTTTAAGAATTTTTCCTAAAAATTGAAATAAAATTTTTAAAAGTTTTATGACAAAGAAATGGCTATTCATTGATCTTATTTTTTGTTTTTAATTGACAAATAAAAATTGTATATATTGTGTACAGCATGCTTTGAACTATGTATACATTGTGAAGTAGCTTAATACAGCTATTAACATGTCCATTACCTCATATACTTATCATTTTGTGGTAAGAACACTTAATATCTATTTTCTTAGCAATTTTCAAATATGTAATATATTATTATTAACTATAGTCACCATTTCTAGAAATGGCTAATTACACATTCTCATTTTAAGGAGATGGAAAATATCAAAGGTGAACTTTGAAACTTTGAACACATATCATTTAATTATTAAATATACTATTAATATATTTACTCATAGGAACACATATCGTTTAATTATTAAATATAGTATTAATAGTTTCTACCTCTTGCTCTGATGTTAGTACAAAAAACTCCATAATAGGAAGAGTTTTAGTGGCATTCTTGAGAAGGAATTCGGCATTATAAATAACACTACATTACTCTCAGTTCATCAGGAATATAAATACATAACAACCATGAAACTCCATAAACATTTAAAAAATAAAGACATTCTATGGTATGAGCAGAATAATATGCTAAACATTCATTCTATTAAAAAAACGCAATGTGTTAACTGTAAGTACAGGACATACCCATATCAAGAGGAAGGATAATTATTTTAATAGCCATCCTACCCCCCATATTAGTTCTTTCTCACATTGCTATAAAAAACTACCTGAGACTGCATAATTTATAAAGAAAAGACATTTAGGCCACACATGGCGGTTCATGCTTGTAATATCAGCACTTTGGGAGGCCAAAGTGGGCAGATCACTATGGCCAGGAGTTCATGACCAGCCTGTCCAACATGGGAAAACCCAGTCTCTACTAAAAATACAAAACTGAGCCAGGCCGTGGTGGCATATGCCTGTAATCCCAGCTACTCGGGAGGCTGAGGCAAGAGAATTACTTAAACCCGGGAGGAAGAGGTTGCAGTGAGCCAAGATCACACCCTGAACTCAAGCCTGAACGACGGAGCAAAACTCTGTCTCGAAAAAAAATAATAAAAGACGTTTAACTGGCTCACCATTCCACAGGCTGTATGGGAGCATGGCTGGGGAGGCCTCAGGAAAATGTGGCAGAAGGTGAAGAGGAAGAAGGCACATCTTACATGGCCAGAGGAGGAGAAAGAGTGAAGGAGGAGGTGCTACACACTTTTAAACAATCAGATGTCATGAGAACTCACTCACTATCAAGAAGACAGCAAGGGGGAAATCCGCACCCATGATCCATTCGCCTCCCACCAGACCTCTCCTCCAACACTGAGGATTACAATTTGACAAGAGATTTGGGAGAGGACACAAATCCAAACCATATCATTTTGCTCCTGGCTCCTGTCAAATCTCATGTCCTCACATTGCAAAATACAATCATTCCTTCTTAACAGTCCCCCAAGTATTAACTCATTTCAGCAATAACTCTAAAGTCCACAGACCAAAGTCTCATCTGAGACAAGGCAAGTCCCTTCCACCTATGAGCCTATAAAATCAAAAACAAGTTAGTTACTTCCAAGATACAATGGAGATATAGGCATTGGGTAAATATACCCATTCCAAAATGGAGAAATCAGCCAAAACAAAGGGGCTACACATCTCATGCAAGTTCAAAACCCAGCAGGGCAGTTATTGAATCTTAAAGCTTTAAATAATCTCCTTTGATTCCATGTTTCACGTACAGGCCACAGTGATGCAAGGGGTGGGCCCCCAAGGCTTTGGGAAGCTCTACCCCTGTGGCTCCACAGGGCTCAGCTCGCATGGCTGCTCTCAAGAGCTGGCACTGAGTGTCTGCGGCTTTGCCAGGTGCACAGTACAAGCTGCTAATGGATCTACCATTCTGGAGTCTGGAAGACTCCACAGGTACAGCTCCACTAGGCAGTGCCACAGTGGGCACTCTGTGTGGGGGCTCCAATCACATATTTCCCCTTTGCACCACCCTAGCAGAGGTTCTCCATGAGGGCTCTGCTCCTGCAGCCAACTTCTGCCTGGACATCCAAGCATTTCCATACATCCTCTGAAATCTAGGCAGAGGCTCCCAAGCCTCAATTCTTGCCTTCTGTGCACCCACACGCTTAATACCATATGGAAGCCACCAAGGCTTATGGCTTCCACCCTCTGGAGCAATGGCCTGAGGCATATCTGGAGCCCTTTTAGCCAGAGCAGGAGCTGGAGTAGCTGGGATGCAGGCAGAAGTGTCCCAAACGGCCCTGGGCCTAGCTCACAAAACCACTTTTCCCTCCTAGGCCTCCAGGCCTGTGACAAGAGGGGCTGCCATGAAGGTCTCTGAAATGACTTTGAGGCATTTTCCCCATTATCTTGGCCATTAACATTTGGCTCCTTTTTATTATATAAATTTTGCAGCCTGCTTTAATTCCTCCCTTGAAATAGGGTTTTTCTTTTCTACCAAATGATCAGGCTACACATTTTCTAAATTTTTATGCTCTGCTTCCTTTTTAAATATACGTTCCAGTTTCAGATCATCTCCTTGCTCACACATATGACCATATACTGTTAGAACCAGCTAGGCCACATCTTGAATGCTTTGCTGTTTAGAAATTTCTTCCACCAGATACCCTAAATCACCACTTTCAAGTTCAAAGTTCCACAGATCCCTAGAGCAAGGACACAGTGCTGCCGGGTGTCTTTGCTAAAGCATAGCACGTGTGACCTTTACTCCAGTTCCCAATGAGTTCCTCATTTCCATCTGAGACTACTTCAGCCTTGACTCTACTGTCCATATCACTATCAGCATTTTGGTCACAACAATTTAACAAGTCTCTAGGAAGCTCCAAACTTTCCCTCATCTTCCTGTCTTCTTCAAAGGCCTCCAAACACCTGCCCATTACCCAGTTCCAAAGCTGCTTCCATATTTTCAGATAACTTTACAGCAATGCCAAACTTCTTGGTACCAACTTTCTGTATTAGTCCGTTCTCACATTGCTATAAAGAACTACTTAAGATTGGGTAATTTTTAAAGAAAAGAGATTTAATTGGCTCACAATTCCATGGGCTGTACAGGAAGCATGGTTGGGGAGGCCTCAGGAAACTTACAATCATGGCAAAAGGTGAAGAAGGAGGCACGTTTTACATGGCTGAAGCAGGGGGAAGAGAGCAAAGGGGGAGGTGCTGAACACTTTTAAACAACCAGATCTCATGATAACTCACTATCACAAGAACAACAAGGGGGAAATCTGCCCCCATGATCCAATCACCTCCCACAAGGCCCCTCCTCCAACACTGGGGAATACAATTCAACATGAGATTTGGGTGGGGACACAAATCCAAACCACATCGCCCCCAGAACAGAGAAGCATATATGCAGAATCCCTTACTTTCTCTCTTTTCATAATCAGAAACTCATATAAATTAATTCATGCCACGGTAGAGGTAAGCCAGTTTTGTGCTAGAAAAAGTATACATTGCTTAATTTTTATGATGCTATTGTTTTAACTTCTACTCACTCCTCCCCCATCTGCCCAGCCACTGGTGTATTCAGAAATTGACTAATTTTCTTTCTCTATTTTAAGGTATACAAAAATGTAACTATGTGACTGGCTGCTGTTTTGTGTCATGGAAACTTTATTGATGGAATCTATATTAATCTTCAAATTTATGGCCCTTCTAAATTGCAGTTAGGAATGTGAACACTGCAAAAGGTTTACTTATTCTTAGAAATCCATCAGACACCACTACATTCTCCAGCTTACAATGATAATGGCTCAACTTACAATTTTCTGACTTTATGATGATGCAAAAGCCACACACATTTAGTAGAAACCACACTTCGAGCACCCAATCATTCTGTTTTTCACTTTCAGTGCAGTATGCAATAAATTACATGAGATATTCAACACTTATAAAAGAGTCCTTGTATTAAATGATTTTGCCCAACTGTAGGCTAATGTAACTATTCTGAGCACACTTAAGGTAGGCTAGGCTAAGCTATGAAGTTTGGTAGGTTAGGCTTACTAAATGCATTTTTGACATATGATGTTTCCAATTTATGACAGGTTTACTGGGACATAACCCAATCACAAATTGAGGAGCATCTGTAGTCTATTTTGGCTATGTTCAAGAAAGCACATTCTAAGATCTTTGAGTTTCTACTTCACACCCTAAATTCTTCAGTTAAAAAATTAACATGAGGGCCAGGTGCAGTGGCTCACACCTGTAATCCCAGCACTTTGCAAGGCGGGTGGATCATGAGGTCAGGAGTTTGAGACCAGCCTGGCCAATATGGTGAAACCCTGTCTCTACTAAAAATGTAAAAATTAGCCGGGTGTGGTGGCACATCCCTGTAGTCCCAGCTGCTTGGGAGGCTAAGGCAGGAGAATCACTTGAACCTGGGAGGCGGAGGTTGCAGTGAGCGAGATCGTGACACTGACTCCAGCCTGGACAACAGAGTGAGACTCCATCTCAAAAAAAAAAAAAAATTAACATGAATGTCATATGGACTTTATGATAGGTTGGATAACTGCCCCAAGTATGTCTACATCCTAATCTCCCGGACCTATGAATATTACCTTATATGGCAAAAGTGGCTTTGCAGATTTGATTGAGAATTTTGAGTTGGAAAGATTTTCCTGGATTATCTGGTTGGGCCGTAAATGTAATCACAAGTCCCCTTATTAGAGGAAGGAAGAGGAAGATTTGATGACAGAGGAGAAGGCCATATGACAGAAGCAGACAGATTTGAAGATGCTACAGTTCTGGCTTTTAAAACGGAGGAAGGGCCTAATAAGCCAAGAAATACAAGAAATGCAACTCTAAAAGCTGGAAGGGCAAGGAATCAGATTCTCTTCTGGATCCTCCAGAGGGACAGCAGCCCTGTAGACACCTTGAATTTATCTCAATGAAATTAATTTTGGATTTTTTGCCTCCAGAACTATAAGCGAAATATATGTGCTGCTTTAAGCCACTAAGTTTGTGACTGTTAGAACAGCCATAAGAAACCAATACAGGGTCCCCAGAGCCCCCTTTATTTCTCTACTTATTTCTGTAATAGGCTTAATCCCACCAAACTGGAGCTCAAGTTCTAGTACTAGCAGAAAGCACTTTAGAGGATGCCTGGCATAGAGTCAAGCTCTTTTGTAATTCCTGCTGGCATAAGCCTGTTACCCAGTGGTGATGCCTGGTACCTAAAGACGAAAGGTCATGAGGTATAAAGAACAGAGAAATCCTTAAGTACCACTAGCTGGTTACTACAATCTCAAAGTGCTCTCTCATCCAGTTTTGAACTTCACCTTATAGTTAATGTGCAGCAGTTTCAAATTCCCTCTGGAGTCATACCTACATTTAAGTTCAGACTCTGCCACTTACAAGTTTTGTGACTTTGCACAAGTTTCTTGAGTTTTGGGTTTCCTTCTCCCCAAAAAAGAGTTACTAGTAATTCCTACATCAAAAGGCTGCTGTGTGGATTAAATTATAATGTAGGCAAAACATTTTTTGGAAGTACTAGCACACAGTATATGGTCAATAAATTAATCACCAACACCAACAATATGGTCATAATCATTATTACTAATAATTATTTAAATTTTAGCTTTTGTATAGCAAATCAAGTTTTAACAATCACTTATCTGAACACATGAACATCTTACATTTACTATAATAGATTTTTTTAAATAATTTGGAAATTAAATTGTTTTTCTCTGGAAACTTTTTGTGGCATCATTATAAGTCAATATCAAAACTGTTTAAAATATTAGGATCTGTTCAGACATATTCTATAAAAACATATATTTAGGTATGTTAGTCTGATCAACTGTAATAGTTAATAAAGACTATGTCCTCTCAGGACACAAGATTAATATAACTTCAGTGCGCTGTTCAATATCATCCACAAAATATAAATATACCTATCATCATGGAAATGTGCATTGACCTTAATGTACAGAATACTCATAAATCATTTTCAGTCCTCTTCCTGTTCTACACATTCTCTTTCATCATCCATTTTTTCAATCTCATCTCCTCCCGCTACCCATATATAATCTATTTCCAGCCACTCAACACTTCTTACCACTTCCCGAAACTTCCACACTTTCTCACCTCTTTGTGACTTGGCACAATTATTATCACTTTTATTAAATGAAACTTTCTAGAATCTACCAAGTTCCTTCCCCTGTTCCCACAGCTTTTTGTGCATATTTCCATGGAAGCGTTTACACATTACATGGTAGCTACTGCATGCATCTTCTTCCTTACTAATCTGTAAACAATTTCAGAACAGGAATCTTACTTCACATTTCTCTGTATCTTCATTTCTTAGCAAAGTATCTAGAACAAAGTATGTCCTTACTAAATATGTATTGAATGAGTGAATGCATAACCACAATATAATGTTCAATTAGTACCAAGATATTTAGTTTTTAAAATCAAAGATCTTGATTGTTTACATGTTAAAACTAGAAAAGTCTTGATATGTTTTATTAGCCTCCAAACTTACCTGAGTATCTTATCTGCAGTACAGAATGTGGGATACCTAATAAGTGTGAAAAATGGTCCTTAAGATATTTAAGAATGGTATCAACCTTAAAAGGTATTACAATTTCCTGGCCCACTGGAATAAGTACAACTTTTACTGTAAATTAAATAGAAAAGAAAGAATTATAGTCAAATATAGCAAAGGTCAGCAAACTACAGTCCACAAACAGATACAGAATTATGTGTTAATTTTTAATTACATAGAATACAAGTTGTTCTTGCTAGTGTTTCCCTGCTGTGCCCCAATGATAACAGTTACTTTTAATTTTCTATAAGGAGAAGTAGCCAATATTTAGTTGCTTTGAAAATCAACCCATAATCTCAAAAATTAGCTCTAATGTTCAATACCTGGTATGTATCATTCAGATATAAGCATAGGATACATCTCAGGAAATCACGCATTTTTGCATAGTGAATTTAGGAAAGAGAGACCTGAGACAGAGAGAGTGTCCCAGAAGTTAGAAATGCACTATAACTACTTTTCACAAAGAGGGACATTATATGGCTCAATCCCCTCTAGAAAAGAGAGAATCAAGATACTTACACATTAAAAAATTTTTAAATGTTATTATAAAATGATTATCTGTTCATGAATATAGGAGGGAAATACAGTATGTAAAAAGTAATTAATATGGGTAAACTGTTTTACATCTACAGACTTCAAATTTTAATGGAGAAGATGTAAGAAGAAGTAGTATAGAATAAAGACTGTGGATCAAAAAAGTTTTGTATATTTCTAGATTCCTGAAATTACAGTTTTCGTAAAGCTAAAAATAAGACATTTATCAATAACATGACAAAATTTAAGTAGGCATTGGTAATGCGAAGGTTCTTTGAGCTTGTTAAAACTTGTTTCCACAGTTCTCTATCAACAAAGAGAATACTTTCTCAGATGGCAAATATAAGAAGGTTATTTTAATTAATAAATTTTAAAACTTTCATAGTAGTGACTTCTTAAGCTTTGGGAAGGGGAAATGTGTCAAGGGATTTGTGAAGTTCAGGAGGTAAAGGACCAAGACAACATTTTTTTAAAAATCACTATGTGTTTAAGTTATAATATCAGGGAATGACAGAAATACCCAAAAATGAAACCCAAATTTACATTAAATACTAAAATTGAGAGATACCTGCTTCAGTCAGGTATAACTGGGCTTACGTAGTTTTCTCTCCTTCTTTTCTTTCTTTACTTATATGGACACATCACACAAGGGTAAACTACACCACCAGATTCAAAAGCTACATTTTACCAGCCAAACTAAGCTGCTGTTATTATTGTTGTTAAATCATGGCTCATGTTCTCCACTCTGTAGGCAGAAACTCTCTCAAAACTCATTCACAAGACGGAAAAGGAGCAGTCAGTTAACCATGCAACTAGAATGGTTCTCTGTGTAACCACCTTATTGCTGCTGCCACTCTGCTGTTATTAAGAATATAATAATAACTACTGTATGCTATCAACATTATTTTGTGTCTTTAAAATTAACCTACAATGAAAAACAATGATTTTTCTGAAGGAAAATATAAGTTAACACTAAACAGACTATAGAAATATGTAAAAGCAACATGATATGTAGAATAAGCGAGCACTGGATACGAAACTAGAAAAATCCATTGTCTAGTTCCCATGCACCTCTTGCTATTTAGGTACAACAATTAATTCCAAATTGGCATGTAAAATAATTCCCATTTTAGTCAATAATTTCTCCATCATTTTCCAAGGTGGTAAACATTTTTAAAACCTACTTTCTTTGAAAAAATGTATAAATATCAATTTTTAAATTTAATGATGCTCATTCATTGACGAAAAATAGATACTGCAGAATAGAGAAGCTTTCACAAATAGTTAAGAGATTCAAGCTATGTAACTCTGGAAGTTTGGTGGATAAGGGAAAGGGAAAGGAATATCAAATATAAAACAAATCTTTAAGCAAAAATAAGCCAACAAGAAAACGCATTCATTCTTCAAAATGAGAAAATGAAATAGCCTATCTTCCTTAGGTAGTACCTGTTGCTAGAGAATCTTCCACTGATTCTTGCAAAGATTCCTTTACAGACTTTATTTTATCCAGAAATGCCAAACTATCATCATTTGGCCTCTGCATTGCATATTGCTTTTCATGATGTTGCGGAGTATATGAAACTTGTCTTGGTGATATAACCTCTTCCATGAGTTGTTCATTGTCTGGTTCCAGGCTTGAAAAGCTTTGGTCACTCTGCTCCTCAACATGTATTGCATGGCTCTCACTGAATTGTTCTATTCCAGATTCATGCTCTTCAGTTTGATCTGACTCTTGAGGCTCTTCTGAGGGAACTGGAATAGTGACAGTATCAAAAGCATCATCACTCTCTTCTGTTGAATTGACTATATTCTGAGCTTCATACTTCTCCTGTTGATTAGACATTTTCCTGAATTAAGAAAAATAAACACATTTACTACATAGATGAAGTTTCTACACAAAAAATCAAATTCATTGCTAGTATAGAGTAACATTCATAATATTCAACTAAAATGTTGCTCAATTTAAAAAAATGTTTATCTTAGTAATAGCATCAGGTTAAAAAAAAGAACCTCAAAACAATAAATTTGACAATACTCTGCAAAGAATATATGGAAAAACATTTTTTAATATCTTGTCATTTCTTATTTCTTCCTTATTTTAGTCTCATATTTTTTGAAACTTCCTTATTTAATGAAGAATGCCTCATGAAAAGACTTTTTGAATTTCTTTTTTCTGAATACGAAACTGATGGATGCTTCTAGCATTACAAATGATTAGAAGCTCCAAGGAACCAGCCAGCTCTATAGCAAGTGTACCCTGAACAGAATACACTTTTTGTAGTAGCTCTGCTCTTACAAATTGTAGCAGAGGTCTACAGTGACCTCTGCTCCCCCCAAATAAACCTATTACAACAAATATGGATTGAGCTTGGAGCTGACTAGACCCACAGCTATAGCAACCACGAGCTTGGGTCTGGAAGACAAGATGACAGCATCTAAAAGCTTGGGCCAGGATAGTCCAAGGCATGCCAGAGCCGGGCTGCAGATGCAGGAGCTAAATCAGAGAAACAAATGTCCAATATAGCAGGGAGCCCACCTATAGAAGTCAGGAAGGGAAAATAGGGAAGGTAGCCCCCAGACCAGATTTCTATGGCAAAGGCAAGGGGAATATGAAACCTTGAAACAGTAGTGAGGTGGAAAAGCTCTCTCTGGGGCTTCTACTTTGAGCACAAATCTTTATGGAGAAAATAAATTCACCCACAGCCAGTGGAATTCTCTGGCTACTAAGTTATAAATTTTTAAAAATGGAAATATCTGCAATAAAAATATATAATTGTTTATCTCAGTGAATAAGCTATACAAGATTAGAGAGAGTTGAAGAGAGAATTAGTAAACTGGAAGATAAATAAAATGATTTTATATAGAATGATGCAAACAGATAAGATACAAAAAATATGAGACTAAAAGCCATGGAAAAGAAAGCCTAGCATGTTTTTGCTAAGCATATATTTTGTTGTGAGCTAAGAATGATTTTGTATTGTGAAACCAAAAAACAACAAAGATGCATTGGAGACTATGTGCGGTCTTTGCAGTCTAAAAAAAACCTGTGAAGTCCTTTTCATAAAATGTTTGCCAGCTTCTGAACTAACATATGTCAAAATGGAGTCCCAGAAGGAAAAATAGAAAGATAGAGGAGAAAAAATATTTTTATGTATTATTTATTCTTTTTGAGACAGAGTATTGCTCTGTCGCCCAGGCTGGAGTGCAGTGGTCCAATCTCGGCTCACTGCAAACTCCACCTCCCAGTTTCAAGTGATTCTCCTGCCTTAGCCTCCTGAGTCACTGGGTCTACAGGTATGTGCTACCACACTCAGCTTATTTTTGAATTTTTAGTAGAGATGGGGTTTTGCCATGTTGGCCAGGCTGGTCTCAAACTCCTGGCCTCAAGTGATTCATCTGCCTCAGCCTCCCAAAGTGTTGGGATTACAGGCATGAGCCATGATACCCAGCCAGGAAAAATATTTTAAAAGGTTATAGCTGAGAACTCTTCAAAACTGATAAAAGAATACGGATCCTCAGATCCAGGAAGCATAACATAAATATATACCAAACAGGTTAAATAAAAATAATTAATAGTCATATACATTGTAATGAAATTACAGACTATCGAAGACAAAGAGAAGGTCCTGAAAGTACAATGATAAAGAATATAACATCTGCTGTTTTGAATCATATTAATTTGCTGACATTAATACAAAGAAAAGTAAAATCACTGCAGACTTATCAGAAAAATAGGAGCCAATGCAACAATAGGCTAACTGAAAGAAGAAAACTATCAACCTAGAATTGTGCACCCAGCAAAATTACCTCTCAAGAAAGAAAACAGAAGCATTTACAAGTTAGTTACTAAGTTACCACCAAGATATTTGCTCTAAAGGAACTTCTAAAGAATATACTCAAAGGAGGAAAATGATTTCAAGGGATGTCTGAAGTGCAACTTGGAAAGGTAAATGTGAAAAATCATAAACATATGGGTAAATCCAAACAAATACTGTTAATACAAAATGATAGTAAATTGAAATATTAGACAATAATATATAATTGAGAAGGGAAAAAAACAGACCAAACTCTCTCAAATCCTTACACTGTTTATAATTTGTTTATTTGTATAGACTTAGGGAGTACAAGTACAGTGCAGTTTTGTTACATTAATATATTGTGTAGTGGTGAAGTCTGGGCTTTTATTGAGGCCATCACCCTAATAGTATACACAGTACCCACTGAATAATTTCTCATCCCTCACACCCTTCCCATGCTCCCTTTCTTTCAAGTCTCCAATGTCTATTATTCCACTCTCTATGTTCAGGTATAGATGTTATTTCACTCCTACTTATAAGTGAGAACATGTGATATTTGACTTTCTGTTTCTGAGTTATTTCACTTAAAATAATGGCCTCCCATTCCAAGGGGGACATATTCTTAACCTTAGACTTTGTTACTTAAATATGCACAGTTAAATCTCACTATAAGCAATAAAAAACAGAAACATAGTTTTTAAATTTCAAAACAATCAAGAGGGAAAGAAGTGGAATGAGAAAAACCTGAACAAAGCTCAATTTTAAAAAAAATCAAGAAACTTCTTCAGGCTCTCACCACAAAAAACAAAAAACAAACAAACAAAAAACAAAAAACACACACACAAAAACACCATTTTGATTATTTTCTCCTGTAACAGAGCTTAATGGCCTAATTAGAAAGAGAATATCATAACAAAGCCCTACCTCCTAGCAACATATTAGCCAACACCCCAAACTAGCCAAGATGGTATCTTCTAAAAACAGCAATAACAACAAAATCAAGAACTTCTGCTCTTCAGAAAACACAACTGGGAGAATAAAAAGACAAATCATAGACTGGAAGATACTTTTCACAAAATGCATATCTGATAAAGGACTTATATTCAGACTATATAGAGAATAATAAGAAAAAATAATATTTAAAAAGGGTAAAAGATTTAAACAGACACTTCACCAAAGAATACATATAGAAGGCAATTAAGCAGGGCCAGGCCTAGGTTGAGGCAAGTGAAGTGCCTAACTGCTCTACACTTGTACTCATGTCTGAAAATGAATGCCTCCTAAAATTTTGGGCCTAGGTACATCATTTGCATCACCCTAGTCTCAGCCCTGAGAACAAACACATAAAAATAAGCTCAATATCATTACTCATTATAAAAATGGAATTTCAAATCACAATGAGATAGCACTACATACCTATTAGAATAATTAAAATAATATTTTTTAAAGCTCTCTAATAGCAAGTGCTAGTGAGTGCATATAAAGACAAGTGGTACACACAACAACATGGATGAAACTCAAATTATGCTCAGTGAAGAAGCCAGCTTTACTAAGGCTGTGTACTATTGACTCAATTTATATGACAAATCCTAGGGTTAGAAAACATACCAAAGCCTAAGGGTAAAGATAAGAGTTGATTACAGAAGGATGTGGGGATTTTTTACGTGATGGAAACACTCAAAATCTCAATTGTGGTAGTGGTTATGCAAACTATATGCGTTTATTAAAATGTATAGCACTGCAGACTAAAGAGGGCAAATTTTAATGTGTCTAGATTATCCCTTACTAGAAAGATGACAAAAAGTAAAAGCAATTAATGCTCCTTTCAGTAGGGGGAAAAAAAGTGTGCTATTAAGACTAAGACTCAAGGAATTTCAATAACAATAACAATTTTTGAAAATCGACGAGGCAGGGAAAAAGAACTGATCCCAGATGTAAGGTCAGTAGTATAGGAAATGATAAATAGCAAAGAAAGTGAAAATACATGGGTAAATATAAATGCACTTTGGCTGTATAAAAATAATGTCATAAAGTCATACACACACAGAAATACAAAACAATCATTTGTCATATCTGTTGTGGGGGTGAAAATGATAAAAAGGGCATTTATCTTATCATAATTCATTAATCTGTAAATGTGTTTTATGTGGCTTTCTGATTTTGTGCTATACTTAATAAAGAAGCCAAATCAAAAAGAAGAAAGAGGAAGAGGAGGATGAAGTACTCTATATGTTGACAGAAGTCACACTCCAAGATTTATTAAGTGAGAAAAAGAAAGAAGGTGAAATAAGAATATATATTCATGTTTGTTTCTATTTGGATAAAGAAACACTCAGAAAAGTATGAAAGAAACTAAGAAAACTAGTTATCTGATGGGGGGCAAGGTGAGTAGGAAGTAGCCAGAACAAGGGTGGGCTCCAGAATTCTCAATGTATTATTTTTAATATTTTTAAACAATATAAATGTATTACCTGTTTTAAAAATTAGATAAGACATCATAGGGAAAACACAAGGTGGCTGGGAGAATATGTGATCAAGAGTGGTAAAGCCTCTTTAGGAATAGGAACTAAAAATTATGACAGGTCTGAGATTTCATCCTACCTACAAGCTAACAATTTAGCCTGCCATAGTTTCATGAATACTGTCAGAATAGATAAGACTCCTGGGCCAGAGAAAAAGGACTTTATTACTCATGGCACAGCAGATAGCATGAGCTTTATATTCACATAGGATCCCTGTGCCCCCAAATCCCAGAGGAACAATGTGGAATGCCCAATTAGATGCCATACACACAGTGGGTTTGCATCACAGCTAAGAAACCCCAAGCTTAGAAACTCCAATCCTTTATAATGGACTGCAAGCAAATATGCCTAACCTTTGCCTTGGGGGAATATATCATTGTTATTATATTAGACAGATAAATCTGACCTCTGCTTTAGAAAGAGACCCTATATCGGCAGGGCGCTGTGGCTCATGCCTGTAATCCCAGCACTTTGTGAGGCCGAGGCGGGTGGATCACGAGGTCAGGAGATCGAGACCATCCTGGCTAACACGGTGAAACCCCGCTCTACTAAAAATACAAAAAAATTAGCCGGGCGTTGTGGCAGGCGCCTGTAGTCCCAGCTACTCGGGAGGCTGAGGCAAGAGAATGGCGTGAACCCAGGAGGCAGAGCTTGCAGTGAGCCGAGATTGCGCCACTGCACTCCAGCCTGGGTGACAGAGCGAGACTCCATCTCAAAAAAAAAAAAAAAAAAAAAAAAAAAGAAAGAGACCCTATATCTTTTAAGACTGTTCAGTATACAAATACCCTTGAAAACAAAATTCAAAACAAAGCTGTCAGTGTCTCTTAAGCAGAAATTCTAGAGAACCACAGGGAACTGTCTTCCATGAGGAATCAGAACCATCCATGGACCAACAACAAAAAAGCTTCTGAGAGTCAGTATCTAGTGATTATTTTCATAGCTATGTAGTAAGAATAACCATTTCACAACAGCAATTACATTGTCTTTCCTACAGCCAGCAAGAACAATGCTTGCTCACCTATGCCCTGAAACTTTGTTAGGTTCCATCTGACACTACCCAATGTGAACAAGGCCCCATTTAACAGACACAACACTTAAAAGCAGTCCGAAGGTATAGATACCTAAAGGGCAAGCCATGCCTATATCTGTCTAATAAGGTTGAAAAGGATTAAACCAGCTTGAATGCCCACCAGGGCATGAGAGTTGATCCAATAGGCCTAAGATAATAAATTTCATAACTGTAACATGAGTAAATTATATCTAACAGTATAATAAAACAATAATATAACACAACCAAGGAAGGTCTACTTTTAGAGTCATCCTTTTATTTTTTTTTTCTTTCGCTCACCCATTATCCAGCCACTCAAAAAGCACTGTCAATACTGACCTGAAAATTTAGTCTCAGTCTACTTTTTTCTGCCATCCTATCATATTTTGACAGTACTACTGCAACAGTCTCTTAGCTGGTTATCTTAATTTCATTCTTGAAACTCCTACCCCACCAACCCCTGCCAAAAAAATCCATTATTCTCACAGCAGCCAGAAAAATATTTTTTAAAGAAAATCATGCCATGCCCCTCTCATACTTGCTTAAATACCTCTAAAATAAAATGCTTTCCAGAATAAAATCCAAACTACTCACCATGGCCTTCAAGGTCCTAAATGATCTAGCCCCTGCCTCTCTGACCTCATCTTCTAAACAACCCCACCTTTTACCATATCTAGGGCTGATCTCCCTCTTGGGGCTTTTGCATTTTATGTTTCCTCTGTCAGAAATGTGTTACTACAAACATTTTTTGAGGTAGTCTGGCTCTGTCACCCAGGCTACAGTACAGTGGTGCGATCTCAGCTCACTGCAACCTCTGCCTCCTGGTTCAAGCAATTCTCCTGCCTCAGCCTCCCAAATAGCTGGGATTACAGGCGCCCACCACCACGCCTGGCTAATTTTTGTATGTTTAGTAGATACACAGTTTCACTATGTTGGCCAGGCTGGTCTCAAACTCCTGACCTCAGGTGATCTGCCCACCTCAGCCTCCCAAAGTGCTGGGATTACAGGCATGAGCCACTGCACCTGGCCTGTTACTACAAATCTTTATGACTAATTCCTCATCTTCCATGTCTCAGTTTCCAGGGAGGCCTCCCTAATCATACCTCAAATACCCCCTAATTTATTTTTTTCATCAATATAATCACTACATTTCTCAAAAGAAGACATAAAAATAGCCAACAGGTATATGAAAAAATACTCAACATCAATAATAATCAGAGAAATGCAAATCAAAACCACAATAAGACATCATCTCACCCCAGTTAAAATGGCTATTGTCAAAAAGAAAATAACAGATGCTGGCAAGGATGCAAAGAAAGGGGAATGGTAGTACACTGTTAGCGGGAAATGTAAATTACTACAGCCATTGTAGAAAACAGCAGGAAGTTTCCTTAAAAAACTAAAAATAGTTCTACCATATAATCCAGCAATTCCACTGCTGGGTATATAACCAAAAGAAAGGAAATCAGCATATTGAAGAGATATCTGCACTCCCATGTTTACTACAGCACTATCCACAATAGTCAATCAACCTAAGTGTCTACCACCGAATAAAGAAAGAAAATGTGGCATGTATACACACAATGAAATATTATTAAGCCATAAAAAAGAATGAAATTATGTCATTTGCAACAACATGGGTGAAACTGGGGGACATTATGTTAAGTAAAATAAGCAAGGCACAGAAAGACAAATATCACATGTTCTCATTCAAAAGTAGGAGCTTAAAAAGTTGATCTCACAAGGATAGAGAGTAGAATGATGGTTACCAGAAGCTGAGAAGGGCAGGAGGGAGGAAGGATGAAGTAAGGTTGGTTAAGGGGTTCAAAAATACATTTACATAGAAGGAGTAAGTTCTATGTTTGATAGCACCGTACGGTGACTATAGTTAACAATATTTTATATTTCAAAATAGCTAGAAGAAAAGTTTTGGAATATTCCCAGAACAAAGAAATGACAAGGTAACAGATATCCTAATTACCTTAATTTGATTATTACAAATTGTATGCACGTATCAAATATCACAGTTGCTCAATAAATATGTACAATTATGTATAAACAAAAATTTTTAAATTTTTGAAAAGCATTGGCCATGGCTGAATTCATTCATGCTTTCAACAAATTTTTATTGGGTACCTACTCATTACCAGTCCCCCTTTTAGCTGTGTGTAGAGACACTTCTATGTTTCTACACACAGCCATGGACAAGGCTTTTCAAAAATTTTTAAATTTTTGTTGATACACAATTATTGCACATATTTATTGGACACACGTGATTATTTGATACATATCTTTATCTGACCCAGTATATATTTTACTAATTTAGTTGTTACTTGCCCATTTTCCTCACTAGAATATAAGCTTTTTTTACTGCAGGGATTTTGATCTGGTTGGTAGTTTGCAGTTTTTACTGCAGAGATTTTGATCTGCAGTTTAAAAAAAGCTTATATTCTAGTGAGGAAAATGGACAAGTAATAACTAAATTAGTAAAATATACATTGGATCAGATAAAGAGCTAGCAAAATAATAAAGCAAAGAAGGTGGCTAGGAAGTATGAGACTATCAGGAAAGAGTATGGCAGAGCAGAGTGGCAAGTTTTGCTAAGTATATGTGTGGGGAAGGAATGCCTCTCTGGTTGAAATGACATCTGAGCAGGAGGCTGAACTGAGAAAATAAGCAAGGCATGAGGACAAATGGAGAAATGAGAAGCATCACATATCTGAGGAATAACTAGCTAGTCAACTTATGTGGCTAGAGAGCAGTGAGTTAAGAAAAGAGCAATAGAAGATGAAGCTAGAGACGAGGTTGTGGGGAGAGGGCATTAGATTGTGGAAGGTAGGGGAGTGGGAAGCTGGTAGGACATTAGGAGTCTACTGGAATCTATTGTAGTAACCTTGACATGAGGTGAAATGGACCTGGGTGACAGTAGAGGAGATGATGAGAAGTGCTGACTGGATTCTGGATATATTTTTAAAATACAGCTGAAAGGATTTAGTGATGAACTAAATGTGGGCTATGAGATAGAGAGGAATCAAGGATACTGCTAACATTTTTAGCCCAAGTAACCAGAAGGATAGAGCTACATTTACAGAAATAAGGAAAACTTCAAATAAAGGAGGCCTGAGGTATGCATGGAAATTAGATCAGTCTGATTTGGGGTATGCTGAGTTTGAGATGCCCATTGGACACTGGGTTAGCAGTTTGAAGTTCTGAGAAGATGTTGTCCTGGAAATTGGAGAGTCAGAAGTCTATGGTATTTAAAGCCATGAGACATGTGAAATCAATGCAGTCAGAAACGGAAGCCACATATTATAAAGTTCCTTTCATAGGTACTGGATAAATCCTTACCCCTCCATCTTCCTCCTCAATGTGTCTGCCTCCATTTCCTAGTTGCTATGGTTTCTAATGCTTATATTTATTTCACCCTAATTTTAGTATGTTAGGTGTCCTAGATTGCTCCCCTCCAAGCAATCTATCTCCTTACAAACAAAATGAGGGCTGGGTGCAGTAACTCACGCCTGTAATCCCAGCACTTTGGGAGGCCGAGGTGGTCAGATCTCTCGAGCCTAGGAATTCAATACCAGCCTGGGCAACATAGTGAGACCCTGTCTCTACAAAAAATACAAACTTAGCCGGGCATTGTATTGTGGCACGCACCTGCAATTCTAATTACTCAGGAGGCTGAGGTTGGAAGATCGCTTCAGCCAGGGCGGTGGAGATTGTAGTGAGCCAAGATCTCACCACTGCCCTCCAGCCAGAGTGATGGAGTGAGACCCTGTCTAAATAAACACACACACACACACACACACACACACACAGAGATCACAGTTCTCTGTAACCTGTAGATTGTATGTATAGTAGTGCCTAAGGTTCATAGGTCCTTAATTAATGATATGAATGACCCAAATAACTACATGTTTTCAAGACATTAGTTGTTTATAAAAAGGGTGATTAGCAACTGTGTTTATGATGGTTAGCAGTGATAAGCATTTATTCAACCTAAAAATAAGAAATGTCAAGGTTTCTAAGTCATGACTTCATTGCCATGCAGTACAGTGATTCTCAGCTTTGGTTTCCTAAAGTGGAATATCAGAAGGGCTGACTGGAGCCAGCCCACCTGAGTTTGAATCTAGACTTAACAACTTCTTGTTGAAAGAAGCAATCGGCCATGGGTCTTGAGTGTCCCTACATGTTCCTGTGGGTGTGACAAAAATGCAAGGCCATGACCACTGTTTACCCAGACCATTTCTCAGGGTTCTGTTTGCACCGAGAAACTGCAACAGCTGAGATAAACTCTTTCCCCAAAACAAAGAGCAGGCTTTCTTTGGTTTACTGTAAAAGCAGTAAATTCCCCATGTGCAAGCATCCATGTAGACTCACTGGTGTTTCCCCTGTTGGACTGGGTGGGGCTTGGGAAATTGGCACAAACTTGAAGCACTGGCTACTTCTTTTGCATGTGTCCTTTGACCCAGCATCCAAGAAACAGTGACTAATTTATTAGTTTGTACATAGGGTAAAACGCCAGACCCCTCACAGTTCCTGATACTTACTAGCTATATGACTTTGAGATACAGAGGTTTCTTAACCTAAGTCTCATATTCCACACTTGTGAAATGGGATATTAGTAGTTTCAACATCAAAGTTTCTTCCAAGAATTAAATAAAGTAGTGTATATAAAGTACTTAGCAAACAGTGCCTGGCACACAATAAGCATATAATAAATGTTAGCTAATTAGTAATGAACTATTTCTAAAATTTCCAAATGGCTAATGATAATTATACATTAATAATGACTCCTAGGTATTACATAATTACTCGTTTTATAAAGTAGGAGAAAAAAATACTTTTATTATTATACTTTAAGTTTTAGGGTACATGTGCACAATGTGCAGGTTACTTACATATGTATACGTGTGACATGCTGGTGTGCTGCACCCATTAACTCGTCATCTAGCATTAGGTATATCTCCCAATGCTATCCCTCCCCCCTCCCCCCACCCCACAACAGTCCCCAGAGTGTGATGTTCCCCTTCCAGTGTCCATGTGTTCTCACTGTTCAATTCCCACCTATGAGTGAGAATATGCGGTGTTTGGTTTTTTGTTCTTGCGATAGTTTACTGAGAATGATGATTTCCAATTTCATCCATGTCCCTACAAAGGACATGAACTCATCATTTTTTATGGCTGCATAGTATTCCATGGTGTATATGTGCCACATTTTCTTAATCCAGTCTATCATTGTTGGACATTTGGGTTGGTTCCAGGTCTTTGCTATTGTGAATAATGCTGCAATAAACATACATGTGCATGTATCTTTATAGCAGCATGATTTATAGTCCTTTGGAAATATACCCAGTAATGGGATGGCTGGGTCAATGGTATTTCTAGTTCTAGATCCCTGAGGAATCGCCACACTGACTTCCACAATGGTCAAACTAGTTTACAGTCCCACCAACAGTGTAAAAGTGTTCCTATTTCTCCACATCCTCTCCAGCACCTGTTGTTTCCTGACTTTTTAATGATTGCCATTCTAACTGGTGTGAGATGATATCTCATTGTGGTTTTGATTTGCATTTCTCTGATGGCCAGTGATGTTGAGCATTTTTTCATGTGTTTTTTGGCTGCATAAATGTCTTCTTTTGAGAAGTGTCTGTTCATCTCCTTTGCCCACTTTTTGATGGGGTAGTTTGTTTTTTTCTTGTAAATTTGTTTGAGTTCATTGTAGATTCTGGATATTAGCCCTTTGTCAGATGAGTAGGTTGCGAAAATTTTCTCCCATTTTGTAGGTTGCCTGTTCACTCTGATGGTAGTTTCTTTTGCTGTGCAGAAGCTCTTTAGTTTAATTAGATCCCATTTGTCAATTTTTACTTTTGTTGCCATTGCTTTTGGTGTTTTAGACATGAAGTCCTTGCCCACGCCTATGTCCTGAATGGTAATGCCTAGGTTTTCTTGTAGGGTTTTTATGGTTTTAGGTCTAATGTTTAAGTCTTTAATCCATCTTGAATTGATTTTTGTATAACGTGTAAGGAAGGGATCCAGTTTCAGCTTTCTCCATATGGCTAGCCAGTTTTCCCAGCACCATTTATTAAATAGGGAATCCTTTCCCCATTGCTCGTTTTTCTCAGGTTTGTCAAAGATCAGATAGTTGTAGATATGCGGCATTATTTCTGAGGGCTTTGTTCTGTTCCATTGATCTATATCTCTGTTTTGGTACCAGTACCATGCTGTTTTGGTTACTGTAGCCTTGTAGTATAGTTTGAAGTCAGGTAGTGTGATGCCTCCAGCTTTGTTCTTTTGGCTTAGGATTGACTTGGTGATGTGGGCTCTTTTTTGGTTCCATATGAACTTTAAAGTAGTTTTTTCCAATTCTGTGAAGAAAGTCATTGGTAGCTTGATGGGGATGGCATTGAATCTGTAAATTACCTTGGGCAGTATGGCCATTTTCACGATATTGATTCTTCCTACCCATGAGCATGGAATGTTCTTCCATTTGTTTGTATCCTCTTTTATTTCCTTGAGCAGTGGTTTGTAGTTTTCCTTGAAGAGGTCCTTCATATCCCTTGTAAGTTGGATTCCTAGGTATTTTATTCTCTTTGAAGCAATTGTGAATGGGAGTTCACTCATGATTTGGCTCTCTGTCTGTTGTTGGTGTATAAGAATGCTTGTGATTTTTGTACATTGATTTTGTATCCTGAGACTTTGCTGAAATTGCTTATCAGCTTAAGGAGAGTTTGGGCTGAGACAATGGGGTTTTCTAGATATACAATCATGTCGTCTGCAAACAGGGACAATTTGACTTCCTCTTTTCCTAATTGAATAGCCTTTATTTCCTTCTCCTGCCTAATTGCCCTGGCCAGAACTTCCAACACTATGTTGAATAGGAGTGGTGAGAGAGGGCATCCCTGTCTTGTGCCAGTTTTCAAAGGGAATGCTTCCAGTTTTGGCCCATTCAGTATGATATTGGCTGTGGGTTTGTCATAGATAGCTCTTATTATTTTCAGATACGTCCCATCAATACCTAATTTATTGAGAGTTTTTAGCATGAAGTGTTGTTGAATTTTGTCAAAGGCCTTTTCTGCATCTATTGAGATAATCATGTGGTTTTTGTCTTTGGTTCTGTTTATATGCTGGATTACATTTATTGATTTGCGTATATTGAACCAGGCTTGTATCCCAGGGATGAAGCCCACTTGATCATGTTGGATAAGCTTTTTCATGTGCTGCTGGATTCGGTTTGCCAGTATTTTATTGAAGATTTTTGCATCAATGTTCATCAAGGATATTGGTCTAAAATTCTCTTTTTTGGTTGTGTCTCTGCCCAGCTTTGGTATCAGGATGATGCTGGCCTCATAAAATGAGTTAGGGAGGATTCCCTCTTTTTCTATTGATCGGAATAGTTTCAGAAGGAATGGTACCATTTCCTCCTTGTACCTCTGGTAGAATTCGGCTGTGAATCCATCTGGTCCTGGACTCTTTTTGGTTGGTAAGCTATTGATTATTGCCACAATTTCAGCTCCTGTTATTGGTCTATTCAGAGGTTCAACTTCTTCCTGGTTTAGTCTTGGGAGAGTGTATGTGTCCAGGAATTTATCCATTTCTTCTAGATTTTCTAGTTTATTTGCGTAGAGGTGTTTGTAGTATTCTCTGATGGTAGTTTGTATTTCTGTGGGATAGGTGGTGATATCCCCTTTATCATTTTTTATTGCGTCTATTTGATTCTTCTCTCTTTTTTTCTTTATTCGTCTTGCTAGCGGTCTATCAATTTTGTTCATCCTTTCAAAAAACCAGCTCCTGGATTCATTAATTTTTTGAAGGGTTTTTTGTGTCTCTGTTTCCTTCATTTCTGCTCTGATTTTAGTTATTTCTTGCCTTCTGCTAGCTTTTGAAAGTGTTTGCTCTTGCTTTTCTAGTTCTTTTAATTGTGATGTTAGGATGTCAATTTTGGATCTTTCCTGCTTTCTCTTGTGGGCATTTAGTGCTATAAATTTCCCTCTACACACTGCTTTGAATGCATCCCAGAGATGCTGGTATGTTGTGTCTTTGTTCTCGTTGGTTTCAAAGAACATCTTTATTTCTGCCTTCATTTTGTTATGTACCCAGTAGTCATTCAGGAGCATGTTGTTCAGTTTCCATGTAGTTAAGCGGTTTTGAGTGAGATTCTTAATCCTGAGTTCTAGTTTGATTGCACTGTGGTCTGAGAGATAGTTTGTTATAATTTCTGTTCTTTTACATTTGCTGAGGAGAGCTTTACTTCCAAGTATGTGGTCAATTTTGGAATAGGTGTGGTGTGGTGCTGAAAAAAATGTATATTCTGTTGATTTGGGGTGTAGAGTTCTGTAGATGTCTATTAAGTCCACTTGGTGCAGAGCTGAGTTCAATTCCTGGGTATCTTTGTTGACTTTCTGTCTCGTTGATCTGTCTAATGTTGACAGTGGAGTGTTAAAGTCTCCCATTATTAATGTGTGGGAGTCTAAGTCTCTTTGTAGGTCACTCAGGACTTGCTTTATGAATCTGGGTGCTCCTGTATTGGGTGCATATATATTTAGGTTAGCTCTTCTTGTTGAATTGATCCCTTTACCATTAAGTAATGGCCTTCTTTGTATCTTTTGATCTTTGTTGGTTTAAGGTCTGTTTTATCAGAGACTAGGATTGCAACCCCTGCCTTTTTTTGTTTTCCATTTGCTTGGTAGATCTTCCTCCATCCTTTTATTTTGAGCCTATGTGTGTCTCTGCACGTGAGATGGGTTTCCTGAATACAGCACACTGATGGGTCTTGACTCTTTATCCAATTTGCCAGTCTGTGTCTTTTAATTGGAGCATTTAGTCCATTTACATTTAAAGTTAATATTGTTATGTGTGAATTTGATCCTGTCATTATGATGTTAGCTGGTTATTTTGCTCATTAGTTGATGCAGTTTCTTCCTAGTCTCGATGGTCTTTACATTTTGGCGTGATTTTGCAGCGGCTGGTACCAGTTGTTCCTTTCCACGTTTAGCGCTTCTTCAGGCGCTCTTTTAGGGCAGGCCTGGTGGTGACAAAATCTCTCAGCATTTGCTTGTCTGTAAAGTATTTTATTTCTCCTTCACTTATGAAGCTTAGTTTGGCTGGATATGAAATTCTGGGTTGAAAATTCTTTTCTTTAAGAATGTTGAATATTGGCCTCCACTTTCTTCTGGCTTGTAGCCTTCATTTCATTCATTTCATCTTCCATCGCTGATACCCTTCCTTCCAGTTGATCACATCGGCTCCTGAGGCTTCTGCATTCTTCACGTAGTTCTCGAGCCTTGGTTTTCAGCTCCATCAGCTCCTTTAAGCACTTTTCTTTATTGGTTATTGTAGTTATACATTCTTCCAAATTTTTTTCAAAGTTTTCAACTTCTTTGCCTTTGGTTTGAATTTCCTCCTGTAGCTCGGAGTAATTTGATCGTCTGAAGCCTTCTTCTCTCAGCTCGTCAAAGTCATTCTCCATCCAGCTTTGTTCTGTTGCTGGTGAGGAACTGCGTTCCTCTGGAGGAGGAGAGGCACTCTGCTTTTTAGAGTTTCCAGTTTTTCTGCTCTGTTTTTTCCCCATCTTTGTGGTTTTATCTACTTTTGGTCTTTGATGATGGTGATGTACAGATGGGTTTTTGGTGTGGATGTCCTTTCTGTTTGTTAGTTTTCCTTCAAACAGACAGGACCCTCGGCTGCAGGTCTGTTGGAGCACCCGGCCGTGTGAGGTGTCAGTCTGCCCCTGCTGGGGGGTGCCTCCCAGTTAGGCTGCTCGGGGGTCAGGGGCCAGGGACCCACTTGAGGAGGCAGTCTGCCCGTTCTCAGATCTCCAGCTGCGTGCTGGGAGAACCACTGCTCTCTTCAAAGCTGTCAGACAGGGACATTTAAGTCTGCAGAGTTTACTGCTGTCTTTTTGTTTGTCTGTGCCCTGCCCCCAGAGGTGGAGCCTACAGAGGCAGGCAGGCCTCCTTGAGCTGTGGTGGGCTCCACCCAGTTGGAGCTTCCCAGCTGCTTTGTTTACCTAAGCAAGCCTGAGCAATGGCGGGCGCCCCTCCCCCAGCCTCGCTGCCGCCTTGCAGTTTGATCTCAGACTGCTGTGCTAGCAATTAGCGAGACTCCGTGGGCGTAGGACCCTCCGAGCCGGGTGGGGGATATAATCTCCTGGTCCGCCGTTTTTTAAGCCTGTCGGAAAAGCGCAGTATTCGGGTGGGAGTGACCCGATTTTCCAGGTGCCGTCTGTCACCACTTTCTTTGACTAGGAAAGGGAACTCCCTGACCCCTTGCGCTTCCCAAGTGAGGCAATGCCTCGCCCTGCTTCGGCTCGCGCACGGTGCACGCACCCACTGACCTGCGCCCACTGTCTGGCACTCCCTAGTGAGATGAACCCTGTACCTCAGATGGAAATGCAGAAATCACCCGTCTTCTGCGTCGCTCACGCTGGGAGCTGTTGACCAGAGCTATTCCTATTTGGACATCTTGACTCCTCCCCGAAAAAAATACTTTTAAAATAAAGCATAATATTAGCAAATACTTATACCAAATTATTTAATTCTCACAGATGATATCATTATGCCCATTTTACAGATAAAGAAATTAGCACAGAGAGGTTAAGCAATATTTTCAAGAACCCAGAGCTAGTAGGCAGTATATCTGGGATCCAAATCCAGGCAGTCTGGATCCAGAACCCATGCCCTTAACCACTTAACTGTGCTGTATCTCAGTGTAGGAGTCCATGGGGGATTGGGAGGAGAACAGAAAAGGGGTCCTGGTGATGAAGAAAAAGTCTAGAAACTGATCTCCCTGCAGATGAAAAAGCTAAGACCCAGGAATGCCTCATGGTAGGTTAGTGGTAGTCAGATCCAGAATTTAACTAACAATTTTGCCATCAGATATATTATCAGAGAATGTCTTTTATTCTTAAGTGACAAACATGACTATGATTTAAAATAGAGTAAAAAATATTCAGCAGATTTTTTTTCACCCATCTAGAACAAGGAGCTAATTTTATTGGTTCCTAATACCCCCTCATATGTACATATTAATATGCTCTACTTGCATACATATGTGTAAACTCTCACTGCAGCAAATATTAAATGTAAATAACAAAGTACACATATTAAAAGTGTGAAATGTAAAATGTGATCTTCCAACCCAGTTTGGAAAGCTACAGTTGGAAAAGACTTTTCAAAATCATTTTTTCATTATTGTTATCATTCATTTTGTTGTTGTTTTTAAGAGAGTAATATGTGCTTACTAGAAAAAAAACTAACAGAATAGAAGGGGATAAAATAAGAAGTAAAAGTATTTCAGACATGCTAATTTTATTTCTCATTGTTAGGCAGTTTATCTTTCCAGGAATTGTCTATAAAGCTACAATTATATAATATATATACATTTAAATTTGTTTATGATCATATCAATGTCTTTCATAAACTATATTTCTGTTTATTTTTAAACTTTAATACTATTTTATGACTTTTTATAATACGTGCTTAACATTTATTTTTATGTAAAATACGATTCTGCCGCATTCTTTTCAACAACTTCACAGTAACTTCTTTGCAAGGCTAAGCCACATGGTAGTCAACTGTTGTTCATTGATGGACATTTAAGCTGTCTCTAGTGTTTTTTTTTTGTTTTAATAGGATAATTTATTTTTTAAGAATCAGTTTTTAAAGTTATGTTAAAGATCGAACTTTTAAATGCATGCAATTATATATAAACAATAATCTATATTAATTTTTAAATTTTCTGCTGGATGCAGTGGCTCATGCCTGTAATCCCAGCGCTTTGGGAGTCTAAAGTGGGCGGATCTTGAGGTCAGGAGTTGGGAGGCCAGCCTGGCCAACATAGTGAAACCCTGTCTCTACTTAAAAAAAAAAAAAAAAAAAAAAAAAAACAGGCTAGGTGCGGTGGCTCATGCCTGTAATCCCAGCACTTTGGGAGGCTGAGCAGACGGATCACAAGGTCAGGAGATCAAGACCATCCTGGCCAACATGATAAAACCCTGTGTCTACCAAAAATACAAAAATTAGCTGGGCGTGGTGGCATGTGCCTGTAATCCCAGCTACTCGGGAGGCTGAGGCAGGAGAATTGCTTGAACCAGGGAGTTGGAGGTTGCAGTGAGCCAAGATTGCACCACTGCACTCCAGCCTGGCGACAGAGCCAGACTCCATCTCAAAAAGAAAACAAAACAAAATACAAAAATCAGCTGGGAGTGGTGGCAGGAGCCTGCAATCGCAGCTATTGGGGAGGCTGAAACACGGATCACTTGAACCTGGAAGGCAGAGGTTGCAATGAGATGAGATCATGCCACTGCATTCCAGCCTGGGCAACAGAGCAAGACTCCATCTCAACCGGTACAGTGGCTCACGCCTGATCGAGACCATCCCGGCCAACATGGTGAAACCCCGTCTCTACTAAAATACAAAAAATTAGCCGGGCATGGTGGCAGGCACCTGTAGTCCCAGCTACTCGGGAAGCTGAGGCAGGAGAATCGCTTCAACCTGGAAGGCGGAGGTTGCAGTGAGCTGAGATAGCGCCACTGCACTCCAGCCTGGCGACAGAGGGAGACTCTGAAAAAAAACAAAAAACCAAAAACAAAACAACAACAAACAACAACAACAACACCAAAAAACCCTCCAACTCAAAAAATAAAAAAATTTAAAAAAGCACTTTTTAATTTTCAGGGAAAAAAAATCTAAGGCTGGTGTTCACAATGTCAATTTTATTTATGGTTTGTTCTCACTATAAGCTTCCCTGTAATCCATTTCTACCCATTTTTTACTCTGCACAAACTTTTTACCTTTTTGCTCTTTGATTTTTTTTTTTTTTTTTTTTTGAGATGGAGTTTCACTCTTTTTGCCCAGGCTGGAGTGAAGTGGCGCGATCTTGGCTTACTGCAAACTCCACCTCCCAGATTCAAGCAATTCTCCTGCCTCAGCCTCCCCAGTAGCTCAGATTATAGGCACCCCCCACCATGCCTGGCCAATTTTTGTATTTTTAGCAGAGACGGGGTTTCACCATGTTGGCCAGGCTGGTCTCAAACTCCTGACCTCAGGTGCTCCGCCCGCCTCGGCCACCCAAAATGCTGGGATTAGGCTGCTCTTTGAGAGCTTTACAAATTTATTTAATCCTTACAATGACTCTGAGGTAGATCTTCTTGTCTCTGTAGATAGGAAAACTGGAACTGTCAAGAAACTTGCTTAAGATCACAGAGTGCATTAGGTTCGGATCCATAATCAAATTGGAAAAAAAGAAAAACACAAAGAACAATTAAGACTCCAAAGCCCTAATGCATAGTCTTTGTATCCTATCACACTGTGGCATTATATATATAAAACAAAAAACTTTATAATAAAGAGAAATGTATTTTCCAAACTGTGGTTCTCCAGATAACAATGTGTCTCCGTGAGGACCATATAGTAAATACATCCCATAAAAAATGATTACCAACCAAAAGCTTGCAATTAATGTTCCAACTAAAGAAAAAGACTCAAAGTAAAAGCATCAGCTATCCTAGGTACTGCTTGGAGGCAACACCAAACACGACACATAAATCATTGTTGAAAAAAACCGTAAAACATAATGCTGGGTATTTAGTTATGTTGAATGCTAAAACTAATCTTTCCTTAACTAAAGGTCTCCGTCAAATGAAAAGTGTATTTTAGTCAAGTCAGGATTTCTGTTTTGCAAACTCAAAGTCTTATATTATTAAGCATATATTCAGGTTATTTATTTTCCTGATCATAATTTTCAAATCAAATTAAGATCAAACTCCACTGACCGTCAGGTACTGTATATTCTCATTTTGATAAATTTCAAATTAATGATAAAAATGTATTAACCTGCTGGTCAATTATACATTTTATAAATATATTTTAACCAATGACATATTATCAGTAAGTACAGATTCAACGGCAAGATTTCATTAAGAAAGTGTTTCAAGCTTCAGATGCCCAAGACTTATTTAATGTGTAAATCTTCACCACTACAATAACCACATGGTTAAACGATCACCACTTCCATTAGCAAGCTCAAGCCTAATAAGTGATCTCCTGGGACTTCAGCACAGAGGTTTTCTAATTTTATTCCTCCACTCAATGTGGCTATTCTCCCTTATCTATTCACGCTGGCAAAGCTTCTAGTTAAACTGGAATTAGTAACTATTTGATGATAATAATTAACATATACTGAGTGCTTCCGATGGCGCAGTTAATTCTTACAGTTGATAAAAGTGTGGCACAAAAAGGTTAATCAAGTAGCAGAGGCAGGATTTGAACCCAGGAATTCTGGTTCCAGGGCCCGGATTCGGAGTTACAAAGGTGAGTAAACTGAAAAGAGTCCTACTTTTATTGTCATTGCTTTCTAATAAAAATTATTTTTTTCTTCCAATTGTTTAAATCTCTTCTCATTCTCTATTTAAATATTAGGCGTTCATTTAAATATTAGGCGTCTACCTTACAGTAGGACATCTTTAAACAACGTAAAAAAGGAAAGCTTTGTCTTCACCTTCACACATACCGGTCTGCCCATAAATTTTGCAATCCAGTTCTGCCTGATTCTAAACTGCTTGTCTCTTGAAGCGAATGCCTTAAAAAGTGACACTGGGATCAGGATAGTTATCTCCATCCATCCTCCCTCAGAAAAACAACTATATTCGAGTAATTCTTGGGACCACTGAGAACAATACACAGACCTTTGGGTAACTTCAAGACAAAAAAGGCAAAAAGTCGGGGAGAAGGTGTGGGAGGATGATTTTCCCCTTCTAAACGTAAGGTATAAAAGGGCTCAGAAAGCGGAAAAAGAACCCTAAAAAGCAAGGTGCGGGACGGCGTGAGGGACCACACATTGGGCGCTCCGCCCAAGGGGTCCGGCTCCTTCTCCGCGGCGATGGCGCGTCCTTGGGCTCAGCAACCCTCCTGAAGACACCTAACCTCCTCCTTCTCCAGCCTGCCCCTCTGGGGCCTGCGAGCCCCGTCCCGGGCCGGGGGTCGGAAGCCGTGCCATGTAGGACCCCGAAAAGGCCCCCAAGCTTGGCGCGGAAGGCGCCGCCAGTGACCGGCTGCGGCTGGGGGCGGAGGCCGGCAGTTGCTCGGAGCTCCGGCGGGTCAGGAGGTGACGGGAGGAGGAGGAGGCAGGAGGAAGAAAGGGGGGTTGGGAGGTAGCGTCCGGTAGGTCTGCGCAGACAGCGCTGCCAGACCTCTGACTCCCCCAGTCCTGCCGCCGCCGATAGCCCCACAAGGCGACATGGGAAGTCCGCCGGAGCAGAGGGGAGAAAATTCAAAACGAGTCTACTCAACCTCGTCTTGGCTCCGAGGCCCCGCCATGCAGACCCCTCTAGTTTTTTACTATTAAAAATAGTGCTGCAACAAACATTTTATACATCTATCTCTGTATATATGTGTAAGTATACTGAAAATGAGTTCCCAGAATTAGAATGGACAAGTCAAAGGGCATACAGATCTTAATTTTGTTAAATTCCATCAAACTGTTTTCTATTATAGCCCCAAGAAGTTCCCCTTGACTGTTTCCTTACATCCTCATATTGTTTTATGAGTCCTAATAATTAAATATCCCTTTGTTGTGTGTTGCCCTTATATTTCCCATTGTATGTTTGATGTTGTTTTTCTCTTACTATATAAAAGTTTTAGATTGTTAGGTAGTGACATTTATCAATCTTTTTGCTTATGAGAGTTTCCAAATTTCCTGACATGCTTCGAAACACCTTCTCACAATGAAACATAAATACATAAATTCATCCATAAATGCATAAATGAGACAGATCTGTAAATATTGATAGAAAACAACTGGACACACAGTCTTAAGTGTAAAAGCCAATCACAGAAGAGTATGCACAATGTTACAGGTGTAACTACATATTTGCGTATGTCTAAAACACCTGTGGAAGGTGGCCTGGAGATGGGGAGAAATGGGTAGATGGAGGATTTTCACTCTTCATTCTTTTTACTATTCGAACTATTTTTTTATGTATTATCTATTCAAATGAAAATGTTTAAATCTTATTGTTTAAAAAGCAACCTCTATCATGTTTGCATACAAAAAAGTCTCCCTTTTCACCTACATTTCATTCCCTACCATTTAAAGCTTAACACATTTAGAATGTAGTATAATTAGTGAGGCAGGGATCCAGTATTGCCTTCTACCAAATAGATCTGTTGAATTTTTAGGTTTGTTAAGAGGCAAAGACCAAGGGTGGAGAGGAAGGAGTGAGAGTGCCAGGTGAGGAAAGTCTAAAATCTCTCGACTTAATATGAGAATGGTGGCCACGGAAGGCTAAGAGTCTCTAGTGCCAGGTGTGGGTTATACACACATCTTCTATGCAATTACCGTGACAAGCACCCAGGGTGTGAGGTGAGGTGTACCTCCTAGCTTGATGCTGCTGGTTCAAGTCCCAAATCAGAGAGGGGAAGCCAAAAAAGGAGCCGAGAAAGATGAGATGCTTCGCACGGTTTTTAAAGTAAAGTCGGAACATTCCTGACCGACTAGGCAGCCCCAGGCGCTCAGGTGGGAATCACTGCCCAGCACACAGAACCCAGAGTCCAGCGCGGCTGTCACCGGCTCTAGGCTGGATCTAAGCGTCGGACCAGGAGGCCGCAGTCAAAATCTGTTCTCCTACCTGTGTACGAAACCAAACTATTCTCGTCGAAGTGCTTTCCCAGGCTCCTAAGACGCAGCTTCCATACTCGCCGCGTTCTCAGCTGTTGGTCGTATCCTAGCAACGGCCCTGGCACCACCTCTTCCTGCCGGAGCACGGCAGGGGTGGGAAGGAGAGGAGCCAGAGGCGGGTGGGGGGGAGGAGCCAGAAGAGGGCAGCGGGGAGGGGCCGGGAAGGAGGAGCGCGGCAGGGTAGGGGGAGGAGCCAAAGACTGGGGGCGGGGCCGGGAAGGAGGAGGGCGGCAGAAGAGAAGGGGATGAGCCAGAGGCGGGGAGGTGGGGCCGGGAAGGAGGAGTGCGGCAGGAGAGAAGAGGAGTAGCCAGAGGCGGAGGGGCGGTGTCGGGAAGGAGGAGCGCGGCAGGAAATAAGGGAAGGAGCTAGAGGCGGGCTGGGGGCCGGGGTCTGGAAGGAGGATCGCGGTAGGGAAGAAGAGGAGCCAGAGGAGGGGGATGGGGGCTGCAAAGGAGGAACGCGATAGGGAAAAGGGGGAGGAGCCAGAGGCGAGGGGGCGGGGAGAAGAAACATGGCAGGAGAAAGGGGAGGAGCCAGAGGCGAAGAGACAGGAAGAGGGACGCGTCAGGGAGAAGGGGAGGAGTCAGAGGCGAGCGGGCGTGGAGGAGGGAAGCGGCAGGGAGAAGGGGCGGGGCCAGAGGCGAAGGGGCGGGGAGGAGGGACGCGGCAGGGAGAAGGGGAGGAGCCAGAGGCGGAGGCTGTTACCAACTGGCTACCTAGATCCAAGTGAATCAGGACACTAACTTCTCTCCAAGATCTTTTACACTTGTGAAACGGCACAGCTCTCTAAACCAAACACTGACAGCAGTTTAATTTTACAGATATAAAAAAAATCCGAGTCAGAGAAATCATCACGATGAAGTCAGAGGCGAGAAACTGTCAGGTGCCTACTTGCTTTTGTTAAACTAACAACTTGGCTCTCAGCTTCCTGGCAGCCAAAGAGAAAAGGGAGATAGTAGCTATCAAATAATTCTGCTTAGAAGAACTTTTGTTAATCACTAAATTAGTTAATAAACTAAATTTTGTCTAACAACAAATTCTTTTTTTTTTTTTTTTTTCTAGTGTATACAGAGTCTTGCTCTGTCGCCCAGGTTGAAGTGCAGTGGTTCGATCTCGGCTCAATGCAACCTCTACCTCCCTGGCTCCCGCGATTCTCCTGCCTCAGCCTCCTGAGTAGCTGAGATTACAGGCGCCCGCCACCACCCCCGGCTAATTTTGGTATTTTTAGTAGAGATGGGGTTTCACCATGTTGGCCAGGCTGATCTGGAACTCCTAGCCTCAAGCAATCCGCCTTCAAAAGTGTTGGGGATTACAGGAGTGAGCCACCGCGCCCGGCCTATCAATGAATAAGAAAACTTTTAAAGAACCACAGGATAGTATTGGAGGTCAAGTCAAGTATGTTCCTCTTGGAAATTTAGTAACAAACTACATGTTGCTATCTCATAATAGCAGCTAACATTTATGAAGTATTCATTGTCATGAGGCACCGTACATAGATTTCTAATTTAATCCTTACAACGATTTTATTAGGGAGAAACTGCTATTAGACCCATTTTGTAAATGAGAAAACTAAGGCACACAAAGTTTAATGAGGGAACCAGGATTAAACCTAAGCAATCTAACTCCAGGTCCCAGATTTTTTAACCATTACAGTACTGTTTAATTTGATTTGATATGTTAAAAGGATTAATAAAATTAATACAGGTCCATTCCCTTATTCATAAATGTTCATTGTCTTCATTTATTTCTTTATACTGTTCTGCTGAAATTGCACTCTCATCTCCCCAATAACTTTGTAATATCCAATGCCATTTTTTTCAGTCATCCCATTTTAAAATATATTTTTACTAGAATAGTGAAATATATATTCAGATAAAATTGGCTTTGTTTTAATAATGATCAGTAAAAGTAAATTCATTTTAATCATTTCCACACATTCATGAAAAGTAAAGGGGAAAAATGGGCATAGAGGTAACCACTAGAATTAGGCTTTCTTGGATGGGTAGACCAGGTGTGGAGGTGTGCAGATAAGATTTTACAAACACTCATACACTCCCATCTCCAAAATCATAATTTATCTTACATTCTGCTACTAATAAACATTCCACTGGTTTTAAACATTCACTTTGCTGGGTCTCCTCTTTAAAATTTGTCATTCACTGTTCTCAATGTTAGAGACGGTATGCAAACAGTAGGTTTAGGAATAGAGTCAGGAGATGGGGGAAGAAAAACTGGTAGGAGAGAACTTAAGTGTCTCACAGTGTTAAATGTGACTTGATAGCCACTATTCATTTTTTTTTGTAGTTTGCTGTGAGGATGACTTTATACAATTTAATCTTAAATAGGAACCTAACTTAGTTAGGCTTCCTTGGGTAGTCTGTGGAGCATGGAAAAGTTATTAGCATGTCAAAATCCTGTCCACGCACACATACACGCACATACACACAAATGTAGTTTGGTTACATAATAAATTTATATTCAAACTTAATGAAAACAACCAATAGGAAAAAGCTTCTCAATTCCAAAAGTGAAAGAGTAATTTTACAATACCATTTTCCATTTTCCTTTTCATGATAAATCTATGCATTTTCTCAGGATTTATTCCACCAAACGACTTCGTATTTCTCATGAAACATCTACCTTTATTCATCTCAGCATTTATTTATGTAATAAACATTTCTTTTGATGTGCTTTTATTTTTACAAAGATGCCACCTAGTGGCTTGATAAAATCAAGCATTTCAAAGTATCTCCTGTTGTTACTACAGGTTAAAATGAATAATGAATATTTTTAATATTAAAATAATTTAGAAAACTAAGGACCTGAAAATTTTTGTTTTGGAAATTATTTAGATTAAATTTGGATCATAATACCACTTTGTGAACTTGTTAAGAGAATGGAAATATAGGTCTATTGTCCCTTTTCTGAAACCTTTTAAGACAGATGTGTTTGATATTCACAATTTTTCAGATTTTTGAAAGGAAATATGGGCATATACTTTACATTATGTAACACATTAAGAGGGTCTGAGGAAGCAGTTTAGAATCAAATATATTGATACATCTGTGGCAAAATATATTCATATTCACATTGAAGTGCGATAAATACCACAAATAGCCTCATGTAATTCAGGTGGGGTTTGTTGCCAAATGAGTTATGAAAAAACTTTGTTTTCAGAGATTTTTGAAATTAGGAATTTAGATAAGGGACTTTGGACCTGTTTTACTCTGGTGAAAAATAATTCACCCTCCAGTTATAGAGAGATTAAAATGCCAATATTTTGTAAAAAAAAAAAAATAGTTATCTTTAGAAAACCTAATAGATTCACCTAAAAAAAAATTGAAGATCATGAGAAATACCAAAATAGAAATCTTTGCAATGCTTTTCATTTAATTATATACAGATGCCAATCATAAATTACATTTAAGTGTACCACAAAAAATTAGCTGCTAATGTAAACCTAAAGACCAATTTGAAAATTATTAGTGATGCATGGCAAGTTCAATTCATAAATTTTGTGGCACAGTCAAAAAAAAATTTAACCTTGGTTGTTTCTTTTTTTTTATTCCTATGTGTAATTTACCATGTTCCAATTCCCCACCACCACTATGGTCATGGAAATATATGTTGATGGTGCCACACTCAGCCTGGATTCCTTGTGGGTCTATGAGCACTCCTTGCCAACCCTCCTTAGACATGCAGTATGAATAAAAAATACACTTAAGACACTGGGATTTAAGGATAACCCATGCTAAGTCACTACATGACTCACTATTTTACTTCACGATCTAGAATACTGACTCATCTCTAGTCTCTCAAATGAATTCTTCCTGTCCCCATCAATCATTCAAACCCCTTATCACATTCCCACTGTGATTTCCTGTGAATTTTGTCTAAAATAAAACGTCGACCTCCTCTAAACACAACTGGTAGCCTCTCATTTACTTTTCTCTAAAACAATTGGCATTACTATTGTTGTAGCATAGGCTACAATCTCACTGAACACTTAGTTTTTGTTTTTGTTTTTAGTAGAGACGGGGTTTCACCATATTGGCCAGGCTGGCCTCGAACTTTTGACCTCAAGTGATCCACCCACCTCGGCCTCCCAAAGTAGTGGGATTATAGGTGTGAGCCACCACGCCTCCCTACTGAACACTTAGTTTTAATGGGAAGACTGCACTCAGCAAATCCAAAATACTAGTGATATGTTCAGCAATTTGGTACTTAATCCCATACCCCACAATACACTTGTGTAGGGTGTTAGACTTCTGTATGTTTACATAATCATAGAGGATGGGAGGAAAAAGAAAAAGCTGCTATTAGCCTACATGTGGGAATTTTCCTATATATTGTCATCTCCCTTTTAAAAAAGATACATTCATAAACATTGTTATTGGCTTAATTAGCTTCGCTCCTCTGAATGTGATTAGAAAATTGACAATAAAATATAAGCTCTCTTTTCTTCCATCCCCCAATTCTGAGGGAAAAGGAGGGGGAGGGGAGAATGAGGGAGAGTGAAAGGATACAATAAAACTTGAGGCCTGATTGCACATGATGACTACTACTGCTGGCATCAATTCATTCTATTCCAATGACAGACTAGTTGATCCTACTGGTGTGGGAAAGATGGCAACCTTGAGACCTGAGCCTTACTCCAGTAGGGTGCCCCCCTATATCTTGTTTGCCCAGGACAGTCATGGTGTACATCTGTTATCCTTATGTAATTATTTTCACTCAAAATCATTCCAAGTGGAATGATAAATTATCCTATAGTTATCCTAAATATAAGCCATTTTCATCCCAAAGGAAAGAATGCCAAGAAATTGGAATCGTCTGCACTAAGTCCCAGTGTGGGAGAAAGGGGGCATCAACTTTGTTGCCATTTCTTCTTTCTTAGCAAAGCTCAAATTGATTAGCTTCTCTTTCTTTTGAAGTATCTGCAGTATGATGATTAACTAGAATGAAACCCATGGGAGAACTGAAATAGGCCATTCTGAAAATTATTAAAATTAGTTTAGTAGCCACTCAAAACACTGAAGATCTCTGAATAAAAGAATCATTTGCAAAGTGATCAGGAGACTTAACCTGGATGTTTATAGGAAGCAACTGGGAAAAGACTGAAGGAGTAAAAACGATCAGGTGTAAAGTTCTGTGAGCAATTGAGACAGGAGAAAGAACCAATGACCAAATTGCAATACCTTTTAGATACCTATCCCATTAACATAATCTGCCTATAACCTATATGCAGCTCTTTGCAGAAAATGAAATCGTTTACTACTTCTGCTCATATTTGTTCTTTACAGATAATTTTGACAGAAAAGGTAAAGAGAGCAGGATCTAGTTTCATTTGGTACAGCCCATACAGCACAGGAAGAAGTCACAACATCCCAAGCATATTCATAAATAATAATATAACAGGAGCATCAGTTCTAGAACCAGACTGCCTGGGTTCAAACTTCAGCTTCACATCTTACTAGCTATGTGACCTTGGATTTGTTATTAAATCATCTCTTGGTTTCAGTGTCCCCAAGGCCCCAAGTTGCATAATTGCAGGGGAAAACTACTCACGTAGGGTTCTGGTTTCTTATCTGGAAAATGAAGATAATTTGTAGTATCACTCTTAGGGTTGTAGTGCAGGTTTAATGAGTGAAATTAGTCAGGTACTTATGATAGTGCCTGACATTCATATTAAAGTCTCAACAAACATTAGCTATTATTGTTATAATATTATTTTTACAATGACTATTATTCTGCAACTAGCATTTCTAATGCAAACACCAGTAAGGTCCCCTTTTAGCAAAAAAGTTCAGTAACACTGTTGGTGAAACATAAAAGATGCCCAAGAATCATGGCAGATACGGGACTGAAAATATGACAAAAACACAGCAAGCCATCTTTGTTTCTGTGTTGTCCAAAGGACCTGAAAAATAATGGTTGGCTAGAAAATTACCTTGAAAGTACCCATGCAAACACACTTCAGCATCATGTTTTAATAAATATATTATATATTCAAGAAATGTTTAGAACTGAAAATGTTGTTATAAATCATATTCTATTTCTTTTGCAGCATTAGAAATAGGCCATTCTGAGAAACAGGCCAAACTTGCCTCAATGTAGTCATTGAGTTAACAACACTAGAACCATGAGAATGAGAAACCCTGGGCTTCTAACTCCCCCTCTAACACTTCCCCACCAGAAGGAGCCTTCTTGCACTCTAACCTCTAAGAATCCACCTTATTTAATATTTATTTAGTATTCATGTTACAGCTCTATGAGGGGAGAAATATACTGGAAAGAAGGAAAAATACCATTTTTTTCTCATTCTGAGCAAATGTGCGCATGCGCGTGCACACACACACACACACACACACACACACACACACACACACACACGTATACACAAAACCCCACAAGAGTATAGTACTATCTATGAAGGAAAGAGATACCACGTTAAATTTAACCAAGTATTTAGGAATGACAGGGAGCTAGGAAGGCGAAAACACATGTAATTTTATTTTTGTTTAACCTTAAGCTTGCCAACTTCTTTCCCTGAACAGCATTTGTCTTGTTTTGATACCCACCTACACTTATATTAGAAACGTACTGCAAACTATTTAGTGACTCCACTTTTAATTTATGGTCGTATGACTAAGATGTTTTGAATATAAGCCTATCCGTATGCCAGATATAAATTTCAGGAACTCTTAATGTCTCTTCTTTTACAGAAACTCTACCTCTATCCTGATGTAATTAGGTTGATTAAGAAAATTAAAGGCCACGGGCCAGAAAACTAACTTCCACAAATGCAACAAAAGGAAAATTTCTCCAATAACCTGTATGCAATGGGAAATCTTTCTTTTAAGTACCAAGTCAATTTCTTTAACTGTACAATGTATTCTAATTTGAAGGTTTTCAAATATAATACAGTAACAACAAAATATAATAAAATTAAGACTATAAGAAAACAGAGTAAATGGTATAATTCAATAATGACTAAAATAAAATGACACTATGGATTTTGTAATCAACCTATAATTATCTATTTAAATTTCACTTTACATACATAAGATCACAGCTGAGGTTAACCATAATTTCAAATTTTATCACCAGCCACTTGTGCTATTTTATCACATTTGAAAATATTCACTCGTATTATTTACTTCAAACAGTAATCTATAAATTTGTTTAGACTATAATAATTAAGGACCTTTCCTTCTTCAGGATAACTTAAAAAATTAAATGATGTATTGAACATACTACTAAAGAAAGTTTACTTTTTGATTATGGTCTCTGCATTGAAAATCTGTAGGAATTTTTCTTTAATAATTTTCAAATCTTCCCATGGCCTCTCTGTTCACAGAAATATCATCTTTGAAACAACTTGTGTGAGTACTTTATAAATCAAAAATTGATTCACATGACCATATTACCATAATCACCAATTTTAACAGTCTCCTACATATTTTCTATATCACTTTTCTTGATTACAAAATGTCAGTAATAAGAACACGCTCTTAATATAACAGAATATTTAATTACATCAGTTTCCCATGAACACACCAAAGTCACTTAATAATTATATTGGCCATTTCCACTGATCGGCAGGAGGCTCTTCCACTAATGGCTCCCATAGTTTCCATTCCCTCATTTTTCTTGCCAGATTTAGTTCATGTTCAGCCTGTTAATACAAATTTTTTAAAAGATCATTGGATTTTACTCTTCAACAGATATTTATCAGAACAACTGAAATTTAACTATTAGTTACTACTTTCATTTAATATCTCATAATCTATTCCACCATCAAATGTTGAATATTAAGTAATTAAATTACCTTAATTCTCACATCTACATAATCAGGAGTAAGAAAGGATATCTTTTGTTATCTTCTATTTGATTGAAATAGGCTATAGTGTTTAAAAGTTTAGCTGGTGAGGTTTTTTATCTTAATAATATTTCACAAGTTTTTTGAGCATCAGAAGTATGTCTTTTCATCTATGTCAGTGGCTTTCAAACTTTATTTTACCATGGCCCACAGTAAGAAAATATGTTTTATTTTGAGTTCCACAATACAAACATATAACTAAAACTTTTTAAATTATTATCTTTACTGGCAGTGATATATTCTTTTTTCTATTGTGTTTTTTTAAGCTAATCACTATCCAACTAACTGATTCCATGACCCACAGTCACTTGAGACCCAGAGTTTATAAAACAGTGATCTATGGAATGTAGAACACAATACATGTATAATTAATATTTACTAACTGAGTAAATTCCTTAATCAAATTATGTTTCATTTAATTTTTCCTTTCAAACACAACTTATATTTAACACACACATTTTAGGTAGCTTTTTATTTCATATTTTTTCTACAACAAACAATATTTATGACAACTCTAGCCAACTTATAAGATGAATACTATTAAACACCTGTCAGGATGTTAGAAAAGAAATTCAAACACAGAATAAGCGCTCAGATTATATTCAAGGTAATTATTATTACACAGTTAAAAGATAATACCCCATCTATGACAGCGGTCCCAAAAGTCAATCTATGTTTACAAGCAACTATAAAAAACAATGAGTTAAAGAGCAGATGAATGGAAATCAGGGGTAGAGGTATTACTAATGCCAAAAGGAGAAAATAATTTAAATACTGATAAAATATTTCCTAAGGTTGCCCTGGGTCTCACGAACATCCAATGCTTTCTCAATCTCCCCCAGCCATTATAGGGCATGAGGAGGTCACCTAGGCCTCATTCATCCTTGAGAATCAGCCCTATCTCAGGAACCTGGACCCAGCTGCACCTGGCCCCTGATGCCTATTTCCTCCTTTCTGACACACCATCATACCATCCATCTAGAAATGGGACTGTCTAATATGTTAGCCACTACCCATACATGGCTACTGGGGACTTGAAATGCAGCTAGTCCAAATTCAGATGTGCTGCAAAGTGTAAAATACATACCAGATTTTGATGACTTCATATAAAAAAGAATGTAAAATATCTCAATATTTTTATGATTATATTTAAATAATATACTACATATACTGAGTTAAAAAAATACTAAAATTAATTTACCCTTAATACTGACCATGAAAACATGGGGAACTGCACAGCTGACTTAAAAATACTTAATATGCCTTAAAACTTAATTCCATGAAAAATTGATGTATCAACTAAATAAAGTCATGATCAAAGTGAAATCAGGTGGTACAGAAAAGAGAAATAGGTATAGGGCAACAGTATAAGGTTTGCGGCAAGTTCCCATAACACTGTATCTAGTACCACAGCCAACCTGACGAATATAAAGGCCAGGTAAACAGGCCTTTGAATAACTGAAACAGTCTACATTCATAGAAAGCTGTCTGAATGCTATATTCCTCTTTTTCCAGAGCCATCTAACAATTCTTTTGATTTGGTATATCATGTCTGTTGGTGATATACCTCCCTAATCTCCAATATTATCCAATATTTCCTTTTATCTGTCCTTCAATCAACAGTAAGAAAACATTAGAAAGGGTTACATTTGAAAAAAGATGCAACAAAATAAAATTAAATGAAACAATTGAATATTTATCAGACACTTATAAGATGAAGACATTCTAAACCTATAATATGAGGGTTGTAGGGGTGTGGAACAACAAAATTTCACCAAATAAAAAAAATTTGAGCTGGGCAGGGTGGCTCACGCCTGTAATCCCAGCACTTTGGGAGGCCGAGGCAGGCAGATCACCTGAGGTCAGGAGTTCGAGACCAGCCTGACCAAAATGGAGAAACCCTGTCTCTACTAAAAATACAAAATTAGCTGGATGTGGTGGCACATGCCTGTAATCCTAGCTACTTAGGAGGCTGAGGCAGGAGAATTGCTTGAACCCGGGAGGCGGAGGTTGTGGTGAGCCGAGATCATGCCACTGCACTCCAGCCTGGGCAACAAGAGCAAAACTCCATCTCAAAAAAAAAAAAAAAAAAAAAATTGAAAACCTCTACATATGGGGGAAAAACCCCATTTGAGAGGCAAAAGCAGGCTAGAAAAAGTATGTGCAGACAATGTCAGAAAAGTTTAAGGTTAATATCTTTTATTATAAAAAGACACTCATGTATAAATAACCCAGACTAAATGACCCAGTAAAAATATTAATGACATAATTTATAAAATATAAGAACATATTTTTAAAGTTTAACCTTACTAGCAATTGGAGAAAAAAGATGCAAATCTTAAAAAAAAAAAAAAAAAAAAAAAAAGAGTTATCATTATTTTCCCATAGATGCTTTAAAAAACCAACTACGGAATACTCAAAATAGTATATTTCCAGCCTATTTACATCAGTAACCTATCTATTTCTATAACCTAACTATGACCAAAGGAAAAGAATTAAAATTCAGATTAAATAAAACTAAACTGCGGTGTTTGTTCTCTTGTATAAGCAGCAGGTATAGTGAGAGGAGAAGAAAATTTCCCAATAGAATAATTTAAGATTTAAATATTCTAAATGTAATTAATAATGTTAATAATTTTTCTAATCTCAGTCTCTTCATAATCATGCTTACATTTTACTACTCAATATTATTTGTCAGGGTTAGTATTTGGGAAATAATGTAGAATTAAGCTCTCAAATATACTATGCAATTGTTTTTTAACTTGCTCAAATGCTCAAGAACCAAAAATAAAAATAAAAGTACATTTTAATTTTATAATTCAAAATGTCTGTATTTTTCCCTACTAAAAATATGCCACACTCTTAAAATAAGATACAACTATTAAAACAACAGTAATATTGTGCTACCAATTTAAACTAAGGTTAGGCCAAGGAGAACATGCTAATTAAATTAAAAGAGTGTCAAACTCCAGGCTTCTAACAGAAGTCTCATAAATTCATGCTATAATCAACAATAAATACTATAATCAACATACACATGAGAAGCACCACATTTTCTATATGTGATTAGTCTTACATATTTGACGAGTTGATATAAACAAGGAAATTTAGTTTTCCTTTCATTCTAGAACGTCAGTTGTGTGTCTCTATGAAACCAAACACCTAAATAGTCAACTTTTTCTTTACCTGAAGAATCACCTCTTCTAATTGACCGCCTTGAAGTTGGTCTTCTAATTTTTTAACATCTGGTTCCTATAATTTCAGGGAGAAAAAAAATTAAAGAAGCATACTAACTGAATGTTTCAATATCCTATATATTTTAAAATTCCTATATAAAAACACTTAAAAATACAACTTTTCTTTCATCATACTCTTTTTACTAAATATTTGGTGAAAATTCATTTCACCTCTGCTATTTCATTGCTTTTCTGTCTTAATATTGAAAAGTGCTAAATGTTTATTGACATGCTGATCAAGGGACAGAAATACAATGTCAAATTCAGTCTTCCTAAAACAGATTTTAAAATATGACTTTGCTTTCTTAATATTTCCTGTATTTCCTCTGAGAGCATTAGAATTAGAAATAAATGCTACTCTATGACCCAGAAATTACACTTCTAGGCATAATGCCAAACAGAAATGCATAATATATTTTTTAAAAAACATGTTTGAGAATATTCACAGCAGCACAAATTATAGCCCCAAACTAGAAATAACCCAAATGATCATCTGTAATAGAATGGATCAATTAATTATAATATTTGGATATAATACTTCACAGCAATGAAAATGAATAAACTGTATGCAACAATATAGGTGATTCTCTTAACCACAGTATTAAGCACAAGCCAGAGTACAGTATGTATAAGACAGTACATACTAATGATTTCATTTATATAAAATTCAAAAACAGGCAAAAAGAAGTCCAAATAGAGATTAACTTTACAAGTAGTAAATTGAAGGGGAAGAGGCAAGGGTTTTGTTGTTCTGGAAAAGTCCTTTTTTTCTACACATTTGTAATGTATATAATTATTTAATAGAAGTTTTTAAGAACAAAATGTTAATAAATATAGTACCTAGAACATTCAATGACATTTAGTTATTTTCTAGTAAACTGAGCTTTTTGAGCCAGAAATCATGCTCTGTAAATATACCCACATATGTAAATAAGGCTTTGTCTTTTCAGGGTGTTTTTCTGGCCAATAAATGGAATAAAGAGGGAGAAAATAATACATTTTGCTTTTCAACACAAGACGTGATATGTTACTGCCTCAGGGTATCTTGCTGGATGGCCCAGGGTATCTGCATCACTTGTTTCTTCACCACTTTTCAAATCTTTGCTCAAATAACACCTTCTTATTGATTAACTACTGATAATTTGCATTATGATAGGCTGAAAAATACCACAAAAGATATACATGTATTAATTTCTAGAAACTGTGAGTGTTACTTTATACAGCAAAGACTTCACATATATGATCAAGTTAAGGATGCTGACATGGGGAGATTTTCCTGAATTATCCATATAGTCCCTAACTGCAATTATAAGTGTCCTTATAAGAGAGAGGCAGAGGGATATTACACACAGAAAAGGAAAAGGTAATGTAACCACAAAGGCAGAAATTGCAGTGATGAGACCACAAGCCAATAAATGCCAAAAGCCACCAGAAGCTGAAAGAGGCAAGAACAGATTCTACCCAATATCCTCCAAAGGAAGCACAGCCCTGACAACACCATCTTGATTTGGGTCCCTGATGTTGATTTCCAACTTCTGGCCTCCAGAAGTCTAATAAAATAAACTTACATTGTTTTAAGCCACCAAGTTTGTGGGAATATTACAGCAGCCATACGAAATTAATACATAGTGTAACATCCCCTATCCCCACCATGGCACACATTTTCCTTGTTTTATTTTCCTTCACTGCACTTACTATTTTCTAACACACTATGTACGTCTTTACTCAGTTTTTACTTTTTTTTTTTCTTTTGGTCTCCCATCACTAACATGTAATCTCCAAGAAGGAAAGGATTTTTATCTGTTTTGTGCCAACTAGGCACAAGTTTCCATGCCTAGAACCATACATGGCATTCAATAAATGTTTCTTGGTTAAAGAAGTGAATACATAAAAAACAGCTGAAAGGGGGAGAAAAGGGGAAAAAGTAATAAGCATGTTTAAGACAGATTATTTAACAGGGAATTAACTCATATGAGAGACCAAAAATCAAAAACAAAACAGGGAAGCTGGTCACTGTTATAAGAGACTCAGGAGAGTGAAGGTAAAGAAGGCAAGGAAAGTTCAACGACACTTTCATTTCAGAAAAAGCCTGTGTTAGGTGAACAGTTCAAAATTTGTCTTACCGATAGTGAATAATGTGATTTTTAGTCACCAATGGCATAATGCTATTAAACTTGATAAGGTACCATGTACTGAATGCTCACTATATACTTGGGACTATGTTAAGCTTTTACGTGCATTACCTCATTCGGTTCTAACAAAAAGTGTTCGAGGTGGGTATTATTATACCCACGTTATAGATGATGAAATTGAGACCGAGAAAACTAGCAATATGCCAAGTCACTCCACAAATAAGTATTAGAACTAAGATGAAAATCTTGGACAGGGACACAAACAACGCTTTTCACCAAAATAGTACTATCTCCCTAGTAATAATCTGAAAAAAAAAGTTACTTTTATTTCCACCTTAGGCTTAGTAAATAGATATTTTATAATAATGGCAATATTCACTAAAGATTTTGTGTGTGGCTGTATGCAGGGTTAAAAATCTGTGATAATTTTACCAAAAACAGGAATCAGAGATACAACTGTTAAGTGTTTGGGGTTATATCTAGCCTTTGGGATAAAGACACATTTCTAAGGAACCTTATGTTCCAGGTACCATGCTAGAGTCTAAGGATACAAAGTTGAATCCAATATCATTAACAAGTAGCTTATGGCTGGTGGAGACATAATACAGCATGAAGGTACAATGGAAAGGAGGTAACAAAGTTGTCAAACTCTACTTAAGAAAGTAAGAAAAGGTTTCACAGAAGAAGTGATGATTTATGAAGAAAAAGTAAGAACTACCAAACAACGTAAAGGCATTCCAGGAAATGAGAAAATACAAATGAACACAAAAATAAAAATGCAAGGAATCCACAGAACTGCCAGCAGTTTGGTACTGCTTAAGTATAGAGTATAAAACAGGAAGCAACAGGATCAGATTGAGAAAATAACCAAGAGCCAGAACTTAGAAGGCCTTCTATACCATGTTTTTACCCTGTTAGGCCAGTGGTTCCCAAACATGGCCACACATCAAAATCATGCAGATAAAGGTAGCTAAGCAAGCTTCATACAACCAGCTCAACATAAATCCTTAAACTCAGCCTTTGAGAAACACTGAACAGAAAACCACAGTAAGATTTTAAGCAAGACAGCACAGTTGGCCCTCAGGATCTGCATCTGTGGATTCAACTAAGAATGGATTCAACCAACCACAGATGGAAAATATTCAAAAAAACACAATAAAAATAACAATACAGCAATTTTTAAAATACAGTATAACTACTTACACAGCATTACATTGTAGTATTATAAGTAACCTAGAGATGATTTAAAGTATACAAGAGGATGTGCATAGGTTATATGCAAATACTATGCCATTTTATATAAGGGACTTGAGCATCCTTGTATTTTGGCATCCATGGGAATCCTGGAACCAATCCCTCATGGATACCAAGGGACAACTGTACCATCACAAGATTTACATATTGAAAAAAAAATCAGTCTATTATTGGCTGTATGGTGGAGCATGTAATGAAGTATAATGGAAGTACAAACAGATCAATTAGTTATAAGGCAGTTTAAATAGCAGAGAAAAGGATTTTGGAACCAGTAAGTAAAGAAGTATGAGAGTAAACTCTTCTTTGGTTGAAACTGGCTATGGGAGAAAACAAAAATAGGACAATAAGTAAAGGAAAATACAAGCATACAGTTTTTTTTATTTTTAAGATAGGAACAAGCTAAAAACATTTGAGGCTATTTGAAAGATGATGATAAAATAGGTGAGGCACCGGGTGCAGGTAGCTCATGCCTGTGATCCCAGCACTTTGGAAGGCTAAGGCAGGAAGGTCACTTGAAGCCAGGAGCTTGAGATCAGCTAGGGCAACACAGTGAAACTCCGCCTCTACAAAAAATTTTAAAAATTAGCTGGGCATGATGGTGAGTGCCTGTGGTCTCAGCTACTTGGGAGGCTGAGGTAGGAGGATTGCTTGAGACTGGCAGGTCAAGGCTGCAGTGAGCTGTGATCGTGCCACTGCACTCTAGACTGGGTAACAGAGTGAGACCCATCATATAATACAATACAAAATACGATATAATACAAACTGCATTGTTTTGTTGCATACCTAACGAAAGATAGGAATTCTCTTTGAACTATATAGTCTGGTAATCTAATAAGAAGAAATATATGTGACTAGGATCACTTATGCATGTATATAAATTACCTTCAGAGTTTCTAAGCACTATTTTAGATAATTACATAAAGTCCATTTAATGATTGCTAGTGTGAAAATTTAACAATAGTACAATATAGTTTGGTATGAATCAGCAGTCTAGACTTTTATTAACTGCTACTTAATAACAGTCTAGTCTTTTTGACAGGTTTCTTTGAAAAAAAAATGCCCTTTTTTGTTTTGCTTTTATTGTTCTCTAAGATTAGAAAAAGGAGATCAAGATTGATATATCCAAGATAAAAAGCAAAAGATCAATAAAGGACTAAATAGTGAAGAGAGGTAAAAGGAACAGCTACAATGTTACTTCAAGGAAGGATCTGATCCTAGTCTCAAACTCCAGTATGTAACAGAGGCCTGCATATAGAAAACACTCAATAAACAAGAGTTTGCTGAATAAAAGGGAGGAATGATGGGAAAAGAGCATTCAAGGAAGGAGAATAGAAGAAAAGTGTGTCGAATATATAAAAAATAAGGAACTAAACTTTTTTGGTTAAATGTTACACAAGACAACAAAACTGACTTAGCTACTTACCGCTTTAACCATAGCCAGCTTCTCATTTGTAATCTGTTCTGTATACTTTCTATATGCTGCATTTTTAGGGATTTCCTCAAGAACATCAAGAATCTTTGTGTACAATATTCTTAGCCTCTGAAAAGACAAACCATACAAATTTCCATAGGTTAAAATATTACCAAAGACTTAATGGAACACTTGTCTCAAAGACAAAACAAACAAAACTCACATCTGTTTTTTTTTTTTGCTTTTTTTTTTTAATTTAACTCTTCTTTGCTCTGACTTCTTTATGTCTGTGCCCTATCTACACCCTTTATAACTTAGGAAAAACCTGTATATAAACATGGGAACATTCTGTATTTTCTGTGTATAACAAGTTCTAGATAAGTCAAAGGTATGATAACAAGTAGAAACAAAACTAACTTATTGCTAAGGACCTTTTGGGAAATCGAATCATTTACCAAATCAGTATTTTTCTTTCTTTCTTTCTTTTGAGACGAAGTTTCACTTGTTGCCCAGGCTGGAGTACAATGGCATGATCTTGGCTCATTGCAACCTCCACCTCCCAGGTTCAAGCGATTCTCCTGCCTCTGCCTCCACAGTAGCTAGGATTACAGGTGGCCGCCACCACGCCTGGCTAATTTTTGGTAGAGACGGGGTTTTGCCATGTTGGCCAGACTGGTCAGAAACAAAACAACTTATTGCTAATGACCTTTTTGGAAATCAAGTCATTTACTAAATCAGTATTTTTCTTTCTTTCTTTTTTTTTTTTTTGAAACGGAGTTTCGCTCTTATAGCCCAGGCTGGAGTACAATGGCGTGAACTTGGCTCACTACAACCTCCACCTCCTGGGGTCAAGTGATTCTCCTGCCTCAGCCTCCCAAGTAGCTGGGATTACAGGTACCCGCCACCATACCTGGCTATTTTTTCTATTTTTAGTAGAGACAGGGTTTTGCCATGTTGGCCAGGATGGTCTCAAACTCCTGACTTCAGGTGATCCGCCCACCTCAGCCTCCCAAAGTGCTGGGATTACAGGCGTGAGCCCACCCAGCCTGAATCAGTATTTTTCAAAGTGAGGTCCGAAGCACTGCAAATTTTTTTTTTTAATTTTTCTTATTTGAATTTCTGTAGAAATAAACACATATAATCATTACATCTGTATGATCAAATTTAACTAAATACGGTCATAATACTTCAGTGTTCTTGCTTCTGATTATGAATGAGTTACGACATAAAGTCTGCATAAAAGGCTCAACCGAAAAAGTAGCAAGAGAATTGAGTCAATGCATAGCATGTACTGAAGCACACTGAACTTAAACTTCAGTATAGAAATCAGTAAGAAGTTGATCCTCTCCAATTTAAATATATAATGCATATATTAGTTTTTAATATAGCATTTTAATTAAGTTTTAATATGATCTAAAATTCAGGTTTTAAATTTTCATCTTTCCTGACAAAAATGTATCAGTGTCTAGAGAAATACAGATGAGAACAGGGGACTATTAATATAGAATAAAAGAAAAAATGTTATCAATAGGGTGGACACTTAGTTTATCATCCAAACTTGGACACTTATAACAGTGAAAAGATACCTATTAATCATTACGCCAAAACACAGGTATGAACCAGAACAGTTGAAACAAACAAGACATGATCACTCCAGGAGTAAGTCTCAATAATTACAAGTATACAAACCCTTCTCCTAAAGAGCAACCTTTTTTTTCAATTAAAAAAAAAAAATGTGTGCAGTCCTCACTATTCATAATAGCAAAGACTTGGAACCAACCCAAATGCCCAGTGATAGACTGGATAAAGAAAATATGACACATATACAACATGGAATACTATGCAGCCATAAAAAAGGATGAGCTCATATCCTTTGCAGGGAAATGGATGAAGCTGGAAACCATCATTCTCAGCAAACTAACACAAGAACAGAAAACCAAACATCACATGTTCTCACTCATAAGTGAGAGTTGAACAATGAGAACACATGGACACAGGGAGGGGAACATCACACACTGGGGCCTGTCAGTGGGTGGGGGGCCAGGGGAGGGATAGCATTAGGAGAAATACCTAATGTAGATGACGGGTTGATGGGTGCGGCAAACCACCATGGCACGTGTATACCTATGTAACAAACCTGCACGTTCTGCACATGTACCCCAGAACTTAAAGTATAACTAAAAAAAAAAAAAAAAAAAAAAAATTGTGTGCAGTCCTAATAAGGGAACAGGGTAAAGCAAAAATAAAAAAGCAGATAAGCTAGAAGTCCACCTTTCTTCATGGTCCAGGACACACAGTCCTCCTCCACAAATAACTCACAATCTTCCTGTGCCCAGCTATCATCAGACCCTCGCCTGATAGCTCATTGCAACCTAGGTGTTATCAGTACTGCACAAAGCTCTCTTCAGCCCACAGCACAAGCACCATCCTTTAAGATCCCCAGCAAGCCTTTGCTACTTGCATTCAGCTCCTCTTTTGCTGACTTGCCAATAGCTTTCTTGCAATGTATTTTCATACTTTCTCTAATAAATCTGCCTTTCTTTACCTCAAATGTCTTGGTAAATTATTTTTACCACCACGCAACACCAGCCCCAGACAGTCGCTACCCGCGAAAAAATATACTCAGTACTTCCATGTACAATACCACACTGTTTGCGTATAAAGATAGACTGGACATGGATCACACTCCAATATGTTTAAGGTACTATCGAGTGTACTTATCTGTTCTCATGCTGCTAATAGAGACATACCTGAGACTGGGTGATTTATAAAGGAAAAGAAGTTTAATGAACTTACAGTTCCACATGGCTGGAGAGGCCTCACAATCATGGCAGAAGATGAAAGAGGGGCAAAGGCTTGTCTTACATGGCAGGAAGCAAGAGAGCATGTGCAGGGGACCTGCCCTTTATAAAACCATCAGATCTCACGAGACTTCTTCACTATCACAAGAACAGCATGGGAAAAACCCACCCCATGATTCAATTACCTCCCACCAGGTTCCTCTCCCACGACACATGGGGATTATGGGAGCTACAATTCAAGATGAGATTTGGATGGGGACAGAGCTAAACCATATCACAGGGTAAGCTACAGAAGAGGAAAAATAATAAAAATGATAAAAAGAAAAAATAAGTGTGTGTTTGGCAGGGATGGGGAAATACATAGAGCAAAGAGATATTATAATACTTAGCAACGGTTAAGGGTGTGCTAACCAGAACATAACTGCTTGAGTTTACACTGGCTCCACTCCTTAGGTGCACTGGACAAGTTATTTCCATCTCTGTGCCTTCATCCCTCATCTGTAAGATGGGAATAATACTGCCTCATAGGGTATATACAACTTAGAACAGTACCTGGTACACATTAAGTTTCACTAAGTATTAGCATTATTTTTCTATAGCAGAAGAAGAATTCACTTCAGCTGAGACCAGAGAAGCATTCATATTTCAAAAAGGTGGCATCTAAGATAGACCCAGAGGGATGGTAGATCATAGAAACTTAAATGATATTGGAAAAGGCAATTACATACAGAATACATAGAACTGAATGGCAGAAAATACAGCAAACATAAGGAAGTGGTATATAGTTCTATTTTCTTGAACTGTGCTGTCTAAAACAGTAGATGCTAGCTAAATATGGCTACTGAGCATTTGATATGTGGCTAGTCCAAACTGAGATGTGTTATAAGTATAAATACATACCAGAGTTGGAAAATTTAGTATGAAGAAAAACACTATAAAATACCATTAATTTTTTTATTATATACTGAAATGGCAATATTTTAGATTTGTTAGGGTAAATAAAATAATTAAATTTTACCTTTTTCTTCATTAAAAAATTAGTCCTAGAAAATTTTAAATTACATACAAATATGGCTTACATTTAAGGCTCGCATTATGTTTTTAATGGCCAGCACTTGGTTAGAATACAGTAGCTCCCCTTTACCCATCCGTGGTTTCATTTTCCAAGGTTTCAGTTACTAATAGTCAACCTCAGTCAGAAAATATTAAATGAAAAATTCCAGAAATAAACAATTTATAAGTTTTAAACTATGTGCCGTTCAAAGTAGTGTGGTGAAATCTCACACTATCCCACTCTATCCTTTCTTCATCACAAGAGGGTGGTACAGTACAGTAAGATATTTTGAGACAAAGAGACCACATTCACATAACTTTTATTACAGTATATTGTTATAATTGTTCTATTTTATTAGTTGTTATCTCTTTTTTTTTTTTTTCTTTTTTGAGACAGGGTCTCACTCCATCACCCAGGCTAGAGTGTAATGGCATCATCACAGCTCACTGCAGCCTCAACCTCTGGGGCTCAAGCAATCCTGCTGCCTCTGCCTCCCGAGTAGCTGGGACTAGGTGCACACCACCACACCTGATTAATTTCCACATTTTTTGTAGAGACGGGGTTTTGCCATGTTGGCCAGGCTGGTCTTAAACTCCTGGGCTAAAGCAATCCACCCGCCTCAGCCTCCCAAAGTGCTGGGATTACAGGCGTGAGCCAGCACGTCCAGCCTGCTTATCTCTTATTGTGCCTAATTCATAAATTAAACTTTATTATAGGTATGTATGAAACAAAACATAGCATATATACAGTTTGGTACTATATGTGGTTTTCAGACATCCACTGGGGATTTTGGAATATACTGCTGTACAGGACACATAAGGAAATGCATAGGAGATAAAGTTAGAGAAAATGTCACATTATAAGTGGTTCTGCATTCCAAGTTAAAGCATTCGGGCTTTATTCTGTGGACAATTAAAAGATTTAGGAAAATCATATGATTAGATTAGGAAAATTAGCTTCATTGTAGTGAGTTAAAAGGACTGAAGGAGAAACAAGGCAGAAAGGCCAGTAAGGAGGTTGTTGCAATTCTCTAAACAAGAACAAGGACCTGAACTATGGTAGTAACAATAGAAATAGTAAACAGAAGTCAGACTGGAGAGCTGTTATAGAAAAGGATCAGCAAAAAAAATAAAAATAAAAATCATCATTGGAATGAATATGAGAGTACAAGTATAAGAGAAATACCAACTATGATGTCCAAATTCCCAGCCTAGGGAGTAGAAAGATCTGAAACTATCAAGAAAAATACAGCCCACAGAGGAAGAAATATATTTAGAAGGGAAAAACCATGAGTTCAGTTCTTTACATCAATGACAATAAAGTTATTATGAAATCATAGGAAGTGCAAGACACTCATTCAACTAACACTATTTACTGAGCACATACTATGTGACAGAGTTCTAGCAGTGAAACAATTACAAATCCCTGCCTTCATGAAACCTACATTCTAGTAGAGACATAACAAAATAAATCAGTAGAATAGTGAACCAGAGGGTCACAGTAAGAAACTTGTCTTTATTTAGAGTGAAATGGAAAGCCATTAGTTTTAAGGAAAGGAGAGATCTGACCTACCTCATATTTTAACAGACTAACTCTAGTAGCCTGGCTGGAAAAAAAGACCAAATGGAGGCTGTGACAAGCATTGAGAGGCAGTTAAGAAGTGAATGCAATTATCCACATCAGTGATGATGGTGACTGAGGAAGAGGGTAGTAGCAGAGGAGGTAGTGAGATGTTGTCAAAATCAAGATATATTTTGAAGGTGGAACCTAGAGGGTTTACTGAAATAACAAATGTGGAGTGTAAGAGAAAGGAAGGAATCAAAGATGATTTCAAGTTTCTGACCTGAGTCAAAATAATTGAGCTGCCATTAATTGAGATGAGCAAGACTGAGAGAAGAGCAGGTTTTAGGCAGAAGATCAGGAACCCCATTTTGGACATGTTAAGTTTGGGTTGCCTGTCTGACACATACAAATAGAGATGCCCACTAAGCAATTAAATATTCAGGACTTTTATAAAGGAAGAGGTCAGTGCTTTACATGGAAATCTGTTGTCAGTGTATAGGTGGTATTTAAAACCGTTCTCTATTTGGATTTGCTCTCTCTTGGTGACAGAGTACAGGTCCAAAAGAAAAGGTCCAAGAACTAAATCCTGACTAACTCAAATTTTAAAAGTGGGCATAAGAGAAATAACCAGAAAAAGAGAAAGCCAAAGAGTAGGGGGAAAAAATCAGGAGACTGGGGGAGTCCTGAAGCCCAGTAAAGAAAGCGCATGATGGAAAAAGTGTCAAATGTGTCAAAAAAAAAAAAACGCTGCTATTAGGTCAATGAAGGTGAGAAACATAAGCTGACCATTGGATTTGGCAACATGGAGATAACTGGTGAACTTGAAAAGAGCGTGATGGAAAAAGTGTCAAATGTGTCAAAAAACGCTGCTATTAGGTCAATGAAGGTGAGAAATATGAGCTGACCATTGGATTTGGCAGCATGGAGATAATTGGTGAACTTGAAAAACGCCAAGGGTGACTGAGTGCATTCAAGGGTGAATAAGAAAGAAATTGGAGAAAATAGAGATAACTCTTTTGAGTTATCTGTAAAGTGAAGCAAAGAAATGGTGTGATTATAGAAGGGACAAGAAGAATAAAAAAATTTTGTGGGTTTTTTTGATGAAAACATTCGTGAATACAGATGGAAAAGACCTAACAGAAGGAAAAGGGGGCAGTACCTTTAGTAAGCCTAAATATATGTAATCCAACGCACCTAAGCAGAAACGGTAAGGCAAGGAGAAAAGATGGAAAACGGAGATATAAATTTGAGATGGCGCTGACAGAAGCAAGCACAAGTGAAGCCATGAAAATGTCAAGGAAAAAGTCAACAAGAAAACTGGCTTAATAAAGAGGTCATGGCAAAAATAAATAAAAATGTGACATCGGATCAACGAAGTAGGTGGACAGCGCCCGTGTCTCAAGAGCTCACGCGGCTTGTAATTAAGGGCTTGAAACATCTGTATCCCGTTAACCCTGCAATAAGCAAAGTGACAGGAATTTAGTCTTCCTTGGGAATTCAAGAACGAAGAAAGAACAAAGGTACATACCTCGTGAGGAGTATTGCACACAGCCAATCCCACAAGGCCAGTGGTCTGTTCAAAAACAAAACACGATTCATGCTGTTTACTACGGTTTCCATACATCCAGCACGCTAAGGAAATACAAAACCACGAATCCCCCGGCTAAAACTGGTCTAAAGCCAGCTACTGGTCTCTCAGTCTCGCTTGTTTGGAGCTTTTTTCCTGACTCTCGGAGCGGAACCACTAACCTGCCCTACCCGGTAAGGCATGCAGAACGAGTCCCCGAAAAGCACCGCCGAGCCCGCGACAGTAGGGGTCAACACCCGCGGGAAGTAGGGCTATCGGACTGAGTCTACCCCCACAGTCTAAATTCCAACAGTGACCTCCATTCGTCTCACCTTCTTCAGCACACCCGCCATGACAGCGCCAACGACTCGGTGACGCACAACCCTTTGGGAACAATTCTCAGACCTGCTCAATCGACCACCGAGGTCGCCACTCTGTCACCCTGGAAACAGCTTAGCTCCACCCCTTCAGGATCGCCAAAGGAGCAAAGACTCTGCCCCGCCCATCTTAAAAGAGAAAAATTGACGCATGCGCGATGGGCATACAAGCCTAAAGCTAAGCTAGAAGACGATTGGGGAAAGAAAGGGTTTCCCAGCTGTCTGTTCCTGTTCCTGCCACTGCTGACGGCTTGCCCAAAGATTGAGGGAAACACTCCCAACTACCAAAAAACTCCAGTCGCTGTAGGAACCTGCACTGTGCTTAACCGTTGATGCATTCCTCAACCTTCCTTTCTCAGTTTAGTAAAATGAAAGTGATAACGGAGCTTGAGCATCCTCTGAATTGATCTCTCAACAGCAAGTTAGTTCTTCGCACAAGGATATCAGTATTCTCTGTGTCTTACGAACCAAAGCCCTATGGAGTGTGAGGTCATTTTCCATCGCTCTTTTCGATTTCACTGGCTGAAATACATCATCTTATTTCCAGATGAAATGATATCAGACCATACCACTTTTTCCTACCTCCACAAACACTGACCACTCACTATGTGTCAGTTACTGGGACATAATTTCTAAAATGGGATTTCACATCCTGGAATTCAAAGAATAATGAAGAAGGCGTGTATTAATAAATAATTTGGTAACTGTTCTAAAAGAAGTTGATGCAAAGTGTGATGGTACCAGGGAAAAGGAAATAACTAAAAAGCGTGGGTGACTTTCTAAAAAGTCAGTAGGAGAAAAGAACAAATTGAGAAAACACAAGTACAAAGGAAAAGAGGTTAAAAATGTATATATAAATTCCAGGTGATTTTATGTGATTGGAAAGGTGGGTTTGATTGTTAAGGTAAACTGGTTAAGATTATGAAAGGTGTTGTTTGCCATTATACAAAATTTGAATTTTACTTTTTAAGGAATGGGAACAATGAGAAGACTTTTAAGCTTCTAAGTGACACCATCAAATTTATGTTTCAGATATACAAACAACTTAGGCAACAGTTGAAGAGAATGAGTTGGAAGAGATGAGGCCTTTCATTAGAGGCATGAGACTAGAAAAAATGAAAGCTAAACCAAAAGCAAACAGAAGAAAGGAAATATTAAAGATTAGAAAAGAAGGAGACAGAATATCAATAAAGAAAATCAATGAAACCAGGAATTGGTTCCCTAAAAGGATCAACAAAATTGGCAAACCTTTAGTGAAACTAAGAAAAAAAAGAGAGAAGATTTAATACAAGCAAGAATAAAAGAACCATCACTAATAGCCTTGCTGAAATAAACAGGAATAAGAAGGAATACTATGAACAACTATGCTTAAAAAAGATAAAGTAGATAAAATGGCCAGATTCCTAGAAAAACACAAACTACCTAAATCAACTCAAGAAGGCATAAAGAAAAATCTGACTAGATCTAACATAATTAAAGAAATTGAATTAGCAAGAAAAAAAAAAAAACCTATCCAGAAGGAAAAGCACAGGTCCAGATGGCTTCGCTGGTAAATTCCACTGAACAATTAAAGAATAACACTTAAGAAACTATTCCAAAATATAGAAGAGGAGGAAACAATTAACAACTAATTCTATAAGGCAAGTATTACTCTGATTCCAACCAGACAAAGAAATCAACAAGAAACAAAAACTTCAGCCAGGTGTGGACTCTGATTCCAACCAGACAAAGAAATCAACAAGAAAAGAAAACTTCGGCTGGGCCTGGTGGCTCATGCCTGTAATCCCAGCACTTTGGGAAGCTGAGGCAGGAGGATCACCTGAGGTCAAGGGTTTGAGACAGCCTGGCCAACATGACAAAACCTTCTCTCTACTAAAAATACAAAAATTAGCCAGGCCTTGTGGTGTGTGCCTGTAATCTCAGCTACTCTGGAGGCTGAGACAGGAGAATCACTCAAACTCAGGAGGCAGAGGTTGCAGTGAGCCAAGATTGGGCCATTGCACTCTAGCCTGGGTGACAGAGCAAGATTCCGTCTCACAAAAAAAAAAAAAAAAAAGGAAAGAAAAAAGAAAATAAAACTTCAGGCCAATATCCCTTATTAATAAACACAAAATACTCAGAAAAGTACTAGCAAACCAAATTCAGTAGCATATGAAAAAAAAATTATACACCACAAATAAATGATATTTATTTCAAAAATACAAAGTTGGTTTAACATCCCCAAATCAATTAATCTAATGTACCATTGAATACAGGACAAAAACTATATGATAATTTTAATAGATGCAGAAAAAGCATTGGACAAATTTCAACATGCTTTCATGATAAAAGCACACAACAAGCTGGGAAAAGAAGAGAAATTTTTCAACCTGATAAAGATGCTTAGAAAAACCCCACAACATCATACTTAAGAGTGAAAGGCAATTCTTTTCTGCTAAGATCATTCACAAGACAAATATTTTTCCACTCTCACCACTTCTATCCAACAATATATTGGAAATATTAGCTAAGGGAATTAGGCAAGAAAATAAAATGAATAAAAGTCATCCAGAAGAGACAGGAAAAAGTAAAACTATCTCTATTCACAGTTGCATAATCTTTTATATAGGATTATTAAGGAATACACACATACATACAATTAAAACAAATAACTTCAGCAAAGTTACATTATACGTGATCTATCAGGGTCAGCTCAGGCTGCCATAACAAAATACTATGGATGAGGTGGCTTAAACAACAGAAATGTATTTCTCACAGTTCTGAAGGCTGATAAGTTTAAGACCAAAGCCAGCAAGACAGATTTCATTCTGAGGCTTTTTCTTTTGGCTTATACTGGTTACCCTCTCATGGTATGCTCATATTTACCTCTTTTCGTGTGTGCTTGGGGTTGGGTCAGGGTGGAGAGCAAGATCTCTGGTGTCCCTTTTTATAAGGCCACTGTTACCATCATGACCTCATCTAAACCTAATTATCTCCCAAAGATTCCATCTCCAAATACCATTTTATTGAGGTTTAGAGCTGTAATATATGAAATCTGGGGGACATAGTCCATAGCAATCAATATACAAAAATATGCTCTAGTCTATTATAGCAATGAATAATCTGAAAATAAATTAAGAAAACAATTCTATTTACCATAGCATCAAAAAGAAATAAATCTAACAAAATAAGTGTAACACTTGTACACTGAAAAGTATTAAATATTGTTGGAAATACTAAAGATCTAAATAAATAGACATTTCTTATTTAATGATTTGAAGTCAATATTGGTCAGATGGCAATACTCAAGTTGATGTAGCGTTTCATCACAATTCCTATCAAAATCCCAGCTTCCTTTTTGCAGAAATTTTTCACAAAAGATTTGTCAGTAGCAGAAGGCACTGTTTGATAACACTTGTCTCACAGAAGAACTCTCAAAATTGGAATCAGTCCTCTCAATTCTGCTGCTGCTTTATCAACCAAATTTATAAAATATTATAAAGACTTTGTTGTCATTTAAACAATATTCACAGTATCTTCACCAGGAGTAGATTCCATCTCAAGAAACCACTTTCTTTGTTCATTCAAGAAGCAACTCATCATCTGATCAAGTTTTATCATGAGATTGCAGCAGTTCAGTCACATCTTCAAGCTCTACTTCTAATTCTGGTTCTCTTGCTGTTTTCCTCACATTTGCAATGGCTTTTTCCACTGATCTTCAACCCCTCAAAGTCATCCATGTGAGTTGGAATCAACTTTTGCTAAACTCCTGTTAATATTGATATTTTGACCTCCTTGCATGAATCACCAATTTTTTTTTTGAGACAGAGTCTCTATTGCCCAGGCTGGAGTGCAGTGGCATGATCTTGGCTCACTGCAACCTCTGCTGCCCCAGTTCAAGCAATTCTCCTGCCTCAGCCTCCCGAGTAGCTGGAATTACAGGCATCTGCCACCGCACCCGGCTAATTTTTGTATTCTTAGTAGAGACGGGGTTTCACCGTCTTGGCCGGGCTGGTCTTGAACTCCTGACCTCATGATCCACCCACCTCAGCCTTCCAAAGTGCTAGGATTACAAGCGTGGCCACCGCACCTGGCCCATGAATCACCAAATCTTTTTAATAGCATCTAGTGTGGTCAGTTCTTTCAAGAAGGTTTTCAATTTATGTTACCCAGATCTGTCAGAGGAATCGGTATTTATGGTAACTATAGCCTTATAAAATGTATTTTTTTAAATAAGACTTGAAAGTGGACATTACTCCTTGACTCGTGGACTGCAGAATGATGACTGCAGCATGTTGTGCGTGAAAACAATGTTAATCTCTTTGTACATCTTCATCCTCAGGGCTCTTGAGTGACCAGGTACATTTTCAATGAGCAGTAATATTTTGAAAGAAATCTTCTTTTTTCTTAGCCCAGACTTTGTTGTTCCATTTATAGAACACAGGCAGACTAGATTTAGCATCATTCTTCAGGGTCCTAGGATTTTCAGGATGGTAAGTGAGCATGGGCTTCAACAGCTGCATAAGCCTGTAACAAGAGAGTTAGCCTGTCTTTTGAAGCTTTGAAGCCAGGTGTTGACTTGTCCTCTCTAGCTTTGAAAGTCTTAGATAGCATCTTTTTCCCATAGAAGGCTGTTTCATCTACATTTTTAAAAATCTATTGTTTCCTGTGGTTATCTCCATCAGTGATCTTAGCTAGATCTTCTGGATCTTGCTGCAGCTTCTACATCAGCACTTGCTGCTTCACCTTGCACTTTTATGTTACGAAAATGGCTTCTTTCCTTAAACCTCATGAACCAATTTCTAACAGCTTCAGAGTTTTCTTCTGCAGCTTTTTTTACCTCTCTTAGGCTTCATAGTGCTGAAGAGAGTCAGGGCCTTGCTCTGGATTAGGTTTTGGCTTAAGGGAATGTTGTGGATGGCCTGGTCTATCCAGGTCACTAAAACTTTCTCCATATCAGCAATAAGGCTGTTTTTCTTTTTCTTTTCTTTCTTTCTTTCTTTTTTTTTTTTTTTTGAGTCAGAGTTTTCTCTCTGTTGCCCAGGCTGGAGTGCAGCAGCACGATCTCGCCTCACTGCAACCTTTGCCTCCCTGGTTCAAGCATTTCTCCTGCCTCAGCCTCCTGAGTAACTAGGATTACAGGCAGGCACACCACTCCCAGCTAATTTTTTTTTGTATTTTTAGTAGAGACAGGGTTTCACCATGTTGGTCAGGCTGGCCTAGAACTCCTGACCTCAGGTGATCCGCCCACCTCGGTCTCTGAATGTGCTGGGGTTACAGGTGTGAGCCACCGCGCCTGGCCTGTTTTGCCTTTTTATCATTCGTGTGTTAACAGAGTAGCACTTTTAATTTTCTTCAAGAACTTTTTCTTTGTATTCACAGCTTGGCTAACTGGTGCAAGAGGCCTACTTTTTGGCCCATCTTAGCTTTCAACATGCCTCCCTCACTAAGCTTAATCGTTTCTAACTTTTGTTTTAAAGTGAGAGATTTGTGACTCTTCCTTTCACATGAACACTTAAAGGCCATTGCAGCATTATTAACTGGCCTAATTTCAACATTGTTGTATCTCAGGGAATAGGAAGGCTAGAGCAGAAGGAGAGAGATGGGGAACAGCCAGTCGGTGGAGCAACCAGAACACAAATAACATTTAAGTTTGTTGTCTTATATGGGTGTGGTTTGTTGAACTCTAAGACACTTAATAACACTAACATCAAAGATCAGTAATTACAGATCACCATAATAGATAAGGAAGAAGTTTGAAATATTTCAAGAGTTACCAAAACGTGACACAGAAGCATGAAGTGAGTACATGCTGTTGGAAAAAATGGTGCTAATAGACTTGCTTGATACATAGTTGCCACAAACTTTAAATTTGCAAAATATCTGCGAAGTAAAACAATATAGCAAAGCACAATAACATAAAGTGTGCCTTTTATACATATACGTGGCTGTTATCACAGTATCCTAGAGCCAGTAGACCTACAGGAGGCTAAATGATGAGGGTCACAGAGCCACAGGCAGTTCTCTAAGGGTTCTAAACAGGAAGCACCAGGATTGAGATTTATGTTTAGATGCCACATCATGGGCAGTGTGAAGAAGGAGTCTGCATGTGGCAGGACTGTGAGCAGTATGACCCAATACAAACATCTATGAAAAAATGAAATAAAATCTATCAAAAAAAAGGTTGGTGAATTTGACTACATTAATATTCTATACTTCTGAATAACAAGAGACACAACTTAAATTGTAAAACAACACAGACGGGAAGAAGATATCTGCAACCCATATAGCCACCAAAAAATAGGCGATGCCTAGAATATGTAAGGAACTTTTGTAAATCAATAAAACAACAACAAGAAAAGAACACCCAAAACAGGTCTCCCTACTTTGACTTTTGCCTCCCTCTCTGGAGTACATTAAATGAGTTATTATATGTATATGCCTCACCCAGTATGTGTAATATGGCACCACCTACTTGACTTCTATTAATTTATTAGTTTACTTTTTTTATTCTCAACCCAGTAGCTAGAATAATTCTTTTAAAAAGTACTTTGCTCAAAATTCTCCCATGATTTTTTTCACTCAAGCTGTAAAAGTCAAAGTTCTTACACCTTGCAATCCACAAGGCCCTGCCCCACTTCTCAGACCTAACCTCCTGTATTAGTCAGGGTTCCCCAGAGAAAGAGAACCAGTGGGATATTTAATATTTCATTTTAATTTCATGCACACACACATATACACATATGAAATAGCCATATATATAGGAGATATATATAAAATACCCCTATATATAGGATATTTTTATATATCCTATTGTGTGTGTGTGTATATACACATACACACATACACACACATATACAGATGATCTCCAAGTTACAATGTTTTGACTTACGATTTTTTGATGTTAAGATAGGTTTATTGGGACGTAACACCATAAGTCAAGAAACATCTGGACTTAACGATTGTTTGCCTTATGATTTCTTAACTTTATGATAGTTCATTGGAGTATTAAATGGATTTTTGACTTATGATATTTTCAATTTTATGATGGGTTTATTGGTATATAGCCCCTTTGTAAGTTGAGAAGCATCTGGACACACACACACACACACACACACACACATATATATACACATACACACACAAGTACATATAAACATACACACACACATACATGTAGAGAGATTTATTATAGAAATTGGCTTATGCAATTACGGAAGTTGAAAAGTCCCACAATCTGCTGTCTGCAAGCTGATGAACTAGGAAAGCTGGTGTTGTGATTCAGTCCAAGCCCAAAAGCCTGAAAACCCACAGAGCCAATGGTATCAATCCTGGTCCCAGTCCAAGAGTAAGAGCACTGATAATCAAAGGCAGAAGAATATAGATGTCTCAGCTCAAACAGGGAGAGTGAATTCACCTTTCTTCTGTCTCTTTGTTCAAGCCTTCAAGGGATTGGATGATGGCCACCTTATTGGTGAGGGTAATCTTCTTTGCCTTATTCTATAAATTCAAATGCTAATCTTTTCTCTAAGCATCCTCAGACGTAACAGACGCACCCAGAAATGTTTTACCAGCTATCTGGCTATTTAGCTTATAATACACACACACACACACACACACACACACACACATCCACACACGAATTTAGGGAGAAACAATTTGCTTTAGGGTTCCCCAGATAACATATGTTTTTATATACCATATTTGTTCTGTTTCTCTGGGGAACCATAATACAAATTGTTTCCCCCAAAATTTATATGTTGAAGTCCTAATCCCCATTACCTCAAAATGTGACCTTCAGGCCGGGTGCGGTGGCTCACGCCTGTAATCCCAGCACTTTGGGAAGCCGAGGCAGATGGATAACTTGAGGTCACGAGTTCAAGACCAGCCCGGCCAACATGGTGAAACCCCACCTCTACTAAAAATACAAAAGTTAGCCGGGCGCAGTGGCTCACGCCTTGTAATCCCAGCACTTTGGGAGGCCAAGGCGGGTGGATTTCCTGAGGTCAGGAGTTTGAGACCAGTCTGGCCACCATGGTAAAACCCCGTCTTTACTAAAAATACAAAAAAATTAGCCAGGCGTGGTGGCACGCACCTGTAGTCCCAGCTACTCAGGAGGCTGAGACAGGGGAATTGCTTGAACCAGGGAGGTGGAGGTTGCAGTGAGCCGAGATCATGCCACTGCACTCCAGCCTGGGTGACAGAGTGAGACTCCGTCTAAAAAAAAAAAAAAGAAAAAAAAAGTGACCTTCATTGGAAATAGGGTCATTGCAGATGTAATCAAGTTAAGATGAGGTCATTAGAGTGAGACCTTATCCAGTGTCAATGATGTCCTTATTAAAAGTGGAAATTTGGACATAGAAACACACACTGTTCAGTACCACTAGCAAAGATGAAGGCAGAGATCAGAGTGATGCATCTACAAGCCAAGGACCACCAAAGATTGCCCCCAAACCACCAGAAGTTAGGGAAGAGGCATAGAACAGATTGTTTCTCTCAGCCCTCAGAAGGAACTAACACTGTCAATACCTCTATATTGGACCTCTAGCCTCCAGAATTGTGAGATAATAAATTTCTGTTGGTTAAGCCACTCAATTTGTGGCACTTTTGTTATAGCAACCCTAGAAAACTAATACCCTGAGAAATAGATTAGTTTAATAATATGCTCCCCTCTTCCTTAGGATAGCTGCCCCTAGAAACATGAACCATGGAAATACAGCCTTTCCAGTTCAGATTGCTGAAAAATAGGCCTTTACCAAATTACCATCATAATTTTTAATTTCTAGTATTTATATCATCCACAATTATAATTTAGGACAGAAGAAATATTTATTAACAAACATATATGTACTAATGACATTTTAAAGATACATGTGCATGTATATATATACATTTTCATAAATATAAAGAAACTATTACATTGGAATTAATCACCTATATATCCATTTGCTCCTCTGTGAAGGGACCTATGTATTTGGATACCCTAAGTCACTCTTTTCTGGAAACCACATTTGGATTTGGCCGAAATGACCTTATTTTTCAAACGAGGCAATGCTGGTATAGTCACTGGAACTGAGATGAATAGAAGCTTATGAGGTCATAGTCTTTGTTCCCTGTTCCTCCAGATTCTAAGAATTTTTATCATTGTAGGATGTATTCTAGAATATAGAATCATATGATCATGAAAGATGCATATGTGTTGATTTGTTGTAACCCTGGGTTCAGGCTTCTGCTGTATCATATTTGCTAAAGACACCAAAACTAGATAGAGCTATTTGATCCTGACTAAGGTACTGCATAATTAAGTTTCATGTAGTGAGAAAATGTGTAGATTTCTGGGCCAATCCTTTTGCAGAGGGGCAGTGGCTTGAGAGTGGTATTCTAGGCTAGTGATAGTAGAATTAGGAACATCATCCTTGGCATCAGAAAGGGATTTCAGAATGTCTAAATGTGAGTAGCAAGGGGATCAAAGGCCCTGTGTTCTCAGGTGGGAGAGAGTTGCCAGAGGAGTAAATGTTCTTATCCTCTTCAGGAAGGAGATGAATGTTGGGAAGTTCTGTAAATAAGGTTAGTAGGCCAGATCCAGGTGACTTAGAGCAAAAATCTGGGTCTCACATTTTACAAAATTTGCTTTGTGATGCCTCTAGCCTATCCAATAAAAGAGCTCTTGTTTATCCAAAATTAAGTGTTGGAAGAGTTAGGACTTCCTACGCTGCTTCTCAGTGATGCAAGCTCTTTTGTGAGGGACTGGGTCCTACCAAAGTTAGGTGGTTAAAATGTTAGCCTGGAATCTAGGATTCTGGAGCGCTCCTCCACAGCCAATCACTGAGAGAGGCATGAGGAAAAACCACTCAACAGGAAGAAAGCATCTCAATTCTCAGACCCTGGGGAGCTCATTTCTGAAAATGTACAGGGGACAGGTAATGCTTAGCCAGTTTCCCCTTATTTTTCAAGACTGGTAGCAAAAGCGAAAATAACCCAGAATCAGAAACTATTATTTCCTCTCTCAACCTTGGAAAGAAAAAAAAAACAAACATTCTGCTAAGCTAATGATTAAAATAGACGAAAATATTCAAATTCCAATCACTTGGATGTTATCCATCTCTTGTGCCTCCATCCATATCAGGTATGTTCAAAATGATTTGGATTTTTACCTGTTTTTTTTCTCTATCTATAGTATGAACACTTCTAAAAAGTGTCCATACTCAAATAATTGTGGTTTTCAGATATGTTGATTTTCAGAACTTCATTCTAAAATGGGCTGAAATTCAAATAAAAGCGCCATTACCCAGTTTTATCTTAGTGGCTATCTGCTTCTGTACATTTGAGTTAATCAATATGTGAAAATGGGGATATCTCACACTCCCACTGAGATTTGGATTAAGTTTAATATTGAGGTTAAACATAGTTGTCTCTATTGAAAATTAAAACTGGCTGGGCGCGGTGGCTCACGCCTGTAATCCCAGCACTTTGGGAGGCTGAGGCGGGCAGATCGCCTGAGGTTGGGAGTTTGAGACCAGCCTGACCAACGTGGAGAAACCCCATCTCTACTAAAAAAAAAAAAATACAAAATTAGCCGGGCATGGTGGCGCATGCTTGTAATCCCACCTACTTGGGAGGCTGAGACAGGAGAATTGCTTGAACCCGGGAGGGTGGAGGTTGCAGTGAGCAGAGATCGTGCCATTGCACTCCAGCCTGAACAACAAGAGCGAAAGTCCATCTCAAGAAAAAAAAAAAAAAAGAAAATTAAAACCTATGGGAGGATTGAATATTAAATATTTCTAGCCACCTCACCCGTGCCATTTGGGGAAGGCTTAACTCCACTTCTGTATGGGAAATGTTGCTCCTCATTTAAAAGCAAGAAAGAAAATAAGTGATGAAAGGCAAAAATGTTTGTCTAAGGAGATAAAAACTATTTTGTGGGATTAAAATAAATATGCATTATTAATGTAAATGGTGATGAGAATATACAAATCAACAAAATGGTAACAAAACAGTAATTATTTTAAAAATGAATACCTTAACATAATTTAGATATAGAATGAGAAAATTAAGTATAAAAAGTTGAAAAATTATGAAAATACATAATAAATGTTGATACTATATTTCTAACTAATCTCGTCCAACATACAATGACCAGTGAAATAAACATGATAAAATGGGGGACAGAAGACAACAGCTAAAATAGAGAAAGGACTTCAGAAATGTGAGAAGGATATGAATGTTTTTTAAAAACTGAATAAACTACATAACAACTAAAATAATCATTTATTAAGCCAAAGTCTATTGAAGTTTAGTCTGTATCAGAAACTACTGTAAGTACTGAGGATTCTGGGGACCTGTCAGTAAACTAGACTGGCCGTTCTCAACCATTAAGGAGTCATTTTGTCCGGTGGTCATGCTAAAGAGACAGACGTAAATGGCAATCTTGGCAACATCTTAACATTGAGGGAATAAAAAGCTTTTCTTCTTTTAAATGTTCTGGTAAATTCATCTGGGAAGAAACATAACAACCAATACAGCATAAAGGAGTTTGAGCTAAAAGATCTCAGATACATGTAAATAGCAAGGGGAAAAAATGTGGTCCAGCAATAGCTAGGGCCCAAAAAAAAGGCCAACATAATATTTAAAAAGTCATTACTACCTGGTGTGGGTGGTGGTGTGTGATCCTATGTGGCCTTAAAATGCTATTGCATGCATTTTTAATAGTTAGAGGATGTATGAGATTGACTTAAGAGACCATAAAATCTGGAAGGAAGTGAGAGAGTCAGTGCATCTGCTGTCAGCCCCTAGGGGAAGGGGAGTAGTCAGGGAAAAGGAAGAGGCTGAAGAAAGGTGGACAAGGTTATTATAAAATCCAGCTGAACAAGAAGATGAACCCACAGTAGCACAAGGCCAGTAAACAAGGTAGAAAAGGATGCTAAATGGAATTTACATATCTTAAATGCATAGTGTAGCTGTGGTGGTTGCAGGGGACATGTAGGAAACACTCTTGTAACAGAGAGGCAAGCCCGTTAAGTATAACTAATTTCTTTGGCAAGTTACAAAAAAGAGGAAGCAGAAGGGAATTTGAATGTGATAAGAATGCCTTTGTACGGATGACTTAGACAATTAGAAGTTAGAAGCAAATAATGATTGTTATTATTATGTTTTTGACTAAGGAAAAACTGCACTATGATGGGATATAAGTCACTGTCAACAATACCTAAAGTTTACAACTACTGCCATAGCTTTTTTTTTTTTTTTTTTTTTTTGAGACGGAGTCTGGCTCTGTTGCCCAGGCTGGCTTGCAGTGGCACGATCTCGGCTCACTATAAGCTCTGCCTCCCGGGTTCACACCATTCTCCTGCCTCAGCCTCCCAAGTAGCTGGGACCACAGGCGCCCGCCACCATGCCCAGCTAATTTTTTTGTATTTTTTAGTAGAGACGGGGTTTCACCATGTTAGCCAGGATGGTCTAGATCTCCTGACCTCGTGATCCACCCACCTCGGCCCCCCAAAGTGCTGGGATTACAGGCGTGAGCCACCGCGCCCAGCCTGCCATAGCTCTTATAAGTGGTGAAAGGTAGCACTTACTTTTTGACTATATCACCCACCCTGATGTTCCCTGACTGTCCCTTCCACCGAGAGTGGCAGGGACTGTTACTGGTATAATATTCATGTGAGTAGCCATGTGATGCCTCCTTGAATGGCCTTTTCTTTATTTCTGGAATGATCTGGGCATGAGCAAGGAAAGCCAAACACACTAAGAAACTGGCTTCTGACGTCCTCACTCACTCTAGCAGGCATGCCTGCTTACCTCTACCCTTAGGCTTGAAATGACTCACCTTGACAAATTATAGGCCTTAGCAGAATAGCCCTAAAGAATCCTTTGGTAAATCTTGTATTAGTTCTGCAAGGAACCACTGCAAGGGAGCTATCAGACAATTTCTCCCTTCCTGTTCCTAACTTGGGTCAAGTAGGTTTATATATCTTTGCTTCTTGAGCCCCATCCATTTCCCATTACCACTGCATTTATATAGTTCTTTTTCTAACAAATTTACCTGTCCATATGGATTTCTCTTCAAAATCACTAAAACTGAAAAGAACTCTCAGCAGGAATATAGCTCTAAAACTTACCAGCTGTACGGCCTGGGTGAGTCCTTTAACTCCTCTGGAACTATGCCAATATTTCCATCTGTAAAACACACAATGGTTTGACTAGGACATCATTTCCTGACAGTGGTTCAAGAACCCCTAGCTGTTCAAGTCTGCGTTCCAGGTCATTTGGGTCAATAAAAGTTGTAATATTTGTTTCCACTTGTTTTTAAGGAATAAATGATCATTTCTTTAAATTTACCATAAAAACAAATACAATTGAGAAGCACCAACTGCACAGCAGTTGAGTACATGCTGTGGTTAGTGGAGGTCAAGTGAGATTGGGAGCACTTTATCAAACCTGTACATACAAAGCCTCAACAGTTTTGATTATTATTCAGTATTAAGTTGTTCTTCATTTTCGTTGTACTGTGGTTTTTAATTGCATTTAATTATTGTTTAAAACAAGTGTAAGGTCAATCTATGAGTTAAGGAAGAACAATACAAAAATGCTAACTATGTAAAATTTACTTCAAAATATTTGGACTTTCATTTCATTAATCACCCTGTGAAAGTGATGAAATATCATAATAATATGTCCCAGGAAGGCCAATCAAACAATTTTAAAAATAGAAAATATGATTTTTAATCCAGTTTATCTTTTTATTTGTAGATAATAAAGTGTATCCAAGCCAAAATATGGGTTCAATTCCCCAAAAGAGAAGCATTATATCAAAAAATATAAACAGTTAAGGTCATTGCCAAGTCTTTCAAAACAGTGGTACTAATTTACAAAATAACCAGCAATGTAAAAGAGATGTTGTTTCACCAAATTCACACCAGCAATGTTTTAATTTAAACAAAATTTTTAAGAAGAAAAGTGAAAGAAGTTGATAATATAGTCCCACTTGTCTATTTTTGCATTTGTTTCCCAAGCTGGAGTGCAGTGGCATGATCATGACTCACTGTAGCCTTGACCTCCTGGGCCCGAGTGATCCTCCTGTTTCAGCCTCCTGAGTAGCTGAGACCACACCACAGGCATGCACCATCATGCCCAGCTAGTTTTTTTAATGTTTTTATAGAGATGGAGGTCTCACTACATCTTTTGTAGGGATCTTGCCCAGGCTAGTCTCAAATTCCTGGGCTCAAGCAATCCTCCTGCCTTGGTTTCCCAAAGCACTGGGTTTACAGGTGTGAGCCAGTGTGCCAGACCAGTTGTCTTGTTTTACAGTGATTTTACAGTGATTGTAGAATTTCTTTTTTTTTTTTTTTTTTTTTTTTTTTTGGAGACAGAGTCTCACTCTGTCACTAGGCTGGAGTGCAGTGACGCGATCTTGCCTCACTGCAACCTCTGCCTCCTGGGTTCAAGCGATTCTCTTGCCTCAGCCTCCTACGTAGCTGGGACTGTAGGCACGCGCCACCATGCCCGCTTAATTTTTGTATTTTTAGTAGAGACAGGTTTCACCATGTTGGCCAGGACGGTCTCGATCTCTTGACCTCATGATCCGCCCGCCTCAGCCTCCGAAAGTACTGGGATTACAGGCACGAGCCACCACGCCCAGCCTAGAATTTCTTTATGTAGCCTGGATACTATTTCTCCTTATAATTCTGCCAGGTTTTGCTTTATATATTTTATGTTCTTTTCAGGTTCATATAAGTTTACCAATCGTAAAGATTGATGTATCTTCTTGGTGGTTGTTCCTTATATTGTTATAATTTTTCTTTCCTTTCCTTATTAATGCTTTTTCTTTTAACTCCTGGTATGTCTGATATTATTACCCCACGGTTTTTTGTTTTTGTTAAACATTTTCTTAATATATTCACTCTATCTCTTTTTTTTCAATTTTCTGCAACATGTTATTTTAAATGTGTGTACTTTAAGTAGTATATATTTTTAATTAGATGAGTTTTATACATTTGTTACATTTATTATAACTGAGGTATTTATATTTTCCATCTTTTAAATTTATTATGCTTCTCTTTGCTTTCTATACCCTTATTTTATGCTATTTAATTAATTGTTGACATTTTTCTTTTTTCTCTTTTTTGTCTTTTTTTGTCCCTGCTGGTTTAAAAATGATTTACTTTTCATTTTCTAATGGTGACCTATCAAATTTTAACAAACGATCAGCTATGTGTTTTTAACAACATCTAAATGTGATCAGTAAATTTTTAGCTTCTTACTGAAAAAATGCAAAGATTTAGTATGCTCTAAAAGTACTCCCTGAAATCACCTCTTCCATGTTCTTTTCTATTATTGTCTATGATTTTAATTCCATCATTTATGTAAAAATAGAGATTTTTCTCCCCACAGGCAAGAGTTAGTTAATTTTATTTTCTAATATAATTCACTTATTTTATCACCAAGCTTCCCCCCCGCCTCCCCATAACCTCTCCTTTCCCTCTGGATTTGCTTTTTTTTTTTTTTTTTGTCATCTTAGGGTTTGGAAATTTAGTTTAAATGCTCATCGTAAGTGGAATCTTCTTTCTTCCCATCACCTGACCCTCATTTGTCTGTGCATTTTGCCTAGAGCTCCCAGTCTATAACTAAGTCTTATTTGTTTATGTATTTATTTCTTGTCTTGGGGCCTCTGAAGATACCACGGTTCTAGTCCTCAAGCAAAGAAGCAGCTCGGCTGGTGTGCTGATCTGTGAGGGCTTTCTCTAAACCTCCTCCCTCTAGCCTCCCTCCCCCTGCCATCCCAAACACTCCAGTTTATAAGAGCTGTGACCCTAGCAATCAACATAGTTTTTCTTAGCCTCCTTTCTTGAGGAGGGAGTCTGATTCCAGTCTTAAATTTCATGTGGTAGGCCTGGCTTCTGTATCCTTCCAGGAGTGGAGTAAATTTGGTTCCCATTATCCAGAAAGTCTCAAATTTCTAGACTACTTTAGATCTAAGTCTAAAGACCAATAGCTTTGTAGCTTCAATCATTTAAAAGTATGTTCCAGTTTTATTTCTGTTCTACAGAAATGTTTATATTATTTTTAGCATGATTGGGTCTTATTAATTAAAAAAAAACTACCATTGTCTTGTGCTTGGGTCAAGGCAGGGGACAAAAATTACAAATTTACAATATTATTTTAACTGAACTTCATTAGGTCGCTTTTATAAATACCTAGTAATATGATAGACCAAAGAAATACATGTTACTCATTGAATTTGCTATGCTTCTGTTAAAAGTGATAGCAGTCTATTTCCACATGATTGTTAGCCTGTTAAATATCCCCTTTGGAGTGCCACATTCTTTGCCAAAATGTTTTTTAGAATCATTTTTGACATCTCTTCTTTTTTTATATAAAATTGATCACCAGGTTCCATCTCCTTTTTTTTTCTTTTTTTTTTTCTGATTCACTATTGCAACATTCTACCCACTTCCAGTTTCTCAACACTTCACTCCTGTACTATGCAACAGCCTTCTAAGCATCTGTTTAGCCCAGGACAATCTTTTAAGACAGTGGCTCTCAAATTTTAGTATATGTCGGAATCACCTGAGGACTTGTTAAAACACAGATTGCTGGCTCCAGCTAAAGCCTCCCTGATCCTATCCCCAGGCCCCCAGTTTGTGATACAGTAAGTCAGGGATAGGACCTGAATATGAATTTCTAACAAGTTCTCAGGTGATGATAATGATAGTGGGCTGTGAACCACACTTTAAGAACCGCTAGTTAAAAACACTGTTTACATGTTAGCACTCCAGTACTCAATATCCTTCAGCCATTTCCTACTGCCAGTAGCATCATATCTACATTCCCAAGTTTGAGGCCCTCTAACATTGAACCTCATTCTACTTGCCAATTCCATTTCTCCATCTCTGTGGCAGTCTTACAGCTAATTCCTTAACCCACTGTACTTTGTTCAAAAGATCTTACATCAAGCAATATTTTTTTTCTTGAAGAGTGGATTACTTTCTTATCTAGTAACAGGCAGCTTACACATCTTTAAGTAGTTCCATGATTGTTTTCCTCCAAAGTACTCTTTTTATTTTTTCTATTTCAGTCTTGAAGACTTTACTGGATCTACATCATACTTGTTTAACTCTCAGCTCCCTTGGGCTGTATTTAAGACACATAGGGGAGAAAAATATGGAGACAGATGTAAGACTCCACCATGAATAAGTTACATTGATCCTTTTCCCTAAGCAATGAGTTAGGCTTACTTGCATTTAATATGACAGGTATGTTTCCTTTTTTTTTTTTTTTTGGTAGTTTTAAAAAATATCTTTGCCTAGGCAGGCTGTTTCAATTTTTGGATAATTTTTCAGATATTTAAGAAGGTTTGTATTTTTAATTTAAGGATTAACATTATATTTATATTACATAACTCTTGGTTTTCCATTTTTTCTAGACAACACCTATTAGTTCCCTACTAGGAAAAAACAATGAAACTATCACGTTCCTTCTTTCTCTCTCATCCTTTGCATATCCTCTTCCATTGATTCTAGTAAAACACCGCCTTTCTTAGTGCTTGCTTTCATATGTTAAATATGTTCATACCTCTATTATTTTGGTATGTCAGATACAATATATCTCCTTTCAATCTCAGATATTCCACATGAGGCAATCATACACAATTAAATCATACACAATTAAAGAAAACAACTTTAATTGTATCACTTCTGTATTGTGAGGGCATATAACATCAACATTCTGCTCAGTAATCTTAATTCCCTACATTTCTTTTATTATTATTTCTACAGTGAAATATTTTCAATGTTCCCTACTACTCCATTTGTCATAGTTACCCAAGCCATTATTGTTTGGTTGTAACAATATGTTTGTAACCTTTATCTTTGAAGGACAGCTTGACTAGATATAAAATTGTTTGCTTATATTTTCTTTACTTAATTATCTTGTAAGTGATGCTTTGGAAAAATATTTTGTTAGATTGTTTTTCCCTTTATGAATTATTTGATTTTTTTAACCTGGCAGCATGAAGTTTTCTTTTTTTTTTTTTTTGAAATCCACTGACACTCCTAGACTATGTCTCCATATCAAATTTTTGGTTACTTTTCCCTGGCATGCATAGTGTGTCCTGTAAGTATTTAGATTTAAACCTTCTTTTATTTCAGGAAAATTTTCTTGATTTATGACTTTCAATTCTTGTTGGCTTCTATTTTCTTCAGCTTCATTCCTTAGGGTCTCCAACTATAAATTTGTTGGATTTTACTTGACTGTTTTATATGTAAATATACATATAAATATATAGATATATAGGAATATGCTTTATTATCCTTAAGACTTTCTTTATTTCAATTTTATTTTATTTTATTTTCTTATTTTCATCTTCTATATTTTTTATGGTCCTGTAATCCTTCAAATTTGATTTTCACTTTTGTGACTAGTTTATTTTCTTCTTTTCTGAGTTTGCAGCTTTAATTTGATCTTCCTCTATTTTATTTGCATCTCTTTATTGAGTTTTTGCATTTGTACTTTTTACTCTTTTTTATATATGAAGTTGTGTTTTTTGTTGTTGTTGTTTTAATTAATGGTAAAATATATGATCATAATTTTCATCTGTTCAATGGCAACATTTTCCATGTGTGTGTGATTCATACGTTGAAAAGTTTTGCTTTTTTCTATATTTTTCATAGTGTCTTTATATTTGTGCCATAGGAATTTCATGTTTATTTCTCACTTTAAAATAAGTTGGATTTTCCTTGGCCAACTATGTCTAAGTGATAACAAAGGGACTGCTTCCCATAGCTGTCACTCATCTATGGGATTCTCTGTGTAGCTCCACATCCTCGGCTTCTCTGAGCCAAATTAGATCCAAGAAGACTTGTACCACCACCTTGCTCTCTTTAGTTCCTGCACGGAATGCTGCAGTAAAAGAAAACAGCTTTTACTACACACTTCACTGTGAAGATGAGTTCTTCACCTTTAGAAAGTATATTTTTGTGGCATGTCTAAGATCTGCTGCCACTAGGTTTTCTCACCACTCTGTACTTTTACTAGTCCTTGCATTTCTTGCAGGGTCTGCTGGTTACATTATTCCAGTTTTGTGAAAATGGAATTTATGTTTTCTATTACTTTATTCTTCTTGTCATTCTCCGTGTTGCTTATGCACAAATTTTCAGGAGGAAAAAGAGAAAGATGTCAACTTTTGCAGCCGTGGTCAAACAAGAAGACTTCCTGTTATCTATTTTAATATGGAAATTATTCTCTTATTGATATCATGTAAGACAACATTTGTAGTTATAAAAATATCTTTTACATAACCACCTCCTACTTAATAAACTGAAGTCTCTGTCTTTTTCATATTATTTGTATACCTACATGACTGATGTTTTGAACTTAGATGTAAAGGTTTACTATATCATTGATATCTTCCATTGTTGAGTTTTTCCCATTATTGCAGGATATGGCCATGATTTTGCATTTTATTACAAAAATAATAATTGTGCTATGTGTTATTTTGGTGAATGTTATTCATTCTTATTCGATACTGAGAAGAACTGTCACTTGTCTTGAACAAGCACTATGTTTTACATAAAATGCTTCTGTAACTGGCCCAGTTTCCCTTCCTTTAACAGCTGTTAGAATATAACAATCACATTTTTCATTCACTTAAGATAACTGAACACATCACAATGACATTTGCTTTTATTATAGCTTCAGTTTTTATTCAGATCGACTTTAATTAATTTCATTTTGTCATACCTTATTTAACATTGTAAGTCAAATTAAATTCTTTCTGCCAGAATTCTCTTCTTCTCAGGTTTTGAAAACTCCAAAATGTGGTCCTCTTAGAAATTGATCAAAAATGGTAATAAACATAGCAAACATGTTGAACAATACAGAGTCAAACTGACATCAATCCGTTATTAGATTTTCTTTGGATATGGTTATGCAAACAGTTTTAAATCCACTAACTGTTCTCCATCCAGCTCATGTTTCTTCATCTTATCCCCAGGGTTGCAAGGACAGTTTCTATCAAAGACATTCTAGACATCATGTTCTTTGTTTATGAGTGTTCCTTTTGAAAAAATATCAAGCGTAGTCTTTGCATGTAGAAATTACTTTTTTAAAAATTATACTTTAAGTTCCGGGATACGTGTGCAGAATGTGCAGTTTTGTTACATAGGTATACACGTGCCATGGTGATTTGCTGCACCCATCAACCCATCACCTACATTAAGTATTTCTCCTAATGTTATCCCTCCCCTAGCCCCCCACCCCATGACAGGCCCCGGTGTGTGAAGTTCCCCTCCCTGTGTCCATGTGTTCTCATTGTTCAACTTAAATGTTGAATGAATAAAAGGACAAATGAATAGTAAAATAAATTTCAAATTATAAAAGTTATTCGTAACCCATACTAGATCATCTATTACTGTTTTCACTATTCACAAGCTACCTGCTGATATTTTGTATCAGTTGGAAAAAAAATGACAAAATTCATCTAAAGCCTCTTGGTCCCTCTTTCATTCTCTATGTTGCTCAAAAATTACCAGCAGTATTCCTGTGACTAGAACTCTGTTTTTTAGCCTCTAGGAAGTAATTTGCCTTGGCCTAAACATCTGTCATTTTAGTGTTTGCCATTTGTCCAGACTGTGAACATACCCCTCTTTCCTCCTTCTACTTATTTTTCTGGAACTTTGTTTCCTCTATACTTTTAGTACTTGCTTTTTTATTCATTCACTTATTTATCTGTGCAAGCTCAGTTAATTTCAGGCATTTGCTTTTCTAACTATTATCACCAGACTGATATTTTTCCTTATTATGGAGACCTTTGCCAATTTTTGTATATACTCTTTTAATATCTGAGCTAATGAGAGAGATTGCTGTTTACCACAGCAATTTCATTCAATAGCTTAGTCTTTTCTTTCTCAGGGAGACATTGAATGCACGGTTAGAATTTTATGTGCTAAAGTCCACCTTCCTCTTATAGATTCAGGCTACTGAATCATTGCTATCTTTAAACTATTTTATAAAGTCTTATTTCCCCTATTTTTGTCAATCTATTTGAAATAACTAGTTCTGTTTGTCTTCATTAACATAAACCTATGACAATGTAATTTACATGCAAGGTATTTTATTTTATTTTATTTTAGATTCGGGTGGTACATATGCAGGTTTGTTACATGGATATTGTATAATGCTGGGGTTTGGGCTTCTATTGAACCCAACAGCCAAATAGTGATTGTAGTACTAATAGGTGGTTTTTCAACCTTTGCCCCTCTCGCTCCCTCCTTCCTCCCTTTTGGTGTCCTCAGTGTCTATTGTATCCATCTTTATGTCCACGTATATCATTGTTTAACTCCTACAAATATGCAGTACTTGATTTTATGTTTCTGTATTAATTCACTTAGGGTAATGGCCTCCAGCTGTATCCATGTTGCTGAAAAGGACATGATTTCATTCTTTTTATGGCTGTGTAGTATTTCATGGTGTAGATATACTACATTTTCTTTATAAGTGTAATTGGGAAAATTTTAGATAAAAATACTTTCTTAGTTATAGTTAAAAATAAGGATCTTAGATTTACATTTTCAGTGAATAACTATTGTTAAATTTGTTTTGCTATGTACTCACTGTAGAGGTTACAATAGTTATATGTTTGTTCTATGAATTCTTTTGTATTACCAGTTCACTTCCATGCAAAGTAAACTCTCTATAAATAGTCTCAAAAATACCATGAAGAGTTGTTCTGATTTCTTTTCTCTCTATTATCTGCCCCACTGTAGCCTGAGGGCTTAATAGATAATTGCAGTCAAAATGAAAGTTAAAACTTAATTTAGAACAAGTTTGCAACATGCCTGGTACCTTGGGATTTGCAAATCTATAACTCCTTCTGCTCCTGGGAGTTGAGTTAATTTGGCAAATCACACTAACTCAATTTTCACTAGGTCTTTATTAGAAACAAATCTATTATGCTATAGAATGCATTGTGGATTTGGCTTAAGACTCCCAGCTTGTCATTATTCAATATTATGAAATTCCTATTTAGACATTTAGTTTAAGTGAGAACATAAAGCATATAATAAAACTGCAGGTTTCTCTTGCCATTGTTTAGGTCTCTAGGTTTTCAATTTAATTCTCATTTATTGAATGGCCACATTGTCCAAAGCCTGTTACACCTCCTGTCCTTAAAAAAGTTACAATAAATCCTGATGTAACAAAGGTACATAAATAATTACTATGTAAGGCAAACAAAATAAATATGATAGGGAAATAAAGGAGGAAAAGAGATTGGCGGGATTAGAAAAATTCATGGAGATGGAGAAGGATGGTCTAAATTGGGTCTTAAATTAGCAGAAGGATTTCTACTGAAGGAAATGGGGGAGTGGCAAGAAAGGGCATTTGAAAGGACAAGATGAACAAGAACCCAGCGAAAGGATGCGTTTTGCCTGTTCAGAGAGCAAACAGGAGTTATGCTAAGGTGGCAGATGAAGTCCTCAGGTGCATGGCAGGCCGTTCTCTGTTGCACTGCTTTTTACATTTTTGGCTTTGCTTGTTAAGTTTTTGGTTTGAGTTGCTTGAGTCAGTGAGTGAAGCAGTCATCACAATCAAACTTGCTAGGCACAGGAGAGGCTTTGAGCTTGCCTCTGCTGTGAGCCACTTGACCAAAAACTGCTCAGGGTAGTTATGTGGCCTTAGGCAATTTTACTTAACCCCCTAAGCCTTACTTCTTCCTTGAAAAATGGTCACAATAATATGACACCTACTTTGCAAGAATGCCATGAGGTTAAATGAGATAATGCATATGAAAACCCAGAACTGCATCATATGGCACCTTTGTGCAGTTTGGAAAATTTTGATCATCTCTCCAAGTGAATGCAACCCTTCTCTAGGGCACCCATGTGGGTGAGTGGAGATTAAGATGGATTCCAGTCTCCCCATAACCTCACCCAAGCAACCTTGTGCAGTATACAACCTGCACAACCGTACCTGGAAGCCCTGAGATAAGGGCTTAGAGAAATGCTTAGGTATAACAAAATCTAAATAAACATAGCCATCATTATAATTATTATACCGCAAACCACTAAAAAAACGCAGTGTTGAAGCTTGGTCAGAGACCGTTCGGTTAAGTCTATTATGAAAAGAGACCAATATTAACAATGCACACCTAAGTCTCAGCAAAGAGTTCAAAATACAGAACAGGAAACCAAACCAACAGGCGTCCATTCCTGTGTGACTCTCCTTCCACTAGATGGTGCTGGCTTTCTTCAGCTTGTTGCAGTAGAACTGTCTTCCACTTAAAAATGGCTTGTATTTACGGATAATTCAGGTGGTATCTGTGTCCCACCAACCTCCTTCAGCTCTTTGCGGAGGAGGAGGTGTTTCTCTGAGAGCATGAATGTTGCTCAGGGCATGAACACCGTTCAGAGGACATGATACTTACTAGATAGTAGAAGGGTATGGGAGATCTGTAAGCCACTAAGGAGAAACTCCATTAAATTCCTAACACTTTGAATTCAAAACGAGTCTATCATCAGTAATTAATTTATCAAATAACAGCATCATTTTACTATTTGCCCTTCTTGGGCATTGTGAGAGTGTGGGAGTGAAAACAAAACATGATCATTCAAGTGAGCACTTAAAAAAAAAAAAAAAAAAGGTACTCTCCAGATACCTAGACTCCATGCCAGAGAAAGGGGATCCCATCCAACTTAAGTCCTAAGGGCACATTTTTGTTATTTCTACCTTCATCTTTTTTGATGTGTCATGTTCTAAAGACCTTGTGAGCTTTGCTACATATTAGGTTTCTGAAAAGTCTTTCGGTTAAACTGATATACATCAAATTGTGAGGAGAATTTGCTACTTAAGAAATGATTTGCTCAGAGTGAGAACACCACTCAGAGGAAATGATTCCTACTAGATAGTAGGATTGTAAAATTCTACTGGAAGTAGGCTGTAACATGAAAATTTTCTTTTATCATTGTTTAAGTCCAGCTATGAATATATCACATATGTTTGTATATTTTCTCCCTTTTTGTCACTCCCAAGACTGTCAAGTTTTGAGGAAAAGACATGAAACTTCAAGAGTACTGTTCAAAAGACTTCTGCAAACCATTTAAAACTATATAAATGAACTTTTTAGGTAAAGCAAATGGATTGACTAGCAAACTGTAAAGAGCTTTTTACCTGCACCAGCCATGAATTCTGGGGCAGAAATTGTGTACTGTTGCTCCATTTCCATTTGTGAATAGAGAACATCTTTTATTAATAGATGAAAATCTCCATCTATATTGTAATGGTAAAATATCTGCAAAACAAGGAAAGGGAGGAGAAATTGCTCAAGCTGATCATGATCTTTTCCTACCTAAAATGCTCCTGTGGCTTCTTCTTGTCTCCTGCAGTGGTTCTCAGGCCCAGACCACTTTGAGGGACAGGTTCAACCCACAGTATGTGAAGGTAACGTCCCTGTGGAAGGAAGGATGTGTGACAATGGGAGATGGGGAGGGGGGGTTGCATTACAATATCCAAAGGGAGTGAGTGCTTCAGAATGTTAAGACTCCACAGATGGCCTTTAGAGATTCTGACAAATAACACCACTACCCTAGTGCACCCCAAAGAGAAAGCCTTTTCTCATTGCCACCGTCCTGGAGGAAGAAATAAAATAAAGCCCCAAATTCTTTACTCCAGTATATAGTTCAGTATATACATATATCCTACATATTCTAACTCTTACCTAAAGCTCCTGCTCATTGTCTGTAGGTTCCTCAATGCGTTCTGTGACCAGCAAGAGTAAATGATCAGCATTCCCCCCAGATATGCCATTTTCCCTCAGATCTATGTGTATTTTCTCTGCCTGGAATGCCTCTCCCCTTATACATTATCTCGAAAACTCCTTCTTATCCTTCAAGTCTCAGCTCAAGACTTTATATCGTCTAAGGCATACTCTTGGTCCCCTCCTGGAAGCTAAGCATCACCTTCTTTTGATCATCTATTCATCCCCTCCACTGACTGAGAGTAAGAACTGCCTTCTTTAACATTTTCATTGCACCAGGCACATAGTAGCTAATAAATACATACTTGGCAAATAAATGAATGCAGTATTATTCAAAGAGGAATATACCTCATTTAGAACGCTCAGAAATGATAACTTGGTACCATGAAAGAAACTAGTGTAAATCTTGTTTTAAAAATTAATCTACTAGCCTCTATTTTAAAATTTAATTTTTATAGCAGGCAAAGAGATGGCAAGCATCACAAACAAATATTGTAGTGGAATTTGGATCTTTAAAATTATAGACTGTTCAGATGAGAGAACATAAAATGATAACATTGTAGACCTAGGTGCAGTGGCTCACTCCCGTAATACAAGCTACTTGGGAGCTGAGGCAAGAGGATTGCTTGAGGCCAGGAGTTCAAGATCAGCTGGGGCAATTATAACAACACTGTCTCTAAAAAGATAAATAAATAGATAAATAAATAAAAGACAGCACTGTAGATTCTAAAACTGAACAGGAAATCAGAGCTATTTTTGGGCCTAATTTCAACATATATCATATGAGGAGATATCATGGGAAGTGGGAACTAACGGGAAACTGGAATTGATAACCATGAAGTGTAGCAAATTTCTAAACTCCTCCAAAAGTCTTCTCTGACAGTGGGTAATACACTCTTTACCTCAACACTTGCTCATCTAGTGTTTGATGATTCTCTAAGAAAATGCAATAAAATGAGTTTTAAATTCTACTTCAATTTCTGCTATATGACATTCTCTTTATTCTAAAGTAGTTACTAGTATAAACTTTTAAAAAGCTGATTTTGATAAATCAACAACCCTTAGTCATAAAGTAAGTCAAACAAAATGAGCGAAGAAAGATTTTTTCGGAGAGAAGGCACAGGAAAGAGGAGTAACATTCCTAGACTTAGGAAATTGTATATGGGTCTTCTGATCCTTAAGCATAAGAACACTGTCTCTTTTCCTCATAACATCTTCATAATATACTGAGAAGCAAAGTAGAGGGGGGACAAGATGGAAAACCAGGAAAGGAAGTGTAGCCAGTTAGTGAGATGATTCCACAATAAAAAACCAAACCTAAAGTTTGCCAAATCCAATGGTCAGTTCTCTGTCCTCATCTTACTTGACTTAGCAGCAGAATTTGATACAGTCGATCACTCCTTTCGGCTGTAAATATTTTTCTTCCCTTGGCTTGTATTCTGTCTCATAGCTCTGGTTAGCCCCGGAGTTCATCCCTTAAACATCTCTATTTTTATATGTGCATGTACTGCTTTGGTGAGCTCTTCTAGCCACACGGTTTTAAGTATCACTAATTTATTTCTTCAGCTCAGACTTTTCTTCTAAACTTGGACCATATTAACCTGCCTACTTAACCTTTCTTGTTAGACTTTGATAGGTATCTCAAATTTTACATGATCCAAACTGAGTTCCAGGAGGATCACTGAAGCCCAGGTAATCAAGGCTGCAGTGAGCTATGATCGTGCCACTGCACTCAGCCTGTGTGACACAGAAAGGCCTTGTCAAAAAAAAAAAAAAAAAAAAAGTAAGAGAAAAAGAAAGAAGTTTTAATGTCCTGATGCACAGAAATTAGAGTATCTGAGGGAGGCGGCTAGGCATCAGTGTTTTCTAAAGCTCCCCAGGTGATTCCAATGCAAGTCAAACCTAAGAACAACTGCTCTATGGAAGTCACACTTAAGAGTTTACATACTAACATCTTGTTCTAAATGTTTCTTAGTAGAATCTATCTTTTCTCCCTGTAATAGATTAGTATAATATTTCTTATAAGGTTTTCAACCACTCAACATGACAGCATTTTGTACAGAAAGCAAGAAAATCAACCTAAAATCATTAGAACAAATAGGAATTCTAAAATGCAGCTGAATAAAAATAAATATACAAAGACTGTTAGCTTTCAATGTGCCAGAATAACCAGGGGAAACAATTCTATTCACGAAGAAATAAAAATCACAAACTATTGAAGAATAAATATGTCAGGAATATTCAAGACTTCAGTAAAACTATGAAACTTTCCATTAGTTCAAAAGAAAAGTTTTGAATAAATTAAGACATATTTTCCTGGGTGAGAGTCAATATTTTAAATATGTAAAAATATTGAACATATTTGTCAAAATAAGTTCATTCTTCCCAAAGGGATCTTTTCTTAGTGCACTTACAGTCACAATTCCATTTTGACTAGATGATTCTAAGAGTCACCTGAAAGAAACAATGAGTGAAATCAAAATATTTTTAAAAGGAAAATTACGAGGAAAGATCTTCCCTCCCAAATAAAAATAATGTGAAACCAGTAAAGGAAAAGACCAATATACGTATGTGTTAGCATTTCCATGACTTTGTTATTCAGTTGTAAAATATAATTATCTGAACAAAGAATTCAAATAATCTTGCATTTGAATTTTGTACCAATCCCCCTCTTAGAAATTAATTTTTAAATTTCTGAAAATTGAAAAATTTGTTGTTTCTTAAAAATAAACTGTTTAACTGTTAAATTGTTAAAGAAACAAGCAAATTTATCCAAGCAGAAGAGACAACTTCCTCCCCCTATTCCCTAAACCTTAATTTAGAGCACACTAGGAGAAAGTCCTCAAACTGACACATTACATGTAGGAATGCATATGCAATATTGCTGGATTAACATCAGCACCCTTTGACCTGGATTTCTTACTTACGTTTATGCTTTACATTTTTCCAGCTTTATTGAGGTATAATTAATAAATAAAACGTGTATATACATAATGCTGCAATGTGATTGTTTGATATATTTACACATTGTGAAATGATTACCACAACCAAGCTAATTAACATATCCATCACCTTACATAGTTACTATTTGTGTGTGTGTGTGTGTGTGTGTGTGTGGTGAGAACAATTAAGCAAACTCTCTTAGCAAACTTTAAGTATACTATAAATTATCATTAACTATAGTTACCATGCTGTACATTAGATCTCTAAAACTTATAACTGAAACTCTGTTTCTATGAATTCAACGTTTTTAGATTCCACATATAAGAGATATCATGCAGTATTTGTCTTTCTGTTACTAGCTTATTTCACCTACTATAAGGTCCTCCAGTTTCATTCATGTTGTCACGAATACCAGAATTTCTTTTTTCTTAAGGTTGAGTAATCTTCCATGATAAATATATATTACATTTTCTTTATCCATTCATCCACTTATGGACACTTAGGTTAATTCCACCTCTTGCTTATTCTGAATAATGCTGCAATGAATATGGAAGTGCAAATATGTCTTTGAGATACTGATTTCAATTCCTTTAGCTATATACTAACAGGTGAGGTTGCTAGATCATATAATAGATTTATTTTAAATTTTTTGAGGAACCACCAAACTGTTTTCCATAATGGCTGTACGAATTTACTTTCCTACCAAGAGTGTACAAGACGTTTTATTTCTCCACTTCATCATCAACACTTGCTATCTTTTGACTTTTTGACAACAGCCTTCCTAACAGGTGTGAAGTGCTGTCTCTTTGTGGTTTTCATTTGCATTTCCCTAAGGATTAATGATGTTGAGGACCTTTTCACTCCTGTTGGACACTTGTATATCTTCTTTAGAAAAAATGTCTATTCAGATCCTTTGCCTGTTTTTTAATTAGGTTATTTGTTTTTTCTGTATTGAGTTGTATACATTCCTTATATATTTTGGATATATGTTTTGTAAATATTTTCTCCCTTGGTTGCATTTTCTTTCGTTGATTGTTTCCTTTGCTGTGCAGAAACTTTTAAAATTTGATTTGCTTGTACTTGTTTATTTTTGCTTTTATTGCCTGTCCTTTTGGTGTCATATCCAAAAAATTATTGCCAAGTCCATTGTCAAGTACACCTCCCCCAGCCAACCCCATTTTTCTTCTAGTAGTTTTACAGTTTCAAGTCTTAAATTTGTCTTTATTTTCAGTTAATTTTTGTATATGGTGTAAGATAAGGGTTAATTTCATATATGTGGATATCCAGTTTTCCCAACATGATTTATTGAAAAGACTATCGTTTCCTCATTGTGTATTTTTTGTGCCTTTGTCAAAGATCAGTTGATTATACATTTATGGGTTTATTTCTAGGCTCTGTGCTCTCTTTTGATGTGTCTGTTTTTATGAAAGTACTATATTGTCTTGTTTACTATATCTTTGTCTTTGTATTATAATTTGAAATCTTTGTATTATAATTTGAATTGTATTATAATTTGATGCTTTCAGCTTTGGTCTTTCTCAAGATTGATTTAGCCATTTAAGGTCTTTTTTGGTTCCATACAAATTTCAATATATTCCTCCCATTTCTGTGAAAAACATCATTGGAATTTTGGTAAGACTTGGATTGAATCTGTAGATCACTTTGTAGTGTGAACATTTTAACACTGTTAATTCTTCCAAATTCCATTTATTTGTGTCTTCTTTCAATGTCTTTCATCATTGTTTTATGTTTTTCAGTGTACTCACCTTTCACCTCCTTGGTTAAATTTACTCCCAGGTATTTTATTTTTGTAGCTATTGTATATGGGATTTTATTAAAATTTATTTTTCTGATATTTTATTGTTAGTGTATAGAAATACTACTAATTTCTGTAGGTTAATTTTGTATCCTGCAACTTTACTGTAATTGTTTATTAGTTCTAATAGTTCTTTGGTGAAGTCTTTGAGGTTTTTTTTTTATACATGGTATTATGTCATCTGCAGAGACAACTTAACTTCTTCCTTTTCTATTTGGATGCCTTTTATTTCTTTCTCTTTCCTAATTGCTCTGGTGAGAACCTCCAGTACTATATTGAATAGAAGTGACGAGAGAAGGCTTCCTTGTCTTGTTCCAGTTCTTAAAGAAAAGCTTTCAGCTTTTCACCTGTATGTTCACTGTAAGCTTGCCAAATATGACCTTTATTGTGTTGAGGTACATTCTTTCTATACCTAATTAGCTGAGAGTTTTTAATATCAAAAAAGATGTTGATATTTGTCAAATACTTTTTCTGCATCAGTTGAGATGATCATGATTTTTATCCTCTATTCTGTTAATGTGGCATATCATATTTATTGATTTACTTATGTTAAATTATACTTGCATCCCAGAGATAAATGCCACTTAACCATGGTACATAATCCTTTTAATGCACTGCTGAATTTGGTTTACTAGTATTTTGTTGAAGTTTTTGCATCTATGTTCATCAGGGATATTGCCATGTAATTTTCTTTCTTATGGTGTCCTTGTCTGGCTTTGGTATCAGGATAATGCTGGCCTTATAAAATGAGTTTGGGAGTATTCCCTCCTCTTCAACTTTTTGCAAGAGTTTGAGCAGAATTGGAATTAATGCTTTAAGTGTTTGAAAAAATTCAAAAGTGAAGGCACTAGGTTTGGGTTTCTCTTTGTAGGGAGATTTTTGATTACTGATTTAATTTCCTTTCTCATTTTGGTCTATTCAGATTTTCTGTTTCTTCATAGTTCAGTCTTGGTAGGTTGTAGGTTTCTAGCATTTGTCTATTCTTCTAGGTTATACAGTTTATTAGTGCTTAATTGTTCATTGTAGTTTCTTATAATCTTTTGTATTTCTGTATTTTTATATATGTGATTTTATTCATTTCATTTGAATCTTCTCTCTTTTTTTCTTAGTTAGGCCAGCTAAAGTTTCGTTAATTTTATCTTTTCAAAAAGCCAACTTTTGATCTTTTCTCTTGTTTGTCTTATCTCTATTTCATTTATTTTTGCTCTGATTTTCCTTTCTTTCTTTCTTTCCTTCTTTTTCTTTCTTTCCTTCTTCCTTCCTTCCTTCCTCCCTTCCTTCCTTCCTTTCTGTCTTTTTTCTACTAACTTTGGGGTTATTTTGTTTTTCTTTTTCTAGTTGTTTGAGGTATAAAGTTAGGCTATTTATTTGGGATTTTTTTTTTCTTAACATAGGTGTTTACTGCTATGCTCTTCCCTTTTAGAATTGCTTTTGCTACATCTTGCGAGTTTGGGTGTGTTCTATGTCCATTTTTGTTTGTCTCAAGAGTTTTTAAATTTCCCTTTTGATTTCTTTTTTGACCCACTGGTTTTTCATGAGTGTGTTTAATCTTCACATATTTTTTAATTTTCCCATTTTTTTTCTATTATTGGTTTCTTGTTCCATACCATTGTGGTTGGAAAAGATAATTGATATGAATTCAATCTAGTTAAATTTCTTAAGATTTCTTTAGGGCCTAACATGATCTATCCTGGAGAATATTCTATGTCCATTGATAATGTGTATTCTTCTATGTAATGTTCTGCATATGTCTGTTAGGTTCATTTAGTCTAAAGTTCAATATTTCCTTGCTGGTTTTCCTGTCTAAATAATCTTTTCATTGTTGAAAGTAGAGTATTGAAGTCCCCTACTATTATTGTCTATTTCTCCCTTCAGAACTCTTAATATTTCCTTACTATGTTTAGGTGCTCTGATGTTGGGTGCACATATAATTACAATTGTTATTTTCTCTTGATAAATTTAACCACTTCATCATTATATAATGACTTTCATCTCTTTATTATTATTATTATTATTATCATTATTATTATTATACTTTAAGTTCAAGGGTACATATGCACAATGTGGAGGTTTGTTACATAGGTATACATGTGCCATAGTGGTGTGCTGCACCCATCAACTCATCATTTACATTAGGTATTTCTCCTAACACTATCCCTCCTCCAGCCCCCCACCTCTCAACAGCCCCTGGTGTGTGATGTTCCCTTCTCTCTGTCCCTGTGTTCTCATTATTCAACTCTCACTTATGAGTGAGAATATGCTGTGTTTGGTTTTATGTCCTTGTGATATTTTGCTGAGAATGGTGGTTTCCAGCTTTATCCATGTCCCTGCAAAGGACATGAACTCATCCTTTTTTATGGCTGCATAGTATTGCATGGTGTATATGTGCCACATTTTCTTTATCCAGTCTAATATTGATGGACATTTGGGTTGATTCCAAGTCTTGCTATTGTGAAGAGGGCCACAATAAACATATGTGTGCATGTGTCTTTATAGTAGCATGATATACAATCATTCGGGTATATACCCAGTAATGGGATCGCTAAGTCAAATGGTATTTCTAGTTCCAGATCCTTGAGGAATCGCCACGCTGTCTTCCACAATTATTGAACTAATTTACACTCCCACCAACAGTGTAAAAGCGTTCCTATTTCTCCACATCCTCTCCAGCATCTGTTGTTTCCTGAATTTTTAATGATTGTCATTCTAACTGGCATGAGATGGTATCTCATTGTGGTTTTGATTTGCATTTCTCTGATGATCAGTGATGGTGAGCATTTCTTCATGTGTTTTTTGGCTGCATAAATGTCTTCTTTTGAGAAGTGTCTGTTCATGTCCTTTGCCCACTTGTTGATGGGGTTGTTTGTTTTTTTTCCTGTAAATTTGTTTAAGTTCTGTGTAGATTCTGGTTATTCACCCTTTGTCAGATGGATAGGTTGCAAAAATTTTATCCCATTCTGTAGGTTGCCCATTCACTCTGATGATAGTTTATTTTGCTGTGCAGAAGCTCTTTAGTTTAATTAGATCCCATTTGTCTATTTTGGCTTTTGTTGCCATTGCTTTTCGTGTTTTAGTCATGAAGTCTTTGCTCACGCCTATGTGCTGAATGGTATTGCCTAGGTTTTCTTCTAGGGCTTTTATGGTTTTAGGTCTTACATTTAAGTCTTTAATCCATCTTGAGTTAATGTTTTGTAGGGTGTAAGGAAGGGGTCCAGTTTCAGCTTTCTACATATGGCTAGCCAGTTTTCCCAGCACCATTTATTAAATAGGGAATCCTTTCCCCATTTCTTGTTTTTGTCAGGTTTGTCAAAGATCAGATGGTTATAGATGTGTGGTGTTATTTCTGAGGCCTCTGTTCTGTTCCATTGGTCTATATCTCTGTTTTGGTTACTGTAGCCTCATAGTATAGTTCGATGTCAGGTAGCGTGATGCCTCCAACTTTGTTCTATTTGCTTAGGATTGTCTTGGCTATGCGGGCTCCTTTTTGGTTCCATATGAACTTTAAAGTAGTTTTTTCCAATTCTGTGAACAAAGGCAGTGGTAGCTTGATGGGGAGGGCATTGAATCTATAAATTACCTTGGGCAGTATGGCCATTTTCACGATACTGATTCTTCCTATCGATGAGTATGGAATGTTCTTCCATTTGTTTGTGTCTTCTTTTATTTTATTGAGCAGTGGTTTGTAGTTCTCCTTGAAGAGGTCCTTCACGTCCCCTGTAAGGTGGATTCCTAGGTATTTTATTCTCTTTGTAGTAATTGTAAATGGGAGTTCACTCATAATTTGGCTCTCTGTTTGTCTGTTCTTGCTGTATAGGAATGCTTGTGATTTTTGCAAATTGATTTTGTATCCTGAGACTTTGCTGAAGTTGCTTATCAGCTTAAGGAGATTTTGGGCTGAGACAATGGGATTTTCTAAATATAAAATCATGTCATCTGCAAATACAGACAATTTGACTTCCTCTTTTCCTGATTGAATACCCTATATTTCTTTATCTTGCCTGATTGCCCTGGCCAGAACTTCCAATACTATGTTGAATAGGAGTGGTGAGAGAGGTCATCCTTGTCTTGTGCCAGTTTTCAAAAGGAATGCTTCCAGTTTTTGCCCACTTAGTAACATATTGGCTGTGGGTTTGTCATAAATAGCTCTTATTATTTTGAAACACATTCCATCAACATCTAGTTTATTGAGAGTTTTAACATGAAAGGCTGTTGAAGTTTGTCGAAGGCCTTTTCTGCACATATTGAGATAATCATGTGGTTTTTGTTGTTGGTTCTGTTTATGTGATGGATTACATTTATTGATTTGTGTATAATGAACCAGACTTGCATCCCAGGGATGAAGCCAACTTGATCGTGGTGGATATGCTTTTTGACGTGTTGCTGGATTCGGTTTGCCAGTGTTTTACTGAGGATTTTCACATCGATGTTCATCAGGGATATTGGCCTAAAATTATCTTTTTATATAGTGTCTCTGCCAGGCTTTGGTATCAGGATGATGCTGACCTCATAAAATGAGTTAGGGAAGATTACCTCTTTTTCTGTTGATTGAAATAGTTTCAGAAGGAATGGTACCAGCTTTTCTTTGTACCTCTGGTAGAATTTGGCTGTGAATCCTTCTGGCCCCAGACTTTTTTTTGTTGGTAGGCTATTAATTAATGCCTCAATTTCAGGACCTGTTATTGGTCTATTCAGAGATTCAACTTTTTCCTGGTTTAGTCTTGGGAGGGTGTATGTGTCCAGGAATTTATCCATTTCTTCTAGATATTTTAGTTTATTTCTGTAGAGGTGTTTATAGTATTCTGATAGTAGTTTGTATTTCTGTGGGATCAGTGGTGATATCCCCTTTATCATTTTTTATTGCATCTATTTGATTCTTATCTCTTTTCTTCTTTATTAGTCTTGCTAGCTGTCTATCTATTTTGTTGATCTTTTCAAAAAACCACCTCTTGGATTCATTGATTTTTTGTGTCTCTGTCTCATTCAGTTCTGCTCCGATCTTAGTTATTTCTTGTCTTCTGCTAGCTTTTGAATTTGTTTCTCTTGCTTCTCTAGTTCTTTTAATTGTGATGTTAGGGTGATTATTTTAGATCTTTCCTGCTTTCTCTTGTGGGCATTTAGTGCTATAAATTTCCCTCCACACACTGCTTTAAATGTATCCCAGAGATTCTGGTACGTTGTGTCTTTGTTCTCATTGATTTCAAAGAACATCTTCATTTCTGCCTTCATTTTGTTATGTACCCAGTAGTCACTCAGGAGCAGGTTGTTCAGTTTCCATGCAGTTGTGCAGTTTGGAGTGAGTTTCTTAATCCTTATTTCTAATTTGATTGCACTGTGGTCTGAGAGACCGTTTGTTGCGATTTCTGTTCTTTTACATTTGCTGAGGAGTGTTTTACTTCCAATTTTTTGGTCAATTTCGGAATAAGTGCGATGTGGTGCTGAGAAGAATGTATATTCTGTTGATTTGGGGTGGAGAGTTCTGTAGATGTGCATTACGTCTGAATTCAAGTCCTGGATATCCTTGTTAATTTTCTGTCTCATTGATCTGTCCAATATTGACAGTGCGGTATTAAAGTCTTCCATTATTATTGTGTGGGAGTCTAAGTCTCTTTGTAGTTCTCTAAGGACTTATTTTATGAATCTCGGTGCTCCTGTATTGGGTGCATATATATTTAGGATAGTTAGTTCTTCCTGTTGAATTGATCCCTTTACCATTATGTAATGGTTTTCTTTGTCTCTTTTGATCTTTGTTGGTTTAAAGTTTGTTTTATCAGAGACCAGGATTGCAGCCCCTGCTTTTTTTTTACTTTCCATTTGTTTGGTAGATCTTACTCCAACCCTTTATTTTGAGCCTATGTGTGTCTTTGCATGTGAGATGGGTCTCCTGAATATAGCACACAGATGGGTCTTGACTTTTTATCCAATTTGCCAGTCTGTGTCTTGTAATTGGGGCATTTAGCCTGTTTACATTTAAGGTTAATATTGTTATGTGTGAGTTTGATCCTGCCATTATAATGTTAGCTGGTTATTTTGCCCGTTAATTGATGCAGTTTCTTCACAGCCTCGATGGTCTTTATAATTTGGCATGTTTTTGCAGTGGCTGGTACCCGTTGTTCCTTTCCATGTTTAGTGCTTCCTTCAGGAGCTCTTGTAAGGCAGGCCTGGTGTGACAAAATCTCTCAGCATTTACTTGTCTATAAAGGATTTTATTTCTCCTTCACTTACAAAGCTTAGTTTGGCTGGATATGAAATTCTGGGTTGAAAATTCTTTTTTTTTCTTTAAGAATGTTGAATACTTGGCCCCCACTCTCTTCTGGCTTGTAGGGTTTCTGCCAAGAGATCCACTGTTAAGTCTGATGGGCTTCTCTTTGTGGGTAACCTGACCTTTCTCTCTGGCTGCCCTTAACATTTTTTCCTTCATTTCAACCTTGGTGAATCTGAACACTTATGTGTCTTGGGGTTGCTCTTCTCGAGGAATAGCTTTGTGGCGTTCTCTGTATTTCCTGAATTTGAAAGTTGGCCTGCCTTGCTAGGTTGGGGAAGTTCTCCTGGATAATAGCCTGAAGAGTGTTTTCTAACTTGGTTCAATTCTCCCCGTCACTTTCAGGTACACCAATCAAACATAGATTTGGTCTTTTCACATAGTCCCATATTTCTTGGAGGCTTTGTTCATTTCTTTTCACTCTTTTTTCTCTAATCTTGTCTTCTCGCTTTATTTCACTAATTTGATCATCAATCACGATATCCCTTCTTCTGCTTGATCAAATCAGCTACTGAAGCTTGTGTATGCTTCATGCAGTTCTCGTACTGTGGTTTTCAGCTCCATCAGGTCATTTAAGCTCTTCTCTACACTGCTTATTCTAGTTTGCCATTCCTCTAACCTTTTTTCAAGGTTTTTAGCTTCCTTGCAATGGGTTAGAACATGCTTCTTTAGCTCAGAGAAGTTTGTTATTACCGACTTCTGAGGCCTACTTCTGTCAACTCGTCAAACTCATTCTCTGTCCAGTTTTGTTCCCTTGCTGGCAAGGAGTTGTGTTCCTTTGGAGGAGAAGAGGCATTCTGCTTTTTGGAATTTTCAGCCTTTCTGCTCTGGTTTCTCCCCATCTTTGTGGTTTCATTTGCCTTTGGTCTTTGTTGTTGGTGACCTACGTATGGGGTTTTGGTGTGGATGTCCTTTTTGTTGATGTTGATGCTATTCCTTTCTGTTTGTTAGTTTTCCTTCTAACAGACAGGCCCCTCAGCTGCAAGTCTGTTGGAGTTTGCTGGAGGTCCACTCCAGACCCTGTTTGCCTAGGTATCACCAGCAGAAGCTGCAGAACAGCAAATATTGCTGCCTGATCCATCCTCTGGAAGCTTCGTCCCAGAGGGTCACCTGCCTGTATGAGGTGTCTGTCAGCCCCTACTGGGAGGAGTCTCCCTGTCAGGCTACACGGGGGTCAGGGACCCACTTAAGGAGGCAGTCTGTCCATTATTGGATCTCAAATGCCATGCTGGGAGAACCACTGCTCTCTTCAGAGCTGTCAGGCAGGGACGTTTAAGCCTGCAGAAGCTGTCTGCTGCCTTTTGTTCAGATAGGCCCTGCCCCCAGAGGTGGAATCAAGAGAGGCAGTAGGCCTTGCTGAGCAGCCGTGTGCTCCACCCAGTTCGAGCTTCCCTGCCGCTTTGTTTACACTGTGAGCATAAAACCGCCTACTCAAGCCTCAGCAATGGCAGATGCCCCTCCACCCGCCAAGCTCCAGCATCCCAGGTCGATCTCAGACTGCTGCACTAGCAGCAAGCAAGGCTCCGTGGACGTGGAACTCGCTGAGCCAGGCATGGGAGGCCTAAATGACACTTATCCTAAATGACACTTGCCCTAAATGACACTGATCACTGTTTAAAAATAAGCCAGATTATTAGTCCCTAACTTAAAGCCATTCAATTCATGTGCTTGTAATAAAACCCAAGCTTTTATCCATGGCCCACCTCCCATCCCTACCATCCCTTGATGATCTTCACTTTCATTTGTTCTCTGGTTGATCCCTTCAACATGGCACATCCTTTTTGCCTCATGACAAAAAGTAAAATTAAACTTACATTTCATCTTCCTAAAAGTTTGTCCTCTATACCTTTCTGTGTCGGGTTATTCTTTGTGAAAGTTCTCAGCACAGATGTGTTCCCTCTCAGACTATCCTTTCTGAAGGAAGCCTCCCCACTTCAATGACCAACTATCGTCATGCTTATTTTCTTCACAGAGTTTACCACAATTCATTTTCTTACTTATGTAACATTCACCTCACCTACTTAAATACAAACTTTTCAGTGACAGGAACTTGATATAGCTCATTGGCATACCTAGTGCACAGCATAATACCTGGCATTGCAGATGGTCAATATTTGTTAAATACTGCACTGGTGAGAATCCCACATTCATCTACTTCTCTGGATCCTACCATTCTTGACTTTGTAAATGCTCTTTAGCTAGTGAGCCAATTCACTATCATTTCCCACCCAAAGCCCCCTTGAAAGTATTTGTCTACACTGTGGGTGAATGGGCCATATCTTCAAGACTGGAAAATTACCCAGACATTCCAAGCTGCATAAAAACAGCTTAACCAAACCTCAAAACTCAATCTGATTTAATACTTTTTATATTAATGTATACATAAAGGAAATGTAAAATTTTGCTTTATTTGAATGGTAATTACATTTTAAATCTTGAAATCAAGCCATAACTAAGCCAAATATGTAGTAAATACTTTGGGAATATTCAGAATATTTTTTCTCAGTACTTATACTGTTCTACTAAAGATAAATCTAAAACTAGCATAAATCATCACACTTTTTCTAGTTTCCCAAAGGAATTACTAAATTTACCTCTTATATTGGAAAAAAAAATTGGGGGGAGGCAAATCATGAGACCATTAAAAATTGTTTTAACATACACAAAGTGGTGGCTCCAATTTGAAATATAAAGACCTGAATCCACAAGAGGCAAGAGTGACATCTTTTAATGGTAGAAAGGATGGATTTACATTGAAATATTTAGGCCAGGTGCAGTGGCTCATACCTGTGATCCCAACACTTTGAAGGGTGGGTAGATTGCTCGAACTCAGGAGTTTGAAACCAGCCTGGACAACAAGGTCAAACCCCATCTCTACAAAAGAAATAAAAAAAAAAATTAGCCAGATGTGGTGGTGCATGCCTGTGGTCCCAGCTGCTCAGGAGGCTGATGCGAGATGATTACTTGAGCCTGGGAGGCGGAGGTTGCTGTGAACCAAGATCGTACCAGTGCACTCCAGGCTAAGTGACAGAGGGAGACCCTGTCTCAAAATAATAATAGTAATAATAAGGAAAAAATAAAGAAAGAGAAAAAGAAAAATTTGAATTTATTGTGCTAAGTTTTCTTCGTTAAATTTATATAATTTCTTCTATAGTATGTACTGTTAAAATGCTTTTTACAATCAAATATTAATTAAATGTCATTACGCATTAGCAACTTCAATTAGAAATTGAAACAAAACACAAATGCACATGAAAAGATCAATTATTTTCAGAGAGAATAGAGTACAATACTGAATTTTCAATAATTCAAAATTTACTTTGGTTGCCAATATAGAGCTTTATTTTAAGTCCTGATTATAATTAGGCTTGGTTTATATTAAATAAGGTACTAAGAATAGTGACAATCTCTTTGCCTTAGCACTACTGAGATATGTAAGAAGTCAGAATTACAAGAGACTGGAAGAAAAAGGAAGGTTCTTAAACAATAATCCCTCTTACACACGGTTTTGCTTGTTACCCTAGTCAAAAAATATTAAACGAAAAATCCTAGCAATAAACAATTCATAAGTTTAAATTGCATGCCCTTCTGAGTAGTGTGATGAAATTTTGGGTCACCCTGCTCTGTTCTGCTTAGAACATAAATCACCCCTTTGTTCAGCATATTCACTCTGCATATGTCACCAGCCTATCTGAACATTTAGTGGTTTTCCTGATTGTCAGATCAATCATGATGGTATCACAGTGTTTGTGTTCAAGGAACCTTTATTTTATTTAATGATGGCTGCAAGAATATTGATGCTAGTATGTTGTTATAATTGTTCTTCATTATTAGTATTGTTGTTAATTGCTTACTGTGCTTTATTTATAAATTAAACGTTATCATAAGTATCTATGTATAGGAAAAAAACCAGCATACATAGAGTTCTGTATTATTTGTGTTTCCAGGCACTCAGCACTGTGAGTCTTAAAGCATATCCTCCCCTGGCCAGACGTGGTGGCTCACGCCTGTAATCCCAGCACTTTGGGAGGCCAAGGTGGGCAGATCACTTGAGGTCAGGAGTTCGAGACCAGCTTGGCCAACATGGTGAAACCCCGTATCTACTAAAAATACAAAAATTAGAAGACGTGGTGGCACACACCTGTAATCCTAGCTACGCGGGAGGCTGAGGCAGGAGAATTGCTTGTACACAGGAGGCAGAGGTTGCAGTGAGCTGAGATCGCACCACTGCACTCCAGCCTGGGCAACAGAGCAAGACTTCATCTGAAAAAAAAATAATCCTTCACAGATATGGGGAAACTACTCTAGGTTGATGATCCATTAATGTAAAACCATTTTCTCTTTTCAAACTTCGTGTGTGTGTGTGTGTGTGTGTGTGTGTGTGTGTGTGTGTGTGTCTTTGTTCTCTGACCTTCTCCTCCACAGCCTTCTTAGGTCTCATCTCTCTACTTGTTTGTCTCTATACAATGGTAAGCTTTTGGGACTAGAACCACATGTCCCACCCATCATGACACTCCCAGAAGTGCCTAGCCTCACATTATGCATATACTAAAATGTGTGTCTGTATATATAGAATAGAAAACCAAATGCAATGGTTTCCCTCATGTCCATTTTATGTCCCTGGAAGTATAATATACTTTTATATCTAGACTATAAGTCCTGTATCTGTATAGGGATTATTAGTTTTTCAAAGAACTTTCATAATTATGCCCTTATTTTGATAACAATGATATGAAATAACAAGAGCAGTGTTATTACACAGTAGGAAACTGAAGTATAAACCTTTAGATATCTCTAAATGATTTGTCTTAATTCACAAAAACTGGCAGAACTTAGACTAAGATACATATTCTCTCCTTTTAATCCAAGTTTGTTTCTCTTAGATACACTTGAAATGCCTTTCACAATAGTGAAAATTAAGTACTTTGTTCGCAAAAGGAAAAACAAGAAAAAAAAAGATCAACCAGCTTTTAAAAAATTTATTGTGACTCAACCTTAATTGACTTAAACTTTGGTTAAACAGAAATAACTGCGAACCCATTTGAACAAGTCATCAGTGTTCAACAAAATATTCAACACATATTTGATGAGTGCCAAAAACTTTACTAGACAAAGTGAACTTTGAAACCCCTAACTGAAACCCCATACAGGATCTTCCTCACTGTTTGTTTGTCATTAATTTAGTATAACTACCTATAGTGCTACCTTACTAAAAAATACTATTTCCGTCACTTGCCTTTGCTTGGCTACATGGCAACTAAATGACCAGAGTAATGTCAACAACGTGGATTCTTCCAGGGGCCTGTGACATCAGTGCTGTTGGAGGAGTTCAGTGCTAATAGATTTGGCTCATGTTTTCAGTTGTTTGATTTTCAGTCTGGAAAAACAGCGTACAGCATAGCAAAAATAAACAATTACCAAGGTTCTGGGAAGCATACTAGAAATAAAGGATTTATTTTATGTTTTTATATTCTTTTCTACTGTTTTATGCCTAACCAAAATAAAATGTGCATTTCTTAAATCACTGACCCCAAGGCCAAAATAATGGTCAAGTACAAAAAAGAAAGAAGGAGAAAAAGGAGAAAGCCTGAAATATACCAAAGTGAAAATGAAGCCAAGAGAGATATACATGGGTATTGCTTACTAAACAACAAAATAAGAGGATAACTTAAAAACAACAACAAAAAAGAATACCAAAAAAACACACAAAACAAACAAAAAATAATAGGATAACTTAAAGTAGGACTCCCCAAGGTGTTTGAACAACACCATTTTTTGTAGAAGGCAAAGATAAAGCTCCAGTTCTGACAAAGCCTCATAAAGAATGGGCTGGATCAGAAAGGACTTAATAAGTGGCATTGTAGAGGGTAGATGGGATTGTATGACTAATCATAGCAAGAGCTGTTTTTTAAAATCCAGGCCTGCAAGTGCCACACTCTTTTTCAGGAAGAAAGAATACCTGTGGGCAAAGTGAGGCTGTAGCAGTGGCAGGTGCCTAAAATATGAAGGCCAAGCTGCCACATTGCTCCCTGGAAATTCACAAACAATGCTACCTAAATTTCTTATTCCCAAAATAGAAATAGGTGGGTCCAAGGACAGTTCTTCTAACACCGTGCTTCAACTATTTTAACCTAAGACTCTTCATCTTTCATATCAGTTGCTATAATTATCATTTTGAAACAGTACATGCATTTCTTGCTATATATAGATAGAAGGAATGCGTATTTGGATGTCAGTGTCATTTTGTATACCTTCCTTGGAACAACAGTAGTATTCAACTAGTCCTTCACTGTTAAATCTGACCCCTCCCTGAAACTCATTCTCACCAGACAAAACTAGAGGCACTGTTTGAAAAGCTAGGACTCATTTTGTTTCCCCTTTGAGAAAACCCACAGGAAAAGCCAGCTTTCATAGAGGCAAATGTGGAAGCGATTACTAGCATTATGAATAGATCATTCTTTCAAATATATGAGTTACTCAAAGTATGTCTTATTGTGTGTGCATAGATGACTAACTACTTGAGGAATAGGCCTCATTAAAATGGTGGTGCCATGGTCATTGTATCATCATCATCATCATCACTCCCATACTACAGATAAATAATCTCAAAAATGTAAATAATGCATCTACAGAAACAGTAAGTGGTAAAGCAAGACGTGTTCACAGGACTATGTCTTCAGTAACAGGCTCTCATTTATTTTACCACATGATCTTATTTTGGCTTTTCTATCATTATATGCATTATTTTAAATGTTGTATGGTATAGGTAGATCTATAACAACTATTATATAAACGGATAAAACAGGCATACCATCATTAGTTTAAGAGCAGAAAAGTCACTGCAATGTGTCAAGCCACACTTTAAAGTGTTAGGTGCACATTTTCCCACACATTTGCATTATACTCTAAAGCTTTATATGAATTTCTAATATTGTAAGTAAAAAAAAGTTGTATAAAATTAAAGTGTTTCACAATGCTGATTGCTTTTCACAAGAATTCTTCATTGAAAAATTCCAAATTAGATTAATAATGATAAAATGTAGACAATGTATGCAATGATCTAACTTTTACCCTTGACTATTGCAATACACAGTTAATAGTGGTTTAAACATAAAATACTTCTCAGTTTGCTTTGAAGATGACTGAAACGCACCTTCTTTTATCACAGTTAAAGAGGAGTTAGGACCTCTCATTTCACATTTACGGTTTCTCAATTTTTGAAATAAAACTGGCAAATTCACTACAATCCACGTATTTATATTCATTAACACTGAGTACAAAGAAAATGTCAGAGATGAGACGAAAAACAAAAGCGTGTAGTGCTCCCAGTAGCTTAAGAAGTAGAGAGTTTCAGGAAAAAGGGAAGAATCACTGGCAGCAAATCCAATGAGGGTTTGTAAAATAAGAAATGAAAATGAATATAAAATATGAAATGAGTTTCTAATGTAAGTCAGAAAGAGGTCACTGAGACCTGCAAAACGAGTTGTTTTAGTAGGGGGGTGTAGGGGATAGAGGCCAGATGGCTTTGTGAGTGCCGATGGTGGCCTGAGTTAATCCAAGGATAGCTGTGTCAAAACAAATTTAAGGCAGACTATTTTCATTGGAAAATCAGTAAGACAATAAACTTAATTGGTTTTTTAAAAGAAAACAACCTTCCTCAATTAAAAATCCCAATTTTTTTGCTTGTTTTATTAATACATTTGCTACTCATTTTTTTAGACTATATATGCTCAATAACTTGACCTAAAAATTCTTGATCAGATTAGATGTCACTGACTGCCCTATCTCCGTCTGTATATCAGACTAGCAATTATTAAACAAAAATCAAAGACAGCAAATTAGTATGACAAGAAGATTGTATTTAATGAAATTTGACCTGAATCTGAAAGATGGAGAAAGAAAAATAGTGTGTATTAAAATATGTCAAAAGTGGATTAGGCTCTGACAACACAAAGACTTACAGATTTGTCTCTTGAACAAATACCTTTAAATTGTGCGTTAATTCCAAGTGGTTTGGTTTTGTTCCATCAGTAGCAACACTCCCTGCAGCTGAATTGGCAGGTCCTTTGTTTTCATAAGAGTTCTTTGAACCAATCAGGACAGAGATAATCTTATTATACCTCTGTAGGCTTGCGTTTCTTTTGATGAGAGTCTAGAGAAGTCATGGGTAATACTTTACCGTGTGCCAGAGACCGCTTATGTTTCAGTTGTACAAGGTCAGGTCTTAATTTAACCACCAACTGGATACTTAATTTTAGATACACAGAAGCACACATTGGCTCCAGGGCACTTCCTCTGATTTAGGAAGGCAAGTCCCTGGATAAGAATGACAAGATGATCATTCCAAAAGGTGAGATTATGAAATATTTGATCTGTACCTCACCAACTAGCTTATTGAATAGTTCATTATTGGTAATATTTTAAACAGATTGAAATACAAATTATAGTAGCTACTCATTACTTTCTTTCCACTTGATCACCTACGGGCTTACCTGTTTAGAGCCTTTTTAATTAGAGACTAAAGCTAGAATTTGTTTGCTTATAGAATATCAACTCAATTGCATAATTACTAAGCATAAAAAATTGTATCATGAGAAAAACAGATTAAGAATGAGTATCCTTATAGAACATGTCAATATATTTACTATAGAATCCCAGAAGGGTCTCAGCTCACCTCTTGGTTTCTAATAAAAAAAATTAAATAATTTTTGTGAATAAATAAAATAAATCTTTTAAGGCTTTTTCATCACTTGTTGAAAAAGATGAATGCTTTCTGCCCAGATTGAAACATTTCTTTAAATTAGTTAGATTTTTTAAAAAATAAACCGAATAGAATTGGAAATTTACTCCTGCAAATTATATCACAAAATCTAAAGGTTGGAAAGTCCTTAAAATTTATCTGATATCGTCACTCATATTGTTCTTAAATGCACAGTTAACTTCTAAGGAGCTTTCTATATCTAAAATGATTTGACTTCCACGAAGTAAAGCAGTGATGTGGACAAGAAAAATCTTATCACTGCTTTGTGCTGAGATTATTAATTTATTGTGATAAAAATTATAATTTTACACTTCAGTTATTTTATGAGAATATTTTATCTTCAAATAGAAATTTGCCTACAAGTTTTATATTTCCCCTGGAGTTGTTCGATGAATTTGTTAGGTAGTTGCTTAAACTTTTTGAGAAAACTTTTTCTCAGGTTTATGAATTTTTAGGTTACAAAATAAGACCCTCTTTTCATTAATTCATTCAAAGTAGCTGAGTCATAGTTAGAGTATACTGGTTAAGCGTGTGTGGCCTCCATTGTCAGATGACTGGGCTATATCCCACTCTCCACTGCCCACTAGATATGTGGGCTTAGGTAAGTTACCTAATGACTCTGTGCTTCAGTTTTCTCATCTGTAAAGTGGGGGAGAATTATGTCATAGACGTTAAGTGACATCCATTTAATGCACTTAGTGTAATCCCTATCACAGGTAAACACTCAATAGATATTAGTTATAATAATTATTAAACTCAATATAAAAATACTTATTAAAGACTTGCTATGCTATGTGCTTTACTGTGTGCTAAACCTTAAAGAGAAATTGGTATTATTTCTGGAGAAAAATCTAAAATACATTATTTAAAGGCAGAAAACTCTCTGAGGGCATGGATCCCATATATATGTGTCTAGCCCTGTGCCTGGAACACAACAGACGTTGAATGTATATTTTTGCATGGACAAATAGGATAGTCTGAACATCCTTAGGAAAAAAATAATCACTAAGAATTGGTGGGTTAATTCTTTTCCTTTGTCTTTTTGATTAGCAGAGCAAAGGAATGTAGTATCATAGATAACTGTGCATTTGTATTACAACAAGGTATTTGACAATATTCCTTGATGATGGTCTTATTATCAAAAAGGAGACATTAATACTAGGTGGTGGTGTCTTTAAGAGGGTTTGTAGCTGGATAAACACCTTTTCTGGGAGGGTGCAAAATAATGGATCAATGTCAACATAGAGGCCTCTGTCCTTTGCCAATTTCTTTTCAACATTTATCTTTATCAGTGGAGCTTAAGGACATATAGAAGGCATGCTTATTAAGTCAGCAAATAAAACAATACTTGGAGAGATAGAAAATGCATTCAATTTTAGCAGAAGGAAATAAAGGCCAAATTGAAAAAATATAAAATGTAATAGGAATAAATAGAGTCCAATAGGGTCCTGCATACAATTGCACAGAAAACAACGTGGGGAAAACATACGACTTGTAGATCTTTGGGATACTGGGGTCTAAATCAAGTCTGTAACATAATAGCCTAAATATTTATCTGAACTTGGACTAAATTAACAGATGTATAGTGTTTGAGAAAAGGGAACACTTAAACTTGTGTTGGTCTGACTGTAGCTGTTGTGTTGCCTTCAGAGCCTGTGGTTCAGTGTCACTTTTAGAAAGAAATGGATAAACAAATGTGTTTCCAGGAAAGCAGTCAAGACAGTGCAGGAGGTGAGGCCATCTTATAGGAAGAGCAGTTGTCCAGCCTCTGGAAGAAAAAGCTCAGTGGAGATCTGACAGCCTTCCTGGGGGATATTAACAGGGCTCCTGTGTTGCAGAGGAACACTACTTTCTCAGTGTAGCTCTGAGAAAGAGAACCAGAAAAAGGTAAGAGAAGTAGAAACATTATCTTCAGATAATGTTTTGAAGAGTGGATTCAAGTTCACTGGTTTTCCTAATTGTGAAATCTGGCTAGGCCGGGTGCCATAGCTCATGCCTATAATCCCAGCATTTTGGGAGGCCGATGGGGGAGAATCACCTGAGGTCAGGAGTTCAAGACCAGCCTGACCAACGTGGTGAAACCCTGTCTCTAATAAAAATACAAAAATTAGCCCAGCATAGTGGTGGGCTCCTGTAATCCCAGCTACTCGGGAGGCTGGGGCAGGAGAATCACTTGAACCTGGGAGGTGGATGTTGCAGTGAGCCGAGATCATGCCATTGGACTCCAGCTTGGTTGACAGAAGGAGACTCTGTCTAAAAAAAAAAAAAATGCTGGCTAAAGAAGAAGCACCGTGTGAGGAGATAGCAAACTCCCTGACACTTTGATGTTCAAACTGAGGCTACCAATTACTTATTGGGCATGTTGTAAATAAAATTTACAGGTGGGGCTACCTGACAGTCTTTAACTCTGAAAATTGGTGATTCTAGGGAAAAGGAGGGAGAAGAAAATAAAATGGGGGTGTCAGGGTCAATATTCAAGGGTAAGGAATAGAACTAAAACTTTCAAAAAGTACTAGAATCCTACTTTCCCATTCCACAGGAGTTCAATCACAGAATAATAACAGGTAATGTTTACTGACTACTTGTGACACGTCAGACACAGTTAACCAGGCAGCTAATGCAGGCAGGTCGGCATTTGAACAAAGGTTCAACCGTTATATTCAACTGCCTCCAACAGAAAGAAATCAATGGCCTGTACATGATTTCAAAACAAGATATGAAAAAATGCAGTGACTCATTATTATTTGAATCAATTTTGAAGGGAAAAAAATTTGACTTGAGCACCAGACAGGATTGTTTGTCATGTTGAACAAAATACATTATGCCAGGAATGAATATTTTTGGAGAGAATATATGCATATATATTTGTATATGAATATTTATGTGTATATGCATAAGAATAATACTTTTTAAAATGCTCAACATCCCTAATCATTAGAGAAATGCAAATCAAAACCACAATGAGATACCATCTCACACACCAGTCAGAATGGCTACTACTAAAAAGTCAAAAAATAACAGATGCTGGCGAGGTTATGGAGAAAAGGGAATGCTTATACAATGCTGGTGGGAATGTAACTTAGTTCGGCCACTGTGGAAAACAGTTTGGTGATTTCTCAAAGAACTTAAAGCAGAATTACCATTCAATCCAGTAATCGCATTTTTGGATATACACCCAAAGGAATATAAATCACCGTACCATAAAGATACATGCACACGTACGTTCACTGCAGTATTGTTCACAACAGCAAAAACATGGAATCAACCTAAATGCACAATGACAGTAGACTGGATAAAGATAATGTTGTACGTATACACCATAGAATACTAGCCAGCCACAAAAAAGAATGAGATTGTGTCCTTTGCAGCAACATGGATGGAGCTGTAGGGTCATTATCCTAAGCAAATTAACACCGGAACAGAAAACCAAATACCCCATGTTCTCACTTACAAGTAGGAACTAAACTGTGAGTACATACGGACACAAAGAAGGGAACAACAGACGCCAAGACCTACCTGAGGGTCGAAAGTGGGAGGAGGGCAAGGATAGAAAAACTACCTATGAGGTACTATGCCTATTACCTGCATGATAAAATACTCTGTACACCAAACCCTTGCAATATACAATTTACCTATATAACAAACGTTAAGATAAAACTTAAAATGAAAGTTAAAAAAAATAATACTTTTTAAAAGTCTGGAGATATTATTTTTATTGTTACTATAGGTAATCAATGTAGTCAAAACGTTTTTTACTCACCCTACAACTCAATTGCACAAACCAAAAGTAGCTTTTTTATTGTCTGTAACTGGCCTCACCTTTCTCAGGAGCCACCACTCACTAATTAATGGAAAATAAACTATTGATTTCATGCAGACAGACACAATAACTTAGGTAATGAAGCCACTGCTTGGACGATTCAGATAAATGAATTGCTCTTTCAAATTTCTGCTCCTTCCCACGCCAAGAAACTCTCTTCACCAAGTTCTACCTGCTTTCCTGTACATTTGGGCAATCTTCTCTCTTCTCGAGGTCACCAAGGTTCCTGGCCTGCTCAGTCCTAAGAGGTAGATGCTAAGCTAATTTTCCTGAGAGGGCTTTGTAAGCTTTGCCTCTGTAAAGTCCATCTTAGTTCACTTTTCTTGTTGTTACTGGTGGTGAAAACTCTTAAAATCTACACCCTTAGCAAATTTCAAGTATACAATACAATATTGTTAACTACAGTTACATTGTTGTACATTAGATTTCCAGAATTTACTCATCCTGCTTAACTGAAATTTGTACCCCTTGGCCAGCACCTCCTAGCCCCAGGCAACCAACATTCTACTCTTTTTTCTATGACTTCAACTTTTTAGATTCCACAGATAAATATCACAATATTTGTCTCTCTGTACCTGGCTTGTTTCATTTAGCATAACGTCCTCTAGGTTGATCCATGTTGTCACAAATGGCAAGATTCTCTTCTTTTTTAAGGTTAATAGTCCATTGTAAATACACAGCACATTTTCTTCATTTATTCATCTGTCAATGGACATTTAGGTTGTTTCTATATCTTGGCTGCCGTAAATACTGCTGCAACTAACATGGAAGTGCAGATATCTCTCTGAGATAGTGATTTCAATTCCTTTGGATATATACACACAGAAGTGAGATTGCTGGATCATAAGGTAGTTCTATTTTTAAATTTTTGAGAAACCTTTGTACTGTTTTTTAAAATAGCTATACCCCCAAAAAAGATAAACTATGTGCCAGAATGGATAGTTTACTTAGCTTGATAGTGGTGAATATTTCACAATGTATACATATGTCGAATTATCAAGTTGTACATGGTAAATACATATAATTTTAAATTGTCAACTATACTTCAATAAAGTTGGGGGAAAAATCCATCATAGTTCCTTAAAAGTGGTTAGTCATATCTGGTTAAATAAACATCATACTTAAACTAACACTTTACATATAATGTTAAATATTCTTCAAGTATATGAATTTTAATAACTGTGTAGTATTCCATTTTTATGTGTACAATAATGTCTTATACAAATTTCCTATTTTGGGACATTTATGTTGTTTCTAATGTTTTGGCAATTTAAACACAGCTGAGATAAACATTCTCACATGCACATCTTTTTTTACATCTCTGATTATTTCTTTTATTTATTTACTTATTTAGTTTTTGAGACAGAGTCTTGTTTTATCACCCAAACTGGAGTGAAGTGGCATGAACATGGCTCACTGCAGCCTCGACCTTCTAGGCTCAAGCAATCCTCCCACCTCAGCCCCCCAAGTAGCTGATACTACAGGTGCCTACCACCACATCCAATTAGTTTTTGTATTTGTTGTAGAGATGAGGTTTCACCATGTTGCCCAGGCTGGTCTCAAACTCCTGAGCTCAGGCAATCCACCTATCTCAGCCTCCCAAAGTCCTCGGATTACAGGCATGAGCCACCAGGCCCGGCCTTCTTCCTAGACATAGAATTACAGAAGAAGGATAGGGCTTTTAAAAATCATTATATCACATTAGCTTGTGATCAGGGCACGTCTACTAATAAGTTGTCTTTTCATGGGCTTATCTTTCTTTAACTCTTTGCTATTCTGTAAGTTTATATTCCCCTAGAAACCTGTGAGTTTGTGAGTCTAAAGCTCCTTCCTAAACTGTTATGAGTGTAGTCCTCAAAAGCTAACATGCATCTTCCCACATTTCTGTTATAATTAAATTTGACTTGGAAATCAATAGTAAAGAGTAAAACTTTCTTTTTTCTCTATTTTTTCTTGTTCTTATTTTATTTTTTTATCTAGTCCTCATACTAATTTCATTAAAATTTTTTACTTTTGTAATATGAAACTGGAGATAAAACTACTAAACGGGTTCTATCGTTAGTATATTTGCATAGAAATTAAGCATCAATCAGTAAAGCCCCAAAATTTGAAGAGAATTCGGCAAAAATATATCTGTGACCTATAAAGAAACACAAGGCTAATTTTAAGAGTTGTGTGTATTTAATTATACAATTATTCATTCATTTAGTAAATGCTGAGTTTTTATCCCATGCCAGATATCATGTTTAGTTTCTACAGATCATTTTGCCTTTTATATCTTTTTCTAAAATGTTGAGTTGTGTTTCTTCGAAGTAACATAAAAGTAGCATTTGTTTTTTGGACTAAGATTGTTTGTGTGTGTGCATGTTTTCAAGGTATCAGAAGAACATACTTTGCTGTTAAGAAAGATGCTATTTAAACTGATTTAGTTCTCCCCATCATGCTTAGGATTTCTCTTCAGTAGAAAAGGCAAATACCATAAAGAAGGAATCGCTGTAACTTATTGCTTGTAAGTAAAATTACCTGTGACTGTGGGGTAAAACCCAATTCTGACAGTTACACTTCTATCTGAAATTTTTGGGGAACTAGTTGATTCTGTTGTTTAAATCATCCTAACGAATCCATTCATGTGATTTGCCACTTTGTGCTATGCAATTCTTTAAAAATAAGCATTCAGCCACCAAATAAAAAGCAAAGTTATAACAGAATTGTATTTATATTGATTTCTCCACATCTTTAAAAGTATGCATACAAATGATCAAAGTGCATAAAAATGAGAATTCGTATTGTTTGGTATATAACAACTGTATTTTTTTTACCGTACCAAAAAAAAAAAAAAAAAAGAAAATGTCTTTTAACTCTTGCCCTTCCTCTGATAGGATAAATCCTGATGATTCTCTCAGGGACCTCTAGTAGATTAGCTCAACACTCGAGAATCATTGCAGCTTCAAGGTAAAAGAAAAATTCCCAGGGAATCAGTGTCCCCCATTCCACACAGCCGAAACCTGCATCTCCCTCAGAACCCCAGGGTTTCTATTTGGGCTGGCCTTGGATAAAATTGTAAAGAAAACCAAATTGTATTCTATTGACCCTTTTGTTGTCCCTTCGTATCACTTCCTACTAGATCCTAGCCTTAAACTTTCTGCCATCTTCCCAGCCTCATGGTACTCCAGTAACTATCCCAAGACATCTTGGTTCTAAACTAGGGGCCAGTATGTTGCTATCTAAATTTTAAAAGGGACACTGGAAGATGGAACAATAAGCCCTAAAGGACAGAATCTCTTGCTGATGCAATAGAATGACACTGATGTGACAGGTGCTGGGGGCAGTGTGTTATTTATAGACACAGAGCCCTTCCTTGCACCATGGAAGCAACTGTCCACTCTGCTTAGTCTCAAGGCCAGCCTTGTTTAGGACTCATAGAGATGGTTTCAATTTTGTTATGCCCAAGACAGAGTGTGAGGGTAGGTGGGGAAAACAGATCTGCATGTAAGCAGGAGTAAACCAACTAAACAATACATGAGGAAGAAAGTTGTATTCGTCCTTTTTCAGGGAAAGGGAGAACCTTGGTTCCGTGCTGTGGGAGCTACTGTATTTCAAAGGAAGCTCTGACAGGTGTCAAAAATTTATCAGCTGCCTTTACAGGAAGGCATTAGCTCTGATCATGGTTTGGAGGCAGTTTAGCAAAACTGATGCAAAAAGGTGTCATATATTCATGTTCACTCCTGCATCATATTTTTCAACATTACCAACCTCCTCACCATTTCAGTCAGGCACCAACTGGTATGTCGATCCTGTTGTTTGGACCATGATGTTTAGACTCCAAGGCAAAAAGTACAGAATGAAGGCAAGCTTAGGAACCTCAGACCACCCTAAGTAACATAAAGCCTTATTGCATGGAGCCAAAGAAAAAGATTTATGTGTCCCTGGAAGCTATTTTTTATTTTTGGAAGTGATTGTCATCAAATGCTGGCTGTTAAAAGCAAGATCACAGTGTTTTCTTTTAAAGGCAACAGACTGTGAGATATTTTCCTCTAACTTCTGAAAGACCTTAAAAGTGAAGGTATTTCCTGCTCGGTCCAGACTCTACTTATTAGCTCTGGGACATTTGGTGGGTCATTTAACCTCTTGAATCTATAATACCTACAATATAGAATTGGAATGAGAATTTAAAACAAGGTAATATATGCAAAATGCTTTGCACAGTGCTTGAAACAAAGCAAGCACTTGATAATTTATGGTTATTATTACTATTGCCAAATGTATCAAAAAATTTACATGATCACCAAAGTTCCCTTTTCTCACTATCTGAATTAAGGATTTAACATAGCCTATCTGTAAAATAAACTAAAACTTATTGATATCTGAGGAATATATTTGGCATTTAGCATTTAGGAATCCTTAATTCAGTGGTTTTTTACCAGGAGAACATGAAAAAACCTCTGAGATTCCATAAGTTCCCTAAAATCGCATGCAAAATTTTGAGTGGACATGTGTCCCTCTGGAGGGAGAATCCATAGCTTTTATCAAATGTTTTCATGACCCTAAGCAAGGTTAACCAGTGCTTTAAATGAAGAGGCTGATTGTACAATATGATTGCATCAGTTACTTTGTAAATCAGCTACTTATGGAGAACAAATGATTTATCTTGTGGTCTTCTCTAGAACAAGATTGAATGTTAAATGGCAAATTATTATTAAGAGTCAGTTTCTCTAGGCCAGGCATGGTGGCTCATGCCTGTAATCCTAGCACATTGCGGGGGCCCATCTCTACTAAAAATACAAAAATTAGCCAGGCATGGTGGCCGGTGCCTATAATCCCAGCTACTCGGGAGGCTAAGGCAGGAGAATCACTCGAACCCAGCAGGCGGGAGGTTGCAGTGAGCCAAGATTGTGCCGTTTCACTCCAACCTGGGCAAAAGAGCAAAACTCCATCTCAAAAAAAAAAAAAAAAAAAAAAGAAAAGAAAAATCAATTTTCTCTAGACTGAGAAGTGGGATACCCACACATATACCTTAAAGATGTCAAAATATTGTCTGGCCTTTCCTCATGCTTCTGAGTAGTGCTTTATAGAAATAATTTCCCATAGACTGTTGCTGGCCCTCAGGTGGGATTGAGTCCTAGCCACTCAAGGAGGTTTAGATAAATAATTTTTTTTTCTTTTTTTTGAGACGGAGTCTCGCTCTGTCGCCCAGGCTGGGGTGCAGTGGCGCGATCTCGGCTCACTGCAAGCTCCGCCTCCCGGGTTCACGCCATTCTCCTGCCTCAGTCTCCCGAGTAGCTGGGACTACAGGCGCCCGCCACCGTACCTAATTTTTTTTGTATTTTTTTTTAGTAGAGACGGGGTTTCACCGTGTTAGCCAGGATGGTCTCGATCTCCTGACCTCGTGACCCACCCGCCTTGGCCTCCCAAAGTACTGGGATTACAGGCGTGAGCCACGGTGCCCGGCCAGTTACTCTTATTTATGAGATAGCACAGGCTCCATAGAGAACTGAACTGGTCTTAGATAAAGAAGTTACTCTTATTTATCTAAAGGATAAATTTATGTGAGGTTTAGATAAATAAGTTACTCTCCTCTTGCCTTTATCATTGTGTCTTGACGTCTTTAAGTCCATTCCAGTAATGCTCCTTTGACTGACTGTCTGGCACCTTAGTACACCTGCATGCAGATCTTCACTTCATCTCAAGCTTTCAGGAAAAGGCTGGAGACACCTGTGCTAGATTGGCGTTGTTCTGCATAGAAAGTGTTCCGATCATTTTCACCCTACTGTCATTAGAGATACCAAACAGGAAGCTAGGGAACTTCCTTTGTGATAGTAGGAGAAAAAAAAAAAACGTTAAAATAAAATACTTTCCACAGACCAGCTCAGTTCTTTATGGAGCCTGTGCTCTCTCATACACTGAAAGCCCAAATTTCAAACAGGGTTAGATTTAAGCTGGTGATTTAAATAGGTGAAAGGCTCTGTATCCTATTACTAATCCCAGAGCCATACAATCCCCCCTATCACCCCAGTAATATCACTGAGAAAGTCACCAGGCAAGGCCACAGGTTGAACTTTGTCATCTACTGGTGCTGGCTGACAGATTCAGTACTTGTCTGCTAGTAATGAGTCAACAACTTTTATTCCAGGGACCACTGACAGCAGCTGTTTGCAATAGTTGACAAGGAGAAGGAATAGAGGGAAAAGATAGAGAAAAGAAGAGATTTTGTTTCCTCTCAGAAAACCAATGGTCCAAGTGAAAACACAAACACAAGTATGTAAATAACTTGTAAAGCAAATACAGAATGAATGAGTATAAACCCAGACATTGGAAAAATATTACATAAGAGGAGATATTCACAGATTAAGATGGCTGGAGAGGAACTGAAGAATTATACCGAGAGTTTATATAGGAGGAATGTCTTGTGCCAGCCTTAACACAGTGCGAGCCATGGATGGGGATCAGCTGGAGGGCCTCGTGAATAAAGAGAAATATTATGTAAAAGAACAGAAGAGAGACAAATGAAGCTAAGCACAGAGTGAACAATCAAATTTGTTTAGTTGGAAAAAAAAGAAACTCCATATCCAAAGGAAATGGTCAGTTCTAAGAACAAAGAAGAGCCCGAATTATATTTCAATGCTCACTTATTAATTCATTAATTCATTTATTCAACACATATTTAGAGAGCACAAACCTGGAGATGACGCTTCTCTTGGCACTGAGATCACAGACTAATTCCCTGCTTTTACTGAGTTACATTCTAAGGAGAGGAGACACACAATGAGCCAATAAACAATAAATTAAAAAGCAAAATACCATTTACATCTATGTGGTGAATAAGATCTCTAGGGTGCCTTTTGAGGAGACTGAGATACCACAGTGTCAGGGAACATGCTTGGTGGAGCATGGTGACTATCTCGTGTGTGGTCTCTGAACATTAGCACTATTCTATACCTTTTGTTCTGAGGTGATATTAAGGCCACTGATATAGAACAATGAACAATTAATCATAATATTGCCATTGAGTTCATGCGCAGTCTGTCCACAGGTTAGAGACCTTGGATGTTAGCAGGTATAGAGTTTGAAATTATCCAACCTTGAGGAAGAATGAGAAGAGGTAAAGCATGTGTCAACTGTGTTTTGGAAATTGCCTGCAGAGCACTCTTTTGTTTTTCTCTCATTCAGAAGACATACTATAAAGTAAAATTTCATATAGAGACTATAAAAGGCTTGAAAAGTACCATCAATCAAAGATAATTTCATATTAGCCAGTCAACTCAGCTATAGAAATTTTATTTCTATATTTACTAAATGTCCTCTCTAAATAAAATAAAGCAATTGACTCAATAGTAAAGAGTAAAATAGTAAATTCATTCTCCTAATTTGATATTTGGGATAAATAAGCAAATGAAGACTAATCTACATTTTTCTGTATTATCTTCAGGGAGGTGGGCCAGTCAAGAGCAGTGGCTTGTAATAGAACTGTGTAAGGGAGTGAATGGGGACTCTATAGGAGGGCTGGTTTCCGGTCTATGGATGAAGTTAAAATGGTCCTTATAACAATGTTCAAATGATGCTCTGAGACCAGTCAGACTTTGAAGCTGACCATTGCTGGTTTGTGAAGAATGTAAAAGGGACCAGGCATGGTGGCTCACACCTGTAAACCCCAGCACTTTGGGAGGCTGAGGTGGGCAGATCACAAGGTCAGGAGTTTGAGACCAGCCTGGCCAACATGGTGAAACTCTGTCTCTACTAAAAAAATATGAAAATTAGCCAGACATGGTGGTGTGCACCTGTAATCCAAGCTACTCAGGAGGCTGAGGAGGGAGAATTGCTTGAATCCAGGAGGCGGAGGTTGCAGTAAGCCGAGATCATGCCACTGCACTCCAGCCCGAGCGACAGAGCAAGACTCCATCTCCAAAAACAAAAGGAATGTAACAGGATGACTGTTCTCCATTACAGCCATTATCCATCTTACCCTCATTGGATCAATTTTTAAGCTTTTAATATGTTATGTACACACTCTCCAAGAAAACTGATGGACCAAAATTGGCATCAATCAGAAGCTCAGGAAAAAGTGAATTCTTATAAGCCCAACTGCAGTCATTACTGAAAAAAAAAAAAGTCAAAAGTTAGAAAGTGCAAATGCTCAAAGGGCAGGTCATTAAAGGTTTCAACAGTTAGACCATTTAAGTTAATAAAATGGACCTCACAAGTAATGTGGATTAAAATGTTACCCACATTTGTATTTGTTAACTAGGGAAAGGAAAATGCATTTTAGTTTTTCACTATGCATTTTTCATGTTTACTCTATGTACTGTTTTGGGCCATTTCTTGATAATAAGAACTTGTCTCGTTCAAAATTATATGCAGGAATGGATACTAATGATGACCCTGATGAAGACCATCTTACAAGTTATGATATTCAGCTAAGTATTCAAGAATCCATTGAAGCCAGCAAGACTGCACTTTGTCCTGAAAGGTAGTATTCAAACCAACTATCCTCAGCAAAATTTCTTTATGGCATTCATTTTGTTGTAAGATAAAATGAATACCGTTTCCTAATTCCTCCTCTAGGAAAATTGACCTTTCCTTTCTGATAGGGAATCTAACAGCTTTCCAAGGGCCACTGTTCATAAGTTTTAGCAATCTGATCTTCCACAAATCCTCACCTCATGTGGAAAACAGGAAAAACCCTATGTGGAAAATTCCTAGATGAATTTGGTTGTATAGAATTGCCTATTTTCTAAATTAATATAGATTAACAAAGGGCAATGAGTAATTTGAACATATTTGCAAGTACAGTTTATAGAACAAATACACAGGTTGGTATACAGAGGTCTGTACACTCTAGAGCTCATTCTGCTACTGATACAGCTAACCCTTTATAGGTAACGTATTCCATTGTTGTATGTTTAAAATATGAAGAATAATGCTAAGCCATGTAGCCCATTAGTTAATGAATGAGAGAAGCGTTGTGGGCTTTTATTCTATATGGCAAAGTAATATACAAACTACCACCTATTTGATTATCTACTACCCAAATGACAAGAATTAATAAATTAAAATATACCTAAAAGTGATGTATTATGTAGGTAGGATTTATAGAGTCTAAAACTGCAAAAGTAAATTTCTTTCTTAAAAAAACACATTATACGTCTGAGAAATAAACTAGCTTACCTTTACTTTTTGTTATAGTGTTTAAAATCTTGTATTCTGGAATTTAGTAGTACTTTTGAAGAGATCCAGTGTTTAAAAATTGTTGCTTTTGAGCTTTGAAAAAATAGACGTAGTACACTGAAATTTCTGGTCTGGAATTTCTCCCTTATCTCCAACAAGCTTTAGAACTTCAGAGCTTCCTGGAAGGCATTCACAACCCTGGTATGCTAGCAGATGTTTCTGCTTAACAGAGTTAAGTAAATTTGTTATGGAATTCCTTCTTTCCACTTAACAAACACACACACCAGAAAACCTCCATGAGGGTTTAAATCATGACCTGCTGGGCCAGTGATTGGGAGTTTGTTCAGTAAATGCCCTGCCTATTTTCACTTGTGGAACAGTTGATTTAAAACTCGCATATGTAGTTTAGACCATAAGCTCCCAAGTAAGTATCTTATTAGCAATTATTAAGTTCAAAGCAAAAAACATTTTTTGAGCATAGAGTGTTTAAAATTAGAAAAACCTAGAGATCTTTCTATTAATTCCATCATTTTGCAGATGAAGAACCCACATCCAGAAAGGCTAATTGGCCTCCCCAGAATCACAAAATCAGGCTGGGAATTGAACCTAGCTCCTCTGAATCTGACTCCAATTGTTTACTCCTTTTTTATTGCTTTGAGATATCTCAGAGATAGCATTGTAATCTTCTATTTTGCCATCTTCACTAATATTCTTAGATCAATGCATCATAAATATACTCTGTGTCTGACTCCCATACATTTACTTTTTAAGGAGATAAAATCAATTATATGCATCTCCTTTGGATCTTGATTATTAAAATTAAGTTTAAAAATGCAATATAAATTAAAATGTTTGGTTCCTTGAACTATATCACTAGTATCTAGTATAAATATTATTTTTCTTTATCTCATAGATTTGTACCCCTAAGTGCTCAAAACAGAAAACTTGTGGAGGCCATAAAACAAGGTAAATGGGTGTACTATCTACAGTGGGATGGACTGGAGATTCCACCTTGCAAAAACAGAGATTAGTCATCAGTCCATGTGTTTAATTTAGGTCACATTCCTGAGCTCCAGGAGTATGTAAAATATAAATATGCAATGGATGAAGCTGATGAAAAAGGATGGTTTCCATTGCATGAAGCTGTTGTTCAACCCATTCAACAAATACTTGAGATTGTTCTGGATGGTAAGAGAACATAAAACATGTTTGACCAAGCCAGAGCAAGAATGTTGATATGTTGATGTTATAAGTGTTTTCAGTGAACATAACTAGCAGAAAGAAAAGGCAGATTAAAATATTATTTGGAATTTGAAAAAGGCAGCACCCATGTTTTAAACTCAGAGTATAAAAATTAGGAATTTTTTTGACATTGGGGGTTTACCTTTTGCATCCTTTTACCTATGAATGAGACACAGGTTGGTGGAAAGATGTGGTTATCACATAAAAGTGATAAAAGTTTCTATATATCATGAATTAATTGAGTCATATATAACACTTTTCTTTTGGAAATCAATTTTAAATTTTTCATTTTGAACTATCTCTTGAGTTAACAGTTTCCAAAAGATTCTTATATAGTACAACAGGGAGTACTGACAATACTGGTCTTTACATTACATTGATTTTTTTCATAATGTAAGCATTAAAAAATATTATGGCAAATCAAGCCACTGTTAAATATTAACAGTAACTTTTATGTTCTAATACAGTGTTTTCACATCTCAGCATCTTACAGAACACTTTTGAGAGTGCCCTATCGTTCAGCTTCCACTGTTGCATGACAGCTCTATGTTCTGGGAGATACATACTTGATTATAAGCCAGCCATCTAGAAAACTAGACAGCCAGACAGACAGATATAGATGATGTTAAGGATCATTTTGACACAGCGATACCTACATTCAAGTACATTCTCCATTCCCACATTCACAGATTTCATTTCACAAAAAAACAATTTCAGTTACAATATAAATTATAATACAAAGGATTGAAACATTGTTTTGTAATGTATCAAGAAATGAGACTTAGCACATCATTTTCAAAAAAGCAGCTAGAAACAGATTTTTGGTTTTCTAGCTGTCAATTTGATTAGCAAGTCCATGTGCATCTACTTTATCCTCACCGTCATTTGGTAAACTTTTGTCAAAGTCCTTTCATTTTCATCAATTGACTTTGTTCAATCCGATGTATATAATATTGGATTGCTCTGATTTGTGTAATATCCTATAAGTGAGTATTTTCAACTTTTCAACATAATGCTTTCATGTCACAGCATCCTATAAGACACTCTGGGAATTCAAGACCTGTGATGGAGAAACACCCTTGACTTTGGCAGTCAAAGCTGGTCTGGTGGAAAATGTAAGAACTTTATTAGAAAAGGGAGTGTGGCCCAACACAAAAAATGATAAAGGAGAGACCCCCCTTCTGATTGGTAAATGACCTTTTTTTCTAGAACTTTTATAGTTTGAAACAAAGAATAAGTATTTATTGGAAACCACTGTATAATGGCTAAAATTGTGATCTCAGTTCCTTCCATTCCCTGAGCTACTTGCCTAACCCCCATGTCTTCTGTCCTGTGATTTTGTTTTCCTATCCCACAAGGATGTCAAATATGAAAGATGGCTACATCCTTCAGTATCCAGTTGTAGAGACTGCAACTAACCAGGAGGGATCTGAATTAGTTTTTTGAAGCCAGAGATAGCAATTTTAAAGGAATATTCTCTAGGTAGGATCCAGTTGTAAGGAGGGTTGCATGTGCCATATGTAGCCAGAAGCAAGAGGTGGAAAGGGATTCCAAAGGGAGACATCAAGTTCACATCAGACTGATCAGGCGAACCTGGAAGGAAGGGAGGCCAGCAGATTCTGAGCACACAGATGCAGAGCATGGCACCTATGAGGGGTACACTGTGACACGAGGGAAGAATGGGAAATCTGAAGGTGACATTTACCAGCTCTGTCTTGTATATCCCGCTATTTGCTGAACAATAAGAATTGGCAAGTCTGTTTGTGAAAGCAGAGAGTGATAAGATTAACTCCAAATGACCCAGAGATAACATTTCCTTTCTCTTAGGGACACAGGGTGGTGGAGTAAGAATGTGGTGTTGGCACGTGAGATCACTGGGTTTAAATCTTAGCTGTGAATTGCAATCATGGGCCTCAGTTTTCTCAAGTATAAAATGGAAATACAACACCTACCATGCAGAATTGTGAGGAAAATTAGAGAAAAAATATATAAAAGCTCTCACATTAATAGATGTTCAAGAGGGAAGAGCCATTATGAAGTTGTCTGTGTGGCGGGAGGAGGAGACGGAAGAGGAGCAGGAGCAGGAGGAGAGGGAGGAAAGGATGTAAGATTATTTACCAGCAATCACAGAGAAAGACGTTAAAGGTCATAACTAGTTAAGAACCATCACAGCTCCTGTTCACAGAGGAATCACTTAAAAAAAAATTTTAAACAACCTTAATATTAAGAAAACCTGAATATTGTTAAGCAAACTTGGATAAATCATGAACATCAGTAAAATATTTGTATTTGATGGCATTGATTCAACAATATCAATGTAAAAAACGTATTAAGAAGTCACATTGGCCAGGCGCGGTGGCTCATGCCTGTAATCCCAGCACTTTGGGAGGCCAAGGTGGGCGAATCACGAGGTCAGGAGTTCAAGACCAGCCTGGCCAGCATGGTGAAACCCCGTCTCTACTAAAAATACAAAAACAAAAATTAGCTGGGCTTCGTGGCAGGCACCTGTAATCCCAGCTACTCGGGAGGCTGATGCAGGAGAATCGCTTGAACCTGGGAGGTGGAGGTTTCAGTGAGCCGAGATCGCACCACTGTACTCCAGCCTGGACGACAGAGAGAGACGCCGTCTCAAAAAAAAAAAAAAAAAAAAAAAAGAAGTCACATTAAGCCAGACGCTGTCCTGGGTAGTGTGGATATAAAGATGAATGGACTAATCTTCCTCCTTTCAGAGTCTAGGAGGAGAATTAGATGTGATTTAAATGGAAAATTAGTGTTATAAGTGCTATAATAAAGTATATATTTAAATTAAATTAGGAGAATAAAAAAGCAGTAAATCTGTAAAGACTTCAAAGAGCCTTGCTCTTGGAGATTGCCTTGAGGGTTGTATAGGGGAACGGCAGGTGTTCTGCCCCGATACAGTTTGCTCAGTGAAGAGGGTCTCCACGGCACGGTGTCATTTTGGCCTGGTTCCTTCTTGCCTACTCTTTTTTTTGAGGCAGAGTCTCGCTCTGTTGCCCAGGCTGGAGTGCAGTGGCGCAATCTCGGCTCACTGCAAGCTCTGCCTCCCGGGTTCAAGCCATTCTGCTGCCTCAGCCTCCCGAGTAGCTGGGACTACAGGCGCCCGCCACCACGCCCAGCTAATGTTTTGTATTTTTAGTAGAGATGGGGTTTCACCGTGTTAGCCAGGATGGTCTCGATCTCCTGACCTCGTGATCAGCCCACCTCAGCCTCCCAAAGTGCTGGGATTACAGGCGTGAGCCACCGCTCCTGGCCCCTTCTTGCCTGCTCTTGCCCCATGTCAGAACTTTCAGCCTTCACAAATTCAGATAAGATGGGAAAAACAATCTAATCCATATAGTTAGAATACAGACAAAGCTTCTGTAACAAAAAACAAAAATGCATCCACAAAGCAAACAAATAAACAAGAATGGCTTAAAGAGAAAGAAGTCATTTCTCTCTCACACATTGCAGAATGGCCCAGGGTTGTGAGGGTGGCTGTATCAACATTACAGTGTGCTTCCAAAGTTGCTCCCAACGTCGCCATTTTCCAGGCAGCAGGAAGGACTAAAGAGGAAGCCCTAGGCAAGCATCTTCAATTTAAAAAGATGACCGGGACAGTGCACACGGCCCTTCCACTCATGTCCCATTAGTTCAGATTTTGTCACAATGCCACCACACCTTGGGGCAACGGAGGCCAGGACATTTATTGTCTACCTGGATGGTCTGTGGCCAGCTAAATACTTGGGGCTTCTGTAGCTAGAAGGAAAAGGGGAAGCATAAATACTGAGAAACCAATCATAGTCTCTGCATACATTTTAATCTGCCTTTAAATCACAGTCACGTGACACTTTTCATAAATAAACCAGAACTCTTTTCCTGAGCAGGCTCTACAGATATTAAACAGAATATGTATCTGTGGGTGTTGATTCACCACTAGTAATGTGACACATATACATACATATATATATATATATATATATATATATATATATATATATATATATATTTTTTTTTTTTTTTTTTTTTTTTTTTTTTTTTTTGAGACAGAGTCTCGCTCTGTCGCCCAGGCTGGAGTGCAGTGGCGCGATCTCAAAACTCTGCCTCCCGGGTTCACACCATTCTCCTGCCTCAGCCTCCCGAGTAGCTGGGACTACAGGCGCCCACCACCATGCCTGGCTAATTTTTTGTATTTTTATTAGAGACAGGGTTTCACCATGTTAGCTAGGATGGTCTCGGTCTCCTGACCTCGTGATCCGCCCTCCTCGGCCTCCCAAAATGCTGGGATTACAGGCGTGAGCCACTGTGCCTGGCCCGTGACCTATATTATTTTTTAAAGGCCAGAATATGCCACAGGAGTGTTTGCAGCAACACCTGTGTTGTTTCTATAGATCACCTTGAATTTCTGCACAAAAAGGACACACTTCCAGAATTGTATACTGCTTCACTTTGCAAATACAGAATTATTCTCTACTTGCTAGTATCAATCCACTTATTTCTTAAAGGACAACTAAGCCGTGATTATCACTCCTTGTTTTCTTTTGGCCTCATTTAAATTTTTCTTTAATGCTTAAGGCCTACAACAGAGCAGTAAACATTTACATGCATTTCAAAGTTCCATGTTGGTTTCATTCTCTATGCTAGCAATATCTAAAGTGTAGGAAAGGAACTCTATCACTGAGTTATCAGAGTTGAAATAGAATTAATATTAGGAAGTAATATATTTTAAAAACTAAGTGGTAAGGTCGAGAGAGGACTAAAGTCTCCATGAAGTTAATATCCTGGAGGTGCTCATATACATCCTCATCAGCCACACATCTGGGGAATAGGGACTTTTCCTGGGTTACCTTAATCAGCACCTTTGTTGTGGAACCCATGCCAAGTCTTCTTAGGTTTTATAGGAAAATGGATTATTCATGGCACTTCCTCAGTTTGTTCTTGAATCTATGGTCTTCTTTGAGATTTGCTATTCAGAATCCCTTAACTTGTAGAGGAGAGATAAGAGGGAAAAAAGTATTTCTTCTTTTTGTCTGTACAATGCCATGTTAATTTTTCTTACCCTAATGGCATCATCCTTATCTCTATTTATGAGATATCCTTAGAGGGCCAAGAAAAAAATCACTTTTGGTCCCTCTGGGACCCTTATTCCCTATCAGCCATCTGGCCCTTCCTTATTTAAGGTACTTTGATGTATTATAGTCATCGAGTTTCTTGCTGAGTGGTAGATATCTGATTTGTGATGATCTGACACTTACTAAAGGTTTTTGCACTTGGACTCCTTCTCTGCCCACTCCCCTGGAGTTGGTGTCACCTTTCCCTAGTTGGATAGGCACAAGCTGATCCTGGCCAGTGGAGCCCAGAGTAAGGAGGACGCTCAGGGACCATCTGGCATGACGCTTCAGTCCCACTGCCCTCCATTCCTGATGGCCTTACCCCATTCACAGATCAGTTCATTTTGCTTCAGACATTTTCTTTCTCACAAATCAATACACATCTTCTTCACTCCATTTCCGCTTTTAATCCAGCAGTCCTTGTCAAGATAATCAAGATAACCCTTGCCTATCATCTATGCAAAATTCTTAATCTAATTCCCTAAACTCTTCAACTTAAAGTCAGTTTTAAGCATTACTATTGAAGCTATACATTTTAAAAATTAATAAATAATTTGAACATTTCTGAAAAAATTCTAAAGAATTCTAGATTTTAGAATTTTAAGTTCTAGAGAAAAAAATTTATATATAATATGTAAACATATATATAATCCACATGTAAAACAAGACATTTTTAAATTATTTTACTTAATCATTTATGTTACACCAATACTGTGCTTTATGAGTTTTCATTATTTCAGTCATTTATTGGTTAAGAATGTCTTCATGAGTTAGCTTGGAAGGGATTTCCTACCATTTGCATTATTATTTCTATGGGAAATACATTCTTGATTTCAAAAAATTAAATTGGAAGTGAAGTTTTGATTTTTTAAAAACTATCTTAAGTTGAAGATGGCCCATTTATGCAGTTATTTTCATGAAGAGAAACTATTTTAATCCATATGTTTTCTGAGTCAGACAAAAGGTAAAAAGATTATGAGGGAACAGGCTCATTATTTTAATACATTTTTTTTCTAATTATAAAAACTGCCATCAGAGCAAGAAGATCCATGAGGACACATTTCTCTTAGTTTGTTTAGCTTACTTGATGTTTGCTCTGCAATAACACCAGCTAGCATGAGGTAATTCACTGTAATTAGAGCTGCCAGTGACAGTTGGGCAATTCAGAGAGAGGCATTTGTCAACAGGTTCTACTTTAGACAAGGAGAGGGAGAAAAACGGGCATCTCCTGCAGGGATGGCTTGCCTGCTCCCAAATGAAGTAGGCAAAGTTCGTCTTCATCCTCCCATTACCACATTGGGAGCTGCTTTCCTTGCCTTGGCTTTAGATCCTTTCTGCGTTCTGCCTCCTGGTTACCCCAGAATGTTCCATGTGGCCTCATATCTTCTTCTACGTTTCCCAGTACAGGCCCAGACTTTGAGTCTCTCTTTAAATAGAAGGCAGCATAGGCTTCTTCTCTAGGCCATAAACTCTACGAGTGAGATCCAAATCTGTCTCTTCTTCCTGTTGTCCACAGTGCATAACACAGAGCCTTTAGTGGAGCTAGCCGTATTAACTGAATAGGAAATGAGTGAGTGAATGAATGAATGAGTGAATGTAACTGTGTACATCTCCATTTGTAGGGGCAGCACTCATCCTAATCTGTATTTTAATAAGATTTTACTTAAAAGGAAAAAAAAGTTACATTTTTAGAAGTGTATACATCTAAATGGGGACAATCTCTTAATAATCCAAAAGGGGAAAACCTTGTAACAGTATAATTTCAGCCATTAGAGATGAGCAGAGAGGGAGAGGGACAACTGATTTGGTGAACCTCCTTAATTGTACTACATTAACGGTCACTTACTTCACTCACTGGGAACAGTTGGCCTATGTAGATTCTAAACAATCTAATTGATAATCACCCATTAAAAATGTAAGAAAGAGGGCCGGGCGTGGTAGCTCACACCTGTAATCCAAGCACTTTAGGAGGCCAAGGCGGGCAGATCACGAGGTCAGGAGTTTGAGACCAGCCTGACCAACACGGTGAAACCCTGTCTCTACTAAAAATACAAAAATTAGCCAGACTTGGTGGTATGCGCCTGTAATTCCAGCTACTCAGGAGGCTGAGGCAGGAGAATTGCTTGAACCCAGGAGGTGGAGGTTGCAGTGAGCTGAGATTGTGCCATCGCACTCCAGCCTGAGCGACAGAGCGAGACTCTGTCTCAAAAAAAAAAAAAGAAAAGAAAAGAAGAAAGAAAGAATGGAAGGAAGGAAGGAAGGAAGAAAGAAAGAAAAGAAAGAAAGAAAGAAAGAAAGAAAGAAAGAAAGAAAGAAAGAAAGAAAGAAAGAAAGAAAGAGAAAGGAAAGAAAATACATATATAAGAAAGAGAAGTTCATTCAATACTTGCTGCTATCTTTTGCGGCAAGGGGAAAAAACCCTGTTTCTATAGGGGAAACCTGATGAACATGATTTACATATGAGGTTCCTGGGTCCTAGGAGTGATATAATAATAATAGCCAGTTACTGAGCTCCTGTTATGTACTAGGTACTACACTGAGAATTTTACATACATTATTTAATTTGTACAACCCAACAACAAGTGTTATTTCCATTTTGTTGGTGAAGAAATTAAAATTTGGAAAGAGGGCACACAGCATCCTATCCTAGTGATACGTGTTATTTTCTGTGAAACTCTTACCCCTCCTCCAGGTCTTAAAGAAAAGGTAGTGTCATCTTGTAAACTTATATTTCACAAATATAAACTTGGGTATGAGAAACAGAAGGGATATGAGAAATACATTATTTTCCTTGTAGAAAAAAAGTTACTAGCTAGTATCTATTTCAATATTAAATTTAGTAATTAGTTTAATACCACCTAAGGTATTTGTGTTAATATACTTACTGTTGTTTTTAACAATCATTTTCAAGCTGTGAAAAAGGGCTCCTATGACATGGTGTCGACTCTGATCAAACATAACACTAGCCTAGACCAGCCCTGTGTCAAGCGATGGTCAGCAATGCATGAAGCAGCCAAGCAAGGCCGAAAAGATATCGTAGCTCTGCTGCTGAAACATGGAGGCAATGTCCACCTGAGAGATGGATTTGGAGTCACACCACTAGGCGTCGCTGCCGAGTATGGTCACTGTGACGTGTTAGAACATCTAATCCACAAAGGTATGTGAAAAGGAGTTACACTTCCTGACTTTTGTCCTGCCTCTCGAACTCTCCTTTTCTCCATTCATCACTCTTCCTCACCTGAATGTAACTAGGGGAGCTCCTCTTCCTCTGCTGAATGGAACTTGGCATCAGGTTTTCCCACCTGGTCCCTCAGTAGACCCTTATTCTACAACTCAGCTAAGCCCTATACATTGTGACCTACGAATTTACAAGCCCAGTCCTGATTGCTCTCTCGAGAGACAGTTCAATCTGCACATAGATGGCCCATCAGGGCCTCATGCTCATCTTCTCCTTAACTGAATTCCTCCTGTTTTTCTACTCTTCTAATGTAATAATTTCTCTCAACAGGATTGAAAGATCGTATTTATCTCTAATTCCTCCATCACCTGCTTTCCTAAATCCAATCAGTTGCAAATTCTTGTAGCGTTTCTCTTGTCCTCTCATTGCAATCCATCTGCCATCCTGATCAGGTCCCTCAATTCTCCCTGGACCAGTGCAAATAGTTTCTAACCATTTTCTGGGTTTCTAGTCTCCCATCAGAGAATCACAGTACATACTGCAACTTGGCTCCTCTCCCTATAGGGCAGCTACAATAGTGTCAACTATCCAAAAAACAATCCCTATTGCATCATCTCAAATTGTTTTACCACGTTTATCCCTCACTGCTCCCATCTTGTATCCTACACTCCAGTCAAAATATACTAGCAGTATTCCCAAACGTACCTTGCAGGGTTTGGGTCAGGTCCTTGCCTTTATCTCTTCAGCACAATTCAAAGTCAATCTCTTGAGACACCTCCTCCCTAAATCCTTTCCTAATTCTTTCCAACAGATTGTGACACTGCCCTTTCTTAAACCCTCCAGGTGTTTTATACAACTACAGAACCATGAGTTAAGGAGACCTGACTCCTAAACTGGTTGAGCCACTACTCACTGTGAGACCCTAGCCTTATTCCTTAAATATCTGGTCCTCAGCGTCCTCATCTGCAAATGACCTCTAGAACCGCATGATCCCCAGTGATTCCCTGTAGGAAAAAGACTAACATTTTTGAGGTGTCCCAATACAACCACGTTTAATTTTCAAATAAGCCCTGTGAAGTAAGCTGTATTAATCATTCACAGATGTGGAGATGGAGGTGCACGGAAGTAAACGGCTTGCCCCCAGCTCTCACCATAAGCAGCAGAGCCACAGTCCCCTACATCATGTCTCCTTGTCTTAATGTCAGTGTCACTGGAATATCATACAGTTTGTGCTGTCTGATATTTTGTTTCATTTCCCCTCTAAGCTCCTTAGAGTAGTCACACTTATTCTTCTTAGGGTCACACACACTGATTGCACATAGAGGGCAATAAAGTATTTGTTAATACTTTATTAACTGTAAGTATTTGTTAAGTTAAAATAGAGGGGGCCGGGCACCATGGCTCATGCCTGTAATCCCAGCATTTTGGAAGGCCAAGGTGGGTAGATTACTTAAGGCCTAGAGTTCAAGACCAGCCTGGCCAACATGGCGAAACCCTGTGGTGGCACATGCCTGCAATCCCAGCTACTCAGGAGACTGAGGCAGAAGAACTGCTTAAACCCAGGAGGCGGAGGCTGCAGTGAGCTGAGATCACACCACCGCACTCCAGCCTGGTCGACAGAGTGAGATTCTGTCAACATAAATAAATAAATAAATAAATAAAATAAGAAACTACTGTCTTTAAATTAAAAAGTCTAATGAGCCTTTTTCAGAAGAATTTGCCTGTCATGAAAATTGACTTAGTTTCTCTCATGATTTTTGGCCCAAAGATTTTAATAAAACAAACCATGCTGCATGCATGACTGTTTATTGAAAGTATAGAAAACATGGAGGCCCTTAATTCTATACTTTTTAAGTACTAACCAGAAAGGAACACAACAGGTTTTGTGGGGGTTTTTTGTTTGTTTGTTTCTTTGTTTTTGAGATGGAGTCTCACTCTGTTGCCCATTCTGGAGTGCAGTGGAGTGATCTCGGCTCATCACAACCTCCACCTCCCAGGTTCAAATGATTCTCCTGCTTCAGACTCCTGGGTAGCTGGGACTACAGGTGCACGCCACCGTGCCCAGCTAATTTTTGTATTTTTAGTTGAGACAGGGTTTCACCATGTTAGCCAGGCTGATCTCGAACTCCTGACCTCATGATCCGCCCGCCTCAGCCTCCAGTGCTGGGATTACAGGTGTGAGCCACCATGCCCAGCCCCACAACAGGCTGTTTTTAAGGGGATTGTTTAAACAATACCATCCAGTTATCATTATGCCACGTTTTATACTGCCAGGTGGTGATGTGCTTGCTTTGGCGGATGATGGGGCGTCGGTGCTGTTTGAGGCAGCAGGAGGTGGCAATCCCGACTGCATTTCCCTCCTGCTGGAATATGGAGGAAGCGGAAATGTACCTAACCGAGCAGGACATCTTCCTATACACCGAGCTGCCTATGAGGGGCATTATCTGTGAGTGATAAATTATAGGGTAATTATTTGAGTTAAAAATGCTAATTTGTATATACAGTATAATCACAAGTCTATATGTAATACCTTTCAAAATCCAAGGAGAAATAGGCATAATCTTCAGGTTTTGATGCTCCAAATTTAGATATTTAGAACTTATTTAATTTTCCTCCTTTTGATATTCTTGTACTTCCAAAAAATGAATTTATAGTACTTTTATAATGAAAAGAAATTTTCTTTTAGAAGGAATTAAGGCATAAGTGAGAATTCTGCACAAGCCACTCAAGAGTGCCTTTCTGTTTACAAATGTATTTAACAAAAGGCTACAGTTTCTAAAAATTTTGCCCTTGACAAAGGATTAAAATTTGTAGCAATACTATCAGTGTTATTCCAGTTATTTCCTAACATCTCCAGGATATTATAGTATAATGTCAAATGTATTGTTGAATAGAAAAGTTTCATTATAAGTTTATAATTTTTTATTCCATACGAACGGTTGAATAGATTCTTAAATCACAAAATGTACATAATTAACACATTGGTAGAAGTCTAGATCCCTATATTAAACTACCCACCATGAGAAGATGGTTTTAGGCAATTAAATATATTTCATAAGCTCAAAAACTTTGAAGTAATCGGGCTTTATAGTTTTCAGTGGGCCATTGGCTAAGTGGCCAGTGACGCATAATTGATGCTAAGTGACATGTTGTTAGAGTTTACCTGGATTTACTCCCAGTGTTCATAAATTCACAACAGTAGACACAAGAGATCAGGTTCTCCTTGCCTGTGACTCTCATACATGTCTGGCTGGTTAGTCAAGTGTGAAACTCACAACTATATCACATGTACTTAGAAACATAAACTGTGGCTGGTTATCTCAATTGGACTGATGCAAGGTTGATGGAATACTAAAGACTCTTCTTTTGGCTAATAATTCAATTGCAAGTTATATGGAAGCAGACAGAGTGTTCATGGTCAATATTAAAAAATAGATTGTGTAGGAATCAGTGAAAGAGGAATAATTCATGAGAATTGGAAAAGGCCCAAATTCTTGTCCTGCTCTGCGTCTAACTGTGTGACCTTGGACAATCTTTTTGCCTCTCTAGACTTCAGATTGTTCTTCTGTTAAATGAAGCAGTTGGACTGAATGACATCCAGGGTCACTTCCTATCACCCCATGATCCTAATGGTCAAGATTATGAAGCATTCCTCTGTGGCATTAGAAAGGCTTACTTTTCTTCTACATTTTTAAAAATAGTATTGGTTGCCTGTAAATATTATATTGTTCAGAGGAGAATTGGAAGATGGGGCGTGTTCTTGAGGAACTACAATTCTAGGAAAAAACATATAAGATGCAGTTTCCCAGGAATATTTAGAACAAAAAGCTAAATCAAAACTGAGCTACATTACACTAAACTAAATAGTTGTACCTCGGCAGACAAAGGTTAAATGTTTCAGTATAAAGTTATCTAGAGAAAATAAGGGAAACTATACAACTTGCATTCACTTATCTAGTGAGAACGGTAGTTTATTTAATTTCTTGATTTTCTTTATGGCAAGTAGATATTTGACTTTTTTCTTTTAGTGCACTGAAATATCTTATCCCAGTAACATCTAAAAATGCAATTCGGAAAAGTGGGCTAACACCAATTCACTCAGCAGCAGATGGACAAAATGCACAGTGTCTAGAACTGCTCATTGAAAATGGTTTTGATGTCAACACTCTACTTGCTGACCACATTTCCCAGAGCTATGACGATGAGAGGAAGACTGCGCTGTATTTTGGCGTTTCTAATAATGACGTTCATTGCACAGAAGTCCTTCTGGCTGCAGGTGCAGACCCAAACTTAGATCCCCTCAACTGTCTACTTGTTGCAGTGAGGGCCAATAATTATGAAATTGTCAGGCTGCTTCTCTCCCATGGAGCTAATGTCAATTGTTATTTTATGCATGTGAATGACACTCGTTTCCCCAGTGTCATTCAATATGCTCTAAACGACGAGGTAATGCTGAGGCTATTGCTGAATAATGGCTATCAAGTGGAGATGTGCTTTGACTGCATGCATGGTGACATCTTTGGAAATTCATTTGTGTGGTCAGAGATACAGGAAGAGGTGCTGCCAGGATGGACATCTTGTGTAATAAAAGATAACCCGGTGAGTTATGCCTTTTCTGCTTTATATTGAGTTATCATCCTAATTTAATACATGTTCATTCAATTAGGGATGTTACAAGAAAAGAAAAATAAACTCTAATTTTTCTATTTTTCTTGTTTTTTCAATTTTTGTATGCAATGATACAGGGATATAAGCATAAATCTAGCCCCCCAACCTCTCCCCCAAAAATATGTTGTTTGTTTTTTCTTGACTTGAAAACTGAATGTAGAAGAATGTGAAAATGTATGTAATTAGTCACTTCTGCCTGTTTGGTAGAATATTGGGGCCAGATGGGAAGAAGCATGACTTCTCCATGCTTTGCTGACTACAATCACATCAGAGCCAGGCGAGTCTTCAGGGCTGATGGTTTCACAGAGAGAAGCAAACAATTTATTTTTAATTTTTGTTCATTACAAGGAGAGATCTTTTATTTTCTGTAGTAAAACAGAGTAATTTTTCCATAACACAATTGAGTGTTTATGTATATGATATTAAAAATACTACTAAATTAAATTTTATCAATTCTCTCAGTTCTGTGAGTTTATTACAGTTCCTTGGATGAAGCACTTGGTAGGCAGAGTTACTCGTGTACTAATAGATTACATGGATTATGTTCCTCTGTGTGCTAAACTGAAGTCTGCACTAGAAGTACAGAGAGAATGGCCAGAAATCCGCCAAATACTAGGTAAAAACCAAAAGTTTTGCCTACAATTTTTAAATTAAGAACTTATATGGGGGAAATTTCTTAATGTCTTCTTTGATACTTTTCCTATGCTACTCTACTGTATTTCCAGAATTATCTGGGTTTTAAAATCATCCTTAACACTTCCTCTGTTGTAAGATACATATTTTCATTTTTCTTTATATTTTCCAGCTTTGTAATTGTATAATGAGTAATACTACAGCTATATTAACGTTCTGATTACAATTCATTTTAAAAATTAACTTCTATAATATCATACAATACGTAGACTGCAAGCTCCATGTGGGTAGAGATCTACTTTGTTTCTTGTTATATTTGCAAGGCTTAGCATAGTGCCTAGTAAGTAGTACATTTCAATAAATATGGAGTAAATGAATGAACAGCAGGGATTAGAATTACTCTTTTTGACATGCTTTCTCTGGGGTCTTTATTGACAAAGTCCTACCATCAAAGGTTAGTATTTGTAGACAGGCCATTTTGTCTTTTCTAGGTGAAAGTTTACCATGAAAATGAATAATACAAGTTTCAATGAAAGTACATTTTTAAATAATGCAAATACAAATAAAAACCAGAAAAATATCATAGATTTGAGATGCTTTCACTTTCAAAATATAAGTTTGGAAAAATAAACTTTCAAAACCTAGTTGGACATCAATTTCATGAAGCCTAAAGAAGCATTATAGAATTTTATATGACATTTAAATAATTTGACATTTTTAATGTACCTGAATCAGCCTTCCCCTGGAATTAGTTCTATAATAGAAGAGACTTTGCAGCAACTAAAACAGGAGTCTTGGAGAATCTGATGAGTAATATAGTATTGTTAGCCCAGAAATTGAGCTCTGGGGTCAGATAGACCTAGAATGAAATGAAATTCTGGCCTTGCCTAGGAGTAGGATTGCTAGATTATAAAATGCATATGTAATTCAGGACTGATGTTTTCATGATAAAAAGCAACAATTTATTGTTACCATTTTTGCTTCTCTAAGTGGAGGAGGATTTTTTTATTTCCTATAAAAAGACCAAGATAGCCATCCTAGTTGTGTGACTTTGAGCAAGTTACTTATTCTTCTTATGCCTAGGTTTTCCCATTGCAAAGTAGATGTAAGATAGTATTAACCTCATAAAGTTGTTGTGGGAATCTAAAGAAATAATGCATATAAGGTGGTAGTGTCTAGAATACTTAAATTACTTAATAAATTTATTTAGTTTTAAAACTAAAGTATTAACATTTTTATGTTTTTACTACATGGTAAGTTTATGTGAGGTATCTGAAATGTATATGTACAGTGTGCTATGAAATATTGTAAAGTATTATCATGCTTATTTTTTACAAATAAAAAGCTAAGCCTAAGGGAAATTACAAAACAGTCTAGACCCTATGCATTCTTGAAAACCACTTCTCTAAGTTCCCTTCCTGGACTTAAGCCCGCATTGAGAGTAAAATCAAAAATCGAGCAGGACAGAAACAAGAAAGGACCCACAAAAAAGTTGGGGTGGCAAACAGAGCCAGGAAACCTCAGAGATCTAACCACCATATTTTGAGTCATTGCAAGAAAATAATAGAGTAAGAAGCTCTGCAAAGTTAGAAGAGCTATCTGGAACCAAGCATCCTTCTAAAAAGTCAAGAAAACTAAATGCAAATAAAAATGAGCAACAGAGAGGGCGCGGTGGCTCACACCTGTAATCTCAGCACTTTGGGAGGCCGAGGCGAACGGATCACGAGGTCAGGAGATCGAGACCACCCTGGCTAACAAGGTGAAACCCCGTCTCTACTAAAAATACAAAAAATTAGCCGGGCGTGCTGGCGGGCGCCTGTAATCCCAGCTACTCAGGAGGCTGAGGCAGGAGAATGGCGTGAACCCGGGAGGCGGAGCTTGCAGTGAGCCGAGATCGCCCCACTGCACTCCAGCCTGGGCGACAGAGCGAGACTCCATCTCAAAAATAATAATAATAATAATAATAGAAAGAAGAACAGAATAATATCCCCACGGGCAATGAATACATAACTTAAAAAATGCAAACCTTCTATTTCAAAAATGAGCTAAAAAGCATGAGGAAAATAATATCAGATATGAAAGAACAATACGAGTCAAAATTTGAAAAATTCAGAAATCAGGTAACAACTGAGGAAAGATTTAGGAATAAAAATTAGAAAAAATTAATGTCAAATGTGAAGACTGAACTAGAATGAAAACAAGAACTAGCAACACAGTTGACAATACATTGAGAGATATAAAAGAGGATATGGAAGAAAAATTGTAAATCAAATATAAACGAAGAAATAGATAAAAGGATTTTAAAATATGTATATTTGTTTATTTCAATAGGTTTTGGGGGAACGGGTCGTGTTGGTTATATGGATAAGTTGTTTGGCGGTGATTTCTGAGATTTTGGTGCACCCATCACCTAAGCAGTGTACACTGTACCCAATGTGTACTCTTTTATCCCTGACCCACCCTTCCCCCTGAGTCCTCAAAGTCCATTGTATCATTCTTATGCCTTTGCATCCCTGTAGCTTAGATAAAAGGATTTGAAAGACAGCTAAAAACATTGATGACAGACAATGAATAGTCAATATATGGATAATAGGATTCCTTGAAAAGGAAAACCAAATCAAGGGAACATAAGAAATACAAAAAACTAAGTTTCAAGAAAAACTTGTAATAAAAAAGAAAGATTTGAAACTATAATATATAAAATACTATATCCTTTGGGCACATAGGCAAAAAGAACAAGTGACTTATAAGAGAAAAAAATAGATTATTATTAAACTTTTCATCAACAATACTTTATGCCAAAAGACAATGGAGTAACATATTTAAGACTCTCCTTGGAAGGAAAATGTGAGGCAAGGATGCTTACACAGCAAAATTGACTTCCAATGATCAATGTAGGCAAACTGTTGTCAGCATGCAAGAACTCAGGAAATATTGTTCCTCTTGCTGACGTCCAAAGGATCCACTAAGAAATGGCCTTTAGACAACCCAAAATGATTAGCGAGATATCACCATGAGGACTAGTATTAAACAAGGCTAACACTAAACAGAATGCCAAGACTAAGTGAGAGTTAAAAGGGAGAAGATGCAATACATAATGGTTATATGCTCTGATAAAATAGATACAGCACAATTATTTATTTTTGAATATTAGTACATAGATAAAATAAATAATATTTAATAATTAGAATACATATTTTTAAATATCTTAAAATATTGATAGTGATATAATATTAATATTGTTATGCTGAGGATGAGAGATATATTCAGTAAATGAGTAATTAAGGAATATTCCAATTCCATTACTCTTTGTATCCTTGAAACCAAGGATTGTCAGTGTGGCAGAAAGAAAATACAGATGTAATAGAGAAGAGATTAAAGAGAAATCCTGTAGTCCTGAATTTGAATTAGAAATAACAATATAAACTCATAAGCTATTTTATCTTGAAAGCATCTGTGTGCATGTGGATTATGCTGAGTGTGTGTGTGTGTGTGTGCACGCGCGCGCACGTGCGTCTGTTTACAGATAAGTCTTAGAAATAATGATGAACCCAGTAGCAATGAGCATTCCTACGACCCAGATTTTGGCCTGGAAATGCCATTTCCTAACAAAAGAAACCAGGGTTTTTGCTGGAGGTTGTTTTGTTTTGTTTTTGAGAAATGGATGATTGTATCTGGGGAAGGAAATGAATAAGATGAACCTGGAACATCTGGTCATACCAGAAAGCAAAGAAACTCTGAAAGACTACATGATTCATGACAAAAGAATTCAGGGGCTAACTTGAAGAGGCTCCAACTGGCCAAAGATGGGACAATTTAAGTTTCAAAAAGGGTAATGATTTCAATGAATTGAAGCCAATCTATTTAAATATACGATTGGTGGGTTTTTTTCTGTTTTTTTTCCTTCAACTTGTATTTTAAGTTTAAGTGTACATGTGCAGAATGTGCAGGTTTGTTACACAGGTAAACATTTATCATGGTGGTTTGCTGCACAGATCATCCCATCACCTAGGTATTAAGTCCAGCATCCATTAGCTATTCTTCCTGATGCTCAGACTCCCCCAGCCACCCCCCCGACAGGCCCCACCCAGTATGTGCTGTTCCCCTCCATGTGTCTGTGTGTTCTCATCATTCAGCTCCCACTTATAAGTGAGAACATGCAGTGTTTGGTTTTCTGTTCCTGCATTAGTTTGCTGAGGATAATGGTTTCCAAATCCATCCATGTCCCTGCAAAGGACATGATCTCATTCCTTTTTATAGCTGCACAGTATTCCATGGTGTATATGTATCAAACTTTCTTTATCCAGTCTATCCTTGATGGGCATTTAGGTTGATTCCATGTCTTTGCTATTGCAAATAGGGCTGCAATGAATATACGTGTGCATGTATCTTTACAATAGGATGTTTTATTAAATATACAATTTTTAAAAAAAACTGGTCAGCTCCAGAATATGATAGAAAATCAACTCATTATCTTAAAAACTGATAAAAGAAAGACTTAAGCATTTATTCTGCTTTACATATATGTATATGTATAAACTGTGCCATTAGTAACTAAAGAGTAGATAAGTAAAAGCATTCCTTTATAAAAGTATTCTAAATAATTTAAAAAGATATAATTAGTTATCACCATTATATAGCCTCCGATAAATTAATGGATGTAGTCAATGAGCATCAACAGCTGCTAATATGTAGCCCCCAAAGAATGAACACAGAACCTGATATAGTTTTGCCAAAGAGATCAAACCCGAGCCTGATCAAGTCTCTGTATCCAGTTATCAATTTGCAAGAAGTAGAGGAGACAGTGGGACATGGAACTGCACCATGGAAATGCAATCAGCAAAGTTCAGGCTGTGGGAAACTAAAGGGCATTTGGGTTCTTCAAAGATTAGTTGAAAAGACAAAAAGGGGATGGAGAGAATAACCTGCAGATTAGAAAAGACTTAAAGGACATAGCAAAAATTTTAAAAATGTACTGTCAATACTATAGTGCAGGGATAGTGCACTTAGATGATGAAACTCTAAAGAAAGTGATTACCATTCAGAATAGTAGTTATTTATGGTAGGAGAAAGAAATAAAGAAGAATGGATTGTAGAAGAATTTCTTTGGTCTCCGGCAAAGTTCTATTTCCTATAGACCTAGGAGGTGATTATAGATGTTCGACTAATAATTACTTACATAACTTATGAAACTATACATGTGTACTTTCTTTATTTTATTTTGCAATAAAAAGCTTAAAACCGTCTCTTTTTTAGCTTGGAGATTGCAAGACAGAGAAAAATGGTGAGGCTTAGATAAGTTAATTTCTCATAGTAATAGACATAGAAAATAACAAAGTGAAGATTTGAACCCTTGTTTGTCTTACTTGAAAACACAGACTCTACAATACCATTATACTTCCTGTCATAGAAAGAATAGACTTTGCTTTTAAATGGAAATTAATTGCTTTTTTTTTTTTTTTTTTTTTTTGCAAAATACTTACTAATTCTGATGACTTTAGAAAGACAATCCAAGTAAGAATAAGGCCAGGAAGTTTTTTTTATTGTTTCCATCATACTTTACTGCAACTAGAGTCGAAGCCAGTTGATTGCTATGAGTGTGATTAACCACTGGATGTCAGGAGTCCTCCAGCTATCTGTAAGGCAGCATATTGGTTAGGAAAAAAAAAAATTGTCTATTTTTTAGATTTTTGTTTTGCTTATTTTGGTAATGTTGCATCAATAATTTTTGAGAACATTGTTTTTAATTTTAAAAGATAAATTGTTTATATCATCAAATGTAATAGAGATGTGATCATGTTTATTATTGCACTGAATGACAGTTAATATTTATCGAATGGTTACAATGTACCAAGCACTTTTCTAATACTTTACATGATTTGTTTAATCTTCAAACAACCCTACGAGATAAGTACTGTTGTTATCCTTATTTCACAGATGAGAATACCAAACTCACAGACATTAAGCGATTTGCCCAAGGTCACACAAATATTAAGGGGCAGAGCTGGGAGTTTAATCCAAGCTGACCAGGTCCAGAGTGCACATCTAAGCCTGAATGCTATGCTGCTCCTTCATTCATTCATATTGCTGCTATAAAATCTCAATCTTGCAATTATAATATAGATAAAGTAAGAATTGAAAATATCAGATATTTAAATAATGTTAGTATATTTTTTGAGAATATACAAGGTTTAAGTATTAGACACTGGAAGCAAAACTCAGATTGGATTATTCATGATCTATGGAATCATCTGTGTCGATGTTTCATGGATAGTTATTTATCAGACAGATTGGTAGGAGAAAGAAAGTAAAGAAATATATAATATTTAGCTCTATAATACTTAGCTCTAAAAAATAAAGAAGAGATGTGAGCATTTGCTTTCTTCAGTCCATTTATTCATTCCACAAATTCTAGTTGAACACCTACCATGAGCCAGACTCTCTTCCTGGCACAGAGACAGACTAAATTTCTGCCCCCATGGAGCTTACATTCTAGAGGAGTAGACTAGAATGCTCAATTACAATTTGAATTTCACTTAAAATCACCAGTTGCTAAAGTGTGCATACATGTTTTTGAGAATACACTACTCATGTTATTCTGAAACAGTCATATCTTAGGGGCCAATCCACTATTTAAAAAATTTTTTTGCTTATTTTCCCGATTTCTTTTAGAGAATCCTTGTTCATTGAAGCATTTGTGTCGGTTAAAAATTCGAAGGCTTATGGGTCTCCAGAAACTCTGCCAGCCAGCCTCAGTGGAGAAGCTTCCTCTACCACCAGCTATTCAAAGATACATATTATTTAAAGAGTATGATCTCTATGGACAAGAGCTAAAATTGACATAACTTAATATTTTAAAATGTGATTTAAAAAAAATGTTGAAATGTGATTCCCTCAGATAATTTCTTGTAACCATTTTACATCCTTAATTGTAAAGTGTATTTAAATTCATTGACAGTTTTATAGGTTATCATGTGTTCTTATGGGAACACCATGATTTATGTCTTTAAAGACATTTGCATTTTTTAAAGATAGTATTTTGAACTTAGATTTGTATCTTTGTTTGCTACAAGTCATCAAACTCTCCCTATCAAGTGGCTCCTACAATATCCACAATCAAGTCTCTATGTTTAAAAAACAGATAACCACTTTCTCAAACCCACATCTGCCAGTTGCTGGCCAGATTCTCCTGTCTTTCACGGTCTTGCTGTGTAAAAGAGCTCCTCCTGCCTGTAAGTTCACAGACTGTGATCTGGCATCTGACCCTCCACTGCTTTTCTCAAGGTCCCTGACAATCTCTTTGTTGGTAAATTCAGTGAACATTCTTCAGTCCCTCTTCCAATCGATTCCTACAGCATCTAACATTGTTGCCTGTTCCTTGCTTGAAATGATATCTCTTTCCTTGTTTCTCGCAAAACCTGTTCTCTTGGGTGTCCTCCCACCTCCCTGGACACTCTGTCTCTGGCTTCTTTCTGCCTAGCTCATCTCTAGCCAATCTTACAGTTATATATCTTAAGCCCTCTTCTCTTTGTTCTTTAAGTTATATATCCTAAGCCCTCTTTGCTTTGTTCTCTGGGATATTTTATCCACATCCATGGTCTTAATCATTTTGCTAGAGACTACAAAATTTCCATCCAAAGCTCAGCTCTTTCTCTCATGTTCTCCTGACCTATGTAGACAATTGGCCTCATGAACATTTGAACACAAAGACACCTCAAATTCAACATGTCCCCAGATGAACTAAAAAAAAAAAAAAAAAAAAAACCTCTTTCCCGAGCTCAGTAGTTAGCACAATGCTCAATTCAGTTTCCAAAGAAAAAAGCCTGGACATTAGGTTTGACCATCCCATTTTCCTCACCCAATAAGACAAATCACCAAATCCTATTAAGTTTATCTCCTGAAGTCATCTTCCACTCAGCAGCCCCCCACCACCCACCCCGCATTTGGCCCTAAGTCTATTATCTTCTTTTTCCTGGGATAATACAATGCTGCTTATCTGGCTCCCCTGACTCTGTCTTGCCCTGTCCCAAACACTTTCTACATACAGCATCTCAGAAGAGTCTTTTACAAATATAATAGAGTTTCACTTCTCTGCTTAAGATCATTCCCATTGCTCTTAAATTCCAAAGTTCTTACTTGAACTTTCATGATCTAACTCCTGCCTTCTTCTTTAGCCTCATCTCTGGATGTCTACCTTTCCTCCTTTCCCTTGAACCTTCTAGAATTTTATTTTTTAAACACTGATTCCCAGACTTCAAGGTGTCATACACTAATAGGTTTTATTGTGTTTATTTTTCAAAAAGAGTCATTAAAAAATACCATCTACTATCACCATCATTTCATAAAAGAGGGGTCATTTTAATGCCAGAAAGTAAGATGGTCATAAATTCAGTCATTCAAGTTGAATGACTTTTACCTTGAAAAGACCTCACACTGCTCTCATTTCCCCATTGACGAGTGAGAATTTCACTGTGGGCCATCAAATATCTGAGGACCTTTGTATGGGGAACCTCTGCTGTAGAATAGACCATGCTCTCTTTTAACCTCAGGGTCTTCGCATTTCCTTCTCTCATCTGGAACTCTCTTTCCGCTTTTTTTGCACCCTTTCACCTGATCAACTCCCACTTACCCTATAGGTCTCAGCTGAGATGTTGCTTCCTCTAGGATGGGAAGCCTCAGCACAGAACTTGTCATGCCATATTATAGATGCCTGTGTTCCCTGCTGTCTTCCCACTAGACTATAAGCTCTATGAGGGTAGGTTCTATGTTTGTTTTGTTTTCCAGTGCTTTCTCAGGGCCAAACACATTCCCTAGAGCATGGAGTTCAATAATTGTTTGTTGAAATATATTGAATAAGTGACAAAAATAATCAGTGACATCATGGTGAAATAATAGTTTTAAATTTCTGAGTGAGTTATGTAATCTTGTAATTATTTAATGCTATTATTCTTAGATTTTAATAGTGTATTTTTCTTATATTTATTTTTACCTTGTTACCGTATTCTTTAAACAGTAATATCTCACTGGTCTGTAAAGTTTTCAAGTTGTATTTAGCTTTAGTTACCTTTGAAAGATAAATAAGTATGAAAAAAATCGTACAATTAGGGCTATAATTTTAACTTCTTGTATTCCCTAGAGGATATATTTTATATGTAAGTTAAACTGTAATGTATTTATATTTAATTGCAACATCTTGTATACAAGATTTTATTATTCTTGTGTTGCACTCTTAGACGTGGTTAAATGTATTGTTACCTAAAAATATTACTCTAATGAATAAAAAATCATATTGAGGTTATAAGTCTGCTTTATGATACTTCATATATTAAACTTTTGCTCACTAAAGCTGTGACATTTTCTTTGATATATATTTGTGTAGATAATATTCAAGAAATACTTGGATATAAAGATATGAATTAACTGCACATGGTATGGGTTTTTTAAAGTGGCTTTTTGGCATTTATGAAGCAAGAGAAAAATGTGTCTTATGAAAAAGAAGCAATTGCTGTATCTAAATCAGATTTGATCTTTTGCTCACCATATTTTGGGTTTTTCTAGCAGTGTGTTTGTTTTTGAGATGGCTGGATGGAAAAAGGAATTAATTTCCATCTTATTAGGACTCTGTTTCTTCTAGAGTATGTCACTTTATCCGGGAAAGGGTAACAGCTGCTCCTCCCTAGTCAGCATTAGGAGAAGCCAAACATTCTACAGTGGAGCCTGTCTAACCACTGTGGAATCAACATGGCAGAGTTTGGATGCCATCTTCCCCCATGCTGCCAAGATGTCTGTGGCTGTTTTAGTCCCTGTGGATTTTGTTTTGTATCACACAGAGTGTCCGGGTGGAAAAAAGCAGATCTGAACTCTCATTAAGCATGTCTTATCTTTCCATAGGCCATCATTAAATAGGATCTCCATTTCTGGCTAAAGATAATTTTAAGAAGGACACTGAAACCAAGTGCCTCCTGAAGAATATGGTTTAATCATTTTAATTAGTCATAGAACATGTTTTCTGTTAATAGGATGTCAATGCAGAAGATGTGAAAACGATTGTATCAATGTGCAGCAAATATTCATAGGTAACACCACCTTTAATGCAGGCTTTTGAACAACCAGAACCTATGGGTCAGACAGTATGGAAACTCTAACAAGATGGAGTATCTTATGACACAGAGAACATACGTAAGCCTTTCTCTTGTCACTGACCTTTTACCAGAAATTCCTATGCAAATTTTGGTTTCAAGTTTCATACTCTTATGTATATAGCCACCTTCCAATCAGAAATTACTTAGGAATATAAAAATTATAAGCTGCTTCAGCAACATGAATGTAGCTGGAGGTCATAATCCTGCAAGGATTGATGCAGGAACAGAAACCAAGTACATATTCTCACCTGTAAGTGGGAGCTAAACATTGAGTACACATGGACATAAAGATGGGAACAATAGATATTGTGGACTACTAGATGGAGAAGAGGGGAGGAGAGGAGAGGAGAGGAGGGGGAGGGGGGAGAGGAGGGGGAGGGGGGAGAGGAGGGGGAGGGGGAGGAGGAGGGGGAGGGGGAGGGGGAGGAGGGGGAGGGGGAGGGGGAGGAGAAGGGGAAGGGGGAAGGGGGAAGGCAAAAGGGGGCAGGGGTTGAAAAACTACCTAATGGGTACTATGCTCACTACTTGAGTAAAGGGATCCATACCCCAAACCTCAGCATCATGCAATATACCCATGTAACAAACCTTCACATGCACCCCTGTATCTAAAATAAATGTTGAAATTATTTTTTAAAAATGCAGGCTGCTTCAAGTTTTTATGAAACAAAATGCACATTATACACATATATACACACAAGTACATGACACATACATATGTAATACACACATAGACATACACACATGCATTGAAGTATGGCATGTTATTGCAGTACTGTAGGTAATGCAGTGGGCAAGGACACATATTTTGTACTTAAATAGATATCCTGTTAAGTGGAATAAGCCAGACACAGAAAGACAAATATCTCACTTATATGTAGAATCTAAAAAAAGCAAACTCACGGGAGCAGAAAGTAAAATGGTGGTCACCAGCAGCCGGGAGGTGAGGGGATTCAGGAAATGTTGGTCAAAGGATACACAATTTCAGAAGAAATAAGTTCAAGAAATTTATTGTACGACATGGTGACAATAGTTAAAATAGTGCATTGTATACTTGAGAACCTCGAAGAGAGTAGATTTTGTGTTTTCATCACCAAAAAAAGTATATGAAGTAATGAATATGTTGATTTGCTCAATGTAGCCATTTTACAATATATACATACTTCAAAGCATCATGTTGTATGCCATAAATATATACAATTATTGTCAACTTAAAAAATACAAAAAGATACCAAAAAAGATATCAATTACCTTTACAGTGTCTTAAGTTTATGCAGATAAATAGTATCATTAAAATATAAAAATAAAAACAGACTAAGAGCCATTTTGAGCCAGGCTCTGCAAATTATTAGCTGCTTTGTTTTGGACAAGACATGAACTAAGTGTCTAAACTACTATATCCAATATAGAGTAAGTGCACATGAAACCTGAGCTCTCATCATTATTACTACATAGTGGAAGTGCCAACGTCAGAGCTGCAAAAGTCAAGAACCTTGGTCGTATGGTACATGACTGTAGATTGTCATTACATCTGAAAATACAAAAAAAAAAAAAAAATCTTAGGAATGCATATGGCATCTCACTGTCATTTCTAAATACTTTGACAACATTCACAGAATAAAAACTTGCAGAGAATTGTCTCTAGGCAATAAACCCCGACATATTCTTTTCCTTAGTAAAGCCTTAATTATCAATTGTTGACAAGGGAAGAAAGGGTTTCTCAAGGGAGAAGATGAGTAGAAGGAATAGACTTATTTGACCTCAGTGCCCCGTGTTGTGTAACCTCAGGGAGTGCTGGAGATGTCGGGGGATTTGCTGTTTTGGGAAAGAGACAGTCGTAATTTGAATCTGGGCACTGGGAGCGCCTGAATTCTAATGCTGGATTAGCCAATGATTCTATCACAAGCACTTGACAGGCACTCACATTCTGTGCTTCAGACTCTGGGAAACTGGTAACAGCCATTGCTGTTGCTCTGGAAATCTTCCATTCTGGAATCTCTCAATGAGATTTAAGATAAAACTTCTTGGAAGCATCCTATATGGTTGGATCAGGTAGAAGATGTGGAGGGCACTAAATGTGATACTTACCTTGGGGATTGAGTATGTGTGAGACACAGTAGCCAGTTCTTTCTGTTTGAAGCAAAGTCCACACTGTTTTCCCGTGGAAGCTATTTTCTAGGTTTTGTGGAAGTTAAATATCCAGGCATGACATGCAGTGGTCAACAATTGCATGTTCTGTGCAATTGCTATGTTCCTGAGTGTCTGAATACTCGTAAATATATGGTTACCCACATTGGTTTAATATCATTTCAATGAAGCAACAGTTTTAATCACCTTTGACTGGAGGCTGCCAACATTTGCTTAGGCTTTCCTTTGACTCACTGGAACCTCTCAACCTGCATTTGACTCTGCACCCAGTCCCCTCATTGGGGGCCTGCCCTTCATAATCACCTGAAGTACACAAGAAGCTAAATTGAGTCTGTCGGTTGGAGGGTGCTCTAATTAAATGAGAACTTCAACCATAGTGATTTGCATACTTCCTACAATGATTCTAGAGTATCTGAAGACCCTCTCTTCAACAGAAAACCTTATCTGACAATCAAAACTAAGGTTTAAAATACAAGTACATTTAAGAGAGGTAGAATGATATCTGAACATTTTTTTTAAATAATGGACTTTGATAAGGGAAAAGGGATGAGAACCCCAAGTCCACAGAAGAAAAGTATAGGTATTTTCTATAGCCAAAGGCTTCATAATTTGTTCTACGAATATGGAAAATATCTTGAGGACCATCTAGACCATTTGAATACATCTGGAAAGACTACTCCAATAATGTCTCTCATTTATCCTGGGTTTTACGGTTCATAAAGAATTTCACATACATCACCTCACTTGATTCTTACAGCTATTCTAGGAACAGGAGAAGGAAGGGGCTAATTATCTCCACTCTATAGAAAAGAAAATAAATCTTCTAGTTAACTAAAGTAGTAAATGTCAGAGCTAGGACTTGACTCCAAATCCCCAGGACCTGACTCCAAATCCCAAGCTCCTTCCATATCATCATTTTTAGCTCAACAAGAATAGGAAGGGATCATTCACAATAGCCAAAAATCAGAAACAATTCAAATGTCCATCAATTGGTGAATGGATGAACACAATGTGGTGTATCCAGACAATGGGATCCTGTTTGTTAACATGCTACAACATGTGTGAACCTCAAACACATTAGGTTAAGTGAACCTCAAACACATTAGGTTAAGTGAAAGATGCCAAACACAAAAGATCACAAATTGTATAATTCCATTTATATAGAATATCCAGACAAAGTGAACATTGAGAGACTGAAAACAGATTAGAGGTTGCTTGGGGCTAGAGCATAGGGACAAAGGTTGACTACAAATGGGCACAAGGGATCTTTTTGAGATCATGGAAATGTTCTAAAATTGGTTTGTGGTGATAGTTGCACAACTCAGTAAATTTACTAGAAGAAAAAAAATCATTGAACGTTACACTTAAGGTAGGTGAGTTATATGATATGTAAATTTCACCTCAATATGTCTCCTTAAAAAAAAATAATGACAGGAGGAGCATGTGTCTTACTGGCAGAGAATGCCATGTTTACAACCTCACAGAGAGGCCCAGCACAACAATGGAATCATCTGGCTCGGAGGAAAGCACTTGGTTTTTGTGCTGGCAGCACATGATTTATTGGTTTTGCCCTGCTGATAAGGCCATTAAAAGCAGATGATGACACATTCTTCAAGGGCAACACAAAGCCTGCTGCCTTCACCAGTCTTACTGGACCTCAACCCGAACACATGTAGCTTGTTCTGCCAGCCTCTGACATTTTCATTTTGTTTGTAATATAACTTTTCCACCTTTTAAAAATATGTATTTTAGAAAACAAATGCAATAAAACATGTAGATTGGAGAGCTAAAAGTGAAAGTTTCCAGTCCTGTTAAGGGCAGGAATTGGCAAGGGATCATGTTACCAGTGGGATGGGTCTTTTGTAACTTCTCTGAAAACCAGCTCTGATTCACTGAGGATGCCTTAGAAAGGAGAACAAAGAGAAACTGGGGACTCCCGGCCGGGGGGAATCAGAGAAGGCAAATATTCAACAAGCCCTAGATCTCAAGAACACAGGGCGCTGTGGAAGTAAAGGTCAGTTAGGAGCTGTGAGTCTGTGTGAAAAGAGAGTGCCTTTGATATTCGTGATAAAATTTCAAAAAAAAAATCTCAGTAACCAGATACCAGCTTTCAAGCACTAACTGTCCCATTGTCGGGCCACACTGAGTCCTCATATTCCTGTACTTTGAAACTGACTTTACCTCTCTGACCTCATTCACAGCAAGATCTCAACTTTTCTGCCCTTTAATGTGGCATTTACCTGCAGGACCTGGAGTCTTCTAAAGTGACAGTTGTCATGACCCTGAGGAGGGAACCATACCAAGGAGATCGCTGTCTTGGGTGCTCACCTTCCACATCATTCTTCTTAATACTACAGCGAACAACTCTGTCCAAACTTGTCAGACCAACACTCGGGGTTTCAGGACAGGTAATTGCTGAAATGAATGGAAGACCTTCTACTCCACCTCTAGGAAAATTTCCTTTATGAAAATTTTAGGTGAGCTTTATTAGAACCTTCTAGTCCACCTCAAGTAAAATTTCTTTTTATTAGAACTTAAATCTGTTTCCTGTTTCATAAGTGGAATTCCATATTCACCATCTGCTGTGTAAGATGAAAGACTTGGTTGATAAATTCAGCTATTTCTCATTTTTTTTTCTGAAAATCTTTTTCTTTGGTCTTTACAGTTTTAACATTATCAGTTTATCTTTCTATTTGCTTGTGTGGGACTCATTATTACATGTTTGAATCAGATTAACAAACAATAAGTAGACCTACTATACACAGGTGAAGCATTAGATGCTCTATTACTAATCTTTGTCTTTCATCCCATCCTTCTTTCATTTTGATACATTTTGAAATGCCTAACTAGTAGATCTCAACGTGAGAAGCAGTTTGGACTCATTAGAACATAATTATACCCATCACTTACTAGCTGGGCATACTTACAGGGATTTTTTAACCTCCCAGAACCTCAGAACCCACTTTTATCCTTTGTAAAATGGAACTAATTCAGTAGTATATACTTCAGCAAGTGTTGTCTCAAACAAGTTAAGTGTTAATATACGTAATTATTAAATGGAGATCACATTAGCATGTCGTACTGCCTGGCACATTGACTTTAGATAAAAGTATTTTATAAACTATAAATATTATACAATTGCAAGATATTATAAATAGCTCCAATAATTTTAAATTTGACTCATGCTCACTACCACAAGCTGGCACAGCTGGGAGATTTGCTTGGCTGCCAAACCTAAGAGTGAAGACTTGATAAGGGTATTGCCAGTTCTCATCTGATCCCTTTGGCCTGTTTGGTTGTTGTCTGTACAGAGCCTGACCTCTGCCTGACATTCTCCCCTGGGAGCCTCTTTCCAGCTATCTGAGAAGCTCCCAGCAAACTGACTGAGCAATGTCGGAAGCTTAACTTCCTTAGGAGCCATTACATTAGTTCAGCAGCCTAATTACAAATCATCCGTAGGAAATGTTGAAAACCCAAACCCTTCCGTGTAACTGGGAAACATGTTAGATCTATTTCAGGCAGCAACCTTGCACCTGTACAGTGAGAGAAATTAGATTAAGACTTTTTTTTTAAAAGGCAGGTGCAGAGGGAGGATGAAAATTAGGAATAGCTTGTTAACAGTAGACTTAACATTTGTGAGAATAAAAGAATTTCCAGTTTCCCAAATTTGCAAATGATAACGTAACATATTGTTGATGAAAAAGCTAAACTCTGTAAAATATTTAAACAGGTTTATTCTGAGCCAATATGAGTGACCATGGCCCAATGTACAGTCTCAAGAGATCCTGAGAAAGAGTCCCCAAGGCAGTTGGGTTATAGCACTTGGTTTTATACATTTCAGGGAGATAGGAGTTTTAATTAAAGACATAAATCATACATGGAAGATGTACATTAGTTCAGCCTAAAGAGGCAGGATAGGCCGGGCGTGGTGGTGTGTGCCTGTAATCCCAGCCCTTTGGGAGGCCAAGGCAGGCTGATCACGAGGTCAGGAGTTCAGGACCAGCCTGGCCAATATGGTGAAATAATTTTAAACTTGACTCATGCTCACCCTGTCTCTACTAAAAATACAAAAATTAGCCAGGTGTGGTGGCACATGCCTGTAGTCCCAGCTACTCAGGAGGCTGAGGCAAGAGAATCGCTTGAACCCAGGAGGTGGAGGTTGCAGTGAGCCGAGATCGCGCCACTGCACTCCAGCCTGGGCTACAGAGTGAGACTCCGTCTCAAAAAAAAAAAAAAAAAAAAGGCAGGATAGCTTCAAGTAGGGGCCATCTTACAAGTGAATTTAAACATTTTCTGACTGGCAATCAGTTGAAAAAGTTAAACTTTGTCTAAAAACGTAGGAAGTCAGTAGAAAGAAATGTTTGAGCTAAGACAAGGAGGTTGTAGAAGCCAAGGCCCTTGTTAAGTAAACGAAGTTTCATAGGCGGCAACCCTCAGAGAATATGTGATGCTATACCAGAGTCATGCTGGAATTTGGAATCTTATTGCCACAAGAGAAGTTCTGTCAGTCTTACTATAACCTCCCAAGAGATTCACCTTGCCCACTGCCTAGAGAGAGCGATTCTTCAAGACAGGGGAATTGCAATAGAGAAAGAGTAATTCACGCAGAGCCGGCTGCGTGGGAGACTGGAGTTTTATTATTCAAATCAGCCTCCCTGAGCATTTAGGGAGCAGAGTTTTTAAGGACAACTTGGTAGGTGAGGGGAAGCCAGTGAGCCGGGAGTGCTGACTGGTCACAGGTCAGAGATGAAATCACAGGGAGTCGAAGCTGTCTTCTTGCTCTGAGTCAGTTTCTGCGTGGGGGCCACAAGATCAGATGAACCAGTTTATCAATCTGGGAGATGCTATCAAGTGCAGAGTCTGCAAAATATCTCAAGCACTGATCTTAGGAGCAGTTTAGGGAGGGTCAGAATCTTGTAGCCTCCAGCTGCATGACTCGTAAACCATGATTCCTAATCTGTGGTTAATATTAGTCCTACAAAGGCAATCTACTCTCCTGGAAAGAAGCAAGTCTACTTTGGGAAAGGGCTGTTATCATCTTTGTTTTAAGCTATAAACTAAGTTTCTCCCAAAATTAGTTCATGCTACACCCAAGAATGAACAAGGACAGCTTGGAGGTTAGAAGAAAGATGGAGTCAGTTAAGTTAGATCTCTTTCACTGCCTCAATCATAATTTTGCAAAGGCGGTTTCATTATGATCTCTGATGTTAATGCTGGCCAGTTGTGCCTAAACTCCAAAACGGAGAGGGTTTAATGAGGTGTGTCTGACCACCTTCCCATCGTGGCCAAAATTCAGTTTTTCAGGTTTCTCTGAGGTCCCCTTGGCCCAAAGCGCTGTCTGTTCAATAGAATGGAGCGGGGGGGAGGTGCTTAGGATCTTATTTTTGGTTTACAACATGATTTCAATGTTTCCTCACCAGCAAACTGAGGACAACTTAAATAAGAAAGGCATCCATGAAAGGGACAAAAATGCCACTACGAGATATGAGCACTTAGTGGCCAGTTGGGCTCACTCATTAGATTGGGGGACATACTCAAAGGCAGACTGACCATGAAGAGTGAGTTTCAGGTCCTTGTGAGTGCTGGGGTTTCCAGGATTAGTAGAGAGCTCTTGGTGGGGAGAAAAGCCAGGTTACAATGAAGTGGCATTACTCTGAAAGCATTTCTAATAAACTCCTTAAAGGCATCAAAGAAGAAAGAAGTCTAAATCACCTAAGACCCAGTACTTTATCATGATTTCTATTATTGTTTTAAATACATTTTCACTTTTATAACTAATTTTGTATTTATAATTTTATATTATTAAAGAGGTTCCCAACATTGTATAATTCTTGGGCTCTATAACACTGGATTTACCCTTGCCTACTCTCCAACTCATTTGTTTTGTATTGTTTGTTTTGCTTTCTCTCTCTCTCTGTGTGTGTGTGTGTGTGTGTGTATGTTTAATTACTTCCTGAACTCTTAATAATTATGCTAGCCCCTGAGGAGGGCAAATGGGGCAGACATGGTTTCTTCCTCAGAGAAAAGGCCTTTCCAGCGAAGACCTATTTGAAACAGGTAATCCCAACTGGGATATTGCCATGAATGTCTTGTGGGGGCTGGGAAAACTAAGCTGGCTTCAGACATCAGGAAAGACCTTCCTGAGGAAGTGTTACTTAAGACCTGAGTAAAGTAGAAGAGGCAAAGGCTTTCCAGGCAAAGAAAGGAGCAGTGCAATGGCTTGGGGATGAAGGGTGTGTGGACAATTCAGCCCAAAGTGGCTCAAGTGTGAGAGTCGGAAGAAGTGGCCCAAGTTGAAGCTGGAGAGGTGAGTAGGGCTTGATGCTGGAAGAGCCAGAGCCTGCAGTTGAAGGTTCTGCCTGAAGGACAATGGAAACCATTTGGGGGTTTTAGCCAGGGAATTAGTTGATAAGATTTGTGTTTTAAAAGGTTAACTCTGGCTGCATTATGGTAAAGGGGAAAGAATCATGCAGCAATGTACCAGGGAGACTGCTAGTCCATCATGACCATCATCCAAGAAAATGAGGACAGCAGCTTAGATTCAAGCAGGGGGAACAGCAAGAAATGAAGTAAGATTCAAGAGCTGTTTAAAATATAAGAGCTCAGGCCTTCCAAAGGAATATAATGATGTTGGTGAAGGCAGGAGACAAAGGTAGAACATAGACTGCAGCACATGGTGGATGAGGATACTGTTTTCAGAAATGTGGAAGCTGATTACCTGAGCGACAAAATTATCCATACACCAAACCCCTGCAACATGCAATTTACCCATGCAGCAAACCTGAATATGTACCCCTTGAACCTAAAATAAAAGTTGGAAAGAAAAAAAAAGTGACAACAGAAATGAAATAAGGAAAAAAGAAAAGAAACATAGAAGGCTGGAAGAGTGGGTGAGGAAAGTATAAAGGGAAATTAAAACACTGGTTTGGGGCAGGTTGAGTTTTAGCTACCAGTGATATACTCAGATGGAGATTCCCTCCCTCCTTCCCTCCCTCCCTTCGTTCGTTCCTTCCTTCCTTCCTTCCTTCCTTCCTTCCTTCCTTCCTTCCTTCCTTCCTCCTATCACTGAAATACACATATTAAATCTGTGAGTGATAAAATCCTATAGTAGGCCAGGTGTGGTGGCTCACATCTATAATCCCAACACTTTGGGAGGCTGAGGTGAGTGGATCACTAGAGGCCAGGAGTTCGAGACCAGTCAACATGGCAAAACCCTGTCTCTACTAAAAATACAAAAATTAGTCGGTGTGGTGGTGGGCGCCTATAATCCCAGCTACTTGGGAGGCTGAGGCAGGAGAATCAGTTGAACCTGGGAGGCAGAGGCTGCGGTGAGCTGAGATAGTGCCACTGCATTCCAACTTGGGCTACAGAGCGAGATTCTGTCTCAAAAAATAAAATAAAATAAAAATACAAGCCTATAGTAGAATAAAGCAGAGGATCAGTGGAAATGAGGATTTTAATTAAATATGAAATATATATTATATATGATATATAAATATTATATATAATTAATAATTAAATATATTTGTATAATATATTCACTTAACTCTTTGGTGGATATAAATAGTAATGCCTAAACAAATATTTTAAAATAGGAATAGTTTCTGAAATTACCAAATTCTTCTCGAAATTTGGGGATTAATAAAGTATGAAAACAAACAATTGGTAGGGCCTTGCAACGCTTCTAAACAGTAGCTGCCACAAAAACATAAGCCACAAGCAAAGTGACTCATCTGTAGGAAGTGGGAGTCTCCTTCCATAGAGACTGTTAGGCTGAAGTAGGAATTAGATACATGTATATTTAGGAGCTCTCTCTGATCACCCTATAAATACTAATTGTGGAAACACCAGATCTACTGGCAGGTCTGGTATTGCTGATTTTTGGAGGAACTGGTGAGTTTTTGCCACTCTCTTGTTGAGTCTTTATTAAATCAGGACACTTGCTAAGGTGAACAGTGTCCTTGTTAGGCAGCTACGGCTATGGATGATGCTACGGGATAATGTTACGTCTACCTAACACTAGATGGTAATAAAGTCCAAAACTCTTTGACATGGCCTAGAAAGCCCTTCAAATAAAGAAATATTCAACATGTATAAGCACCTACCATGTGAAGGGCATGATACTGGTGGCTATTAGGAGTGGGGAGGGGTAGATACCAAAGCCATTTTTAAAAAGTAGTACCTGAATCAGGGCCAGTTTCTGCCTCATCTCCACCTATTCCACCTAGCCAAACAGTCTGGTTTTTGTTTTTGTTTTCATACTCCTGTGCATTTGCCCAGAGGCTGCTCTTTCAGCCTGGAAAGCTCTATCTGATTCTGTACTTTCTCTGACTCCACTCACATAGGCTATATTGCTTCTTTATCTGTGCCCCATGGTTCTTCCCTCCCTGGCGCCTGGCTAGAGGCATCACTGCACTGTGTTATTGTCAGCTGTCTGCCTCTCTCCCAGGAGTATGAACTCCTTGAGGGCAGAGACTAGATCAATTTCCATTTTCTGTTTATAATCCCAGCTTCCAGCACAGACTTGTTCCACAGAACGTAGTTGGTAAATGTGAGTTGAATAAACAAACCAACAAACAGATGATAGTATTTTCAGGAGGAAAACAAAAGGAAAAAAAGTTGAAAGGGGAAGCTCTGTTTTCACTAAAAAGGGAATTGCCAATATATTGGGAGATAGTATGTATCTGAGTGTATCTGAATATATCTCATTGGGAAGCCAGAACTATGAAAAAATTCTATCCCAAGGCAGATTTTTTTAAACAAAAAATGTTAATCGTCAAAAGGCTTGGAGTATTATTGACTGTAAAAACAATTCTATCCAAAAAGATAATGCAACCAAGTAAAAATCTCAAAATACAAAATGGTGATGCTTGGAACATATAGTGACTGGATTTTTTCAATGTAGACAAAGTTCCAAAGAAAACTAAATTATTCACCATATTTAATTCTAGTCAGGGTCAGGCGGGTAGTGTTTGATCACTCAGCAGAATTGTATCCAGGAGATTTAAAGTTTGTGAAGGATACTTACAGGGGGAACCAAGAAGTATCCAACCTATTTGAACCAACTCATAAGATCATTCGTGAGTTGTGATTATTATCATAATCGGAGTGATTTGTAACAAATATACTAGGATATCTAAATGACTATTGTTTTTAAGGCAGTGTCTTTGAGAGGCCATAATGGCTTTTTCCAGTGATGCTGCCACACAGCAAAAACACACACAAAAACGAACAAACAAAAGGCATTAAGCCTTCCCTTTTGGAGCCATTTTCAGAGTCACTCATGGGACACATAAGATTTGGGAAAAGAAATCCATGTGAGATGATATTTATTCTGGGTTGTTCCAATGAGAAAATTTAAAATATGTGGATTTTTCAAGAGACTAGTTTCAAAGCAATAAAAGTAATTTTCTGAGGATTTGAGTCATCCAACAATGAAATAAGCTTTTGAAAATGTGCTATTTTCACTAAAGATGTTCAAGCAAACACTAGATGATCACAAATAGAAGTGATACAAAATTCATGTATTTCAAAGTCCTTTTGAAATCTGAGAATCTGTGATTCTAAAATATCTGAATACTAAATGTATATTATAGTTTGCATGTATCGAGCCCAGGTCTGTGTTCAAATGTTACCTTACTACAGAGATCTTCCCAGATGAAATATTACCCCCAAAATCTTCCTTCCATTTTACCCTGCTCTATTTTTCTCCATAGAACTTCTCTCTAATGTGTTCTATATTTACATGTTTGTCTAGATATTGTCTGTCTCTCCCATCTAGAATGTAAGCTCTGTGGAGGAAGGAACTTCGTTGATTTTGTTCACTTCTCTAAGCCAAGCAACTAAATTAGAATCTGGCATGTAATATGTGTTTAGTCAATTGTCCAATAAAACTTAGCAAAAAAAGGATGTTACTGAACAATTACAAACATGAGAGAGATAGGGTAAAACACAATTCCAGTGTTTCTTCGCACATATTTATATACCCTAAAACTCGCACAGTAGTCAACCTATCACATGTGGCCAATATGTATTGTTGAAAGAATGAACTCATGCTATCATTTATATGTCTTTTCTTCTTTTTTTCCCAAAAGCACACAGATTTTTACATGGCTGTAATCCTTATTCATCTTTTCACCTAAATTGTGGTACTAGAGCTGAATGACTCATCTCATGCATCAGATTTGGCTATCATGACTTGATGTCATTGCCAAAAATCAAACCCATTCAAATAAAAAAGATGGGCCCTTGCTGAGCTGAGGTTACACAAAAGCATATGCTACAGGCTGTAAAAAAAAAAACAAAAAAACAAAAAAACAAAAACAAAAAACAAAAAAAACACACAAATGAACTCATTATTTCTAATTCAATCATTATCTCTCTCATTAGCATCACTGAAAAGTGTCAGTTATTTTTGGAGTAGAATATCATAACAAGTTAAGATCAAAATAGCTAGCCAAAACATTCTCACAAGAGAGCAAAGTCAGATAGACTTATACACATTCTGATTTCAAAACTTATTATAAAGCTACAATAATTAAGACCATGTGATTTTGCATAAGGATAGATATATAGATTTATAGAACAGACTTGACTGTCTAGAAATAAACCCATGTATTTACGGTCAGTTAATTTTCCACAAAGGTTCCAAGGTAATTCAATAGAGGAAAGTATAGTTTTTTTCAACAAATGGTGCTAGGACAATTGAATATCTGTGTGCAAAAAGATAAATTTGGGCCAAGTGTTGTCACTCACGCCTGCAGTCCCAGCACTTTGGGAGGCCACGGTGGGGGCAGCATTTGAGTCCATGAGTTTGAAACCAACCACCTGGGCAACATGGCAAAACAGTGTCCCTACAAAAAATAAAAAAAAAAAAGATTAACTGGGCGTGGTTGCTTGCTGTCTCTAGTCCCAGCTACTCCGAAGGCCGAGGTGGGAGGATCACCCAAGCCCAAAAGATAAGAGGCTACAGTGAGCTATGATGGTGCCATTACACTCCAGCCTGGGCAACAGAGTCAGACTCCGCCTAAAAAAAATAAAAATAAAAAAGATGAATATATAACTTTACCTTACATATACACATAAATAAGTCAAAATGGGTAGGAAATCTAAATAAAACTAAAACTATACAACTTTCACAATAAAATATGAGTAAATCTCTGTGGCCTTGGGTTGGAAAAAAATTTTCTTTTTTTTTTAATGAGACAGAGTCTCGCTGTCACCCAGGCTGGAGGGCAGTGGTGCCATCTTGGCTCACTGCAGCCTCGGCTTCCTGGGTTCAAACCATTATCCCACCTCAGCCTCCTAAGTAGCTGGGTTTATAGGCATCTGTCACCATGCTCAGCTAATTTTTGTATGTTTACTAGAGACAGGGTTTTGCCATGTTGGCCAGGCTGGTCTCAAACTCCTGGGCTCAAGTGATCTGCCCACCTCAGCCTTCCAAAGTGTTGGAATTACAGGCGTGAGCCACCGTGCATGGCCAGAAAAAGATTTCTTAACTATAACACCAAGCAATACAACAAAAAAATTGATAAATTGGTCTTGGACTTCACCAAAATTTAAAAAGTTTGCTCTTCAAAATGAATCAAAAGACAAGCCCCAGAATAGAAAAAAAAAGTCATATACCTAATAAAATATTTGTCTCCAGCACATATAAAGATTCTTACAACTCAATAATAAGGAGACAATTAACCCAATTTTAAAATGGGCATAAGCAAGAGATTGAGGCTGCAGTGAGCTATGATCACTCCACTGCACTCCAGCCTGGGTGACCGAGCAAGACCCTGTCTCAAAAAGTTGTTTAAAAAAGGGGGAGGTAAGATTTGAATAAATATTTCACCAAAGAAGATATAAGGTGGCCAATAAACACATGAAATGATGAACATCTTACTAGGGAAATGAAAATTAAAACTATCATTTGACACCCTCTAAAATGACTATAATAGAAAGACAAGCAATAATAGGTGAGGATGTCGAGAAACCGGAACTCTCATTCATTGCTGATGGGAATGTAAATTGGTACAGCCGTTTCGGAAAACAGTTTTTTACAGTTTCTTAAAAAGTAAATTTACCATATAACCCAGTAATTCTGCTCCTACATATCTACTCAAAATAAATGAAAACCTGAGGTTACTCAAACACTTGCATGTAAATGTTCATAGAAACTTTATTCATAGATAAAAGGTAGAAACCCAAAGCTAGAAACAACCCAAATATTCACCAGCTGCTGAAGGTATAATCAGAATATCATGTACTATACATGTATTGATAAATGTATTTTTGTATGCATTAATATTTTTAATAGATTTTACATATCTATAAAATGGTGTTATATTTATGGAGTCCTATAAACTATGGATTTATTTTAACATATACACAACAATATGCTCATATATAATTTCTTTTTTTAATTTGTGCAAATGTATGGAGTACATAAGAAAATTTGTTGTATATATATAATATGTAGTGATTAAGTCATATATATAATTTCAAATTAGCATCTCTTCCATTTTCAGGCCAGATACAAATCTGGGCTCAGATTCTAGCTCTCTCACTTCTTAGCTCTGTGCTCCCATGCTAGTAACTTAACCTCTCTGAGTGTGTACTAGTTAAGTACAGGCACTAATGTACACCTTACAGGACTGTAGAATTAAAGGAGATAATGCTTAACACTGGAATGGCATAATGTCAGTCCTTAATAAATCATATCCAGTATTATTATTTGTATTTTTCGAGTTTCATTTGCAAGTCTAGATTTTTACTAGTAATCATGGTGAGTAGGAAGAAGCATTTCGTTCAGTGGAGAAAGACACCTCTCTGTACTTTCAGCTCTCCAACTTCTGACGTTTCACTTAATCTCTGAGAGCCTCAGTTGCCAACATCTATAAATGAGAATCATGTTATTCATCTCACAGTATTTATGATTAGAAAAACTTATTGAAGTGCTTTGTAAACTGCAAAGTAGGATAAAATTATGAAATACTATATTATTATGACCTTTTGTCCCCATCAATACCACCTACAGTATGTTTATAGAAGAACCAAAATAACTACCCATGGAGTATTGTGGAGACATTTCTCAACCCTAAGATTATAATGAAAGAATCTTTTCATGGCCATGGAGGTGGTGGCAAGTCATTTTCAAAATAAATTTTATTTCCCTGTTGTTTGAATACAAAGTGAGAAGAACTGTGTTACTCCTTATCTGAAACACTCTGCCTGTCCTCATGAGCTATCAGACTCAGCTAAATATGGCCCTGGCCAGTATGTTAATAATCCCCACTGGTTCTGAGACCTCCATCCACCACCGATGTGACATTCTTTGTGTTCAAATGTCTAGCTGACGTCTGATGCTTAAAACAGCCCATGCCTTCACCCCTCTCTGCATTGTCACAGCCCTGTATCACCACTCTTAAAAGGCTCCCACAGCCACTCCTAGCACCAGTTGTTGACCAGCCTGCCACTTGCCTCCCTGCCTGCTTCTGGCCGCCTTGAATGCCTGGTCCTTCAAGCTCCTTCTGGGTCTGACAAAGCAGGGACCATGTCTACCTTTGGCTACCGAAGAGGACTCAGTAAATACGAATCCATCGACGAGGATGAACTCCTCGCCTCCCTGTCAGCCGAGGAGCTGAAGGAGCTAGAGAGAGAGTTGGAAGACATTGAACCTGACCGCAACCTTCCCGTGGGGCTAAGGCAAAAGAGCCTGACAGAGAAAACCCCCACAGGGACATTCAGCAGAGAGGCACTGATGGCCTATTGGGAAAAGGAGTCCCAAAAACTCTTGGAGAAGGAGAGGCTGGGGGAATGTGGAAAGGTAGGCTCTCGGGACTTTTCCTTGGCTAACCCCACCTCCCCATCACCCCATCCCAAACCCAGACACTTGTTTTCCCTAACTTCTCAATCCTCATCACTTGAATTTTCCTATAACCCATTTATACTTGCTACTAAATCATTTTTCAGGCTGAAATAATCATGTAAATGCTATGGCCACCCAATGGATCATAATATGTAAAATTCTTAATTGGGGCTCTTTGATTGATTACAAATAGAAAGCTCAAGAGGAAAATAATTCACAATCAGTGTATGGGATTCAATATTTTGCCAAACATAAGTGTTGTTTGAGCTATATGTTGGTAATGTGGCATAATATTTGTTCCCAAGATACATGCATACGTATAAATGTATACTTTTTTTTCAGTTAAGTACATTTATTTTCTCCTATAAAGACAAAAGTGGGAACGCTGGTTGCTTTGACTGTGATAGTAGCTATGGTGAAATAGTTCTTTTCCAATACCAAGAAGTGTGGGGTGGTGGGAAGTACATGACACTGAGAGTCACAGGGCCTTGTTATGAGTCCCTGCTCTGTTCCCACATCTTTAGACCTTGAACAATCACTTTTACAGGGTTCTCTTTCCCTCTGGACATTGAGGGAGTTAGAGACAGTGTTTCTTTTGCGAATCAAGAACCCCTTTGAGATTTTGATAAGTTATGAACCTTCTTAAGAAAATAGCCCTGGGCTTGTGCAAAATACACCAACTTTTGCATAGAATTTCAAAATGATAACACATCCTGAAACCCATCTGAGGACTCAGGGGCAGCACAGCTGTATAGATGATCTCTTCGATTTCTGTCTCCTTTACGATGGTGATCCTGAGGTTAGGAAATGTGCTTATATCAGAGCTCAGGCCTATAAAGCTCTTGTGTACTGCCCAGTAAACAGTTATTTTGAATTTGCCAAATGAGTCAATACCAGAAGGAAGTCCAAAAGACTATTATTCTCTGGGAAAACAGTAATGACAATAAAGTGTCCATATAACAAAAAAAAAATTCTTCCGGAATTATGGAAGAACATAGGTCAGGAGAAACAGTTTAAAACCCTTGCACTCTGTTGGAATCATCTAAAATCAAAATGGCCTAAAGCCAATGGCAAGACTTCCACAGTACTAATCTAGGGCTGTTAGATGATCTTGATGATAGGGTTATCTTGGCCACAATTGCAGCAAGATATGTGTGAGTTTTGTCCACGTCAATCATTGCAGGAAGGGCCACTGGGATCTGGCCAGGGTCTGCCAAGGCCACAGTACTAATCAGCTAGAAGGGGTGTGTTAGAAGGAAGGACACATACAAGTCAGTACTTGGGCAGGTCAATTCCTCCACAACCATTGTTTTAAGAGGGATTTTTTTTTCTTTGATGTGATAATGAGCATCAAAATAACAATGACATTATCATCACAATTATTTAAAACTCTCTTTAATAAAATAAAACTGGCTGGGTATGCTGGCTCACGCCTATAATTCCCACACTTTTTTGGGAGGCTGAGGCAGGAGAATCACTTGAGCCTAGGAGTTCAAATCCAGCTCTGGCAATATAGTGAGATCTCATCTCTACAAAAAAAAAAAAAAAAAAAAAAAATTAGCTGGGTTTAGTGGAACATTAGCAGGTGGTAGTCCCAGCTGCTCAGGAGGCTGAGGTGGGAGGTTGGCTTCAGCATGGGAGGTTGAGGCTGCAGTGAGCTATGGTTGTGCCACTGCACTCAGCCTGAGCCACAAACCAAAACCTTGTCTCATTAAAAAAAAAAAAAAAAAAAAAGAATAAAACTGTCTCAGAATATCCAGGCTGTACAACCAATGTATCAATAATCCAACAAAGGCTTTTTAATGTCACAATGACATGATAGTGGTGGGAACCAAAGAGCAAAACCTATCGTCAGCCGGACGAACCCACCTGATCCTGCCAAAGGTTTTGCTGATCCCTGCCAATGGCTTATCAGCTCAATTAGAGAGGCTGCTGTGTTGATGGACTTCGGTTCCTTTCTAGGCTATTAACTTTTTCTCCCAGTACTTTCCCTGCTGGCCAGCTGTCTGTAGTTGCCAGGCATGATGAGCAGGAACTTGCTGATGGAGGGTGCAAATCCAATTCCCACAACAGGGAAAATCTTCGAGCAGCTGTTGGGTGGCTGGGGGAGCAAGGTAGTTGCGTAAGTGAAGAGCCATAAAGGAAGGACCCTGAGAAGGAGCGGAGGGTCTTGATTGATTATCAGGCGGCTGGCTCTGTAAAGGCTTATAAAAAGCAGATGCAACACCTGTTGAATGCCAGCCTTTCTGCCCACTTGGGCTTACACAAACTTATGCCGCATTGGGGCTCCCAGGGACCCTAGAATCCCAATGGTCTAGCTCCCCTATTGAGCAGTGGTTAAATCTCAGCACAGGTGCCAATGAGTTTCTCCCATTATCTCACTTCATTTTTAACTTTCTGCACTTGAGAACTGAGACAAGGCAAGGTTAAGAAACTCATTAGAGGTTAAGAGCTTGTACATAGAAGTGAAAATTAAAGAACATTTCAAAATTGTGGGTGCCCGGTCAGCAGCATCAGCATTACCTGGGATCTTCTTGGAACTGCAAATTATAGAGTTCCCGTCAATCTGATGAATGATAAACTCTGGGGATGGGGCCCAACAATTGGTGCTCTCACAGGTGATTATGACACACAGTAAAACTTAAGAACCGCTCAACTACAGTTACCTCCTGAATAACATGGGGGTCAGGTGAACCAACTCCTGCCCCTGCAGCATCCAAAATTCATGTATAACTTTTGACTCCCCCAAACCTTAACTACTAATAGCCTACTGTGGACAGAAGCCTTACCAATAACATAAACGGTCAATTAACACATACTTTGAATGTGATATGTACATACATAATAGGGAGGTGATCAGGAGAAACAACCGGCCACTCTTCTCATTACCTGATTTGTTTTCTAAGTTTACTAACATTCCCCTTCTCCTTGTCCAGTCCCTTGCCATCTCATCTCCCACCTCCTTATTCTATACCCTCCTTCCCACCTCCATTCTCCAAAGAATCAGGGTTAATGCCAAAGCAGTGGCATATAGGAAATCTGTAATAAAACAGGCCCCCTAGGGACAGAGTATTTTATAAAGTAAGCGAAGTCTGTTTTTTGCATCCTCTCACCTTGCCTCTGTAGACACCTTTTCCCCTTCTGTTCTTTCTCCAGATGTCCCCCACCTAGGGTGACTAATCATCTCAGATTGTCCGGAACTATCTAGATTTCATGACTAAAATCCTGGGAAACCCTTCACACTCAGGCAAACTGGGAGGGTTTATCACCTTTCTCCTGTGTGTAGTCCTGACTCTCAGCTGCTGTTAACCAATGTCAACTTAGAGCCATTCAGTAAGCAAATAATTATTGAGCTCCTACTACATGCTAAGCACTGTGCTAGGTGAGCAAAGCAGACATGGTCCACTGCTCTCAACAGCTAACAGTCTGCTGGGAAAAACAAGTGACCAAAATAAAGTGCGACAGGTACTTTATTGGGGGTGGGTACAATGGTATGGGAATGCGTCTGAGGGATATTTGGAGAGGATGTCAAAGAAGGCTTTCTGGGAGATCTATCATTTAGATGCTATATGACAATTCACAGTTTCAGATATTATCTGTCCAGGTACATTATAAGGGGAAAACAGATCTTGCAGATAGAGCCAGAGGGTCTTTAAAAAACCAAAGGGAGTAAAATGTAATGGTGTCATACAAGGCCGTATACCTTGGATTTTGAGACAGGCCCCTTTCCTCCAAATACTGAAACAGCTAAAAATACATACAAACACATGAACACACACAGCTTTACAGGGACTAGAATTATAAGGAATTTGGAGTGGAATGGGGTGAGGAGAAGTCAGCCCACAATTCTTTCCTTCCTCGGGTTAATCCATTTGTTTCACTGCTGGACAGGGAAGGCTTCCTCTCTTCCCTCACGTATGCCTGGAGACTTGGCTAGAGCCACACTCTTTTTCTTATGTTGTTGCATTGTGACTTGCAGCCAGCTGCCACCAAACATTTCTCTCTCTTTCTCTCTCTCTCTCTCTCTCCCTCTCTCTCTCTCTCTCACACACACACACACACACAGAGACACACAGAGTATCTCTCTCTCTCCCTCCCTGCTCCTGAAGAAGTGAATAAATTAAGACTGGAAAAGTCATCCCAGGAGTGGCTGACCCCTTCCCCAGGCCATCACTCGGTGCCTGCCACTCCAAACAGTGGATAACTGGAGGCTATTTTGTGATAGCAACTGGGCAAACGAACCTGGAGACAAGGGCAGTGTTTTCCAAAGCTAGATCTACATGCTTCAGGCAGCGGGCGCCCTCGAGGTCAAAAAAAAAAAAGTTGCCAATATAGAGAGAAGAATCAGGGCCTGGAGGACAGGGCAGGGTCCCAGGGCTGTAGAGAAGATAAAGAGAAAGGACTAAAAAGACAGCAGGAGAAAAAGATTAGACTCTGTCAGCAATTTCTAGACCTTTTTTTTTTTTAATCAGAAAAGATAGCAAGAAAAAGAGAAACAAGGGGTCACTTGAGCGTCTTTGTACAGCAAATCTTGTAAACAGGAAAGACAAAGATAGAATGAAATTGTGTTTGCCTGAAAGCCTTTCATAATTGATACATGCTAAATAATTTAAGACCTTCAGGCTGGGCAATGGCTTACTTCAAGATTTTCTGCTGTTCTCTGCTGTTCCATCCACTTTACTGATTAGAATCTAGTGGATGCCAAGGGTGATTATCTTTCCCACCTGGTCTTCTACAGTCTGTCTCATTTAACCCTGGACTAGTTGGAGGTTTCAAGTTGATTTTCCCAAAAGGGTGACCTGAATGTTTTCTCTGCATCGAACTGGATTTTGACCTCCTGCTGTCCTGAGCAGCAGCCCTGCCTTTAGGCTTCCCTTGCCCAGATAAGGGACAGCTACAGAGGCAGCTCTCAGGTGATTCAGAGAGTCTTCTGTGGTAGAGCCCTGTGCCGGGCTCTACCGTAGAAGCAGATAAATAAATGCTGGAGGAGCAAATGACAGCTCTGCTTCTGTCTACACTGAGGCAAGGCCTGGCAGAGAGTGGTTGGCTTCTGTCACATCTGCTATGGATGGAAAATTTGGGAATTTTTGAATTAAAAAGGGAAACTCATTAACATATTGTATATTTTTGTTGTCATTTGATTGCTTGAGATGGAGAAATAAGAAAGAACAGAGTGATTCCAGAAGGGAGGGTTGAATTTGCTACATTGTAAGTAAATGGAGAGTAAACCAGTAAGAGTCGGTCCTCAGGAGGTGAACAAATTTATCAAGGGTTTTCCAAAGCTGAAGTTCTGATTTATTTGTTCAAATTAGCAAAATGATTATATATTTTTATTCAATAAGTTGAATTCTGGATATTCTGCAGAAAACAAGAGAAATGTTTGTAGAAAAAGCTATTGCTATTTATTGCAATAAAATGTCAGCCTTGGTCATGAGAACTAGACAGAATGGAAGCAGAGGATTATTAACTTTTTTTATTATAAACTTATGTCACTTGCCATGTGCTACTTTTGCAAGTTAAAAAATGTACTTAAAAATGGTATCATTTTTAAGAAGCTTAATGATGATATCATACTCTTTAGGTTGCAGAAGACAAAGAGGAAAGTGAAGAAGAGCTTATCTTTACTGAAAGTAACAGTGAGGTTTCTGAGGAAGTGTATACAGAGGAGGAGGAGGAGGAGTCCCAGGAGGAAGAGGAGGAAGAAGACAGTGACGAAGAGGAAAGAACAATTGAAACTGCAAAAGGGATTAATGGAACTGTAAATTATGATAGTGTCAATTCTGACAACTCTAAGCCAAAGATATTTAAAAGTCAAATAGAGAACATAAATTTGACCAATGGCAGCAATGGGAGGAACACAGAGTCCCCAGCTGCCATTCACCCTTGTGGAAATCCTACAGTGATTGAGGACGCTTTGGACAAGATTAAAAGCAATGACCCTGACACCACAGAAGTCAATTTGAACAACATTGAGAACATCACAACACAGACCCTTACCCGCTTTGCTGAAGCCCTCAAGGACAACACTGTGGTGAAGACGTTCAGTCTGGCCAACACGCATGCCGACGACAGTGCAGCCATGGCCATTGCAGAGATGCTCAAAGTCAATGAGCACATCACCAACGTAAACGTCGAGTCCAACTTCATAACGGGAAAGGGGATCCTGGCCATCATGAGAGCTCTCCAGCACAACACGGTGCTCACGGAGCTGCGTTTCCATAACCAGAGGCACATCATGGGCAGCCAGGTGGAAATGGAGATTGTCAAGCTGCTGAAGGAGAACACGACGCTGCTGAGGCTGGGATACCATTTTGAACTCCCAGGACCAAGAATGAGCATGACGAGCATTTTGACAAGAAATATGGATAAACAGAGGCAAAAACGTTTGCAGGAGCAAAAACAGCAGGAGGGATACGATGGAGGACCCAATCTTAGGACCAAAGTCTGGCAAAGAGGAACACCTAGCTCTTCACCTTATGTATCTCCCAGGCACTCACCCTGGTCATCCCCAAAACTCCCCAAAAAAGTCCAGACTGTGAGGAGCCGTCCTCTGTCTCCTGTGGCCACACCTCCTCCTCCTCCCCCTCCTCCTCCTCCTCCCCCTCCTTCTTCCCAAAGGCTGCCACCACCTCCTCCTCCTCCCCCTCCTCCACTCCCAGAGAAAAAGCTCATTACCAGAAACATTGCAGAAGTCATCAAACAACAGGAGAGTGCCCAACGGGCATTACAAAATGGACAAAAAAAGAAAAAAGGGAAAAAGGTCAAGAAACAGCCAAACAGTATTCTAAAGGAAATAAAAAATTCTCTGAGGTCAGTGCAAGAGAAGAAAATGGAAGACAGTTCCCGACCTTCTACCCCACAGAGATCAGCTCATGAGAATCTCATGGAAGCAATTCGGGGAAGCAGCATAAAACAGCTAAAGCGGGTAAGTAACCAGAGAACAGACATAGGGGCACAGATAAAGTAAATGAGTTGTCCTCCATTGCATGGTGGTACCAAAGTCACCTCTCACAATACTTATCAATACTTTCAATATTTTAGTATGCGAGAGCAAACACACCAAGTTTGAAACATTAGGAGCAGGCACACAAGTGAGCACATTTCTATTTGAGAGGAACGCCTGGGCCGCTTTCCCAGCCTCTCAATCATATAAGGGCAAGGACCATTTTCATACACGTCCCAATTCCCTTAAGAAGAAAACCAGGGAATATAATCTAAATTCCAAAAGGATTCACCACTTGTCAAAAATTTTACCACAGAGTTGTGACTGATTCGATACCTAATTTATAACATAAAATTTATAATGTGGTAAAAAAATTACCATGCAGCAATAATCAACCTGAGTTCTTCTCAGAGGATACTGCTAGAGACATATCCTACAGATATTTTTCACTTATCATGTGTGTTGTTTCATTGAGAGAAAATCCGCTATTTTTGTAGGTGGAAGTTCCAGAAGCCCTGCGATAAAAACATGATCTTTAGAAGAGGATGCAGAACTGTTCAGTGGTATTACATGAAATGCATTGTGAGATGTTTCTAAAATACCTTCTTCAATTCAAAATGATCCCTGACTTTAAAAATAATCTCACCCATTAATTCCAAAGAGAATCTTAAGAAACAATCAGCATGTTTCTTCTGTAAATATGAAAATAAATTTCTTTTTTATGTCGTGAGATTTGTATTGGCAAGAAGCAGTTAATTTAAAGATGCTCTTCCTATCTGTGGATGTGTTGGTAACTCCGAGTTGTAATGAGTTCATGAAATGTGCTGTTATTTTTGTAATCTCAATAAATGTGGATTGAAGTTTTTTCCCTTTTTTTAAAGCCAAACTAATATTTTTCTGTGACTTGATACATCTGTCAGATTTTTGTAATCTCGATAAATGTGTATTGAAGTTTTTTCCCTTTTTTTAAAAAGCCAAACTAATATTTTTCTGTGAGTTAATACATCTGTCAGGTGTGTATGTAACATTACTGGACATTAAAAAAAAATATTACATTCTCACCCAAAAAGGGTTTGGGTCCTAAGCATTTGCCTTTCTTTGTTTCCTCTTGTTCAAGAAAATCTGATTAGATCTCTTTCTAAAGGACTGCAAGCAATAATTTTTTTTTATATTTTATTTATTTATTTATTTTTTTGAGACAAGTCTTGCTCTGTTACCCAGACTGGAGTACAGTGGCACAATCATAACTCACTGCAGCCTCAAACTCCTTGGCTCCACTGATCCTTCTGCCTCAGCCTCTGGAGTCCCTAGGACTACAGGCATGCACCACCACGCCTGTCTAACAATTTCATTTTTTTGTAAAGACGGGGTCTCACTGTGTTGCCTAGACTGGTTTCCAACTCCTGGGCTCAAGAGATCCTCCCACCTGGGGCTCCCAAAGCACCGGGATTATAGGCGTGAGCTAGCGTGCCCAGTAAGAACTTTCTTCAAAGTGAGATAAAACGTTGCAAAAAGATCATCAATGTGATCATTATCATCTTAGATTCATTGATGCTAGACCCAGGATGGTAGCTGATGCTTCCATATTTCCAGAAGTACCATAGGTACCCAGATGTTGATTCAATCATTTATTATAAAAATGAATGATCTCTGGAAGGAATAAAATTGAAAAGAAGTTTCTTGGTAGGAAGGAAATAAGTGCTAGAGGAATGCTGGAAGGTAAGACCCCTAAATTCAAAGCTACCTTTTGGCTGATGCTAAGGATGGACCATTCAAGTCTCTCTTTGAGCTCTCCTTGGATAAGCCTTAGTCTAGTGGGTCTCTACACAAATCACGATGATGCTAACATTCACAAAATAGACATGGGGACATGGAGCACATGCATTTTTTCCAGCTATCCTTCTACTCCTGTCGCTCAAGAAGTGTCTGAATTCAAATAAGAGAAAGACATATTGAATTACCTTTACTTCACTCTAGTGCTCCACTCTAATTTATGAAAGTTATAAATCCCTCTAAAGTCCTTTGTATTAACTATGATTAGCGATGTATCCTTTGTGTCCTACAGATTATAACAGTGATCTTGGCAAACTCTCTGAGTCACCCAATAAGTAATTGTTTGCTTCATATACAGAGCTTTGGATTATCTCCAATCAAGAGGATTGTGTTTCACTAGAAAATCTCTCCCATAGTCCTTCGGCCTGGCTCTTTGAGTCTGTTTCTGCTGTTCAGCCATTCTTTTACAGAATAACAACTGACATAATCACTTAAAAAGGATCCCAGTGGCCCATGAGCTAGTTGGTGCCCTGATTCCATGTGAGGGAAGGGAGGTGACTGATATTTTCTGAACTAAGTTGTCTCATGTTTTCACAACAACATTAAAAGGTGCCATTGCAATTTTATAGTTGAGTAAACCGAGGTACAGAGAGGGTAAGGCTGGTGTCTCTGACTGTAAAGCTCATGCTCCTTCCGTGTCACTGCACCTCTCTTCTTCCACCCAGACTTAGCCTCCCAAGGTTTGCTGTTCTTAGAACAGTGGAGATCTTCATTTCCCTTGGTAGAGACTTCACTATTTTCACCTCATGGTCACAATTACATTCATTCTTGTTCAAGGAAATAAAAGGTAAAATGTACGTTTTTAAAAGGCATTTATGTGTGCAGGTGTGTGAATTTAGAACAGAAAGCCAAGGCAGGCCTTCCCTTCCTCTGACCCTTGTGTGTGCATGAAGACAGGGCTCTTCTAAGTCAAAGGGTTGTGAGAGGTGAACAGCTTCCACCTCCAGTCTGATGAGGCAGAGGAGCAAAAGTTTGCTGATAAACTGGGTCATTGATTAAACCATGCAGAGATCCCAGGAGCGGAGTGTGGCAGCCCTCCTGAATAAAGAGGAAAAGGCTAGCATGAGTATTACCAGGAGCTGGTTGGGCTGGGGAGACTGGCCAAGCCTTCTCACCAGAAGCAAGTGATAAGGAGACATGTTTTCTCCTTTGCATTTTAACAGGCTGCCTTGCTGTGGCTTTCTGTGCCTTAAGAGAGAGCAACATGTACTTACTACAGACTTCACAAAGTTTAAGTGAAGATACAGGCTCTCACATCAATCTAAGAAACAAAGTTATAAAGCATATAATAAGACAAGTATAATACGGTCAGATTCTAAGTGGGCACATTTATCATTATGAAAAAAGCATTTCTAGAATGTGTTATTTCAGAATCCAGTACTGTAAACATGCAAAATATTATGATGATCATTATTCAGCACAGAACAGGGATCCTGGTCCATCCTCCCTGGAAACTCATAGAGCTGATATGAAAACTAATTAGTTCATCCTCTATAAAGAGCTTTCAACTCACTGGGAGAGAGACTGTCCAAGACCAGATGAAGTGTTTAGGCTCTGATTAATGTGGGCATGTTAATCTCAGAAAGTACAGCTCAGTACAGCTCATCCTGATTTGAAACAGGGCCAGGATGCTGAGTCCCCCTGCTTCATGAGCCCTGCTGCCACAGGTATTTAATAACTCGGTGTCAGCAGGATCTTGATTTAATACCTGCCCTGAGACTGTTACTACCACAGGGTGAAAGGAAGAGGTAATTACAGGCTGCAATGTCTCTATGCAGATGCACTAAAGACAGGGGTAAATCAATATGCTCTTGAAAATATCTCATAACTACTTCCTTTCTCGACATAGTTAAAGCTGCCTCTTCCTTGTTTCTCTGAAGCTCTTAAGGTGGACTTTTATTTCCATAAATTGCCAAATGTATGATATAAAAGACTACAAGTTGATCTAAAACTTACAAAACTCAGAAATATGGCACCAATATTGGTGCACTTAACATCACAAATATTTTCTGACTGCCTGCTGTGTTCCAGATATCTTCCAAACACTGGAGGTAAACAGTGAGCAAAGGCAATAGAACCCCTGTCCTCATGTAACTTACATTCTAGTGTAAGGAGGAAGCTTACACTACTCCTTCATGCATTCTGCATTTATATATCAAGTGGCTTCTATGGACAGGGCACTCTCCTCCAGGCTTGGGAGACCAAGCTGAATTAGAAAGTGTCTTCTACCTCAGAGCAGTGGGAATTTTAAGGAAAGCAACACTTCCAGAAGAGTAAAAATTTTCTTAGTTCACAGGCTGTACAAAAATAGGTGTTGGATGGCTTCAGCCTGTGAACCACATTTTATCATAGATCCCTGACCTACAGCAGACTCTGGATCAAGGAAAGCTTCGCCAAGAATGTGACACTACCAGAATTTTTTTTTTTTTTTTTTGAGATGGAGTCTCGCTCTGTCGCCCAGGCTGGAGTGCAGTGGTGCAATCTCGGTTCACTGCAAGCTCCGCCTCCCGGGTTCAAGCCATCCTCCTGCCTCAGCCTCCTGAGTAGCTGGGACTACAGGCACCCACCACCATGCCTCGCTAATTTTTTTTTTTTTTTAAAGTAGAGATGGGGTTTCACCGTGTTAGCCAGGATGGTCTTCATCTCCTGACCTCGTGATCTGCCCACCTCGGCCTCCCAAAGTGCTGGGAGTACAGGCGTGAGCCACTGCACCCGGCCGACACTATCAGAATTTTTAAACAATAAAGTCACCAGTCTGGGAAAAAAAAGTCTCACAGGTGTAGGGATTGGGAAAGACATTTCAATTTGAGGAAAAAGGCTAGTATAAAAAATGGTTGGAAACCATAGGATTTAATGTCATTCTGTAAAAAGCAATTTGGTAAAAAGTTAATATTTTAGTTTTTCTAGTATTGATAATTTTGGTGGACTAAGAATATAAATATTGTGTAGTTTCTGTATGGTCTTTTCTTTTTAGAACTAAAATGGTGTGTGATCATTAAGAAGGATCAGAACACACATATAAACAAAAGAACATAAAGAACCCCATTATCCCATCCACACAGAACAATTACTGATAACTCCTTAGTACATATCTTTTATTTAATTTTTTAATTTTTCTGAGACAGACTCTCGCTCTGTCACCCAGGCTGGAGTGCAGTGGTGCGATCTCGGCTCACTGCAACCTAGGCCTTCTAGGTTCAAGCGATTCTCATGCCTCAGGCTCCTAAGTAGCTGGGATTACAGGCATGCGTCACCATGCCTGGCTAATTTTTAAAATATTTTTAGTAGAGACGGGGTTTCTCCATGTTGGCCAGGGTGATCTGGAACTCCTGGCCTCAAGTGATCTGCCCGCCTTGGCCTCCCAAAGTGCTGGGATTACAGGCATGAGCCACTGTGCCTGGTCTAGTGCATCTTTAAAAATTCTTCTCAATACATATTTGAACACACACATAACTATTTTTTTCTTCAAAAAGAAGATAGTTTACATACCATTAAGATCCTATTTTATTTAAGCAATTTCAAGAACTGTTGGATATTTAGATTATTTTGATTAGCCCAGTCTCTGGTGTTATATATTTTGTTTGTCCCAGCTCTTCCCTTAGTATTTAGCTACTGTAACTTTTAACTTTTCCAAAAGCCCTTAGAAGAAATGATTTAGCTGTGACAAATCACAGCTAAAAAGCCATCTCCCAGATAGATTAGAGTGGTGTGGCATCATTGTGGTACACCAAAACTGGAAATTAGGTTTCAACTAAATTGTCATGTTTACCAAGTTTCTGTGAGACAAATTATATGACAATCTGAACCACAGAGCATGTATTTGTAAGATGCATTTTTAAAAGCCAGTACAATTTTATCTGAATAAGAAGGCTGATATGGGCTGAGTGTCACAGGAGTCTGTCCTGAGCAACTTAGTGTAAGCTAGGGAATGTGGACTTAATTATGAAAAGCCAAGAGGAGCATCAAAGGAGCTCAAGAGGAGAAGTGACATGTTATTTATATAGGTTTTAAAAATATGACTTCTGTAACCAATAGAAGAATGGATTCAGTGAGGCCTAGGCTGGTGGTGGTAAGACCAGTTAGGAGACCACTGTAATGATCTAAGAACGAAGTGATGCAGACTGAACGATGAACTCTGTGTAGGTGTGAAGAGGCTGGAACAGATAGAGCAGAGACTAGGAAAGCATAAACTCCCCAGAATTTGGTTACTAGTTAGCTATAGGGGGCGGGTTGGGGGAGGGGGTGAGCAACAAAAGAGAGGAGACTAGCATGACACTTGTATTCCTAGCTGGGCCATCTGGGTGGTCCAAAATGGCATAAAACGGAGTAGGAAATACAGCAGAAGCAGGTTTGGGAGGGAGAAAGATGAGTTTAATTTAAAACACATGGTGTCTGAGGTGCCTATCCATTTGAATGTGTGGGTCTAAAAACGTGGGGGTGGGATTTGCGCTGGAAGTAAGGATATGCGGGTCATGTGTTATGAATGGTATTTAAGGGTAGGGGTTTGGATAAGGTCACTCAGGAAGAGTGTGGAGAATGACAGAGGCTGAGTATGACCAGAGAGGGCAGAGATAAGCCAGTCATGTTGTAGAGCAGAGAGCTATATTACGAAAGGCGGGGTCAACGGCATAAAATGCCTCAGTGAGTCCTAGAGCTAGAAAGTGTTTACCTGAACATTGACCTTGGTGAGAGCAAGTTCATGGGACAGTGGAGGTGGAAATCAGATTGTAGGAGTGGTGTGGCACAACTCACCAAGACGAAGAGTGTAGTGCAGTCCTTCAAAAAGTGAGCACACTGCTCTGGTGGAGACTCAGAGGTTCCCCAAAGTCTCAGGATAAAAAAGGCACATCTTCTAGTATATTATTTGACTTGACATGAGAAAAAACATTTCTCATATAAAGGTATATAAACTTATATCTAAGATCCAAATAAAGTCAACTGAAAACTTAATTCTCTCCATGACAGCTCAAAGTGTTATGCAAGATTTCTGAGAATTCCTGGATGGAGGGGTGGGGGCTGGAGTCTTGCATGCAATTCCTGGATGGAGGAGTGGGGGCTGGAGGCTTGTATGCTCATGGTCCTCTTTGGTTTCATACTCTAAGCATGCATCTTGCAAACTCATGATTAATGCCACTATTCCAAACTACATTGACCACATCAGCCCTCATGCTTAACTTCCATAGACTCAACACAGCATGAAATTTTGGGAAATGAAGATGAGGTTGAGATTACAGCAACATAAACAACTTCAAATTGAGTATTAGATGCCCTATGACGAAAAATCCTCTGGCTAACACCACCAGAAATTTATTCCCACTGGCTATTTTGTTTTCTTGTTGGTTTATCCCTTCTTTCCTCTTCTCATGATTCTGCTTCATTACCACTCTCCTAGATTACTCTTGAGAATCCCAAATTCTTTCACTCTTTTATGTACTGCAAGTTCAGCTCTCTCCACCCTCCTCCCAAAGGCAGCTCTAGCTCTACCGCTGCATACCCAAATGGGTCAATATGACCAGCAGGTACATCTTTTATTTAATAGAAGCCACTCCAAAGTTGTAGTTGTGAAGAAAATTTTCTTCCCTTTGGAAAATGGTACATCTCCTTGGTCACCACAAAAACCCTTGCTAAGTCACTCATAATCTGTTATCTGGACTATTGCATCGCTGAGGATGCCTAACTGGTTTCTCCATCTTCATCCTTTTTTTTTTTTTTTTTTTTTTTGAGACAGGGTCTTGCTCTGTTACCCAGGCTGGAGTGCAGTGGCATGATCACGGCTCATTGCAACTTCGAATTCCTGGGCTTAAGTGATCCTCTTCACTCAGCCTCTCGAGTACTAAGGCTACAGGCATGCGACACCATGCCCAGATAATTTTTAAATTTTTTGTAGAGATGGGGGTCTCATTGTGTTGCCCAGGCTGGTCTCAAACTCCTAGACTCAATAAATCCTCCTGCCTTGGCCTCCCAAACTGCACTCCCAAATGAGTGCAGGTGTGAGCCACTGCACTTGGCCTCTGTCTCCATTTTTATTCACCGCCAATTTGTCTTCAACATGCCAGAGTGATATTTTTTCCAAAATTCGACTCCGATCACATCAGTCACCTGCTTAAAATTCTTTAATAGTAACCCATATTCTACAGAATAAAGTTCATATTCTTTAGCATGGTAAATATGATTCTTACCATTTTTCTGCCTCATCTTCCAATGCTTGTCCTCAGGTACCCTGTGCTTAAGCCATATTGAGTGACTTGTAGTTCACTGAATGAGTGATGGCCCCTCTTGACACACATCTTTACTTATATCATCTACCTGTTTGGAATTCACTTTTCACTCTCTACATCTGGTTAATACCTACTCATCTTCCAAAAAACACTTTGAAAGATGAGTATCCTATTGACCTAAGGAGATGGGGAAAAAGGCACGATTCAAAAGAGCCTTTGCTCTTCTCCACACTCTCCCTTAGGTGACCTTATCCAGGTCTCTATCTTGAAATACCATCATACCACATGACCCCCAAGTCTTTACTCCAGCACAAAATCTACCCCTACAATTCTAAACCCACACACCCAAATGGAAAAGCACCTCAGACACAATATATTTAAAATTGAACTCCTCCTCTTCTTCCAAAACCTTCTGCTATATCCCACAGTCCTGCATATCACTCACTGGACAGTCTTCTCTATCCCTATCCCTCCTGTCTTCCCACTGGACAGTTACCTGTCTTTGATTTCCACACACTCAGCATTGATGAGGAGTTTTAACAGAGCGCTTGCCACATGAGCTGTTTAGGGACAGTAGCCATGTCTGATCTCGTTAGTGCTCCAGGGCCAAATACATTTAATAAATGTTTGTTGAATAAATGAATGACTCCAAGAAAATGCACACCACTCACATGGTGGTTTTTATGATAATGGGATTTTGTATTTCTGATATTGTACAATGGCTACAATTTGCCTGATAGAAAATGCCTCTGGTTCATTCAACACCTTTAGTCAGCATGAAACTTGGCTCTTGCTCCTCAAACACCATACCAGCTTCCCCACCTTCTTGGTTTTGTTCACAGGGTCTCTTCAGTTCAGAATTTTCTTTTTAACATCTCCTTGGGTCAATAAGCTACTCATCTTTCAAGATTCACTCTTATAAAATTTACCTGTTCCATTCTTCCCTCTGAGTCTTCTTTATCCTTCCCTCAAACTTTTCTTTTGGTACCTACTATATTTTGCATTGCATTATACTATTTGTAGACGTGTCTTTTTTTTTTTTTTAAAGACTGAGTTTCGCTCTTGTTGCCTAGGCTGGAGTGCAATGGTGCAATCTTGGCTCACCACAACCTCCACCTCCCGGGTTCAAGCGATTCTCCTGCCTCAGCCTCCCGAGTAGCTGGGATTACAGGCATGTGCCACCACACTCAGCTAATTTTGTATTTTTTAAGTAGAGACAGGGTTTCTCCATGTTGGTCAGGCTGTTCTCGAACTCCTGACCTCAGGTGATACACCTGCCTCAGCCTCCCAAAGTGCTGGGATTACAGGCATGAGCCACTGCACCCGGCCACATGTCTTATCTTCCTACTATCCTACTGGATTGATATCCTGGGAATCAGGCACTATATCTTATGTTCGTGTCTTGAAACAGCAAGGTCTCAATACATATATTTGATTAGATGGAGATAATTAGCTACTCAACAATAGTGAAGTGACATCATGACAGTACCCTCTCACCACTCCTCCAGTGTGGTCAACAGTGGTATGGGATGCTTTTCCATTGTGCAATTACTAGATATTACATGAACAGTGCTGCTCAGCTATAAAGAAAATCCCAATCAGTCATCCCTTTTGGAACTTCATGATTGAAAATATTTTACTGTTGAAAACCACACAATTAGATGACATGTTGACATACTAAAATGTTTCCAAGCCAAAAAAGGAGGATAGGTGTTAAGTATTTTACCCTCAAACACTTTTAGTATATTACTGGACTCTGCGGTAACATGGTAAGTGCCCAAAGTGAACTCCTAGAATTGCTGTATTCCATGGCTTCTACCTTTTGAAGAAAGATACTGAGATCTATAGATCAATCTATGGATCAGTGGTGGGCAAGCCAGATAGAAACGCCCAAGTCAGAAAACCAACAGCCCACGTGGATGGTCAGATGTGGGTGGACATGCAATCAGCAAAGAGCAATTCTTGTTAGGCAGGACAGTCATTACCACCTGGCCCTTGTCGTAGTGGTGGTGATGGAGGTGGGTGGATGTGTGGGACATGTACCCATGGGGTCCAACCAGAGCAAGAAGTGACCCAGACTCTGGCAATGGGGCATAAGGCACTTGACTACCACCCTTGACAGGGCAGGACTAGGGCAAGGGAAGCTATACTGCAGATCTGAACTAAAGTACAGGCAGGGAGCTAAAGGAGTGGCTCAGAGGGGATGGTTGGAGTCCAGGAACAAGAGTACTAGTCACTGGTCCTGTTTGAACAGTTCAAAAGAAAATGGCCTAGAGCTCCTTATAGAAACAAGGCTCTCCCCAGTAGAGGTAGAGGGATTGGAAAATGATGCAACAGGAAAGGAACGTATCGAAGTCTTGTCTTGTGTGTAACAAATCACTTGTCTTCAATTTTGCTTTTACTTACAAATACTTATTTTGAATGCAAAATTTTTACATTGATCAAAAAGGATTGTGGTTGAGAAATGAGGTTCTAGAGGCAAGACTGGCCCCAAAAGTCTAGGACAGGGCAGGATCTATGCATGGAGGCTAAAGGGCTCCAAGGAGCATGTCACTAAAGAGCCGCCAACGTAGGCATTTCACTCTACCATCTCACTCTAACACTGGCACATTTTAGGGCCAGAGTTCTAAGAATATCTACATTCACTTGTGCTGACCCTCCTCCCTCAAAGACTCCACCCCTTTTCTATGTGAGATCTGGCGGCAGAGGTCAGGCTGTGTAGTCAGGAATTGCTGTGCAGGCTTCAGTTGGGAGGGTGTTTGGGAAAGTTAAGGGTTGACAACTGGAAAATGCAAGTCTGGTTTCTCTAAATAAACTATTCAGAGGTGAAATTATAATCTTTAAAACCTTAACTCTTTCAGTTCATTAGACAAATTTGCAATCTAAAGCTGAGGGTTTCATTTAGATATATCTGTTTGTACACTGACAATGCTGCATGAATTTTCAGATGACTAATCACTTGTTCCAGATTGAAACACTGTGTGATTAGCTGTATAGCCTTTAGAACAAGTTAAACAGTTTGTTAGCAACACAACTTTTTTTTAAGCCATATATTTAGAATGTTTTAAAAATTAGGCATGTTATTGAAATGTATACCAATCTTCTCACATCAAAAACTGTAGTCACTAGCACTAACTGCTAAATGTCTCTTTCTCCCTAAATAGAATCTCAGAAGATCCACTAATCACTGTTACATAAACACAAAAACAAATGATCTAAAGTCACTCTCAGGTTACAGTTTGCAAGTTGTCCTTCCTGAATTTATCGTGAAATAATTCCCTGTCAAGCTGGGGGTGGGTTGGTGGCAGCACCCAGATTAAACCAATACATTCCTGTGAACAAATTATCCAACAAATAGCAGCTCAAAGGGATGCTTTACATTGAGGCAAAACTGGAAAAATACAGCTTTTTTTTTTTCTTAAATTACATTTAAGGGGAAGAGTCAGAGGGAAAATATATTGATACCTATTTGTGAATGTCTTTCTAGAAGTTATACTTCAATCTTCTGCAGTTCTTGCTTTTTCAACATGTTAGCAATTGAGAGTTGTGGTGACTATGCAAGAAACCAGCAACAGCTGAAAATATCACATTCAAGAGGAGCAAAGTAACACCAACTTCTTCTCTAAATCCTGCCAAGAATTTCTGGTGACTCTCTGCAGAGACACTCATAGAAAATTTAACAGGAATCTTGACCTGTTAGAACTTGCTCGGATGGATTACAATCCTTTTGCCTCAGAAGCTGTCACTAATAAAAGCTGTTTTTAAAGAAATACAAACTTTTTTTTTTCTTTTAAGCAACAAATCCAAGTTGTTCCTGACCTCCTTAAATTAAAAATCACCATTGGGTTCATTCAAAAGTATAAAATAAATATGAAATACTTAAGAAGACACATTGGCAGAGATTACTCTAAATTCACAAAGAAAACTCTGAGGTAATGCCAAATAAACTGTTATGTAATCATTTATTAAGCATGTGGGATTACTCAAACATACCAGTTACCTAATCTTTCAAGTGGAAAAAATATTTCATTGGTGGTGAAGTAGGGAATGGGGATCAGGGATGAGCAAACCAGATAAAATATTTTAAAAATTCTATTCATGTACTCCAAAAATCTGGGGCTGTTCTAATCTTAAAACTTGCCTCAGTGGCTGCTGGTTTAGTTGCATGATTATAATGTATTTTCCTTTCTGTTGCATATTTTTTTTTAAATCAGAGTGTGACAGCATTTTTCTTTGGGTCTTTGCATGTGCATAAGCAGAAAAATCCCAAGCCCTCCACATTTGAAGTAGATATTGGAATAACCATTTTATTTCTGCATCCAAACCATCTCTGGTGTCTTAATGCTACCTGGTAGGCAGGGTACTATAGTGGTGAAGGGTTTGTATTAAGACAGACTTTATTTTGAAGCCCAGCTCTGACATTTACTAGCTACTTAAATTTGTGCAAATTATTTAATCTAAGTTTCATTTGCTTTGGCTGAAATATTGTGATATCTTGCTCATATAAACCATTTCACATAGCGTGCAACACTTAATAAGTGTTCAATAAATACTAGTTAGTATTATGAGAATTCTTTTCAACATGATTTTCCTCAAAGGAAAAACATTTTGGTGATGAAGGTCTGGGAATGGGGTGAGTACAGCCATGGGACTTTTGGAAGTCCCTCTAAATGGCTTCATCACCGTCATGAAAAAGTAGTCCAGTTTGAAACTAGGTGAGAGCCCACATACCATCACTTCTGTAGAAAGGAGACAGGGCCAGAAGATGCCACCCTCAGGAAGTCAGAGAGCAGTCTACACTGGGAAATGCAAACTAAGTGGCTCAACTGTGCCCTCTGGAAACTGTATTTTAGAAAAATATCACTATGGACTGATACACATATTGCCACTGCAAAGTAGGATGAATATTTGAAGGTGTTCTTGTTACTACTAACAAGAAGTCCATGAAAGTTTCACTGTGCACCCATCCTCCAATATCTACTCACTTACAAGTTACAGAACCCATATATGAGAAAGCAAATCCTCCTCTGTGCATTTTATATCCCCCCCATTGCCCTCTTAATACCTGCACCTGAAAACTAGTATTCATTGCTGTAACGGGAGACAGAAGGAGGGAATGGCAGAAACTATAAAACAAAATTGCATTGGATAATTTCTCCGAGTTGTAAGAAGAATGAAGGTTATTACCATAATATTCAGAGAAAAAGTAAAGCAATGCTTTGAAGTAGTAACTGAAGACTGAGAAGCAATGCCATAATTCTCTGAAACCTGTTGTTTCTTCTAGTTGTCTGTTCAACATCATGCAGTTTCTATCTTTTGAGATCCTGCAGGGAAAAAAAATGCCATTGGAAATTTAGGTTTTGAAACCAGTTGAGAAAAAGAGTTTTCTGCATTTTGAATTTTATATAGCATGATTTATGTTCCTCCATAAGAGAGCTGGAACAGCTCTAGCAAGTTGCCTAATCCCACTGCCAAGGTGCATATTTAGTCAGGCCAGTTCTTCCACAAGAAATAGATATTCGTCTAAAATGCCACCTCCACCTACATTTCTCTCAATAGCATGTTGGACACACACTTCTGCATGTCCAAAATTTCATGGTTAATGGTCCCTTTTTCCAATTATAAGAGAACAGATGATTTAGCTTTGACAAAATGATTAAAGGATATGTATTTCCTACATCAGTGACTTAAACTCTCATATTTAGAAATAAATTATGCAGCAATTTGATATGAACCATCCTGCATAAAACAGCCTGTAGTCACCAAATCTTTCAACTAGCCTGTTTTCACCACTGAACCATTATCAGTCTTGTAGGTAAGAATTACAAATATGAATCTCCTCCTTACCCTTTTGTTTCACCAACATTTTCCCATTAGATTAGATGCTGAGTGCAGTCATGTAAACCTCCCAAGAATCATGACCTACGGATAAAAAGCTACTTCTCGACCTAAGTGGAGTCAGCCACAGAATAATTTATGCACTAGTTCCTTCTCCTTGTACTTAGCAAGTTGTTTTAAATTTCCACAGGTCATGGTGGTTCTATAAATATTTTATATACATCAATATACATAAATGTTCTTGCCCATGCATACTAAGGCAATCTCTAAATAACATCAAGTAGCTCCAAGACTGGCCTCTCCAGTGACCTGCTAAAGCAGGCTTTGTGTTTTTGCACATTTGGAAGTGGCCTCAGCTGTTGGTACACCCACACACACACACAACCAGTGTATCTCCAATAGTGTGTCAAACTTTTCCAGCTGTCCTTTACTTGTCCACCAATGCATGCCTTTTGCCATTCTTTCACAATTGGTCATGTGCACAATTTCTATCCCAAATCCTACTGTGTCATGTGCACTATTTGTATCCTAAATCCTACTTAATATACTATAAAAACTTGCTAAGGAAGTGACAGAAAAAAAAAATAAGCCTGACTTCTCAATGGGACTTAGCATTATATGGTCACATGAATTTCCTGTATTACCCTGATCTTAGAGATGTATTAGTACATAGATTTGTTTTATTCTGGGGTCTATTTCCAACTTACAGTAATGATAATCATTTAAAATAGTTTGTTTCAGTATAGGACATTAGAGTAATACTTGCATTCAAGTGCATTTATCCATTGACTCTGAAAATAAATCATACTTCTGGAAATTTCTGAAGACTCAGGAATATTAATTAGGAAAACATTTCCTTACATTTCTGTTCTTTCTTGCTTTAGTCACCATTTCCTATTAATATTTAAGAAACTTGTATATTTAAAAGCTTTCTGGGGAAAACCTTCAAAAAAAATTCCTTTACAGTTTTACAATGCCTATCTCTACCCTCAATTTTGTGGAAAATCTTACCAATGTGTAGAGCGATAGTTTTTCACAAGTTGAAAGATACCCCAAAGTTTATTATGTCAAGCAGTTCATATGTAGGATCATTACCACAATCCTAATATCACAAGGCAAGACCAAGATACAAAGATAAGGCTACATTGAAGTGTTAAGCTGCCATGCATTGGAAAGGGCAACTACATTTCTTTTTTCTGTGCATATAAGTTACCCTATCTTTTCCAACAACCTATCAAATACCATTTAACAGTAGCACATAATTAGTGAAGTAGGCTTTGCAAAGTCTTTACAGAATCAAAACTGAACTCAAAGGCACAATCTATTTGTTTTTCCTAAGCTGGTCGAATGATCTTGGTTAGTGATTTAGACAATTTGGAAACAAACAAACAAACAAAAAACACAAGAAAAATACCGTGATTCCCATATCAAATCAGTTTTTTGGCTGTTTTGAGTTTTTGGAAAACAAAGTGATGAAAGTGCTAAAGCAAACAGGGTGCTAAAGGGCTCATGTAGTGTGCGCAGACTACCTCTTTTTGCACAGTCTAACTGGTCTAAACCGTGTCAAGTTAACGCAGTATGTTGGCTATAGAACTTTTGCGTACTGGTGCGGATCTAAAGCAACCATCTGGCTCAGAATCCACTTGAACTTCCTAAACATCTCTGGGCAGCAAGTCCATTATAAGCATGTTCTATAGCATCCAGATATTCAACCATGGCCAAAGAAAGGCCTCTTAAATGGAATCATAAGGCCCATTTACTGGTGGTTTGGTAAGAATGTGGTTGAAATACTAGGGCTATGCTTGTATCTACAGCAAAGTTCAGAAAACTTAAAAAAAAAAAAAAAGAAAAAGAAAAGAAAAAAACCCTTACACTTGAATGGTCAGGTGTAGTTTTGAGCTTTAGCTGACAGAATTAAGAGAAAGTTTGGCCCTTATGCATTCACATCCTTGCTCAATAAACAAACAAAACACAAATGAGTCTCCTCCTCCAGAACTAGTTTTTGTCCCTAAAAATGGAGATTCAAATGCATTTCTTAATTCTACTTGCTGAGCATTCCCCAATCACCACAATATGCTTAGGAACACACTCTCCTTTCTGTTCTCTGCCTCCTTAGATTCCCACCCTGGTTTAAAAAAAAAAAAAAAAAAAATTTGGTCAGACGCTGATTTAAAGAACTAAATTATACTTGCCTTTAACACAACTATAGAACTGAGACATAAACAGCTTTGTTTTCCCATAGTTAACCGGACATGATAATGCCTTTTCATTTGTTTCTTGTATTTGTTTCACAAATACGAGATCCACATTTTATTTTCCTGCCTCTTTTCCGGTAAGGTTGAAATACATGCAACCAAGTTAGGATCTCCCTCTCTCTCATCAATAATAAAGCCAGGAAGTTGGATTTGAAGCATTGTTTGTCCTTGTGGTCCTTGGAAGAACTCCCGGTCTTTAAATTGACAGTGCAGCTGTTGATCAAAATTATTCAGAAAATTAATATATTCTTAATTTTCTGTCAGACAAGTTGATTGTAGACTTATGAAATACTTATGTCTAAGTAAAAACAATGCCTATAGTTTCTGTAAGAAACTAACAAAAATAATTTGGATGTAGAATGAAAAGCTCAACCTCATTTCAACTCTGTACTAGATGACAGAAGTGCCCTGTGATGACCAAATGCTCGGGCAATGTAGGGTGACTGCCGCCAATGAGCCAAAATACAATCACATGCATCAGAGTCAGAGGCTGGCTCCTCAAAACAAGCCAGCTTTTCTGGTTAGAGATGGACATAGGATGTTGGCGGCATCTATCAACACCCAGATGATATGAGAAAGGGTGACATTTGTAGCCATATACCTTTCAGAAACAAACTAAATCTGCATTTATCCTTAAGAAAAAGAGAAAGGCATACAATAGGATTATGGTGCATGAGAAAGAGCAGCTGAACTAGTCAGATCTGGCTTCTAGTAGATACTTTAACCTCGGGCAAGCCCCACAAGCACTGTGAATATGAATGAGGACCCTCACCTGCAAAATTAGAGAACAGGCTTGGTGGTGTCCACATGCCTGTTCTCATGTAACTCATGTAACTCAATGGTCCAAACGTCTTTCATTTATGAAATAAGTATTTTAGATTTAAATGATGTAAATGTGGGTGGGGACCTATCCTATCCACTGTTGTATCTTAATGTCCACCACACATTTAGTTCATAATATGATATTGATGCTTAAAAAAATCCTTAAAATTAGGCTTTGATGAAAATCTTCACACATCTAGCAACAGCTAAGACAAGACAAAATTTAGGTCATGAAATGCTAAGCAATTCAAGACAGAAAATAGTGTTTTGTTCAAGTTCCATAATGCAATCTGATACTGCTGAAATTGAACTTGCTGTTAAATAGAAACATTTTTTTTTAAAAATCCTAAGGTAGATTTTTTGTGGTTGTTAAATAATTCAGGGACTACTTCAAGTTTACTAGAAACGCCCCAATACACAAGTATCTGATTAGACTGAAACCACCTATAAATTACAATCTCAAAATAATTTTTACTCCAATAATTTTTACTCAAAAAAATTTACTCAAAGTTTTACTCAAAATAATTGTGTGCTATCTTATCTTGACTTGTCAATCTTGATGGTGTGCATGGCCAATTTAGAGTTACACTGGACTTGTGTAATAGTTAACACTGTATCAACAGTTAGTTAGCACAATCTGTGATGCTTTTCTTTTTTTGGAAAAACCTATGGCAGATGCATCCGGAGACAAATTTTTCAATAGGCTCCTCACGGCAATGGAGGATGCCAAGTATCACATACAGAAGTAAAGGCAGTAGCTGCAAAGCATGTTCTCTAACATATTCATAACAGTGTACTATACCTTTCCTAGAGGCTTCCTTAGAAAGCAAAGTTTTTTTTTTAATCCATGAATAAATGACCAAGAGATTATAAAGAATGCTGTGTTTTGGAGGTGAGATGTGACAATGTCAATAAATGTGGAAGGTAAATTTCCCAACTTTTCCATACAGGCTTTTCTATTGTACTATAAATAAGCCTTATCTCTATATTTGTCCTTTAGGAACTCCGTTTCTAAAACAAGAGTTATCTCGGGAATCCCCTCTGTTGATTAGATAAAAATGACCTGACAGAAACAATTCTTAGGCATCTTTAAAAAATTATTTTAAAAGTCTAATATATTCTTAAGTGTTCACATTTGTACAACAGAAACAACTTTTTAATAGAACGTATTACTCTTGAAATGGTTGTTAAATTTGGCCAAAGCTCTTAAAAGGAATTTTGTAGCATCCTACACTCTGAATTCCGCAACTCAGTTTAATCTTCAGACACCCACTTGTGCCAGGGTCAGTGAAACAGAAAATTCTATCTATCAAAAACAGAGTTTACCGTTTAAAATGAGCACCCTCTTTGATATCATTTATTAAAAGCTACTTATGTCCCATACAAACTGCTATATTTGGCATTTATTGAAACTACCAATAAACTCCAATATCATTCTGATTTAGAAAACTTCAACATTTCTGGTATGTGGAAGAGTTCCAAACAGTTTGACCTTGCAATGTCAATGCTCTGTGAACGACAGCAGTGGCTTCTAGGGGAGCTGCTGAGCAGCTGTCATGTTTCCCAACAGAACAGGGTGCAACATTCTTCTGCTCACCATGTTTATTTAATGGCACACTCTAACTCTCAGGGCATGCAGTCTGCTGAAAACATCAACCATTATCATTGATCGCTCTGTACCCTTCACTATACAGTTTAAAAATTTTAAACCTATTTTACTCTCTTAACAATAAACACATGAAACACATTATTTTATTCTATTTGGGTCAAATTAATTTTATTATGCTCCATGATGAATTGCCACCAGTGCAACATCCTATTCACTATACATTTCAAAAAAAGAATTCACATACTAAACAAAATTTCAGTTGTCTGAAAATGAAATGATTGAAAGTCTTTATGAATCTCATACATACAATATGTGGCTAGCTGAAATTGTCTATCACGTAGCATTTAGATATAAAAAGCCTCATGCTAGTTTGTTAAATGCAAAGGCTACCAGACGACCATTTAGCTGGAGAATATACGGAAGGCTTTCAGACAACGCACAGGTATAGTGCTGCTCACAGTGCAGGATGGTAGAGGACTGAAACATGCAACCTTACACCTTACTTGGTAAAGCAGATTTAGTCTTCATGCCTGGACTGAACTCCACAGCTGCTGTGTTTCAACCAACAGTAATTTAGACTTTTTGTAACAACAACCAATGTCTTTTTCTTCTTTAAGAAAAAAAGAATAAATTAATTACCTTTGGCAAATTATATATCCATTTTACATGTTTAAAATTGTGCTTTGAACTCGAAGAATGGGTACTCTCTGCTGAGAGAAGTTCCTGATAAATATATATTATACCAAAGTCAGCTGGAAAATCTAGAATTTCTTGGCCACAAGTTAAGAGAGATCTTAAATTGGCATTACCCTGAAGACATTTCTAGGAAATTTAAAATGTTTTTTATATTGTCAAAAAGAAAAAATTTTTTCAATTAACATTACTTAAAATAATTATAATGTTCCATTTAACTTTTGTACAAACTCCTGATTTTATTGGTTAGTAGTTGTCCAGCCTCATCTGCACCAGATTGACTGAGCTCAAGCCACAATAAAAATGATAGTAAGTAGAAAAAGGTTTCTAGCAGCAGAGGGCACTGTTGTTGCAAGAAACAAAAAGTCTAGAATCTTTCCCATGTGCTTAAATTACTCTTGCAAGAAAGATAACATTCTTTGAATAACTTAAGTATTTTACTGCACCACTTACTGCTTTCAGCAACAAAACCTTTTAAATTATTTCTTATGATAACTAGATGCATGATCACTAGAGATTATGTAATAAATGGTTAAAATTCAAGCCACATCTTGCAGGTCCAGCCTGTCAAGATCTGCCAATACGAGATTTTGGTTGGTACAATTCTAGATAGCGTAATTTTTAGTTGGATATTGTGACTATAGTAATGAAATACATTTGGAACTACATTATGCATATTACTCAATGTGAGAAAAATATGTTTGTATTTAAATCAGATAATTTTCTACCTAAAATTTAAAGTAGGTAGGTATGATAATTAGCATTATAAATATGAAACAACCACCTTTAGGCAGATTAGTGTAGTGTAGAGAGGCAAAGAAACCCTAATTTTAACACACCATTTAGTATGCATAACAAATGTGCAGGTTGTAAAGTTTTATCTTTAAAAAAAAAAAATCTATCATTCAGTTATCTGTTCCAAGAACTCTGACATTGGGACCACCAATCTTTTAAGAAAAATGTAACTCTTCACATGCTATTTGACAAAAACCCTCAAAAGTTATCCAAATCAATGCATGTTCGGTTCCGTGTTTTAGCGCACACCTTTGCCAACTAGATTACATTTTTATGGTTGGTATTTCTGAACACCTCAATCCACACAAAGTGCAAAATAAAAATGCTAAAATTCTACAGTATTTTAGTACTATTCTGATTTGTATAGTTTTTTTAACCAAATATTGGAGTTACCATAATATTACCTCAGTTCATGTAGAATGAAAACTACTCCCTAAATCCCTGAAACTCCAACTTAAATTTTGTTTCAGAGTAATACCAAAAAAATTTTCAAAAATTTTGCTAAAAAGAGCCTGTCACATTTGCTACAGCATAAAAATAACCCCAGTCAATAACAAGTATTTAAGGGCTCCTTATGATCCCAGTCTGCAAATACCACTGCTATACCAATAACAGGCAGTATTACTGTAAGAGGTGTGTTAATCGTCTTCCCCACTAGTATCTCTGTAGTGATTTTATGTAGAGCATATTGCTAAAATTTGAGAAACTACATCGGTGTAGTGATGTCTACAGAACTGTGCAATGTATCAGCTTCAACATTCATATGTAGCATTGTATTCAAAATAAAGGGGCTAAAGAAACTAAGGTCTGCATCACTTAAAAAAGAATGTAGTGCTATACTAGATTTTTTTTTAAGAAAATTTAGGTACAGAAAAAGTAGGGTATGAAAATAGTGTTTTCCTTCTGGCATTATAAGTAAATTACATTAAGGTTTTTGTCAGTCTCACATATAGTATTTAAACTCCCTTGTTGATGGAATGAAAAATATTCACAAATCAAGTGAGCATCCTGGTGTAAACTTGCACACAATAACAGGGAGTAGCTTTGTAGAGGATTACGACAAACCTTTACAGATTAAATGAGGTATTGCACAGATTAAAAAAAAGCAAAAAAGGCAACAAAAATATACAGCAAATTGGTAGAACATTTACATGATAATTTTACAGAATCCACAGACAGAAAGTAGTGTTTAGTATTTCACCTTAAAAATATATATATATATATAATATATAGATCAGTCTTCCCACTCATCATCATCCTCAAAATCTTCTTCATCATCTTCATCTTCATCTTCATCTACAAGAAAATCAAGACAATTAAAACATATGCATAAATAAAATGACATTACATAATTCTTGGGTGGTTTCTCCAATTATTTAACTCCTGAAACACAGATAATGTGACTCCCAGAAGAATCTAGTTACTAAAACAGTTTAAAGTGAATCTAAAGAAATATATCTATAGAGTATGATAGTAAACTAAAGATTAAAACAGGGCTTAGAAGACAATGGTTCTAGTTCCTTAATATCTATGTGACAAATTTCAACCTGTTAATGTATAAAATCATCTGGGTTGACCTTTCTGTCACAAATCCAACTACCTTCTTGTACTCTTCATATGGATTCTCAAACTCAAAACTTCTAACTTTTATTTCCTTCCCCAATCTTCTTTTCCTGCTCCATCCTGGTCTGCTGCTCCATCTCAATAAATGGCATCACCATCCTGTCACATAATCAGGCCAAAAACCTAGAAATTATTATTACTTCCTCCTTTTTCACGATCCAATTATCAAGCCTGCTCTTTTTCACCTCTTTCACTGCTACTCTCCACACCACCATCACATCCTGCTTGGATTATTGCAACTCTAGAGTCTATTTGACTCAGAGCAAATGGAGTGATATTATTTAAATTTCAAGTTTAAAAAATATGTTGCTACCCTTCTTAAAGTCCTCCTGTGGCTACCACTGCTATTTGAATGAAATCTGATGCTACCTCCCTCCATAAGACCCTACATGATTTGTCCAGTTATTGTCTCTCTCTCTCCCCAAACTTCTCTCATATGTACTCTCCCTTCAAGTCACTCTCTCTAGTAAGATGGTCTCCTTTCTGTCCCTTAAACTCACCAATCTTATTCTGGCTTTAGAACTTCTGCAGTAGCTATTTCTTCGTTAAACTGAATCTTTTCATCATTTAGAAACCATTCATAAACTACTTCCTCAGAGAGGCCTTTCCTGACCATCATATGTAAAGTATAGCTCTTCCCCATAATCAGTAACGGCCTATCCCATTTTACTTTCCTCATATCACTTGCTAATATCTAAAATTATTGTACTTTATCTATTAAGCTCCATGACAGCACGGACCTTGCCTATCTTATTTCTCACTGTATCCTCAACACCAAAACAGCACTACACACCAGCCATTCAATAAATATTTGTTGAAGGAATATTTAGTTATCAGATTTTATAAGCATACTTCTATATTATACTGACTTTCCATATTTAACCTCTTCATATATCTATATATAAAATATGTATAAATATATACACCTATAAATATATAAATACATATACCTATATATAAATATATAAATATATATAAATATGTATATAAATATATATATAGGACCCATGAAGGCCAAGTATATAAAGTGGGACAGTGGCTGAGTAATTGTACTTGATAATGATAAAAAGCCAGTAAGACTAGGTGACATACGTGTGGGTTACATGTACAGAACACAGAACAATCTTTTTCTTCTATTTTTCTCATGTAAAATTGATTGTGTGAAGGTAGTATTTGAAGAAGTACTGGAGCTCTAGTATTAGAACTTGAAAATTAACAGAAGCCCAAGAGAAGCAACATTATCTTCTCTTAGCCCTAAACTAAGTTGTTACTTTTAAAACGATAATTATTTATTATTTATTTATTTATTTATTTAAGTCTCATGGTCAGCTCTAAATTGTTACAGAATTTATTTGGAAAGGAGTTCAATTGAGTCATGTTAATTTCTGTTTACTCTTCTAGCAAGGGAAATAATTTGCTACCAGATTTTGCTAGACATGCTTCACAAAATTTACCTGGATGAAAAGCATCAAAGACACCTGACTATGCTGGCATTACAGACTGACAAAAGACAGAAACTTATCAGTATCTATGGTGAAGAGGAAGAAGTAGCTAATAATTTCATCATCAGGTACTACCACAGAAATACTAACAGTTAAAATAAATGGGTCTGAAAATAAGTAAAAACCATCCTATATTTTCATTATATTAGCGTGACTATTACATACTATTAAAAAAAAACTTATTGTAGGGAAATATTTAGCAGAACTCACAGATACCAGCATAGAATAAATGCTTTTTCAGAATCATGTAGTTCACAGAAGCCTTACATTTCTTTATGAATGAATGAAGACCTTTCTTTATCTCTTCCTAGCAAACAACCTCTAAACAAAGCTTGAGATTTTTAGATCTCATTCCTATGACATTACTATGACATAAAAAATTCAGGCAGTTTACCTCATCTGTGAGGATTAGGGCTAAGAATTTAGGTAATTTTCACTGTTTTTATGCTAAAGAAGACTATACCATAAACATAACCATAACTTTAAATACCAGGTGTCTATGTATATCCTACTGACATGCAATTTAACAATTCAGACCTCTCCTGTGACTTCCAGACTCATAACGAAATGCCTACTCCACATCTATAGTTGAATTAATAGGTATCTCAAATTTAATATGTAAAATCAAACTCCTAATCTTCCCTCTCAAACTTTTTCTTCGTAAGTCTTTCCCCTTTCCAGTTGTTCAAGTCAAAAACCTTGGAGTCATTTTGCACTCTTCTTTTTCTTCAACCTTCACTTTCAAACCATCATCAAAACCAGTGATCTCCACATTCAAAATATAATTAATATTTAACCACTTCTCATTGGTGCTATAAACCTGGTTCAAGCCTCCATCACCTCTTGCTTGGATCATTACTACACCTCTGCTAAAAACCCTCCAATGGCTTCCCATCATATGCAGAATAAAAGCTAGTGCACTTTCAGGGGTCTCCAAAGCCTTACCACTGGCCTCCTACTACTTCTTGTATTTCATTCCTTACTATTCTTTCCCTCCCTCCCTTGCAAGCTCCGTGATCTCCTCATTGTTTCTCAACCTCACAGACTTTATATTTTCTGTTCTTTCCATCGGATACACTTTCCCTAGTTTTCTACATGGTTCACTTCCTGAACTGCTGGTCTTTTCTCAAATGTCACCTCAGTTAGGCTTTATTGTCCCTTATCATCCTTTATCATTTCAAAATGAACCTCTCTCTCAACAGTCTGCCCCCTATTTCCCTTTTCTGTTAGACTTTTGTCCTTACTTCATGTCACCATTTAACATACTGTATGTTTTTCTAGTTTTCTTTGTTTATTGCTTGTCTCTCTCTCTCATTAGACCTAATGCATGTCGATGAAGGCAGGGACTTTTTTTTTGTTAAAATTTTATTATTATTCCACAATAAATATTTATCTCTATCTCTGTAATGGAGGGTAGGTACAAATATGCCTATTTAAGGAAAACAAACATTGCTCAAGGATCTTAAGACATGGACATCCTTACAGAGAAACAAAAGGAAGGTAACATTTATTAAGCACCTACTATGTGCTAGGCAATCTGCAGGTTAGTGACATACTATTTAATTCTCACATCTATATGTTTTGTGAGTTCTCTGAATGTAACAAACAAGAAACTGAGGCTCACAGAGATTAAATAAATCTAAGAAGAAAGATCTGATTCTAGCACATCATGTTGGAGAAGCTATTTAGCAAACCTCAACTACTCCAATCAGCAAAACTCATATTCTTGTTCTTTCTTTAAAGGAATATTTATATGGTGGTATGTATATGTTTAATAATAACCTCAGAATAGGTACTGGTTTCTTCAAATCAACCTTTTAGAAAATGAAAAAGAAAGGTTTAAAAAAAGTTAGTATTCTTTAGCAAACTCTAGAAACAGTAAAAATTACTGAAATTCTTATCCCTAATCCTTACAGATGAGGTAAATGGCCCGATTTATTATTATTATTATTTATTCATTTTATTTTTGAGACGAAGTTTTGCTCTTGTTGCCCATGTCGGAGTGCAATGGTGCGATCTTGGCTCACCACAACCTCTGCCTCCTGGGTTCAAGCAATTCTCCTGCCTCAGCCTCCCGAGTAGCTGGAATTACAGGCATGCGCCACCACGCCGGCTAACTTTTTTGTATTTTTAGTAGAGATGGAGTTTCTCCATGTAGGCCAGGCTGGTCTCGAACTCCCGACCTCAGGTGATCCACCCGCCTCGGCCTCCCAAAGTGCTGGGATTACAGGTGTGAGTCACCGCACCCAGCCCTGAATTTTTCATGTCACAGTAATGTCACAGGAATGAGATCTAAAAATCTCAAGCTTTGTTTAGAGGTTGTTTGCTAGGAAGTCTATTAGCATTTCCTGATATAGGAAACAAAACTGTCAATATTCCCAAAGCTGTTCTTTCAATTTATGGCTATGGCTGTGGTGGTGTTGCATTTGTTAAGTCTCAGAGAGACTAGTCACACAGGCAACAACTTTTTAAAATACATCCTAGAGCCCACATCAGTAGTTACTCAATTAGCAGAGAGAAAGCTAGCAAAGACAGTCATAAAAATAACAGAACGTCAAACATTCAAATTTATTAAACACACACGCACACTCTCTCTGTCTCTCTCTCTCTCTCTCTCTCTCTCTCTCTCTACCTGAAGAATGAATGGCTTTGCTCCTTTTCTGCATCACTTCCATTAATGCACCCACAATTCCTGAAGTGGGTGCAGGTGTTGGTGGTGTAGACTCTTGGCCATCAGCCACCTTGGAAAAGAAAGTTAGCAAAACTCAGTAATAAATCTTTAGCCAAGAATCTTTGTCTCCAGAAAGTCCTACTTTCTTAGAATCACTTCTTATTGTAAAAGACAAAAAAGATATCAAACTGGCAAGCGCAGGACAAGATTAATCAAATTAACAAGAAATAAACTGCTGCCTTAAAGATATTATTCAAAAATATTTCCTTTCCATCTTAATGTATAAGCCAAAAATACATTTCCAAATCTATGTTTACATTCAGATAACAAACCCTCTCCTGAATAATACTTGCTGGGTTACTTCTGTTTATTCCAGCACACACAGACTTAGATGATCAACTTTAAAGCTTTTATCAAGGGATTTCATGTTATAAACAGAGGTTAATACTTAGACTCCAGAGTTGTTACGTGGGACGCACACTGAAGATATTGAAAAACAACTGTAGAAACTTATATTTGCCTACAAAAATTCAGCTTTACACCTTTATGTTACATTTATACCTTCAAAATGAACCTCTTTTCTCATAGTATATAATTTCTTTTTAAGGAGATGAGTTGATCAACTTTCAAAATGTACCTGCCTCACTAGGCAAGTAACAATCCCTAACTGAAGTACTTCCAGCTGTGCCAAAGTGCATTCATGAAAAAAAAAATTATAATTAAAGATGAAACAGCATAGCTGTATTAAATAATTACCTATGTTTTAATACATACATATATAATATATATTTTTGAAATTCTTAATCATTTCCCAAAGACAATTTTATTTAGACAAACTTTCCATTTTGATCTGTACAATTCTTCCTCTAATACTCCTTGTTCTTTCTGGAGTAAACACCTTTTTTAAAAAAATTCAAAGTGGTTCCCCCTAAGATATAGATTCATTCCTTAGTATTTTGGCTTTAAACATTATGTATTAACTATTTCCAGTATAGAAGTACCACAAATGAAAAAAGATAACAGAGAGTTTCAGAGCTTTGTATTTCTGCACAAGGCTCTCAAGGAGGTACAACAGCGGTAGGGACATTTAGACTACCTTTAAGCAATGTGATAATGTAAAGCAGAGAGCACAAAGCAGAAGTGAGCATACTCTCATCAAACACATTTTTTGAAGTGCTTACTTGAACAAAGTACTATTTGAGGTACTAAAACCATGGAATTCAAAAATATATGTGAGTATTCAATACCTCCTACTAGCTCTTTAAAGTAAGTCTATGGTTTTATGTTAATCATATTCATCACAGAATAAATTGATGATTTACTCAAAAAATTTAAAGAAACATAGCCATAGAAATTTCAACCACAAAATGGTCTTTTTCAAAAAATAACGAACTCGGATTACATGTATAACATGCCAATAGTTCACTGATTATGCACCCTATGATTGCAATAAATGCAATCAAAAGGAAAGTGATTATTTAGGATAAAAATGGCCCCCATTCTTACACATCAATTAACAGGTTTTGCTGCTTCTTTTTTTTTTTTTGGAAAGAAAGGGAGAGTTGGGATGGGAGAAAGTTATGGAGAAAGTAAATAGAAATTTAACTCTTAAACTTTTTAAAATAAATGAGGATACAACTTTATTCGTTAAAAATTTTAAATCACCTTATTATAGCTAAATGAGAGAAAGAAACAAAGTTGGTTTGTGAAAAGGAAATAGAAAAGGAAAACAAAAAGGTGGGTTAGGAGTGAGAGTTACGGGAATGAGAATGACACAGGAACTAGCAGAGATTCCAAGGTAAAAGCTGGGCTGTGGTCATTTTGACATTAATTCTCCCCACTAACCACTCTTTAAAGTTCTTCAACTGCTCTTGACAGGCCTTTAGTCTGATCTAAAGGGGGAAAGAGAACAGAGATGACTGTTCATAGGTTTAAGTGTCATCCTGAATACATGTAAAGAAAAGAGCTAGATATATTTTAAAGATCAGAGTCTTCTTAGATCTATGCTAATGTTTACATGTTTTCATTCAATTAGTTGTGCTTCCTATCTATTACCCTCCTTTTAGACAAAGTTTCTGAGATCTAGAAAGTTACTTTAATTCCTATACTGGGAAATAATTTTCAATTAAAACATCCTCTGTCGTCTCCATTTACTTCACAGAAAAACTCTATCATCCATGACCTCCCTGAAGTCCTGGAGAACATGTTATAAAAGGCTCCAAAAGAAGTATGTAAATGTAGACAGGTTAGGTTCTAGGATAGGAGTCAGCAAACTTGAGCCCATGGGCCAAATCCAGCCTGTTCTTGGATTTTTTTTTAAAACTATCTAAAAATTAAGCTTGATTTTTACATTTTTAAATGGCTGAAAGAAAATAAGAGTATTTTTGATATGTGAAAGTTATATAAAATTCAAATTTCAGTGTCCAAATATAGTTTTATAGAACACAAGCATGTCCATTCATTTATGTATTGTCTGTGGTGCTTCTGCGGTAAAACAGCAGAGCTGAGTGGTCACAAGAGGCCATACTGCCTATATAAGCCCAAGGTTTTACTACCTGATCCTTTATAGGAAAATGTTTGCTGAACTCTAGAAGATTAAATGACCTGTAAGATTAAATGATTACCTCATCCAAATCAGATAATCCTAAATTTATTTGCCATCACTGTCAGAAATTCTATTACAACTCTTTCAATTTTTTTGGTCTGATTCTCTACTAATCTAAATTTTAGAACATGAAAACTTTGGAACATGATTTAATTTTCATAAAGCTACTGGTTTAGATTTCCTAAGGTGATCACAATTGGTTTCAAGTAGGGCTATTTTTAATTCTCACAGCTTAATAAGGATTTTTCTTTAAAGTACCTTTTATTTGAAAGTAAAGTCTAGAACAATGAATTGCAAACATCCTGTAAAATTCCATTCACATGAAGTTCTAGAATAGGTAAAACTAATCTATGGTGATTAGATCAGTGATTGTTTATGGAAAAATTAACTGGGAAGAGGTATGAGAAAACCTTCTGGGGTGACAGAAATACCCTACATTTGGATATAGAGATATGGGTTACATGGCTATAGAGATGTATCAAAGCTGAATTAAAAATTTGTGCATGTCACTGCATGTAAAAGTATTTTTAAATTTATAGGGTTAAGAATGAATTAGCAAGAGGAAAAAAGAATACACTTTTCAAAAATATCTTTCAATAAATTACTTTAAAATTCCATTATGATAAAGGATCTAAAATGAAAAAAAAAAAAGCTTACTTACAGATTTTAGTTGGATACCCTGTCGTATCTGGTCTAACAGTGCATCTCGTCCAGAGCAGGACACTGGCCGACTGTTCTGCTCCACTTTTTTTAGCTGAGCACCCTCTCTAATTTGATCTAAAAGAGCTGCTTTGTTTCCTGCAGTAGTTGGAACCTGATGGTCCCCATCAGAAGGCAGGCCAGGCGGGGGCGGTGGCCCAGGAGGAGGTGGAGGTGGAGGCGGTGGGGGTGGTGCCACTGGCCCTACCCCCAACACAGATGGAGGTGGTGGTGGAGGCCCTGAAGGTGCTGAGGAGGGAAGGGCTGGAGGTGGAGGAGGGTACATCCTATTTGGCGGTGGTGGAGGGACTGCTACACTTGGCCTGGAAGGAGGCGGTGGTGGAGGTGCAGCTGTGGGAGCTCTTGAAGGTGGTGGGGGAGGAGCGCCTCTTCCCCTAGCAGGAGGAGGAGGAGGACCTGAGTTGTGTGGAGGGGGAGGAGGAGGAGGTGGCCCTCCCCTTGATGGTGGTGGAGGTGGTGGTGCTGAAATGCAAACAGAAAAAAAGAAGGCATGCTTTTTTCTTCTCATAAACATCATATTGAAAAGTAATTCATTTTAACATGTATAAAAATTGAATAATACCAAAAAAGGGTCTCATCTTTGCATTTTATTTTACAAAGATACCTGAGCACAGATGATATCTCACAATTTTTTTTGAGAATTGTCAGCCTAAAGATCACTTTCTTATTGGTTCTTAAAAAAATATGAGCTAAAACAGAATAGTTTATTTTTTTGGAATTAGTACCAGTTCTGAAAGTAAGGGGAATAAACATTTTCTACTTTACAAAATAATAACAAAATATACCAATGAAATTAAACATTTTGTTAATTAGCATTAGTTTACATTTTAATAAAAATAAATACCTTCCCTCTTTAAAAAAGAATCAAGTACACTTATTTTTTTAAGTAAAATCAATTCACATTCAGAATTATAGTGTAGCATAGCTTAATAGAATTCATTCACATTAATCTGCGCTAAAGCCCAAATATAATGCTTTCCTTTCAAAATGTAAGCCTTTGTCATTTAATTTACATTTGTACTTTTATAGCATAATGTCTGTATCTCTAAAAATTGTCTGCAATTCTAGTAATGGCATTATAGGAGGCTGGTTGCTTTGTTGAAATGCTCAATTACTTATTCCAGAGACATGAACTGGTTATTAACAAATTAACTGAGAATTTCCATACACTGCAAAATTAAAGTTATTAACAAAAATTACTATTATTCCAGTAGTCATGATATTAGCATTCTTATTCCACATCAGTGAAAATGTAAGATATAACAGAAAAATAAACTTGGCTGAGCATGGTGGCTCATGCCTGTAATCCCAGCACTTTGGGAGGCCAAAGCGGGAGGATCACTTGAGGCCAAGAGTTTGAGACCAACCTGGCTAACATGGAAAAACCCCGTTTCTATTAAAAATATAAAAATTAGCAGGGTGTAGTGGTGCATGCCTGTAATCTCAGCTACTTGGGTGGCTGAGGCATGAGAATCCTTTACATCTAAATATCCTGAGACTAGTACTGGCATAATAATGTTTATGAACTATATAAGTCAATCTATCAATCAAAGTTTAAATGAACACTGGCAATGAAAAAGACATAAGTAAACTGAATGCCTAATTTAAAATGACAGTTAAGTTCTTCAGAAGAATGTTTTAACCGGAGCTTTTGCTTAACTACACTATTATGAGTATGCAAAAGCTAGGAAGAAGAAAAGAAAGCAGTCCTAATAAGGTAGCAAAGAGATGACTGTTAATTGGAAAATTTAGAGTATTTTATCTGCATTTTACTGCAATAATTATTAAGACAAAACTGAAATACGAGGTCCTTTAAAATAAATATCAAATCTTAAAAGGTTATAAATTGTGCTCTCAGGTACAAAAGAAAATTTCATACTTTATCCAAGAAAAAGGATTTGTATTTCAAAATAGAAAGTTTACATTATTTATATTCTGGAAATGCGTATATTACTAATTAGAAAGTGATTATATTTAAATTATTACTTCTGAATTACAATAAAATCTGGTGGTTTATAGGATTCCTTAAGTATAACATTTAGGCAACTATAAGTTTTTACTTTAAAATAGAATAGCTGGGAAGATTTTGTATGGATTTTTATGAATAAAGAATAAACAAAACCTTGTAAAGTTTTTTTAGTTATAATGAAATAATGTTAAGACACAGTGTGATGGGCCACATTAGTTGTCCATAGACTTCAACATTCTGCTCAAGGAAGGGTTCACATGTATGAATGTTAACTGGTTTCCATGAAACTGACCTCAAAAGATTAAAACAAAACAGAACGCTGAATAGAGATAAAAGTTACCTTGCCTCCGCAGTTCATTTTTAACAGCTTCAACACCTCCTGTTTTTTCAATAAAGTCATATATAACTTTTGATGTTTCTCTGTCTTTAAGTTGTGCCTCTGAGATTCCACACATATCGAAAAGATTCTTCAATTCTGGATCCAAATTATTCAGCTACAAAAGAAAGTAACTGCTAACTATAAAAATATATCCCAATTTAAAAAACATAATTTTAAGTCTCATCTGTGTCCTTCTGAAATTATTTTGCCTAAACTTTTAACATGCTTATATTACTTATGTGCTAACTAAAATATTTTATTAAAAAAAACTGAACAGATATATTCCCTATTTTATTCTTCTTTTTTGTTCCCTGCCTTCAAAAAGAGGGCATCTCATTTAGATTTCTATTAGCCTATTCATGATTCAGACATCTCCAATGCTCATTTATTCTACCTTGTCCTAAGTAAGTATGTAAAAATCAGGAATAAACACAAAAAAAGTAAATTAATTTGAAAATCTGAGAGCAAGGATCTTCCTGTAATCCCAAGCACCTTGCACAATGCCCAGCACAAGAGGTGCTCAGTATGTTTGTTGAGTTAACATTGTAGCTATAACAAAAATAACTAAAAATATTTTTTACTCCAATCACAAATAATATCTCTTTAAAATAATGCATCCAAACGCTGATTAATTTTTGCCAGCAGTTTCACAGTGCTATAAAACAACGGCAAAACTGCCAAAAAGAACAGGAGAATGAAAAGATCTGGAGAATTCAACAACTGAATATTCAGAATTTGATTATACTACTTTCTAGTAATTTGGTATACACTCCCCTGAAATTATCACTTGGCAGAAATGATTTTCTTCTCTTGGCTTTCAAAGCACAAGGATTTTATTTATACAGTGTATAAAGCCAAGGTACACAAAACCTTAGTCTAAGTCTTTAGAGACTTAGCCATGAATGACAGAACAATAATATGGTTTTAAACCTCAGTTGTATACATACATAAAACACAAGCACATTCAAACAGATACTAGAAACCACAAAAATGAATTTAAAAAAATCTAAAATAGGCCAACACATTTCCACATACAGTTATAACGTATATGATTTGAAAACATACTTACATCAAAGCCTGTATTTGGATCCCAACCAACATGTCCAATGTGCCTGAAGTAGAAAATAGAAAAAAAATAGAAAAACAAAATGCATAAAGGGCATTATAAACACAATATATATGAAACCCAATCTACATTTGGCTTTGAATTTTTGGTCTGAACTAACAGTTCTCACAGACATAACCATATTGTGATAAAAACTATGTACAAGGAGTCAGAAGAACAGGATTCTAGCCCTGACTCTGCTACTAACTGAAACTTAAAATTTTTGTACAATCTCTCTGAGCATCTATTTCCTTAATTGTCAAATTAGCATAAGAGTCCAAGCATTATATATATGACGGGATAAGGGTTTCATAATGAGCTAATAAAATAATGCATATGAAAATGCTTGAAATATGTTAAATACCAAAGGTTTTTACTGCCCCTAGGCAGTATCTGTAAACAATTTCTAAATGCTATTTTTAGAGCAAAGTGAGAAATCATTTTTATGTTCAATAATTAGTTGAAGAAACAACTTTATCTAATTTTTCTTTTCTCATAGTTGAAAAAGTAAATAAACCATAAGATTCCAAGAACATCTATTGAGCAGCTGCCTTAAAAAAAAAAAAAAACTCCAATAAAGTACATAGTTAAAACGGTATCCAAGTGATGAATGTACACACCCTCCCGAAAAGAGAAGAAAATTTTCTAACAAGTTAAAAATCAAGAACAGCAATGAATAAATCAAAAGTGAAGATAAGAACAACAAAAGAACTGTCTTACTGGAAATTGCTTGGTGTTCCTATATCTGCCTTGGTTAATCTCTTCTTTTTAGCTTTTCCCTTCTTCTTTTCTTTGGTATGGGAGATGTTGTTGACTTGTGGACCATAAAATCTATTTGTTGTGATTTCTGGATTTTTTATATCAACTGTAGCCATGGGTAGATTAGGACCTGCAAATAAAACCAAATTATATAAAAGGGATATAATTTAAGATAACTGATATACAATCATAATTTACAATTTAAATACTTTTTCTGAAATAGGATCACTTCATTATAAATTATTTATATTTTAAACTTCTACATTTTTTTCATAAAGTGCTGCCTAAATTTCTAAAACCTGTTAAGTTCTTGAAATGAGTGTAGATGCACTATTTCAAAGCAAACTTACATTTTTATGCCATTAAATTTCATAAAGAATATGAACTTCCAGCTAGAATTTAAATATAATTAGTCTAATCTCTTAAATTTTGATTATAATAGCCTCATATCCAACACATTGCTCAACAGTAAAGTGAAACATATCTTGTAACAAGGATAAAGAAAGTAAAGTATCTATTTTTGTTTTAAATTTAACAAAGAAATATAGCCTTAACTCTTTGTTTCAACTTTATTAGTCAAGAAGAAAAAGGGTACTTAAAATTATTACTACCATTTTTTCCAGAACTGGCATCCTTAAGTCAAATGATATTTTCCCCACCAGTACGCATACACCTTGACTATCAGAAGTATAGAATTTAAAAATTTAAAACACAAAAATTCTTAAAGCACTCATCTTGTGCAAGAATCAACAGTAAAAATGTCAAAGGCATCTTTCCATATTATTAATAGTATCTTCAGAAGTGGTACTAAATGTAGCAGAAAACTTGTCTTACAATTCAAAATAAAATTCTTGATCTTAAAAGTATGAAAGTCTGAATGTGGAGCATTCAACTGAAAAATTTCTTAAAAATTCAACTAAAGGGCAACACATGTTCCTCAGAGATCCTATTTTTATATATGGTTCTCTGACAAATCCTCCTTTGAGACCAAGTTCCTCTGAGGTGACTACATTAACGACCACTTCCAAAACATATGAAATACTATCATCGTTGTGTAGAAAAGAGTTTAAGGCAGCACACTTTAGACTGCTCTTCTTAGAAAGGACCACTTGCAAGGTTGGCCCTCAGTTGACCACTTGGGAAGTTGGATTTCAAGAGGGTTCCCACTATTCCCTGACAAGGTGGGCTTATTGTGTCTAAACTGTTTGTGCTAACAATGCAGTTTATGTTGAACATCTACTTTCCTTCTGGGAGTCTGAAATCTTGGTAAGTGCAAGGCAGGGTAGACCTATGTAACTAGCCCTCAACGAAAACCCTGGGCACCAAGTCTCAAGCTTTTCCTTTAGACAACATTTCACAAGTTGTCACAATTCATTATTGGAGGAATTAGGTGCAACCTCTGTGTTCTCCACTGGGAGAACTCTTGGAAACTTGTGTGTGGTTTTTTTTTTTTATGAACTTCATCCCATGTGTCTTTCCCTTTGCTGATTTTGTTTTATATGTGTTTTCACTGTAATAAATGTTTGCCATGAGTACAGCTATATATTAAGTCCTGTAAGTCCTGGTGAATCACCACCTCTGAGGATGGTCTTGGGGATCCCCAACATAATCAATAAATGGCAAATAGAAATCTCAAGGCTAATGTATATTAGTTGATCCTTAAAATCCAACTTGACTGTTATTCTTTAATTATGCCCCAAACTGCCAAAGTATCCTACTTACTAAAATTATCTGAAAAAAAAAAAAAGTTTATTTACATGGGTAAATTGTATATACCCTATTTTCTCCCAACTCTACTATTAAAGATAAAACAAAACTAAAACAAATTTATGAAAGCCATGTCACCTTATCAAAAAAGTAAATAATTTGGAAAGGCATATTTTTAATATCACCAAAATTCAACTCTTTTCCCTTAATATTCAAATCCTATTTATATATAATATTTTAATAATCCTAAAGTTTTAGTTACAATTTCATTCAAAAATTCCATAGGAAGTTGTTGATATGGATAAGAAATAGTTTTTGGGAAAAATGAGAGCTAGTGAATAATATGGATAAAATCATTAAAAGCTTTTTTAGTGCCCAGGAATAATATGAAAAATAACTAGATCAGTAAGTAAAGGTGAGTTAAGCAGTATCGAATGACCTGAAAGGGTGATTAGGATGTGAATTTTCAAATTTGCTCAGGTATCAGATTTCGACATTTATGTAGTTGTACAAAATAAAGGACTTACTGAGAATATCCAGAATGTAGGGACTAGAGGGTTGAATTGGGGTTACACTCAGACCTTCACAGACTTATCTGGTGGTCTACTTTTACTTCTCATTCTTCCCTTTCTGCCCTCTCACTTCTTATCTTTACCAGTCAGTATCAGCAACACTATCCACAATAAGGATGCTACAAATTACTTTGTTTCTTATCTTTATATCTTAATAAAATGTAAGAATTAAGACAGAATTAGGAGTATCAGAATTAGGTACTCCCTGGCCAGGCACAGTGGCTCACGCCTGTAATCCCAGCACTTTGGAAGGCCAAGGCGGGCAGATCATGAGGTCAGGAGTTCGAGACCAGCCTGGCCAATATGGTGAAACCGCGCCTCTAATACAAAAATTAGCCGGGCGTGGTGGTGTGTGCCTATAATCCCTGCTACTCAGGAGGCTGAGGCAGGAGAATCACTTGAACCTGGGAGGCAGAGGTTGCAGTGGGCTGAGATTGCGCCACTGACTCCAGCCCGGGCGACAGAGCAAGACCCTGTCTCAAAAAAGGAAAAAAAGAAAAAGAATTAGGCACTCTCTTTATTCATATGACTTTTCCGGAACTAAGTATTCAAATAGCAACTATAAACAATCAGACTCACCAGTAAAATATAAAAACAGAAAACAACAAAAATATTTTCTGCCACTTTAGCTTATATAAAAGCCATCTATTATACTATAGATGACTAGCATGGAAACACAGTTGGATAAAGTTAAGTTTAATGATTTAAATTATCCAAGCTAGTATATTTTTGAAAAATCAGCTTCTTATAACCTTGATTTATATAACTCACTAGAGAAAGTAATTCAGCTGTCTCTGAGGAAGATTCAAGAATGAGGATAGGAACAAAATGTAAGTGATATGTGAAATGAGTAACAATGTTTAACTCATACTGTAATCAGACTGTTTCCCCTCTTTCTCTACCCAAAAATCAGGCATGAATATATTATTATGCATCAACATTATCTCTTTAAGTCATTATAGATGAATTTCATTAGTACTAGTTAAAACATTATTTAAGGCCGGGCGCGGTGGCTCACGCCTGTAATCCCAGCACTTTGGGAGGCCGAGACGGGCGGATCACGAGGTCAGGAGGTCGAGACCATCCTGGCTAACACGGTGAAACCCCGTCTCTACTAACAATACAAAAAATTATCCGGGCATGGTGGCGCGCGCCTGTAGTCCCAGCTACACGGGAGGCTGAGGCAGGAGAATGGCGTGAACCCGGGAGGAGGAGCTTGCAGTGAGTCGAAATAGCGCCACTGCACTCCAGCCTGGGCAACAGAGCGAAACTCCGTCTCAAAAAAAAAAAAAAAAAAAAAAAAAAAAAAAACAACATTATTTAAGTAAGACTATAAAGAAAAATCCATATAATGGAGATATATAGAAAATTAGTATTAGATGGGAAATTAGAGTTTCTTTTCAAAATTGCCTTTCATTTTATTAATGAAAATGAAGGACAGTAAGAGTCAGGTGATCTTTATAAAGTCATATGATTAGTGACAGAAGCAAAAGTGTATTCTGATATCTTGGTTCCTAGTCCACTACCCTTCCAATTAACTACTTTACCTCTTTTTTTTTTTTGAGATGGAGTCTCACTCTCTCGCCCAGGCTGGAGTGCAATGGCGCCATCTCGGCTCACTGCAACCTTCACCTCCGGGTTCAAGTGATTCTCCTGCCTCAGCCTCCCAGGTGGCTGGGACTACAGGTGTGTGCCACTAAGCCTGGCTAATTTTTCATATTTTAGTAGAGATGGGGTTTCATCGTATTAGCCAGGATGGTCTTGATTTCCTGACCTCGTGATCCACCTGCCTCGGCCTCCCAAAGTGTTGGGATTACAGGCGTGAGCCACCGTGCCCGGCCAACTATTCTACCTCTTATACCTCTTACACAAAAGTCAAACTACAAGGTGGATAACACCGCTAATTTTACAAATGTCATAATACATTCTTTGTTTGCCAATTTTTCAGTTTTCTTGGTCTGTGGTCCAACAAGTCATTATTCAACAAATATTTACTAACAACTTACAGAATTTAGAAAAAAATGGATTTCTATACATTCAAGAGGTTAGGTACTCGGTTATTTCTGTTGACAATGGTTATTTACTTTAGAGTTTGAAGATGTTAGGAAATAAGTTTAAAATGGTATTCTAGAGCCAAATTAAGTATCTGTTTCAAGCGACACACTAAAAAAAGTGATAACCTGTTTAAGGTATAGAGCCATTTTTTAAACAACATAAAGTATATGAAAGATTTAGTAACAGATGTACGTACTGAAGTCATTTCTAGTAAAGTTTAATTATTCCATTTATGAAATTACACTCCTCCTAAGAACTACTATGTAAACATATAATGAAGGCGGGCTGTTTTCCTTCTTTTTTAAAAAACAAATGACAAATTAACTCCTTCTGATTAAGGATAACTGTTGCATGAAAAGGTTTTTAAATGTTCTTGTGAACAGACATGTCTAGTTAATTTTAAATCTAAAAGAACTCAAGTTTCCCATTAATTACATAAGAAGCAAAGAAGCCTCACCAAGGAAAACAGTTGAAAAACAGGTGGCCTAGAGGCCTCTGATGTCAAGCAGTCACGAAGCTGAGAACAAATCATTGGAAAGCATATATGCTAAAATGTGAGACTGACCAATAAAGAAATTAGGAGTGAGGAAGTTACTGAACTGCATTTTAGGAATGTATGTAAATTCTACATAAAGTATCTTTTTAATAATTAAAATTTGAAAAGGTGTGGTAAACTGATAATCTAAATAAGGATCTGAGACAAAGCACCTGCATAGCTACTGGAGGACATGGTCCAGGGGCCCACTGCCACCTAGTGGTGGTGCACCAAATACAGTAAAGTAATAATGCTGCCTCCTAAACAGTGGTCTCCACTTAGTGGGGAAAGCAAGATAGTTGAATGCAAAGCAGTTTTAAAATATTACAACTTGTATTAATAATTATTTATTTCATTCTTTGTGTATTAATATATTAATTCCATATTATATGTATATTTTATAAGTATACAAGTATTGGCAATACATGCTGTATAATTTTGTCCTTTAACAACACTATTAAAAAAAAAACCCTCCATTTATTTAATGAAAGAAGTCTGAAACCACTGGGCCAAATGATTAAAACTAAAGATTTAAAACCAATGGCCAACTCATAGAAAGAAACTACATTTAATTCTTTTTTTTTTGAGACGGAGTCTTGCTCTTTTTGCCCAGGCTGGAGTGCAATGGTGTGATCTCGGCTCACTTGCAACCTCCGCCTTCTGGGTTCAAGCAATTCTCCTGCCTCAGCCTCCCGAGTAGCTGGGATTACAGACATGCGCCACCATGCCCAGCTAATTTTTGTACTTTTAATAGAGACGGGGTTTCGTTATGTTGGCCAGGCTGGTCTTGAACTCCTGACCTCAGGTGATCCGCCCACCTCAGCCTCCCAAAGTGCTGGGATTACAGGCGAGAGCCACCGCGCCCGGCCTGAAACTACATTTAATTCTAAGTGGGTCTCTTAGTAGGGGTAATAAAATTATGAAACACCACTGTTATATAAAGAATTTTCAAATTCTATCTATTCATGGAAACTAGATGCCTCTTCAGAAATTCATTTTATAAATGTTCAGCCCTCCATATTCACAGTTCCATATCCATGCATTCCACATCCATGGATTCGACCAACTGTGGATTAAAAATAAAAATGGATGGGTCCATCTGTTCTGAACATGTACAGAACATTCTTGCTATTATTCCCTAGACAATACAGTATAACAACTATTTACCCAGCATTACTTCTCAGCCTTTTGGCTAAGACCAAATGTACCTAGCATTTACATCGTATTAGGTATTATGAGTACTCTACAGAGGATTTAAAGCATATAGGAGAATCTGTAGTTACATGCAAATACTATGTTGTTTGTATCGCAGACTTGAGTATCAACGAAGTTTTGTATCCATGGGGGGATCCTGGAACTGATCCAACATGGATACATGTATTTACAACCTTAATTTTAATTATATTATTTCTACAGCATCTACACTTTAAAATATGGGGTTACTTTCCCCAAAGTGTTTCGATGGCACCACTAGAAAGTCTTCTCTGTTGGTACTCAATACTGTATATACTCTCCAAACTCAAAATAATGTAACAAATTCAAAAAGGTTGAAATACTAGGCTTATATCAAGGAAAATTTCTACTACTACATTAAAAGTTCACAGATGAGCAACCTGTAACTCAGCTGCTTCTGTTTCTTTTGCCTCTGCCATGTACTAATTTATATATCCTGAGACATGATATTTACCCTGTGTCTCAGTTTTGCCTTCAAAATCATCTTGACATAACATAGTGGTTAAAGGGCCAGTCTCTAGGGTCAAATCATCTGATGCTGAATCTTGCTTCACTACTTACTAGTTATGAGACCTTGAGCAAGTTACCTATCTGTGCTTCGGTTTCCTTATCTATAAAAGAGATAATAGGAGCTACTTCAGAAGGTTGCTGTACAGTGCCTGGCAGGTAGTAAAAGATCATTAACTAGTAGTTGCTATTATTGTTGTCATCATCTTCATCAGAATAACTAATATTTATTAAGCACTATGCTAAGCTTTGATTACTTCAATCCCCGTAACAGCCCTAAAAAGTATTAATATTTCTATTCAAAAGAAAAAGTGAAACTATACAATATTTGGTACCTGTTAAGCACTACTGAAGGTAGTCAGGCATTTAAAAAATTAATAATAAGGTAAACAACCCAGAATTTAATACAGCAACATTTGGTTCATGTTTCTGTATCAGAAAAAGAAATTTAAGGACAAAATCAAAAGGCAACGTATCTGTTTAAAAGAAACCCCAACAATCACCAATAGCTGTCATATATTAAGAACTCTGTATTATGTAAGTTTTCCTTGAATAATCATTCTAGGTTCTGATAAGAGGATTTGAGATATGCTTTTAAAAAGCAGCCATTTTCTCTATCATAACAAAGTGTGCTGGAGAATGATTCTTTACCTTCATAGAGTCAGGAACCTCATTTAAATACGATGAAAGCCATGGATCCTCTCTCTCCAGAGAAAAGAACATATTTAGCACACAATTTCAGGGAGTTTATGAAGTCTAGAGTAAGAATTTCTACCCCTGAGACCTTATCTTTTACATCCTGGTATTCTGCTTTTACTCTCTGGTATTCAATGTTTTTTAAAAAATGAATTCATAATACTTCAAGTGGTCATTATCAAATTAAAGAGCATTATACAGAGCTAAATTAGTTCTAAATACACCACAACAGTAGGTGTTCATTTTGAAAGGGGCTTCATATAACACATAAGCAATGTGAAATAATATTTTGAAATAAGAATGAAAGGTAAATCTTAAAGTAGGACATTAACAAATATTCTAGACAAAATGTACTGCCTCTAGGAAAAATGTTAAGGTCCGATTGTATACTTAGTCAACTGTGAATCCAGAATTAAAATATAATAAGTATTAGTGATCTTCACCCTATGTATTCTTTCTTCATGTTAGAAAAATATCAAAGAATATTGTTTCCTAAGTCTCATCTGTCAATCATTAATTAAAAATAGGAACACAATAAACTGTATAATTTGATCATAGATACTAAACATTACTTACTAATGTATGGTACATGTTTCCACAAGGATTAACATGTAAAAGATACTAAATATTACTAATGTATGGTACATGTTTCCACAAGGATTAAACTGTCATCTAAAATCTTAAAAGATTAATAATTGTCAAAAAGCTTACCATTTGGGGGATCTCGTCTTTTCTCTGTTAGAAAATAAATTAGAAGAATATTATTAAATATATGTAAGACAACATCAACATAAAAAAATTAATTCACTAAACTGTCTTATTCCTAAATTGACATACGTGTGACTAAGGAAGATTTTTCAGAAGACCCGACATTTAAGTAGAGATCTAAATAAAATAAGTAAGGGAACAATACATTCAAAGGCCCCAAGGAGGGTGCAACATGAAAGAACATCATGAAGACTGGACTACAGTGAGCAAATGGCACAGTGAAAGGAGACAAGAAGGAAAGTCAGGGACTAGATCATGTAGGGTTCCACAGGCCATGGTTAAGGACTATAGATTTTATGTGTATATGATAGGAAGCTCTTACAGAATTTTAAATAGAGAAAGTGATATAACCTAATCTACAATTCTAAAAGTTTACTCTGGCTACTGTATAGAAAAGAGATAGTAAAAAGGATTGAGTAGCAGCAGGAAGACCAGTCAGAGAGCTAGTGTGGCAGCCCAGCTGACAGATCATGGTGGCCTGGATTAGGATGGTAGCAGCAGAAATGGTAAGAAATAGTCAGACAGGACATGTTTTTGAAGGCAGAGTCAATAGGACTCTGATAGGATTTATGAGGGACCATGGTGAGCCTGAGGGATAAGATGGAACAAATGCCTTTTACTGAAACAAGGAAGATTAGTAGAAGAATAGGAACAGATCTGAGTGGGGCTAAGGTTCAGGATACAGGACATGGATCAAATATTCTGCTCAGACCGTGTTAAGTCTAAAGGCTATTCTGCCACTTGAGTAGACAGAGTCTGAAGGTCAGGGAAGATGTGTCAGTACTGAAGAAAAAACTTTGAGAGTCATTGGCATACAGTTTTTGGAACTATAGGACTGGATGAAAGCACATGTTCTTTCTTCTGAAACTCATCTGCTTAAGATGATTTTGGAGAGGTTCCCCTTTCCTAGTCACCCTTCTCCACTTTACAAGAGAAACACCTGGTTCACTGTTGTCAAGTAATAGTTCTACTCCAATTAACTTAAAGCTTTATACTATCCTGCATTGTTCTATAATTGTTTTATATGTGTTAGAGTTGTTTCACACACTAAACTAAGTTCCTTATGGGTTTTATAGTATATAGCATTAGGAACAAAATAGAAAGACAAGGCAATGTTTACAGATCTTGTTAGCAACTCTGCTTATTTGCTTCTAAGCTTACCTAAAGTCTTTGTTTACAAAGTATAAAATACTTTTAAAACTTTACAAAAAATGCTATCACAAATGCAAAATTAAAAGTCAATATATATGAAATTTTATCAACAAAAAAGGTTATTGTATTGGGCCCTTCGGTAAATCTAAAAAAAATAGTTCTCAACAAAAATATTATTTATTTTAAGGTAAGGACCACCAAATTTTTTTGTAAATAGTAAATATTTCAGATAATAATTTTGGCTTTGAGGACCATATATCACTGTCATCACTATTTAACTGTGTTGTGACAAAAAATAGCCAAAGACAACATGTAAACCAATGAATACAGTTAAGTTTCAGTAAACTTTTATTTACAAAAAACAGGAAATGGACCACACTTGCCCCATGAGCATTAGTTTGCTGGCCTGATTTAAGTAATTAAAAAAGGGTTACCAGATTTCCTTTGTCGACGGCCCAAAAGGTCTGTAACTGCTTTTCGAAATTTTTTTGCTTCTTCTTCATTGGCAAAATTAAGAGCAACTTGACAAGTCTGAAATATTTTCATCACAAAGGGGAAACAACAGAATGTATGAATTTAGCTTTATATCATAAAAACAATGAGGAAAAGAAGTATATTTCTAAAGAACGAAAGGTTAATTTTACTAGCAGATAAGACATTATTTTATGATCTGAATAACTTAACACAAAAGCATGAAGAAGTTCAAGTAAAAGATTACTATTAGAGAAGTTACCTATCACAGCAGACACATATACTAATTTGAATATTTCATCTTCAGCAAAAAAATAAAATAGCAAATTGAATTTGATCTTTCAATAAGGTTCTATAAATAATTTGGATTAGAAAAGGCAAGCAATGAAAAAAGTAAAGATGGCAATAAAGAAAAATATGACTTACATCTCCAGCAAAGGTATGAAAATATCCTCTAGGACTATTATATACAAAGTTATTGTATAGCTCTTGTTCCCACAATAGTTTCCCATCCTAGAAAAAAGTTAAAAATTAAAATAAGAACTACCAAAACATAATCTCTAGGAATAAAACAAAGAAGATGACTCATATTAAGAAAACTGTTTATATTAAAAATAACTTTTAATGCACACATGTAACATATTTATAATATATAAATAGTGTCACATAATCTAATCAGTAATTTCTTAAAACTGAAAACACTGGATAACGTATCTTTCATAAAACCTACATATCAAGTCAGTTTAATTCAGCTAAGATATAATCTCACTAGCCAACCATTTCCAAATTCAGCTACTTGGTCAAATACATAATAACCAGAATAATTACTAGGTCATCAATGTTACATAGAAGGAATAGGATACTTTTGTACATGAACTGATTACCAAAGCACAGTTCCACCAGCAATATTTAGACAATGTACTATCAAACACTGCAGGAATACTTTATGTTCTTTTCCTCAATTTTATAGATGTGGGAGGGTCAAATATACCTTCCTTGTACTGCTAATTAACCATCTTCAAATTCTTAACTTTTGCAGAGTACCTTTCTAATTATATACTAGTATAAGTAGTATTAATCATGATGCAGAAAGAGACTGATAATTAAAATGTATCAAGGTTAAACTATGGATAAGAGTGCCATGATGGCTGCCATATCTATTGCCATAGTATAAAAAATATGTTTAATCTTAATACCAAAGGTGACGAATTATGAGTGTCCAGCAATTGGAAATAAGTGGTTAGAGAAAGATAGTCATTGCCCTATTCAGAAATGCAAGGTTCTACCTAGACCACAATTTAAAAATATGTAAAATACACTGTTCACACATTATAACCACTGCAATGGAATCCCTTTCTTCTTAGTGGAGTAGTAAGTGTATGCCATTTCTAAATAGTGCTTCTCAATGGTTATGAGAAATATGTCAAAGCACTTGGGGGTTTCTTTCAAACTACGTATGTGTTCCCCACCCCCCAGAATCACTGCCATAGTTAGCCACTGCTAGTGATTACTAGTAAGCCACTGCTAGTGACAGAAGCATGTCATATCTCTCAGCTGTCTTGGAAGCAGACATTAAGATGCACTAATTTAGCCCGGGACTGGTGGCTCAGGCCTGTAATCCCAGCACTTTGGGAGCCTGAGGCAGGAGGATCACTTGAGTCCAGGAGTTTGAATCCAGGCTGGGCAAAACAGCAGAACCCATCTCTATAAGAAAATACAAAAATTAGCCAGGTGTGGTGGCATGCACCTGTAGTCACAGCTACTCAGAAGGCTGAGGTGGGAAGATTGCTTGGGCCAAGGAGATCAAGGTTGCAGTAAGCTGTGCACTCCAGGCTGGGTGACAGAGCAAGAGCAAGACCCTGTCTCAAAACAACAACAACAACAACAAAAGAAGCACTAATTTACCAAATACCATAACTGAGATCTCATTTAATCTCAGTGAAATACCTCATAACAAACCAAGATGGTTATCTGATTTTACAAATAAAGCTGAGACCAGAGGTGTAAAAATCTCTTCACTGTTATCTATCAGGTCATATTAGCGCCCAAGAGTTTAAAGGCAGTTTTAGTTTTTTGTAATTAAAATCTCATTGCACTTATTGCCACATATAAATATTAATCATGGAGGCTTACTTACAGAAAGGTTTTTTAAAAAAATAATGGAGACTTCATCTTAGCAAAATATTTTTATGACAACTGTAAGAAATGAATACCTAACAAGGTATTCAATCTATAACAATGTGATTTATGATTGGAAGGGAGGGATATAAAGCTATGAAAATCTGAATATATCTATCATGAGAAACAATATAAGGAAAAATGAGTAGCAAACAGATTTTTATAGATATTGAAATGTTTTAAACCTGGGCTAAATAACAGTACATACTGAGCTAAAATATTATTTTGTTGTTACCTGAACAGACTATCTACGCTATTCTATAATGAACCAGGTGGAATAAAAGAGTTTCATTAAAAAAATACAGAGTGTAAAGAAAGCCCAAGAACCAACAGGCATAATTTAAAAAAAAAAAAAGCCTTAATGCGTGGTAGCAGGAGAAAGATAAAATAGGAAACTATTCACATTCTGGCTTCAGACATGTTCCCATTTGGTCATGATTTCCGTATGCAATATCTAAAAACCAAGCTTCACTCTTCTAATATTAGTTTATGTATAAATTTAAATATCACATATAGGATAAACAAATCTAAACTAAATTATAATTGATATAGAAAACCTAATCACCTAGTTTAAAGTGAAAGCAAAACAAAACTCACCTTAATGTCAAATATTCTTAAAAAATAAGATCTCTGTGGATTGTCCTTAACAAGACAAGCAACACCACTGCACTTCTTTGACCACATACAGTTCCGATCTGCTGCATATAACTGCACCACTGCTGAAGACATAGTCTGCAAAATATAAAATTTATAACCATTAGGTTCAAAATAATATGTAGATGATCATAGCCCCTGCTGACAGCTTGACCGCAACCACCCAGCTAAGCTGCTCCTAAATTCCTGATTCACAGAAACAAGGAAATAATAAACATGTATTGTTATTTTAAGCCACTAGTTTCTGAAGTAATTTCTTATGTAGTAATAAATAACTAATACAATAATCACATAACAATAATTACTGAAAACATTTATTGATGCTTAAAATGTGTTAGGAAATGTGTTAATCACTTTTAAATATAGCCTCATTTGTTATTACTATGATAACTTCATTTTTTACTTGAGAAACCCGACACTAAAGGGGTTAATTTGCCCAATACCACACAGCTAAATGGCAGAGCTGAAATTCCAAATCCAGGCAATTTGTGACTTCAAATCTAGCATTCTTACTCCCCCTATTACACTGTTTCCCAATAAAGTGAACACTTAAGCAATGAAGTAGTAGCATTAGTAATGGCTGACTTGTATAAAGCAGTTAAGCACTTATCTAGATAAGGATTGAGACAAACTTGAAAGCAGTATTACCACCCTGGAAGGCAGATTATAGTATCTCCTTTCTAAAGTGAGTTTAAGATTGTAAGTGATTTGCACAAGTGGCCACGCAGTTTTAATGCTATACTGAGGATATGAAAAAGATTTGAGTGACTATTGTCTCAATTTTACCAAGGATAGTCCCTAAATAGAACCCTTTCAGATGTATAGGAGGGAAGCTAACTCGTTACATGCAATGGACACTTCAGGGCATTAGGATTTTCCAGTACACCATGTTGCCCCCTTCCTCAAGACTATATCATGAAAAGGTGTAAACTAATTTTATTCTAAATTAAGTTTACTTTATAACCTAGAATGTAACTATTCAACCTTAAGTTTCTATGAAAGTGATACACACTTACACTGATAAAGCACTTACAAATCCTCTGAAAGCCATAATTATGTTTTCTGATAAAGTAATTTCACTTCTAAACTAGAAATTAAGAAAATCATTTAGAATATAATACTTCATATTTTAATATAAATATAAAAATAAAATATTTCATATAAATATATATTTTTTTAAAGAGGAAGAACTGAAATAACCTAAAATAGGAGCTGATTAAGTAATTATGGTACCTTAGTTCAACGGAATTTGGGCTCTGTAATAAAAAATAGACTACATTAAGATTTGAAGATATGCTGTTTTAGGTTTACTGAACTATGCCTGAGGGGTGCCCTTTTTTGGTAAGAGGAATTTCAAAGAACAATTATATGCACAAATCTTTTATAATTAGATACTAAATTCAGAAATGTAAGATCAGTATACTGTTAGGATCAAAAGTCCATAAAGACTTGCTCAGATAACAATGTTCAATGTTATGTTTTTAACATTACAGACCAAACTCAACCTTGAACTTCACATACAGTACTGAGTAGGACACAAAGGAACAGAAAAATTTCTGCAAGAGTCAATAAAAATTATGATAACTTAAAAACAAAAAATGTGTATCCTGGGACACTGGGTTTCAAAGAGGAGACTGAAGAATGTGGGACACTTTTTGGCCTGCTCAAAACACACTTGTGTTTGCAAGTGCACAATCTCAGGATGATAGTGCCACAGGCATCCTGCTGCCAGCACTGAAAACTTCAGAAAAATGCGTCTTGCATACACTATCTAAAGGTACCAAATACCAGGCTGAAGAATGCAAAAATCAAACAAGCAATTTGTTAGTTCTAAGGAGAATTCGCATAAAGTCTTTTTTAGTATGGTGCTGTCAAAATACATTCATTTCTAAAAAGATAGCAATTAGGAAACTAGATGTACCAAAATGAAGATCTAAAAATCTCCCTACTTCGCTTTTTACCAGAAATCAAGAAGTAACAGCTCACACACACACACAAAAAAGTTATTCAATAGGGTCTGAAATCCCATTATGAAAATCCCCTTGCTAGCCAAAGGACTAAATATTCATGATGTTATAAATATTCACGTTGTAAAACATCATGTGGCTATATATGTGAACTTTAAAAAACAAAACAAAACAAAAAAAAACCCAAACTAAAAAACATTTTAACCTTTAGATAAACTTAAATTCTTAAAACACTTGCTTAAGAAATAAAGACTAACAATGCTATAATTTTTCACAGACAGGATACTGCATTATAAACATTAAAACTAAAAAAACAACTATTCAAAAGCAATTTTCAGTAACTGGATTTTCAAAAAATTTGCTACACTCTTATTATCAGTCTAAGTGTCTATTTCATTAATTCTTACCTTCATCTGGCAGTCTGAAAATGACATACCACAGCACCTTGTAAAGCCTTTTCTAATTCAGAATAATTACAGTGAATATGAGAATAACTGCTATACATTTAATACAGTATATTAATGCTAGACAATATAAAAACAGTCACTAATCCCCACACTCTAGATTGACAGTGACTTAATTAAGTTTTTACAGACATTCCTTCCATTCCTTTAAGTAATTACAACAAATCAATTCCATTCCTTCTTGTCTTTCGTAATTAAGAAGATATTAATGAAAAACAACCTAAGAACAAGTGCTTAGGAAGGGAAATCTATTTCTTATTACCCTAATAATGTTAAGGTTAAAATCTGGTAATTAAAAGGAAAAAAAGTACTGTATCAACTTTGGTAGAAACAGAACCTGTCATATCTTGTGTATTCCTGATACTTCAGTACTGAGTAACTGTAATGACATATTCATTCTCAGAACTATGATGATCAAGGGCAGGAAGAATATGGGGGATGTATTCTAGGAAGTGAATTCCCTCCCACTGTCCTTCTGCCTGGGACTTCCACCTCTTTGAGGTTGACTCTGCACCAGTTGAGAAGTATTTCTCTGATTCCTTAGGTTGAAATGACTTTTATTGGAGTTTTTTGGTTTGTTTGGTTTTTTTTTCACATTTCTGAAGTGCTTGTTTGTGTACCTTGTGTTACTCTGTTATTCCACTGGTCTTACTCTAAATCAGAATAATTTTCTGTATTGATTTCCTAACCACTAAAAAGACTGCAATTCCCATAAGCACTTAAAGTAGTTCTGCAAGCTTGTACTTTCACTCCACCTATACTTTGTCCCCAAGTGAACAAGTATTTGTTAAAAACTACATGTTCTGATTTTGATAATGATACTACAATAATAACAGAATGACTCTGATTTTAGGATATATAGCCTGAAATATTATAAAGAGGCATTATGTCTGCAACTTATTCTCATGTTATTCAGAAAAAAATAACATGCATGTATACATATATATAGAGAAAAAAACATGGTAAATGTAATAAACATTTGGCAAATCTGGATGAAGGATATATAGAAGTTCTTTGTACTGTATCTTTAAGTATGAAATTATTTCTAACTTTAACAAGCACGAATGATTCATTAAAATGTATGACCCTTAGCTCTCTTTCACAACCACAGCAATCTTGAGAAGGTGGTCCTCTCCCCAGAGCCATTACTACCTCTATATATGTTAGCCACTGCTGCAATGGCCCAAAACTAAGAAAACTCCCACTTCCTCCTATTCCCTCTATATGTGTACCAACTTTCTTAAAAGTTCTATCCTGCATAAGACTTAAACCACAAACATTCAGCACTTCTACTGTTTAAATTCCTTTCACATTTTCAGAACAACCACATTATGTAACAGGTCAGAATAAGAATTTTAGATCAGGAAAATAGGTATTTCTTTGACTACAGAAACAGCTAGACCACAAAAAGACTAGAAAATACTAGGAGTCACAGGGATCCTTGTTTTTAGCCATCAACTGCCTACAACAAATACTAAAATGATTTAATACTGAATAACTGAATATTTAATAATAACTAAAATTATTTTAATCTAACAAATATACAATGTTAAAGAAAATATTTAAACATATTTTCTCTTTTTATTTTTGAGACAAGGTCTTGCTCTGTCACCCAGGCAGGAGTGCAATGGTGAGTGAGATCGCTCACCACAGCATCAAGCCCCTAGGTTCAAGTGATCCTCCTACCTCACTCAGCCTTCTGAGTAGCTGGGACTACCAGCACACACCACTATGACGGGCTAATTTTCTAATTTTTTGTAGAGATGCAGTCTAACTATGTTACGCAGGCTGGTCTCAAACTCCTGACCTCAAGTGATCCTCCTACCTTGGCCTCCTAAAGTGTAGGGATTACAGATGCGAGCCACTGTGCCTGGCCAAATATATATTTTCAATAAATATCCAAAATACACTAAATGTGGGGGGAAATCATATGACTTAACAAAATAAAGTCTTTTCTATGATCATGTTGGCCTAGATTAACAGTCAAATACTCCAACTTTTATATGTACGCATGTATCTGAATGTTGCATTTGGCCTCAAATGTCTGAAAACTAACATGAGAAAATCCATTCTAAGTGTTCTCATTATATAAAAGCTAAGATTTAAATACATTCCTAGATGCTCTGATGATATATTTACATGAAATGACCTATTATTACTCTGAATATACAGTTGGCCCTTGAACAATATGGGTTTGAACTGTGTGGGTCCACTTACATGCAGATCTTCTTCACTAAATACAGTCAGGACTCCATATCGCAGGGTTCTGCATCCGCAACCAAACGTGGATTGAAAAATACAGTTATTAGCAGGATGAGATACCCACAAAACAGGAGGGCAGACTTTTCACATGGGTGGGTTCTAAAGGACCTCAGTATGTGTGAACTTTGGTATCTGTGGGTGGCCCTAGAACCAATCCCCCATGGATACTAAGAGATGACTGTAAAATTTTAATCTATACATTATAAAAAGTAGTATAAAAGTAAAGAAATGCAAAGAATTTGGTTGAATTCCTACAGTTTATTATGTAGTGATCTCATGAAACAATGTTCTAAATAATTAAAGTAGCAACACCTGTTACCTGCCCACCTCAAAACCCAATACAGAAATCATAAATTTAAAAAAGAAAAACAATGTATCTGGCAGGGAACAACAACTCCTGAGAGTGGTGAGTATCAGTAAGAACTATCCAGGAAAAGAAAACACAAAAATTCACTTTGGAGACAAGGGATCTTATCACCTGGTAATTTCTACAATGAGAAATAACCAGAAAAGAAAAGAGAAAACAAACAAAAACAGTACACGTTTTAAAAAGAATATGGCAATGACAAAAGACTCCACAAGAAATAAATTTCTAAAAAAGCAAACCTGGAGGAATGAAGGAGGAAAACCACAAAAGCATAAAATAACAAACAGAATCTCAACAGTGAAGAAAAACGGAGCCAGATAGAAACAGCTGCTATCTTAGGGACCAAACACAGAGAGTCTTTTAGATCTTAGCTGCTTTTTAAGAAAATTTCTCTGCCAGACATATTTGTTCACCAAATGTTTATGAAGAACCTACTATGTACAAGGGACTGGGATAACTGGGGGTGAGGACAAGAATGAAAATGAGGGCAAATACAAAAATGAATTAGACAAGGTCCTCATAAAACATCTAGTTAATAAAGGGGAGATTGGCATTAATAACTATTAAAATGCTACTAGGAAAAATTAGTATGCAAGAAAAATGTAAAACCTAACTAGTGTAGGAAGGCTTCCCTGAGGTGACATCTTACCTGAAGAATGAAAAAGGGTGAGTCAAGTGAACAAAGCGCTGGTGAGGAGTAAGTATGGAGGAAATGGCATTCTAAGTAGACTCATCAAAAAGACCCTACCATAGGAAAGTTTGGTGAACTGTGTGGAGTAGGAAATAAGAAAGAGAAGAGTGGCATGGATTGAAGACACAGATTTAATGTTAAAGTAATACAAAACACAGCTCAATTCAGTGATTTAAAGAGATAAACAGCCACATACAGTTTGGAAACCTTGACTGGAGATTTGGTACAGTAGCACATCATTCCTGTAATGGCCCTTGATTCAAGTTCTTATATATTATCTTCCTCCACTTATGCTGGATTTGTCTATGTGACTTGTTTTGATGAAGAAGACACTGGTAAATGGAAGGAGAAGCGGGAATACTTGCACCTTGTAGCTTGCCCTTTTGGAAGTGCTGCCCTAAAACCTGGAATCAAAGACCACATAGAGAGCAAGGCCCTAGTCCATTTCAACTGTCCTTTCTGAGCCCAGTCCCTACATTCTGGTGAGATTAGTCACCAGCAGACCAATCACTCAATCTACAGAATGAGAAATTTGTTGATACTGCTATAAGTCACAAAGTCATTAGGTGGTTTGTTTGCAACAACAGATAACAGATGTAGGGGATTGTTTTAATATACTAAAAGACATAACCTATAAGAAATGGCTCCACGTCTTCCTCTATTCCATTTCTAGCAGTATAGTTATGACAAATTTTTGGTTACAAATCATAAAAGTTTTAGACCTCACCTTCATTATCAGTGCACATTCCTGTTTGGAACCATTTAAAAAATCACTTTATTATATACAAAAGCCATATGGAAAGGTGTGTGCTACACAGCAGGCTTAGGTCATTCACAACCACACACCAATCTTATATACTGCCTATGATTTAAATTCATACATCTAGAAAACTGCAAAGTATTATGTGGCACAGACCTTTAGCATTACCAGTAAACAATCAAAATTAGATGTTAAAACTAAAAATGGCAAGTCTTACTGTATTCTCAACTTTCTACTACCAGAAGGATAATCATATACAGATAAAGGTGAGAGGAATACTGATCTCATTATAGACTGGGTTATATTTGCAAATGGGTGAGGACACTGTGTTAAAAGGGCAGCTCATAGGTGCGGCTGGTTCTCTTCTGCCCTACCCTGTAACTTAAGTGGATCTACTTAAAAGGAGTTTTTCCTCTCTCTTCTGTCTCCTTTTCCTTCTGTTTCTTGCAAATTCAGTTGGATTATGGTAAAACCTGAAATTTGGGTCTGGATTTTCAGGGAATAAAGTTGGAAAGGGGGTACCCTAGGAGTCCCAGCTCACCAATCAGTTTATTTTTATTTTTATTTATTTATTTAGATGGAGGCTCGCTCTCTCACCCAGGGTGGAGGAGTGCAATGGCACGATCTTGGCTAACTGTAACCTCCGCCTCCCAGGTTCAAGCAATTCTCCCACCTCAGCCTCCCAAGAAGCTGGGATTACAGAAACCCACCATCATGCCCAGCTAATTTTTGTATTTTTGTAGAGATGGGGTTTCAGCATGTTGGCCAGGCTGGTCTTGAACTCCTGACGATCTGCTTGAATCTGCTTGACGATTGCTTGAACTCAGGCGATCTGCTTGCCTCACCCTCCCAAAGTGCTGGGATTACAGGCGTGAGCCACTGTGCCCGGCCCAAAGTTTAACATTACTAGTGGAGCCCCAAGTCCTGATAACAAGGGGAAAAAAAAGAGAGGGAGGGAGAGTGCAACTGCAGGATGGAGGGAGAGAGAGGTAAAGAGAGAGGGAGAGAGAAAGAGGGAGGCAGGAAGGAAGGGGGAGAGAAAGAGAGATTTTTGTTTTTTAACTTTGCTACTACTCTTCTGTGGGAACAGTTTGGGATGAGAGGGTGAAAAGTAGTTACTGCAGTTGCTGGTGGGATGTGGGTATTCCTGAATGCTAGAGCCAAATAGCACTTAATACCACTTCACCATATATTTTATCAAGCATATAATACAATCCCCTCATTTTATAGGTGAGCTCAATTTATTTGCCAGAGGTCACATATTATACAGCTTTGGATGAATTTCCCAATCAGCTGCTAATTCTATACTCAACATACACTACATAATCAGTGATTCATCCCAATCCTAATTTGTCATATTTTTGCCCTATGCCAGCTAAATGATCCTCCAAGAAGGATATATCCTTAATATAGTTTTATTTCTCTAACGCCCCCTTTTGGTTTGTTTTTTACCTTAATTTTGGGGCAGGGAAAATGGCAGGGAGGGAGAGTTTGTGGTAGTGGTTGTAGAAAGTAAAGGATTGCTGGTGCATGAGAAAAAAAAACATGTTTATGAAGGGAAAAACTCCAAACAGACATTAAGTTGTTTGTCCTGGGGAAAAGAGGTGAACTTACCATGAAGCTAATTAGGTTTAAGTTTCAGGATCTTTTACTTCGTAGAGTCCCTTACAAGGCTTTGATTATTCTCCTTTGGGACACAGGACCAGCAGCAACTGTAGCCTCATGCCTAGGGGCTCCTCTTTAGCTGTCCCTGAAGATGATCGTGGTACTTCCATCAAGAATGCACTATCTCTGTATCCGCCTAGCTCCTAGCAGTAATTTCCTGTCCCTCTTGGACCACATGATGCATCCGGACTCAATCTTTAACCCAAGGATTTGCATGAGTGTTGCCCAGCTCCTGCTGGGTGTGACATACTATGATCCAACTACATGGACACTTCAGGGGTCAGGGACAGTGGTCCAAACAAATGAGATGTAAAGTTCTCCCCAGGCAAGAAACATGTTTTATGCAAAGTGAAGGAAATTACAGATGTGCTATTACATTACTAGTAACTGGTTTCAAAACTTTTTTTTTCAGCTTCACAGCTATCGATAGTAAATAAATTTTGAGCAAATATGTTAGAACAGGAGTCTTTTTCTGTAAAAAGCCAGATATTTAATACTTTACGCTTCCAACTCATGATCTCTTTCAACTCATCCATTGTTGCACACAAAAGCAGCCATAGATTATATGGATATGCCTGCGCTGCAAAAAACTTTATTTATAAAAACAAGCAGGCTGAATTTGGTCCATGGTTGGTACTCTGTCAAGTCTTATGCAAGAGGAAAAGACTCTTCCTATATAAAATATAAAACTGTCATGTAAAGAAGTGATGAATGAATACATGGCCACAATAGGTAGAAAAAAAGTACCAAATAGGTATAATATATTGGACTGTTAATTAATAATAAACACAGCAAGTTATAATAGCAATAAGCTACTTGTCTAAATTTTGTGAAGTTTATGGCATTTTTTATTTGTTGTGATCTTTTCTCACACCAAATAAACATTCACTTTTAGACTTAATTTTGGATTGTTTTTCTTAATGAGAGCCGCTCCCAATTATAAGCTTCAGGCCACAAAACCTGGATTAGCCTTGCTTGGGGTGAGAAAATGATGCATCAATCAGAACAATAGAATTTTGTATATGAAGAAAACAAACAACTATCTAAGCGAATATATTCATTTTGCCAAACCACACTTAACGAAACAACTTTTGAACATATAGTGATCTTATCCATTTAAGAAAACTAAAGCCAAGCAACTTCAAAAAAACACAAAAACACTAAGATAGGTGGGTAATGACAATGAGTGTATCTGGAAGGAGGAGAGTCTTCTATATTCAATGTTTTAAGAATCCTTCATATAACATTTTTTTTTAAGAGAAAGGGTCTCACTATGTGGTCTAGGCTGGTCTCCAACTCCTAGCCTCAAGTGATCCTCCTGCCTTGGTCTCCCAAAGTGCTGGGATTACAGGCATGAACCACCATGCCCAGCCCCATATAATATTTTTAACAGATGATTACATAGCATTTGCTTAAATGCTTGCTGTAATGGGGTGCTCACAACCTGAAGGAAAAACTATTTTACTGTTTAAGCAGTAAGAATATCTTACTGTTAGAAAATTTTAAATAGTTAATCTAAACCTGTTTTCCTGGCAATTGCCACCCACACGTTTTGTATTTTTTATTCTTTCATTCAAGTATCTGTTGAGCATTTGTTATGTGGCAGGCATAATGCCAGGTACTATAGCTATAATAATGCAAAACCGAAGGTATATACCACATCCTCCAGTTACAGCATACTTACTTCTGTGTAGTGGCAGCAACATTTTCGCTTCCACAGCGATGTTCCACTAAAACTCTACTTGTCACATCATCTCTTTTTAAGGTAAAATTTATTTTGATCATTCCTCATCTGACCTGGTTTATGAATCCCTTTATTAGTCTGGTCACCCTTGTTAAAATGAAGTCAATATTTTACATGTGTTCTGATCAGCAGTGCAAAATATTGGGAAAATAATGTTTCTGATCATAAAAAGAAATGTGCAGCCTCATTGTCATCTACCACATGATATGCTGAAGTCACATGGGACTGTCTTAGAAGTCATTAACCTCTCTCATATCCTGATCCTTTATGTCGAAATCCATGCTCCCAAAAGTGAAGTACCCTCTCTGACTCTCCTTTCACTTGGTCACTGTTCAAACTTCAGCTATGATGTTGCCTATGGGAACTGTGAAGTCCTAATCTGGGAGGGAAGTCAGGCTGGCGAGATGACCCAAGGAAAGCAAAAAGAGAAAGCAGTAAGCTGTAAGTCTGCCTTTCTTCATGGTCCAGGACACATAGCCCTTCTGTGCAAATAACTCATGATCTTCCTGAGCTCAGCTATCAGCAGACCCTTGGCTGACAGAAAAATTCAAGTTAGCTCACTGCAACCTTGTTATCAGTATGGCACAAAGCCCTCTTCAGTACAGAGCACAAGCACCATTCTATAAAATCTCCAGCAAGCCTTTGTATCCTGGCAGTCAGCTCCTCTCTTGCTGACCTGTCTGTTGCACCCTTGCAACATATTTTCATACTGTCTCTAAGAAATCTGCCTTTCTGTAGTTACAACTGTCTTGGTAAATTCTTTTTACCACCCAAGCCACCAGCCAGATAGTCACTAGTCACTGCTCACCTGTGACAGGAACCTCCCAACCCACCTTTCCCTCAGTCTGTGACAAAGGCCTATCCATTGAGTTCCCATAGTGCCTAGGAACCTTCATTATACCAGTTACTGTATTATAATCTGTTCACTTAGGTCTTCTCAGCAGACTGTCAACTCCTTGAAGATAGGGCCCTGTCTTATTTCTATACTCACCTAGCACAAAATATATGGTTACCCCCAAACCTGTTTCCCAACAACCAGTTTATCATATAAGAATTAAAATCAGTTCAGTAACGTGTTTGATCTATTTAACTAAACCAGGGTAAAGGGGTAACACACTTTACAATGACTTCTATCAAAACCATTATTTAAATCATTAATTCAAATCTTCAGAATCTTAAAATTATCCAAAATTACTCGAATATTTTGGTCATCAAGAAAAATACACACTCATTAAATAAAGCACAGTTCAGCTATACAAATAGGATACCATACAGCTGCAAAAAAAAAAAAAAAAAGTTGTTATTCAAGTAATGATAAGATGAACAAGATACACTGTTATCTGAATAAAAGGCAAGATGTAAAAGTAAGGGTAGCATATACTAACGTCTGTACACAATACCACAAACAAGAATAAATAACTTACATTTGCCTATGTATGCACAGAACCTTCTGAAGAACAGACAAAACTAGTAACAGTTGTTTAAAGGTTCTGTGTGTGGACAGGTATTTTGTTGGAGAAGAAATGACTAGGCAAATGAAGGACTGGATAAATGAGAAACATCACTTTCTTTTCACACTGTGGGATTTTTTTTTTTTTTTTTTGAGATGGAGTCTCATTCTCTCGCCCAGGCTGGAGTACAGTGGCACAATCTTGGCTCACTGCAAGCTCCGCCTCCTGGGTTCATGCCATTCTCCTGCCTCAGCCTCCTGGTAGCTGGGACTACAGGTGCCTGCACACTGTGGGATTTTTAAACCATGTGGATGTATTGGCTTTCCAAAAATTAAAAATTGATTTAAAATATATACACGTTAAAAAAAAAAGACCTACTCAAATCACATTATGGTGCAAGTCTGAAACAAACAAACAAAAATAACCTTTCTGACCTAGAAACAGTAACCTAGCAAGAATTTTGAGTAGCTCTTTAGCTTCCCCCTAAAAAATTAAAAATAAACATTGCTGAATAACATACTACAGTGCCTAGGGGCTTAAACTAATAAAAAGCAAACTCTGGCTACTATAGGGAGATAGCCAGTCTATAATGAACAACAAAGTCTTTGATTTCTTTTACAAACTTACTCTTGCAGTCTTTCAAACTCTTAAACATGATTAATAAAAATAAGCAAATTAAAATTTTTTGTCTTCCATATTTGTTATTCTATATTCAGCAATTCAATGATCTAATAAGCATTTAAGGACAGTCACAGGGATGTACATATACTTTATATAAATAAGCACTTTTAGTTTGCTTGACTGACATGTACAATCAAGGTGGGCAAAAAACGTGCAAAAGGTAGGTTACTTTGAGAGCCATTTTATTTAAATATGAGCTTTTGAAGGCATAAGGTAAAGGTAAGGGCTTTGTAACAAGTAACAGTTTAAATTCAACATACAACCTAAGGACTTAAAGTACAACATTTGAGACTCTCATGTACATTACACACAAGAGCTAGATAGCATCCACCCCAAAAAACAAACAAACGAACAACAACAACAAAAAACCCCACCAAAGAATCCAAGAACCTTTCTCAAGTTTTGTTTTTAAGATTTACATTTTATTCACAATTTAAGAGACTTAAGGCTGGGTGTGGTGGCTCACATCTGTAATTTCAGCACTTTGGGAGGCCAAGGAGAGTGGATCACCTGAGGACCAGCATGTCCAACATGATGAAACCCTGTCGCTACTAAAAACACAAAATTTGGTCAGGCGTGGTGGCGGGCGCCTGTAGTCCCAGTCCCAGCTACTCAGGAGGCTGAGGCAAGAGAAATGCTTGAACCCAGGAGACAGAGGCTGCAGTGAGCTGCGATTGAGATTTAATAAATGTTCTCTATTTTTTAGAATGTATAAATTAATTGGGAATGATTTCACTTTGAGTCCACACAGATCTTTTACACTGTTACTGTCCTCTCTAGGTAAGCTCCAAAGCTGGGTGGCTTTGGGGGTGGGGGCAGGGGCAGGCGGGAGGGTACTGTTAGTTTCTGGACTCATCTTGCTTTTGCTCTCTGGAGCTGTACTGTTTAATAAGGTCACCACTAGCCACAATGGCTATTCAAATATGTTAAAAATGTTGTCTCTCAAAGTCACACCTGCTACATTTCAAGTGCGCAATAATCACAGATGTCTACCATATTGGACAGCATCATAAAAAGTTCTATTGGACAATAATGCTCTGGAAAGTCCTAGGGATAATCTCATGCAAATAATTTATTAGAACAAGATATGGAATTTATAAGGTCAACAGAAGGTCAAAGTTGGGATAACTACACAAAGGAATGTTCCTAATAAAAATAATTTAAAGAATCGTATTTATTCACAAAATGTCTGGCTAACCTAGAGACTAAATCTGAACAGGGTATTAATTCAATTAACAATTATTTATTATCTTAATCATCTTAGATGATTAAAAGAAGGTCTCTGTCTCCAAGATGTTAATAACCTAAAAAGGAGATATGTTTAGAAAAATAATTGTAGGCTGGCCATGGTGGCTCACGCCTGTAATCCTAGCACATTGGGAGGCTGAGGCAGGTAGATCACTTGAGGCCAGGAGTTCAACACCAGCGTGGCCAACATGGCGAAACCCCACGCCTCTATTAAAAATACAAAAATCAGCCAGGCGTGGTGGTGTGTGACTGCAATCCCAGAGGTATGAGAATTGCTTGAACCTGGGAGGCAGAGGTTGCAGTGAGCCAAGATCGCCACTGCACTCCAGCCTGGGTGACAGAGGGAGACTCTGTCTCAAAAAATAACAACAAAAATAATAATAATTATAACAAAGTATAAGTACCAAAATGAAAGCAAGAATAAAAATGTTCTGGGAAGGCTAAGAAGGGAGCCCTGAATGCTAACTGGACACAAGTGAGGGCAAAGAATCAGGAATGTCCCAGGGAAGAATAGTGTTATGACTGAAAGCACAGACTCTGGGAATAGATTCCACCACTTATTAGCAATGTGGTTTTAAGCAATTACTGAACTACCCTATCCCTGTTTTCCCATCTATAAAATGGGACTAACTTTATTTAGTTAATACATGTAAAGTTCCTTATTATAGGGTTAATACACATAAAGTACTTAGAACACTGGCATTGTATGCATTATTAAATGCTAATTATGATATTATCAGATGTATCATTGCAACATTTCTAATCAGATCATTTTAAGGCTCTATTACTAGCCAACAGAAGCTAGTAATGAAAAGACTAATATTTCTTTTATTTTCAGTATGTTGGTCAATTAAAGAGAATCTGAAAAAAGCCCAGGCTTCCAAAAATAAGAAAGATAACATTCACACCTTTACTATGTGCAAATCTCAGATTGGAGCTGTAACTAAAAAAACACTTCAATACAGTAGAGAGTAAATATTTTGAACGATGGCATCTAAAGCAAGTTTAGGTCAGTGAAAAACCAAATTAATAATCATGTAGTACATTTTAATAGGATTTTTGCTGGCTTGTATACATATGACAAACCTACCTTGCCAGTACCACCCATTCCCCAACCCCAATACTTCCAGTGTTAGAGACTCATTGCCTCTCTCCAGGAACAAGCACTTGTGCTAAGCTCAATCAATTAAATTAAGATTCTCTCCCAGGAATTTAGAATTCTAAACTGGGACCCAGGACTGATGGGTTTAGTAAGGAAGGAGAGGCTTGGAGTTCAGAAAAGTTCCAATAACTCCTGCTGTTTTTCTCAGAGCTTCCCAGCTTCCTGCTGTTCCTGAAACTTCCTTGTTCAATTCTGCTTTGGATTCCATGGGATCCTCTGGTAGCCAAAAAATTCCTTTTTGGTTGAGCCAGCCAGAATTAGTTCATTTTATTTGTACAAAAGAAGCTTAGCTAACAATACACTTCTAAAAGATTGTGTATATTCTCATATCTCTGAAATCTTAATGAAATTCAATGAGAAATGACACACTTTTTCATTATATGTATATGCTGTTATATACAAGTATATAAGCGAGATCTCAAATTTATACCTTGCTTTGGCCTGAAGTATTGTAATAGCTCCCCCTTCCCAAGAGGAGACACTGCCTCTACTTTATTCTTTCGTAAGTGCTTGCCAGTTATCTTTTAGGACACAGATCAATATTTGAAAACGTAACAGGTTCCTATTTGATAAAAATAAAGTCCAAACTCTTCTTCAAGAATTCAAGCTATTTCTTAGTCTGGGGCAATCAACACTTTGACACTATCTTGTTATGAACCCAATATATATCAGAGATAGCAGCCAATTAATCTGCAGACCCCCAAACATATCATACTTCTCAGCTTATAGTGTTCACTCTGCTGAAACATAATGTTGAAAACTTTTCAAACTCCATATATGTAGAGTTCAAATGTCACACTTGATCAAGTTTTTTCAATTTCCTCAAGCAAATATTTCTCCCTTTCTGTATTCTCATAATATTTCATTTATACATCCAATAAAGCACTTATTGAATGACTTATAAGTTCCCATGTAGGGTTTGCTTCACCAAAACACTGTTCACCCTCTAAAGACAAGGGCCACATGCTCTTGAACTGTTATTACCTTTAGCCTCCAACACAGTATTTTATATGCGTTTTGCATTTATTCATTTGCCGGATTGAACTGAGAGGGGTGCCTTTCTTAGAATCGTATTGATTACTGCTGTGCTATCAAAATTGTCTTAAACAATTTTTCAGAACATTACAAACTGCTAATCTGTGGTATTGAAATTATTTTTAGAAGAATGATGACACTTTTCTTCTTGGCACTTCATAACTAATCATAAACATTTATATGACATGGTGAAAAACCTCAGTTAATGCATCCCCCTTCATACTGTTTTAAATGCCACAACAATTTGCTTCTACAACAGCTTCCCCAATAGAAGGAAGTGGTGAGAGTTTGGGGGCAAAAAAAAGCATACCAAAGTCAACATACATTTTTAAAAAGAATGTACTTTTCCCACTAATTCTCAAAGCTTCCCCAATAGAAGGAAGTAGTGAGAGTTCTGAGGCAAAAAACAGCATACTAAAGTCAACGTACATTTTTAAAAAGAATGTACTTTTCCCACTAATTTTCAAAGTACAACAAGGCTGTAAGTCAGATGAGCATAGAAGCACGAAATAATTTTCAGTACATTTGGTTAACTGAACAATTTTGTGGTTTTCAAGACGGTCTTAAAAACAGATGGTGTTCTATCTTTTACACATTATTGTGGTACACAAACTGTATGTAAATTTAATGTTCTATTAAATTACTCAATAAATATTAAGTATGCTCATCACTACTGTGCTATGAAAATACGGAACAGACTTTTAAACTCAAGATGCTAATAATCTGTTTTTTTTAAAAAAGGAGGGATATAATTTGAAAACTGTAAAGCTATGTATGCAAAGATAAAAATTAAAACACATGTAATTTTACACAGAATTTATGCCTCTGAAACCTATTTCTATTTTAATTTACATTAGGTTATATTTAAAAAAAAACAATTTCTTGAAATATGTTTTTTTCCTCATTAGAATCCCAAATAAAAATATTAATATAACAACTGTCTAGAACTGATACTTGTATCAGGCAGAGTGCTAAGAACTTTACTTGTATTTTCTTATTTAATATCAATCCTAGAAGGAACTAAGTTCATACATGAGGAAATTAAAATTGAGCTAGATTTAGTAACTTGCCCGTTGTCACAGAGGTAGAAACTCAAAGAACAGGGTTATAAATTTAGATCTGCTTTACTGCAGACCCCATGCTGTGAACCATGTGTCTCAGTGCAGAAAACATTTAAATTAAATGTCCCACTGGCTTCTGGAAGGGGGAGGTGGGATTTCAATTCCTTCCCTAAACTAAAAATTTTTATTCAACACTAAGTCTGTAAGAATCCCTAACAGTTAATTTTGGTCACAAGAAAAGAAGATAAACAGATCAGTGTTTTAAGCAAACATAAGTTCACTGTTAAATATTACCTAGAGATCTAAAGCATATTTTTTAAAGGTCTTGCAAAGCCAGTATTAACTCTGTTAATGTTACAGACCAGTATTTAGATCAATATTCTTCATGCATATGAATGTGAAAAATCATTCTAATTACAATCATATCAATAATATATTATATAAGGATGGAAAAACAAATGAATGGGACAGGTCAGACTCCAGAAATAGACCCAAACATATAAGGTCAATTATTATTAAAAAGGGTTCCAAGTCAATTCAATGACAAAAGATAAGGCTTTTTTACCAAATGGTGCTGTATCAAATTAACTACATAGGGAAAAAATGAAACTGTAAAGAAAAAATTCATATGATCATCTCATATGACCTTTTTTGCACTTTATATAACACAAAAAATTTGAGATGGATCATAAACCTCAAGTTAGAATCACAAAGCTCCTAGAAGCAGCAGAAGACTGTGACTGTGACCCCTTGGCATAGGCCAAGATTTCTCAAACCACAAATACATGTGCTAGAAAAGGTTAAAGAAAAAAAAAAGATACATTAGCCTCACCAAAACTAAAAAATCCTGCCCATCAAAAAACATCATTAAAAATTAATTAGGGCCAGGTGTGGTGGCTGCCTGTAATCCCAGTACTTTGGGAGGCCAAGGCGGGTGGATTACTTGAGGTCAGGAGTTCAAGACCAGCCTGGCCAACATGGTGAAACTCTCATCTCTAATCAAAATAGATAAATTAGCTGAGTGTGTTGGCACGCACCTGTAATCCCAGCTGCTCAGGAGGTTGAAGCAAGAGAATCACTTGAACCCATGAGGCAGAGGTTGCAGTGAGCCAAGAATGCACCACTGCACTCCAGCCTGGGCGACAGAGTGAGACTTCATCTCAAATAATAATAATAATAATAATTAGGCAAGCTACAGACTGGGAGAAAATATCTGAAGTACGTATCTCTAACAATAATCTTGTGTCCAGAATATATATAACATCCCTACAAATCATTAATAAAGAGCAATCAACCCACTAAATCTATGGGCAAAAGACCTGAAGTGCTACACAAAAAACAAAGATACATGAATGGCCAATAAGCACTGAAAGGGTGAAAGAATACCATTAGTCATCAAGGAAATATAATGAAAAGCCACACTGAGATGCCATTTCATATCCACCAAAATGACCAAAAACAAAAGGACTGACCACATAAAATACTGGAGATGTGGAGCAATGGGAAGTCTCATACATAGCTGGTGGAAGTGCAAAGATTGCACAACCACTTGGAGAACTATCTGAAAGTTTCTTATAAAAATAAACATACATCTTTCCAGTGACAATGTAATTCCTGAGCTATTTGCCCAAAAGAAATAAAAATATGTGTCACACACACACACACACACACACACACACAAACTTATACAAGAACACAGGAGCCTTATTCATAATAGTCAAAAACGGGAAACTCAAATATCCATTAACAGAAGAACAGACAAACAAATTGTGGTAAATTCATGGTAAACACTGACCAGTTGACTAATAAAAAAAGAATGAACATGTGTACAATAACAGAGATGAATCTCAAAAACGTATATACTGAGTGAAGAGGACAAAACAGACAAAACTAAGCCATCATGACAGAAATCAGAAAGTGATTGCAAAGGGTGGACGAAGATAGGAGAGAGGCAGGAATTAGAAAGGAACCAACTGGTTAGACTCCCAATGGAACTTTTTGAGGTATTACAAACATTCTAAACTTTATTTTGGGGGTATGGTCATACTCTGTATCATTTGTCAAAATTCATCAAAGTTAATATTTAAGATCTGTGTATTTTATTATACATAAATTATACCGTAATTTCTTAAGTGAAAAAAAGAATCTTAAGATGAAGCGTTAATGCAAACCACCAAAAACACTAACGACTTCTTATGTTTGACGCACTTCATTTCATGGTAGCTAGATAAATTGGAAAGAAAGCTCTTATAAACAATAAACATTAATGTAACCTTACTTGCTTTATTTGAAAAGAAATGTACCTCACTTTACAAGGGAGACAAGAAAGCTTAATTGTAAAATATACTGCTGTATTCATCATCTCAGGCATCCACTTTCATTTTCAAAGTGAGATGTCTCTAAGACTCTTACAAAAAGCATGGACAGCATTCAGAAAGATCACATTTTAAAATTCAGAGCATTTTACAGAATGAAATACAAAAAAATAAAAAAACTCACATTTGTTTAACATTACCTGGGGACTGGGCACTTTCAAGAACTACAAAGAAAACACTAGACTGTCATTATAAAAGGTACAGATTATTGGAAAATGCAATTTGGCAAGGCAAAAATTAAATTTAAAACTGAGCAAACTTATTTCTTAGAAATTGTCATAAAAGAATAGATCAAGTCTGGTGAAGACAGATGAAGAGCATGTGTGTGTGGCCTGCTATATTAGGGAGTAAAAAGGTAGAAAGGGAAAACAACAACCCAACAACTGTCCATCTCTAGGAAATTGCTGATTCCATAAATGTGTCCACTGATAATGGTATATATCTACTGACAAGAAACAAGGTCCAATAAAACATTAATGTCAGCCGGGCGCAGCGGCTCACACCTGTGATCCCAGCACTTTGGGAGGCCGAGGCAGGCAGATCACGAGGTCAGGAGTTCAAGACCAGCCTGTCCAACACAGTGAAGCCCCATCTCTACTAAAAATACAAAAAAATATGGTAGTGGTGAGCACCTGTAATCCCAGCTACTTGGGAGGCTGAGGCAGGAGAATCGCTTGAACGTGGGTGGCGGAGTTTGCAGTGAGCTGAACTCGTACCACTGCACTCCAGCCTGGGCAACTCCATTATACATAACTGCTGTTAGTCGTCTGGAGACTCTGTCTCAAAAAACAAAACAAAACAAACGAACGAACAAAAAAACAAACCATTAATGTCTGTGCCTGTGGGTGTGTGTTTGCTGAGAGTAAGTACATACATGTGTACTTCTTCAATAATTCATGTAAGACAAAACCTAGGAGGATTTGGACAAAAATGTTAATAAGTGTTATTTCTGGGTGGTAAGGTTTATAGATGATTTGCACTGTCGTCATTATTACTCTGTGAACTGCCTATGTCTACAGTATCTGTTGGAAATATAATGCAAGCCAATAACCAATTTCAATTATTTTGTAGCCAACTTGTAAATCAAAAGTGAAATTAATTTCAATAAATTTTATATACTGAATATATTAAAATTCTACCATTTCAACATGTAATCAATATTAAATGAAATAGTTTACATTTTTTTTTGCACTAAGTCTTAGAAATCCAGTGTGTATTTCACACTTACTCAACATCTCAATTTGAATTAATTACATTTCAATTGCTCAATAGCTCATGTGGCTAATGGCTACCAAGTACCATACTGGACAGTGAAGGACTAAGTCTTTAATAATCAGCACTATATTTTTAATGAGTAAGACACAGTATTTTTTAAGTAAGTCACCTGACTGCTATCAGAGCTTTTTTCAAAGTCTCGCAGCTGTGTATTACATAATGTTTTAGATTACTCCAAACTGTTCCTAGCATTCCATGGAAGATTCTTGTTTTTGGAAATGAACAGGTTGATGTAAAGTTATGGAATAAAGAGATACAACAACATAAAAATCAATCTACAATGTAGCACTAAAATAAGTCTTCCTACAGATACGTATGTGGGTGTACACATGAAGCCAATTTCTAATTTCCAGATTTTCTAACAGTGAATTTCTGACAGTTAAATTCAATAGTTACGACTATTCTATGAGCATTACTTTGAGCTCCCTTAATATGAGATTGTGATAATCCGGTGTATGTTTAATCAAATAAAGTTAAAAGCTTCTCAAACTTTCTTAGGTCTTTCTCAAAAATAGGAAAAAAATAATAATTAGGAGCATGAAACAAGGCTCAAAAAATTAAGAATTCATTCTGTGTGCCTTCAATAAACCTAAAAATTCCTATTGGAGGAATTTTCTCTCCAGTGGAAGAAAAAAGTTAAGAATTATATTGGACTTCTCTTCAGAAATCATGCAAACAAGGAGAGAGTATAGTGAAAGAGTTGAGTGAAATATTTAAAGTGTTGAAAGAAAAAAATACAACAACCTAACATTCTGTATCCAGCAAAATTATCCTTCAAACATTTTCGAAAGAGAAATAATTTTTCAACTGAAAATTGAAGAAATTTGTTACTGATACGCCTAGCAAAAAATGTTTAAAGTTCTTTAGAGAAAATGATAGAGGTCAGAAACTTGAATACACATACATACAGAAAAAATATTGTTAGAGAACGAATAAATGGTGAATAATTTTTTTCTTTTTAATTGATCTCATAGAAAATAGTTTGATTAAAATAACAGTAGACACAATGTATTCAGTTATTATAGCTTTTAGATAAATAAAATTAATGACAGTGGGGAGGGATGGGAGGAAGAAAATGGGAATATTGTGTTCTAAAGTACTCCACTATTCACAAAGCACTAGAGTATAATTCGATACTAGATTGAGATTAGTTGTACATACATATTGCAAACTACAGGGCAACCACTTAAAAAATTGTAAACATAAGTATAACTGCTGTTAGAAAAAGAGAGACAATGGAATCACATAAAATGCTCAATTAAAACCAAAGAATGGGAGAAAAAGAAAAGACTAAGGACAACAAAAACAGTTACAGTTGATATTAATCCAACTGCCAATAATCGTATGTGAATGGTCTAAATACACCAATTAAAAGAAGACTGTCAGAATGGGTTAAAAAATAACAACCCGACTCTATATAGTCTACAAGAAACCTATTTTATTTATTTCCAATTTTTATTTTAGGTTCAGGGAGTACATGTGCAGGTTTGTTATACGGGTAAATTGCATGTCACAGGGGTTTGGTGTACAGGTAATTGTCGCCCAGGTAATCAGCATAGTATCCCACTGGTAGTTTTTAAATCTTCATCCTTCTCCTACCCCCCACCCTCAAGTAGGCCTGGGTGTCTGTTGTTGTCTTGTGTCCATGTGTACTCAATGAAGACACCCATTTTAAATATAAAAACACACAGATAAATTAAAAGCAAAGGGATAGAGAAAGACAGACCCTGATAACACTAACTGAAAGAAAGCTGGAGCAGCTATATTAATTTCAGGCAAAGTATGCTTCAGAGTAAGTATGTATACACACACATATATACATACATACATATATATATGCACACATATATACCAAGGATAAAAAGGGACACTACATAATGATAAAAGGGTCAATTATACAAAAAGACATAACAATCTGTAATATGTATGCAGCTAACAATACAGGTCAAAATACATGAGGCAAAAGCCCACATAACTACAAGGACAAATATAGATAGATCCTCTATTTTACTTAGAGACTTCAACACTCCTCTATCAGTGATTGACAAGTGGGCAAAAAATCAGGAAGGATAGAACTGAACTGCACAGCACCAATCAACTGGATCTAGTTGACATTTATAGAATGCAGCATCTAACAACAGTACAATACACATTCTTCTCAAACACATATGGAACGATCACCAAGAGAGACCACATTTTGGGCCATAAAACACACCTTAACAAATTTAAAAGAATAGAAATCACACAAAGTATGCTCTCAGACCATAATGGAATGAAACTATAAATCAGTAACAGACAGGAAAATTCGTAAATATTTCTAAACATACTTCTAAATAATTCATGAGTCAAAGGAGTCTCAAGAGAAATTTTAAAATATTCTAAACTAAATGAAGATGAAAATGTAACTCATGAAAATGAGTACAATGCAGGAAAAGCAGAAATGTGCTAGAAAAGAAAAAGGATTTAAAATCAATAACCTAAGTATCTAACTTACGAAACTAGAAAAGGAAGATCAAATTAAACCCAAAGTTAGCAGATGAAAAGAAAAAAAGAATTATAGCAGAAATCAATGCAACTGAAAATAGGAAATCAACAGAGAAATGAAAGTCAATAAAACTGACAAGCTTCTAACCAGCTTAACCAAGAAAAAAAGAGAAAAGACACAAATTACTAACATAAAAACAGAAAAGGCGGCCAGGCGCGGTGGCTCACACCTGTAATCCCAGCACTTTGGGAGGCCAAGGCAGGCAGATCACGAGATCAGGAGATCAAGACCATCCTGGCTAACATGGTGAAACCCCGTCTCTACTAAAAATACAAAAAAAAATTAGCCGGGTGTGGTGGCGGACGCCTGTAGTCCCGGCTACTCAGAAGGCTGAGGCAGGAGAATGGCGTGAACCCGGGAGGCGGAGCTTGCAGTGAGCCGAGACTGCGCCACTGCACTCCAGCCTGGGTGATAGAGCGAGACTCTGTCTCGAAAAATAAAAAATAAAAAATAAAAATAAAAAAAGAAGAGGTCTATCACTATTGATCTTCCAGACATTAAAAGACTAACAAGGAATATTTTGAAAAACTCTATGCCTACAAATTTTAGTAATCTAGATTAAATGGGCCAATTCCTGGAAAGACACGATCTATCAAAATTTACACAAAAACTAGACAATCTGAATAGGCCTATGACCATTTAAAAATTGGATTAATTATTAATAACCTTCCAAAGCAAAAAACACCATAGCAGATGGTTTCACTGGTGAATTATCCTAAACATATGAGGAATACATGATAGAAATCTCTTCCAGAAATAGAAGCAGAAGGACTACTTCGTAACTATTTTGTAAAGCCAGCATTAAGCTAATACCAACACCAGATAAAGATCTAACAAAAAAGGAAAATTGCAAACCACTATCTCTCATGAACAAAGATGGAAAAAAAATCAACAACATATTAGCAAATTGAACCCAACAATATATAAGAATTAAACATCAAAACCAAGTGAAATTTATTCTAGGTATGCAAGGTTGGCTCAACACTCAAAAGTCAACTAATATAACCTATCATATCAATAGGCTAAAGAAAAACCAAATGATCATATGAACAGATACAGTAAAAGCATACTCATTCATAATAAAAAAAAATCTCAAAAATAGCAGGGAACGTCCTCAACTTGATAAAGCATTTCCATCAATAACCTGCAGCTAACCCCATACTTACTGGAGAAAAAGTAGACTGTTCCTCCCCTAATACTGGGAACAAAGTAAAAATGTTTCCTCTCACCACTCCTATTCCATATCCTTCTAGAAGTTCTAGCTAATGTAACACAATAAACGGTATACAGATTGAGAAGGAAAAAATAAAACTGTCTTTGTTTGCAGATGACATAATTACCAATGTAGAAAATCCTAAAGAATCAAAGAAACAAAAAATTTCTGGAAACCAATAAGCCTTTATATCAAGCAAGGTTGTAGCATACAAGGTTAATATGCAAAGTCAACTGCTTTCCTGTGTACCAGGAATGACCAATTAACACCTGAAATTAAAAACACAGCACCACCTATATTAGTACCAAAAAAAATCTCTGTATAAATCTAATAAATAAGATCTATATGACTACAAAATTTTGATGAAAGAAATCAAAGATGACCTAAACAAGAGGTATTTCAGGTTCACATAGGAAAAAAATACTGCTCAAATGTCAATTTCCACAAATGGATCTATAGATTCAATAGAATCCCAGTCAAAATCCTAGTTATTTTGTGGATATCAAAAAACGGAAAGATATGGAAAGGAAAAAGACTCAGAATAGTCAACACAATGCTGAAGAGTAAGAGTAACATCAGAGGACTGACACTACCTGTCTTCAAGACTTACTATAAAGCTGCAGTAATCAGGCAGTGTGGCCTTGTTGAGAGCAAACACAAATAGACAAAATAGACTGGTGGCCCAGAAGTAGACCCATACAAATGCAGTCAAATGATCTTTGACAAAGGAGCAAAGGCAATCCAATAAAGAACTGATAATAATCTTCTCAACAAGTGGTAAAAAGCTAGACATCCACGTGCCAAAAAAAAAAAAAAAAAAAAATCAAATCCAGGCACTGACCTTATGACTTACACAGAAATTAACTCAAAACGGATGAGAGATCTAAATGTCAATTGCAAAACTGTAAGAGTTCTAGAAGAGAACATAAAACAAAACCTGGGTGACCTGGGGGTCGGTGATGACTTTTTAGATACAATACCAAAAACATGATCAATCCATGAAAGAAAAAGCTGATGAACTGGATGGACTTCATTAAAATTAAAAACTTCTTTCTGTGAAAGACACTGATAAAAGAAAGAAAAGGCAAGCCACAGACTCAGATAAAAATACATGTGAAACACACAGCTGATACAGGAATTGATTCTGAAATAGATAAGGAACTCTTAAAGCTCATCAATAAGACATAAACACACCCAATAAAAAATCTGACAAAGGACCTGGACGTCTCACCAAAGAAGATATACAAATGGCAAATAGTCATATGAAAAGATGGTCAACATCATATGGCATTAGGGAATTGCAAAAGCAATGAGATATGATAGCAAAACTATTAAAATAACTAAAAATCCAAAACACTGGTAAAACTAAATGCTGGTGTGAATGTGGTGCAACAGAAACAGGGAGCCAGTCTATAAAGGCTACATACTGTATGATTCCAACTATATGACATGCTGGAAAAGGCAACACTATAGAAAATGTAAAAAAAAAAAAAAAAAAAAAAATCAGTGAGTGATAGGATTTCAGCAGGGAGGGGCGGGAGGAATAACTGCAGTGCAGGGTATCTGTAGGGCAGTTAAACTATTCTGGTATGACACTGTAACGGTGGACATGATGTTATGTACTTGTGAAACCAAAACCCAATGATCTGTACAATACAAAGACTTAAATCTAACGTCAACTATGAACTTTAGTTAATAATAATGTATCAATACTGGATCATCAATTGTAACAAATTTACCTAATACAAAATATTATTAATAGGAGAAACTGAAGAGTAGGGAAGGAGACAGAGTATATGGCAACCCTTTGCACTTTCTGCACAATTTTCCTGTAAATGTAAAACTGCTCTAAAAAATAAGATTTCATTTTTTAAAAAAATGCATGCCAGCTACCTATATTGAGCAAGCAGTCCTTCAAATATAAATATAAACAAACAACCAAGAATAATAAGACAGCTGAGGAAAACCAGCAGCAAAGAGTAGAGTGACTACAATGAATACACAGTGCAAGTGTCTGACCAAAAAAAAAAAAAAAAATTCAATGGGAATTAAAAAAAACTATCTGTATCTTCAGAAATATTTACTTAAGTATTATTGTAAAGAGCACACAAAAGAGCAGGTTGCTATTAAAACAGATCAATTAGCAATTATACAAATGACTTCATGGAAAAAAAATAGCTTCTTACCATCAAAAATTCAAGACTTATTAAAAGAGTCAAGGTAAATTTTACAAAATCTGGCATTCAATCAAAAGTTGCCAAAAATGCAGGAAAAAAAAAAAAACAGGAAAAGACCCATAGTGAAAATAGGAATAAAACAGAAACTGACTCAGATGATAGGAGACAGGACATTAGAACAGTTGTTATATCTGTAGTCCATATATTTTAAAATGTAGCTAGCAGACAGGACATTAGAACAATTGTTATATCTGTAGTCCATATATTTCAAAATGTAGCTAGAGCAAAGACTGGACATATATTTAAAAAACACGCAAATCAAACTTCTAGAAATGAAAACTACAATGTCTGAAATGAAAAATACAGTGGACGGTTTTTATGGCAGATTAGATATTGTAGACAAAATATTTGTGAATTTAAAGGCATAGCAACAACTGCTATCCGAAAGAAACACAGAAAAGGAAAAAGCAAGGAGGAGGAGGAAGACGAGGAGGACAGGGAGGAAAAAATGCTATACAGCAGTGAGGTATGGGACAACTTCAAGCAGTCTAATATATCTGAAACGCAGGGCCAGGGAAAGAGAAGTAGATACTTGAAAAAATCATGTCTGAAGTTTCCAAACTTGATGTAAACTTAGTTAAAACCCAGCAAGATAAAGAATAAGAAAACTGCACAAAGGCACATCATAATCAGATCCCTTCAAACTAGTAATAAAGCGAAAAATCAGAAAAGCAGTCAGAGAAAAAAAGATACATTATGTACAGAAAATTAAAGAAAAAAACAACAGCAGATTTCCTGTCAGAAATAATGCAAACCAGAAGATACTGGAGCAGTATCTTTAAAGAACAGAAAGAAAAACCTATCAACTTATAATTTTATACCCAGAGAAAATTTCTTTCAAGAACTGGGATAAAATACAGACTTTTAAGTTATATCAACCTGAAAGAATTTATAAGTAGAAGACCTGCATTACAAGAAACATTTTAAAAGAAGGAAAGAAAAAAATACTTCTCCTTCTCACTGCAAGAAAATGATACCAGAGAAATACCTAGATTTAGACAGATGAATTAAGGGTACCAGAAATGATAACCAAGTGAATAAATATAAGGTTTTTTTCCCTTACTATTTAAATGTCTCTAAAAGATAACTGAATCTTTACAGCAAAAGCTATAAAAATGCATCATGGAATTTATAACATTTGTAGAAGTAAAATACATGGCAACAATACAGCATAATAGTCGGTAGGGCTACGTCACTGGGTGATAGGGATTTTTCTGCTCCATTATAATCTTATGGGGCCTTATCACATATGTGGTCCATCACTGACTGAAACACCATTATGTGATACATTACATTATGTAATACCTGGGTATTATTTTGCACTTCAAAAAAAATGTTAAAGAAATGGGTAATGTATATATAAGAAAAGTATAAAAGTGCAGAAGAAAACAAGACAAATAATAAATAAAAATTCTTGCTTTCCAATGGGAAGCCTCAATATGTCAATCTTCCAAAATTAATCTACAAATCCAATGCTACTCCAAATCAAGCCAAATGTTTTTTGGTAAAGGATAAAGCCTTAGAAAAAAACACTAAGCACATGCATATTAAAATAGCCAGAAAATATTGAAGAGTAATGAGAGACTTACTCTTATCAAACTGTATCATCATTATGAAGCTACACTAATTAAAATCCAGTGTACTGGCCAAGAAATAAACAAATGAAAGAAATAGAAGAAACTTCAAAAATAAGTCTAAGACTTAGGGCTGTCTAATCTTTTGGCTTCCCTGGGCCACATTCAAAGAAGAATTGTTTTGGGCCACACATAAAATACATTAACCCTAACAATAGCTGATGAACTTTTAAAAAATTGCAAAAAAAAATATCATGTTTTAAGACTGTTTATGAATTTGTTTTGGGCTGTATTCAAAACCGTCCTGGGCCACATGCAGCCCATGGGCCACGGGTTGGAAAAGCTTGGTCTACGTACTCCTTGTAATTTAGTAAATTATAAAAGCAGCATTTCAGACAGGCGCGGTGGCTCACGCCTGTAATCCCAGCACTCTGGGAGGCTAAGGTGGGCAGATAACGAGGTCAAGAGATCAAGACCATCCTGGCCAACAAGGTGAAACCCCATCTCTACTAAAAATACAAAAGTTAGCTGGGCGTGGTGGTGCATGCCTGTAGTTCCAGCTACTCAGGAGGCTGAGGCAGGAGAATCTCTTGACCTGGGAGGTGGAGCTTGCAGTGAGCAGAGATAGCGCCACTGTACTCCAGTCTGGGTGACAGAGCAAGACTCCGTCTCCCAAAAAAAAAAAAAAAAAAAGCATTTCATATGGGAGAAAATAAATTGCTCAATAAATGGTGTTGGGACAACTAGCCATTTATAAAAATAAAAAGCTGGATTTCTATTACATTCCTTTTCCAAATTCACTTCCAGAAAGATTAAAGATTTAAATGTTCAAAATAAAACCATAAAAATACCAGAAAAATGTGAGCAAATATTTTTGCAATTCTGAGCTAGGGAACTTGATATGATAATAGAAAGATTATTCCACTTAACTACAAAAAATGTTAAACCTGTACAATGACCAAAACCAAGTACTTGTCAAAAGATAAATGACAAACCACAAAAAATACTACAGTATAGAATTATTATCTTTAACATATAAAGTGCTCCTCCAAGTCACTAAGACAAAAACAAATAATCCAATAGAAAATTGGTCTAAGGACAAGAAGAGGCAATTCACAGAAGAAATATAAATGGTCAACTGATATGAAAAGATATTCAATTTCACCAAAAACTATGAATTGAACAATAAGATGTTTTCACCAGTGTGAGACTGTCTACAGGGAAAACTATTACACCCATTAATAGAGGTTAATTACACATAAATATAACTTGATATAAGGCAGTAATATATTAATAAAAAGGATGCAACAGATATAAACATGGAAATATATATTTATATATATTAATAAAAGTGAAAAAGTTAAGTTGCAGAACAATATGTATACCATGTTTCTAGCAAATTAAAGAGAATAGCACTTTAGCACTTGGCCAAAGCCATCCTCTTCCAATGCTGCTGGCCAAGTAAAACATTAGCTAGACTGTTCCCTCTGTAATCTTGAGCTTGACACCTTCACAGATCTAATCCCACTCCCACAGCCGCAATAATCAACACTAGAGTCCAAAGTTCTAGTTCCTACTATCTAGCCATTTATAGTATGAGGTTTTGTTGTCATCCAGAATTCACAAGCCAATTAAATATTGCCAATTTTTTCTTCACGTTTCTGGTATCTAGCCTTGGAATGACAACTAGATTTCATCTATCGTGAACCTGGACAATTGGTAGTGGTTGCCTCTAGGAATACAACAGGTAGTTAGAAACCATGTCTGAACTCAGTAGGAAAAAATGCTGTGATTGTTGGTGTCTGCCATGGACACATACATCAAGGACTTAGTCCTTTTTTTTGCTATACATCAGGGGTGTCCAATCTTTTGGTTTCCCTGGGCCACATTGGAAGAAGAAGAATTGTCTTGAGTCACACACAAAATACGGTAACACCAATGATAGGTGATGAGCAAAACAAAAACAAAAAACTGCAAAAAAAAAACCCAAAATCTCAAACTGTTTTAAGAAAGTTTATGAATTTGGATTGGGCCACCTTCAAAGCCATCCTGGGCCGCAGGTTGGACAAGCTTGCTCTAGAAGCTGCCACAATTCCAGGTTTCTTAGTCAGATCTGATGTGCTGAACTAATAAATAAGAAATTTAGTAAACAATAAAGTATTACTCAATCCTTATTTCTATTATGAATAATAATTTCCAATTTTCTTTCTCCAGATCCTTCCTATCTTGAAATTTCTTGAAGAAATCTTAGTGTTTCCTTACTTTCTAGGGAATAAAGTTCAATCCTTAAGACTTGAAGTTCAAAGGTCTTCCAAAATCTAGCCTCAATTTACTCTTCAAACTTACCATCCACTATCTGCCCAAGCAAATGTCATTCTCAATTCTAGCCAACCAGTCTCCTCAATGCCTCCTAAAATTCTATACACATTTTCTATCCCAAACTTTTGTTTACACATTTCCTGATATAAACACTCCCCAACTAATGATGGTTCCACTTACAATTTTTCAGCTTTACAATGGTGCGAAAGCAATATGCATTCAGTAGAAACCATACTTTGAGTACCCATGCAACCATTTAGTTTTGTACTTTCAGTACAGTATTCAACAAATTATGTAAAATATTCAACACTTTATTATAAAATGGGCTTTGTGTTACATCAGGTTGCCCAACTGTAGGTTATTGTAAATGTTCTGAGCACATTTAAGGAAGGCTAGGCTAAGCTATAATGTTTGGTGGGTTAGGTGTGTTAAATGCATTTTTGACTACAACATTTTCAACTTACGACAGGTTTATCAGGACATAATCCATCATAAGTAGAAGAGCATCTGTACCTGATAAGCTGCTTGTTTCTGACATCAATTCTCTAGGCTATTTAAGGTTTTTCATATTCAAGTCCCACAATGATATACCTATCTCTCCTCTCTATTATTCAAATCTTTTATACATTTATATATGTGTGTGTGTGTGTGTGTGTGTGTGTGTGTGTGTGTGTATATATATATATATATGCTGGTTTGCAGCATATATCTTTTTGTGCATAATTTTTGTCTTCTTCAGCTATACAGTGAATAACTGAGGGGTAAAACCTGGATTTTCCTTACTGCTCCCTCATATTCCAAGATACTGGGAGGGTGTTATGTGCTTAGTAAGTCCTCAAGACTTGACTACGTTTCACTAATAAAAATCATTTCAGTTTCTAGCTAGTTTATGCATCAGTTTATGTATTAGTAAAGGAGTTGATTGATAAGACATATATATCTCATACATATGTCAGATATATCTCATATATTATCTTTTATATATATATCTTTCATTTGATCACATTTTCTTGAGGGGCTTTTCTGTATTTACCTCTTCAACATTACAGTCAATTATTTGGTCTCTTTAAAAAAAGGGTTACAATTCCTCTACAGTGCATTAACTCCTATGAGAAAATAATGTTTTCTAATTAGTTTTACTCTCCTATATGCTATTATATCAGTATAACTCTCGAATACTTCTGAGACTACTAACATAGATGCAATAAATAAGATTTATTTTGTATTACACTATATTTATGAATATGGTTAAGCATGCCAAATGTCTCCTAATTACTAAATACTTAATACAGCAGGTCCTCAAATAACATCCTTTTGTTCAACATCATTTTGTTCAATGTCCTTTCATCATAACTTTTTTTTTTGTTTTTAAGAGACCAGGTCTTCCTATGTTGCCCAGGCTGGAGTGCAATGCCCTCATCATGGCTTACTGCATCCTTGAATTCCTGGGCTCAAGTGAACCTCCTGCCTCAGCCTCTGGAGTAACTGGGACTACAGACATGGGCCACCACTACCAGCTACTTTTTCTTGTAGAGATTAGGTCTATGTTGCCCACGCTGGTGGCAAACTACTGGCCTCAAGTGATCTTCCTGCCTCAGCCTCCCAAAGCGCTGCGATTAAAGGTGTGAACCACCACGTCCAGCCCATTATTAACTTTGATGAGAAAAGAAAATCATTTTCAAGCTGGGGTCACTGTCTGTGTGGAGTTTGCAGGTACTCCCCATGTCTATTGGGTTCTCTGGGTACTTGGATTTCCTCCCACATCCCAAAAATGTGCATGTTAGGTTCACTGGTCTGTCTACATTATCCCAGGATGAGCAAGTGTGCGAGTGAGTTGTGGGTGTAGGTATGAGTGCACCCTGCGATGGGATGATGTCCTGTCCAGGGTTGGTTCTTGCCTTGTACCCTGAGCTGCCAGGATAGGCTCCAGCCACCTGAGACTGAAGTGAAGTAACTGGGTAAATAATTATCTTGTTTTTATTACTCTTTCTTAAATGTGTTACAGCTCACATTTATTTCATTAATTAATATTAGAAGTGTTTTTGTCTTTATTTAGAAGTTTGGTGATATATGCTACAGAAACTTAGCTCTTGTTTATATCAATTACCCTATGGTAAAACTGGTTTCATTATGTGTTGTTTCACCTAAAGTCACAGTTTCCAAGAATCCATCAACGATGCTAGGTGACCTATAAGAATTATATTTATAGTTAACAATGTATATCCTATTACTGTGACTATGAATGTATAAACTTTTGTTTCTAGAACCTTTAGAGTAAGAGTGAACTCTATTAGGAAAGCTATGACTTCTAGACAGAATAAATTATAACAAAGTTCAACCCTTATCTGCTCTTTTAAAATCTGTTTTTCTACTCAAAACTAGAATGGGCTACCATTATACTTCCATTAATATTATTTATTTAAAAAATCTATAGAATATGGACAAAAGTGAAATACATGAGATTACTACAAGCATGCATTTCCTTAGGAAAGTTTTGCTCTTACCAGTTTTTATAAAGACTTTTTAAAAATCTTACTATAGAAGACTAGAATACTGATACACATGGTAGGAATTGCTCAGCAGCAAAACAAATAGAACCCGGCTCCTCTGTACTTTGGCCAACGCTTAAGTAGCTCCAATTCTATATGTTATGAGGAATCCTGAATGTCCTAATCAAACCTGCTCTCTAATCAAGACTTTATTTCCAGACTTTATAATCTGATATTACTCATAGATACAATTTTTACATTAAAAGATAACTTTTTAAAAAAATAGTATATTTTAAATAAAATCCCTACAACTGTCCACAACAGAGAGATGGCCAAAGAGTGACTGGCAGAACTTGGTGAAAGAGACACTGTTCAAAAGGCCCAGTCACATCTTTTCCTCAAGAGCTGTGCTTTCTAATATCCAGAGCACAGCAAGAACAGAAGTTGAATAAGCAAGAAAGACAGTAAAAGATAAAACCCAGCCCTTTGCATCTTAAAAGCATGCCTAATTTTGGCATTCATTTGGGTTTCAGAAAAGTTCTGTCAAAGGTTCTAGTGTCTCTTGGTATGCTGTTTCAGGAATACAAAATTCACTAATATAATAAGCCATAATTTCAGCATGTTGTCCAGTGCATTACAAAAAAATTTAAGAAAACCAAGATTATTTTAATCACACAAATGAATCCCCACAGTAACCTCAATCTTGAATCAGTCTCTAAAGTAACCAAGTCAATTCACTATAACTATTAAGTCTACCACTGAAACTAAAAACCGATTTTTTTAATATTGGAAAATAAGCAGTAACATGTAACACCTATCATATCACTAATACAATTTCATCCAGAATTAGGATTCTAGATGGAATTGGTTAACAAAAGAGAAATTCTTAAAAATAATTCCATCTTAACCAAAAAAGCAGTTTCTAATAACCCAAAAATACATTATAATTACAAATAATAATTCTAAGTTAGCTAAGAGTTGGTAATTCTACTACTAATGCTTTTTTATTCTGTTCACTCTGCTGTTTTAAAAGTGAAATGCCTATTAAATTACAATGCTTAGAAAAAGGTGAATTAAAAATGGGAATTTTCAATGAAATAATTCAGGATTATCTACCTTCTGCTTAGATATATGCTATATTAGTCTCGGCTGTGCAAAACACATATATGCTAGAGTTAACATTAGGCCTGTTCTTTCCCTGCTAGAGTCCCTGGAATCTAGAATAGTTAAACTGATTAAGCATTAAAGCTGGAAAGACTGTGGAGTTATCTTGTCTGACCCTTCATTTTCAAATTAGAAAAGTGAAGTTCAGGAAGGGAGAAATGGCCAGGCACAGTGGCTCACACCTGTAATCCCAGCACTTTGGGAGGTTGAAGCGGACAGATCACCTGAGGTCAGGAGTTCGAGACCAGCCTGGCCAGCATGGTGAAACCCTGTCTGTACTAAAAATACAAAAATTAGCCAGGGGTAGTGGCACACGCCTGTAGTTCCAGCTACTTGGGAGGCTGAGGGAGGAGAATAACTTGAACCTGGGAGGCCGAGGTTGCAGTGAGCCGAGATCGTGCCACTGCACTCCCGCCTTGGCGACAAAGCAAGACTCTGTCTCAAAAAAAAAAAAAAAAAAAATTCCTGTTCATATTCACAATGTATGGTAGCAGAGCATGGACTAAAATTCAGGAACTCCTAACTTTTTCATCAGGACCCCTTTCTTCCTCTTCAATTAGCAGCCAGGGAGGCTCAGGCTGCCCAGACACTCCCCAAAGAGATACATTCAAGCTGCTCCTTAACTTTTAATTTACACACCTATAATTAACTGACTTTAAAATTGTTAATTTACCTAAGTCAAAACAAATACAATATAGAGCTGAAAATTTTACTCTAAATCCTCCCTGCCAGTAACAGGAAATCTAAACTGAGCACTGAATAGTATTCATAACAACTTTCTTTCATATGCTCCTCCAAACTCCCAGAATACTTTGTGTCATGGACTCTAAGTATTTTCCATAATGATTGAATTACTCTTTGAAATCCTTGACTAAGCCCATTTTACAAATCTAGACATGAAGGCTGAGACTAGTTAAGAAATGTCCCTGTATTATATATATAGAGCTAAGAATAACCAGAAGTAAAATTCATAACCCAACCCTGTTGGACTTTTCTGAATCTCTTCTTGTGCTTACAGCTACGCTGCGTCACATACATTTTTGTGCTCATCTTTTTCCTCTATACTAGACAAAGGTATCTTCTCATCTTTGTATATTCCAAATCCAGTGAATTTTAACTTTTATCTTTCCTTACTACTCAAGGTGAAATACATTCCCGGTCTAAACTTTCCACCAACAGTGCCTTACTCAGGCCATCATCAATACAATGATCCCTCTAAGCATATCCTTCCCTGTATGCCTATGTAAGAATCCCTACCCAACAGGTCTGATTTAGAACACAAACAAACTACTGTTAGACAACTGTTACCACCTATATTAGTTCAGCAGCACAACTAAACCATTTCGGTCGCTTAATAAATGAAGACTAAAGTCCAGATACCATGTGCATTAGAAACTGAAGGGCTTAACAACCTAATCAAGCAATAAGAAACGCAGAATGAGCTCCTAAAAAATAAACGAGTAATTATAATTATTCAATCAATCAATAAGTATTCACTGATCTGGGAGCCAGAAGTTACAAAAATTATAGAAGACTACCTAGGCATAAAGTCTATCTCCAAGAATTATATATAGTGAGGAAACAAAAAACTAAAGAAAATAAGCAAGTTAAAACAAGTGCTGAGGAGTTAAAGGAAATAAAGATTAAGGTTGATTAATAAAAATGGCTTAAGTATCACTAAATCTTGAAAAAACAAACCAGGTGAGTATGGCAGGGAAAGATAATGCTCAATAACATTATCAGCCCCAATCCATATAAACCAGATATGGCTGTAGAGACGTAGTTTAATGTTTTATTTTTTCCTATTCCTTAGTTTCTCACTTATTCAGGACTATATATGTTGAACTTCACTTAGCAAAACTGCACATACTCTTTATATAAAATTAACTGAATCACACTACATGAAAGGCAACAGATCTAACTACAAAATAAGACCTAGTAATCTTGTTTATAACCTTCTCATTCTCCCTTCATAATACTACCAGCTAATGAATGGCATCAGAACTATTTATGTAAAAGTACATATCATGTATTTATGTATTACAATGAAATCTCAATTTCCACAAAATGAATTTTTAGAAACTGTGGTAAAACAAAAGATTTACTGATGATCTGCCTCCTCCATGAAGCCAATCACCAATCCAGAGTCTCATTAACATTTAGGCATATTTGCAGCGAATGAGAATAAAAATATGTTTCTGTGTACTTTTTCTGCTGGTGGTTATAATGCCTGCCTTTATTGAAACTCCCTTCCCTCACCTTCTATATATAACTGGGACTAATTTCTGCTGGAGACTTTAATTGTTCTTGAATTCCCAAAGTACTCTCTTAATTCAGGCCCTCATCATATTTCACCTGCAATACTATAAATCAACTATCTGATTTCCCTTGTCTTTCCCTCACAATCCTCAATCCACCTTCTATACTGCCTCCACCTTTCCCCTGAAAATTTTCTAAGTCAAATATGATCTTGTGAGTCCCCATTAAATAGTGCAATACTTCCCCAACTGTATCTCCTTCTTAGTTGTGAAATGTACACTGGTATCTTCAGCGGTGAGAGAAATGCTGTACTAAAAGAATTTGGTTTAACTTAATTTAGCTTCAATTTGCAAAATATAGACCAAAAATTGAAGAAAAATCTATTAAGATTTCCAATGTGCTCAAGGATTATCCTATCAGACAACGTGGACTTTAGCAGTGGTTTTCAAACTGTGATATACTTTAGAATTTTCTGTCAAGCTTGCTAAAAATAGACATGTCCAAGCTTCACCTCAGATCCAGTGATTCTGAGTAATATCTAGGAATTGGGCCTAGGCATATGCATTTCTCATAATCTCCACAATGATTCCAATTCATACCTAAATCTGAGAGCCCAAGCAGAAGCCCTCCTTGCTCCCTAACAAACCTAACAAACTTATTAGTAGGTCTCCTAACTTTTCAAGCTGTTTCATACCTCTCATCAGCCTAGGGAGTACCTGTTTAAATATAAATAATCAGTTATCCATTTTAAAAAGCTTTTAATCATCCTCTCTCCCACCATTCTCTCCTTTAATCCCCTAAACCTTTATAAAAATAGTTTCCATATATTTATACACAGTCTTAATCCACACAACTACCCCATGAGATAGTATCCTTGTTTTACAGATGAGAAAACCAAATCTAGGATAGGAAGCTCAAGAAACTTGTCCAAAGTGACCCCCAGTTTGAACCCACATTTGCTGTTACAAAGCCAAGGCATTTTCTACTGTGAAAAGCAGCCTCTTACACATCACTCTGAAGCACTGACTTATCAGTTTACACGTTTCCCTTTTTAGACCTAGTAAGCTCCCTGAGGACAAGTATCAGCCCTTCCAGATTTTGACCTCAACATTTATTCAATACATGTTTGTTGAATGAAAGAAGAAATGAAGCTCCTCCAGAGCTTCGACTATAACTGCTTCTGTTTCATTTCTTGAATTCTTAGGTAGAGCTCTGAGTACTGAGTATACTTCTGCCTAACACATTTGGTCTGACCTGTAAATCTTACTGCTGGATTTATTATGAGACAATATATTTCAGTAATGTTTTAAAGGACAAAAACAACCTGAATAATCAGCCAAGGGAGGAAAAGATTATTTCAAAAATTAAAATATCACTCTTACTTCACTCTCTATTAACTAGGGACTTCAAATATTGAAATTAGTATTTGCAACGACTTCATCCCACAAAAGCAGACAACTGAAAGTGTGGTTTTTAAATGACAAATTCAAAAGGTACAGTTGATTAATAAAAGATGGCATAAAGAAATTAAGCACTGAATACTGAGAGCCTATTCAGCAATCCACTTACACTAACCAATGTGCAACATCATTTTTCTCTATCACAGTATTTTTCCCCATCTGCCATTTTTCGAAACCAGTAAAACTACAGGTAAGCACAGAACAATTAGTATACTTGTGTATAAATGTAATGTCCTTTCTGCCTAAAGTTAATGTGTCTGGTATGTAGAACACAGCACAACTACTTCCTTTTTGATACAGGTTACATAGCTAATCTACTAAACCAGCAACTGAATTTTTTTCATTGGAGGTAACTAACATTCAAAGTGCTGAAGATTTTCCTAAACTGAGCATATGCAAACATTAGTGGTGCTTTAAGAATCTTGTATTTTAATTAGTTTTTGGTGAAAAAGGCAAAGTGGTTATTTCTTTAACACCACTTTTAGAAATAAATCAGTAACAGGAAAAAAAAATACCCTTCTAAAACAACATGATGTAGTGCAAAGTACAATGGGATAGGACTAGGTGTGAGGAGTCCTGGTTTTCTAGTTCTGGTTACATTATTAAATTGCTGTATGACTTGGGCTCACTGGATCAGTTTTCTCATTTGTTGAAAAAAGTGTGTGTGAATGGGGAGGGGCTTAAAGTTGTTACCCAAAATTCTCGTTTTGAGCCACTCCTCTTGTTTCATCCTTCTAATCAGGAAACTCAATGTTCTCTAAGGTCTAAATTCCGAAATATGAAACACATCTGAAATTGAATGGAACGATTCAATCTCCAACCGGATGGCACAAGATACAAAGGGTGGACTCCTATGAAGTTAACAATGAATCCAATAACTTTCCAGAAATTGTCTAATCCTAACTTCTTAAAGAAGCAGGTGAAATCTGGTTTGGCATACCTAATATTACTTAAAGGAGTTATAAAATGGTATTGCTTTGTTGAAATTTCCGTGTTTTCTGGGTTCCAGTGGCACATACTCTGCAGGTGCTAGCAAAGTGGAGAGAAAGGGATCCAGCCAGTATTTCAACAAACCACACTTCAACCCAGTCACCGCAGTATGATCCCGACAAGGCCTACACCACAGAGCAGAACCTCCCCACCCCCAGAATTGCCAGCAGCCAATGTAATGAATGCTTCCGTCAACAACACACATTCCCCTTCCCACAGCAGAACTGCTCGCTCCCAACCGGCCATCTGGGGTTGGAATTGGCCGCACAGCACCAAACTAAGAATCATTCTCGGCCCCAAAAGCCAAGAGCTACCAGAGATTGAGGTTTCCCTGCGCATGGCTGCGGGGAGAGCAGCACCCCCTCCCACCAATGGGGGGAAAAAAAAAATCAGTGGGAAGGAGAGTAGAAACCAGGCCTAGGCAAGGTTGCTAGAGAAATAAATCTTGTTTCTCTTTAACGAAGAGCAATAACATTTCTTGCACCCTCTCTAATCCGAAGAGAGCCCAGGCTCTTGCACTCGACTTCATTCCCTCCTGGAATCCTAATGGGAGATTAAAAACCACCTTCCTTCCCCGACCTATCCACTCCTCAAACCTGGCATTGTTAAGGAACGTACCCCCAGATCAAGCAGTAAGAGGTGAAGCGAGAGCTAGAACAAGGGCCCAGATTCTAGGACCAAGCGGCTCTTGCAAGAAAATCCCCTTGTGGCCTGAGAATAAAGTTTTAACCAGCAGCAAGGGCGCGGGCCGAGGCCCGGCCAGGCTGGAGGACAGGCCTGCGGAGGTGACACTCCCTTATTCTCCAGCAGCTCGGGAAGGCGGCGCCCGACCGCCACGGCCCGCACCCTGGGAGCAGGGCGAGGGCGCCGACGAGGGGCCGGGGCCGGGGCCGGGGCTGGCGGGAGGCCTGGCCCGCGCCGCTCCCGCCTCCTTCCCCACTCCCACTTCCCGGCCCCCAAGCCCGGGCCCGTGAGGTAATGTCACGGGTGGCGACGCGGGTCTCGTCCACTGACCACACATTTCTTGCCGAGGAAAGTGAAGAGGGACTCGTTCTCCTGCGGGGTGAGCAACAGGGACCCCACGTTGGTGACCCTCCGCGGCGGCGGCGGCTGCTGCTGGACGGAGCTCATGGTTTCGCCGGCGGGGTTGGGAGTCCAGGGCCGTCTCCTCCGGCGAGTGGGCGAGAGCTCGTTCCCCCTCTCGGTGACAGGGGCGGGGAGAAGTGGAGTCAGAGGCGCCACATCTCGCAGCTCCTCCGGAGCGGGGAGGAGGACGAGGTCGAGGGAAGCAGGCGCTGACGGCGAGCCACCTTCGCGCCGCGCTGAGAAAGGGAAGCTCCCGGCACCCGCCCGGCCAGGCTAGGGCCGGATGGTCGTTGTCCTCGCACTCCGGCGACTGCGCTAAACTCCCAACTCCTCCCCCAACCCTCCCGCAGCGGCGGCGGCGGCCGCACAATCCAACATGGCAGCGGGGGCGGGCGAGACCACAGGACGGAGGGCGCGGGGGAGCGCGCCGGAAACGCGCGGCTGCGGCCCGGGAGAAACCCCCCCACTCGGCGGCGGGCCTCGCGGCGCGGGCCCGAAGCCACGCCCCCTTCCGGCCGAGGCGCGGACCGCGCGGAGCTAAGTGGAATCCCGGTTGGCTTGGGGCGCAGGCTTCCAACTTCGTACTCTGGCCTCTGGCGTCTCGGCTCGTCGGTTGGGTACCCGAACCCAGCTACTGCTGCTTGAAGAGAAGATGGATGGGGACTCCTCGCCGTCGCTGCGCCGCCGGCCTTCCCTGGGCGGACGTACACCTTTGCGAAGCGTCAGTGAGGACCCAGGGCCCCTCCTTGGAATAGCTCTTATTTCTCAAGCGCTGCAGCGTGAAGCTCGCTCTGCGGGTCCGAGAGGCCTGCGATCTGAAGACTGAAAACTGGGAAGAGACGCTCTACCCTGTGCTCCTCGCCGGCTTCGATAGGAGCCGCAGGTGCCTGGGATTTTCTCAAACTTTGTCCCAAACTTCAGCTGTGGGAGTGGAGGAACAAACAGGCCTCTCCCAGAATTGTGAAAGAGATCGCCCTGGTGGATGAAACAAAAACAAATGCACTTGACTTCCACCGCCTGCCTGGCGTGTCACGCGGGTTTAATGTATGTGTCACATTTAAATTCAAAGTATTTTCTTCTAAGGGCCTGGACACATTTCTTTTCTCCCTGTATCGTGAATTGGAAAATACCTTAGGATATTAAAAGTTATCTAAGATAACCCCCTTTCTTCTGTAAGTTAAATACTAAACGGCTTAAGACGAAATTTTGGAATATAGAGATGATGATGCAGACTGCAGTGAATTATCAAATATGCATCTCACTGTTCTCCACATTAAACATATTTTTGTTGCGTAAATTCATGTTAAGACGTCTATAACAATTACACTTTGGTAAAATTGTTGGATGTTAACATCTCTGATAGCTCCCAATAGAAATCTCTGATGTACTAACCAGACTGGTAAACCATTATCATGCACTTTGAAAATATAATAAAATATTATAATTAAAGCTGCCATTAATGAAATAGGCTGAGCAACAATAAATTTACAAAGGAAAATAAAAGTGGATAGCCTTGGGAGTTCTCACATAAAATATGGAGATTTCAAAGTTAAACTTGATTAATTATGTTAGGGTAAAAAGTGAATTAAAGCAACAGGACTATTTATAAAATAATTAGATTTAGAAAGCAGTCGTAGAAATATAAGCCTGGAGTTGCCTCTGAATTACATATTTAACAAACCTAGAAGCTAAATCAGTTTGTCTTTTATCAAAACTGCAACTCCTCTAAGTTGAAAGCACAGTGACAAGAGAAAGCATTACAAATTCTTGAGAAATAATAGAAATTAAAGCTCTTTTCAAACCTGTGAACAAGTATAGTACCAGAAGTATAAGATTCAGATAGGCCCAAGTTGTAGTTCTTGTTATGAGTCTTACAACCCTATGGACTTTGGACAAATTACTTCTCTGCGTCTGTTTCCTCATCTGTAAAATGAAAATAATTTCTGTTTCATACAGGTATAGTCTAAATAGGGATAATTACACCTACTTCAAAGTTGTAAAATACACAATTACAACTAGATAGGAGGTATAAGTTCTAGTGTTCTGTAGCACTGTAGGATGACTATAGTTAACAATATTGTATAGTTTCAAATAGCTAGAAGAAGGATATTGCATGTTCCCAAAACAAAGACATAAGTTTTTGAGATGATAGATATGCTAATTACCCTAATCACTATATGTTATATGTATTGCAACATCACTATGTACCCCCATAAATATGTACAGTTATTGTGTATTAAAATTTTTTTAAACTAAAATTATAAGACATTAAAAAAAGGTATCACATGTAAAGTACCTGATACATAGTGGTTACTCAAGTATTAGTTGTCGGCCATTGACAGTCCTTGCCTATGGTCTTTTCTGCTTTCCCTGAGCTAAGGGATCAAGACTTAATATATGTATTCTTACCTTTGTTCTAATTCTGACTCTTCAAAAACTGTCCTTCAAATATACAATTGTACATATTTTTTCAAAAATATAGTGAAGAACTTGATAGCAGAATTTCTGATTAGGCCATATATTATATCAAATAGGCTACATATATCCCAGTATGCCAAAATAAAACTTTTTAAAACTGTAAATCCAGAGATAGAATCCTATTAGCTTCTAATTTAATAAAAACTGAAAGATTAGCAAATTTTATGTTAGAAATACCAGCTTTTAGAACTTGTAGACCACCAAACTATTTTGAAGACAGGAAAGAGTAGTGGGAGAGGGCTGTGAAAAAAAAAAAAAAGGCCATGAGATGATAGGTGAATGGACAGTAGCTGCGTTCAAGAATTTATCTCATTCTGAGAATTATTGAGTTCCAATCATTTCACAACCTCTTACTAGCCTAGACTATCTATTGTTTTGATTTTCTTTTCTTTCAGGAAATTTTATGACTTATCTAAATGCAATTTTCTTTTTACTATTTGCCCTTTTTCTGTTTTCTTTAGACTTGGAGATGGAAAATGATGACCACAGTAGACTTTTTTCCTCAGGTCCAACCTTTCTTTAATTTTTCTCCAAATTTTTAGTATAGTCCTTTGTCCACAAAATTGCAATTTAAGTTCTTGTCTTCTACCCTCCATTGTTATTTTTGTTTTTCTCTGGGCTTTTTCCAACTCTTGATGTGGAAAATGTAAGCATGAACATTTCACTGGAAATATGACTTCCTTACTCATTTAAGCCTGTGAACAAGCAATATTTGGGGATTCCCTCCTTACCATACATAAAGGATTCTATTTTTCCATACTCATCCTGAGACCAAGCAGTACTGGCTGTTTTTGTTTCAAAAGTTTTAGCAAGTCCTTTCTTTCATTCTTGATAGCATATCCTCTGTTTGGCAGAACACAAGACATCTTTTCTCTCTGTTTTCTTTGGCAAGTTATTTCCTTATCTCAAATTTTTTTACCCAGTTTGAGAGATTGGATTTTATCCAGGACATAAGCATTCTGTTTCCCTTCAACAGAGTATCTTGAAGTTTGTAAGCGCTGTTAAGAAGACTAGGGGTTTTATCTTAATATACATATAAAATGCATATGCTAGAAATACCAGCTTTCAGAGCTTGTAGACCACCAACCTATTTTGAAGACAGGAAAGAGTAGTGGGAGAGGGCTGTGAAAAAAAGCTTTATTACGGTGTATATGAATATAACAAAAAAAAGGCAATTCTTACATTTAATTTCTTCCATTTGACTCTCCTTACCTCAACTAGCATCTATTCTAGTACTTCATTTTCTTCTTTCTTTGGTATGATCTTTTAAGGTAAAGCCCTCATTTTAACAGAAAACATTAGGGTAGCTTATTATGGAAATGAGAGCATATTTTCAGATACATTCCTGCTGTTATCCTTATGGGTACTTTGCAAGCTTCTCTTGTTACGGTTCTTTGTTATATATTTTTCTTCTTTACAAATGTCATTGTTTATGTACTGTTAAAAGTCCTCTGAAACACCCTATTCCCCTTGCTAATGTTAATAATTTAAAATGTAGTGACACCCTTTACTGTGGGGGAATATAAAGGTGGCTGAAAGCACACGGCATTCAGCAGCCATTGTAGCCATAATTGCTGCTTGGCTATGGCAGAACTGATTTTATAGAGACAGAACAACAGCAAATCTGAATACTGCAAATCTGGATTTGCAGAAAAAGTGCAGGGGCAATGAGTGCTACTTCTCCCATGCAACCTCCAGAAATGTCATGTGTCTAAAATGTTCGTCTTGTAAAATATCTGCACATTTTTATGTAAATGTTGCATATGGCAATGCTTACAAGAATTTATTCTAGTACATGTTATCCCAAGTTAAATGTTAATTGTTTTCTTTTTCATCAACTAAATTCTGAAAAGTAAGCTAGCACACCATTTTTTTTCTGCCTCTCCTTTTTAAATTCATTTTAACTACAAACCTCTTTGGGGCTTTCTTTTTTAGGAATAAATAGTTTATTTACAAATCATTCTGATTTCTTATTGAAGTTAGTGGAAAATTGAACACTTATTCATGCTACAAAATTACCAGTGATAGTTACTACCATTATATGTCCTAGTCTCCAAATACCTAGTACTTACCTGTAATCAAGAAATGATTTGAAGAGCTAAGTATGTTATAGTTCCCAGGATGCTGCTTATGGTTTTCTGGCTGCTCTTTAACTTTAATGAATATTCAATGGCTTATTATTATTCCAAATGAGAGAGAACAACATTGATTTCTTTATTGTAATGTTCTCAAGGTCAATCTACATTATAAATGAGTAGGCAGGCTGGATACTTGGGAAAATTTGAAGATGCCACATGTCCCCATTACCACATTGAAATTATTGGGGTCAAGGATATGGTCTCTGCTACCATGTAACATTTTTAAAATCAATTTTTATTTTTATACAAATGATAAATGCACATAATTTAAAAAATCAAATAGTAGTACAAAACTTAAAACAGCATAAAACAGAAGTTACATTCTTGGACCACTTTAACTTTGTTGGATTTTACCCCCCTCAATAATTTGCTTAAATTTTATTTCTTTTATTTCTTCTATATTAAGAACTATAAAGTCCTTCCTCATATTATTTTCCACATAATCAAGTGTATCAGGAATCTATTAGACTCACTAATTTTAATCAAAGACCTGTCTCCCAAAGCCATCCATCATCCCATATTAATCTGTACTGTTGCTACATGGCTATTGTCTGGAATTTTATTGAGTTACTATCCTGGGATTTCCCTTTATCTTTCTGTATTAGACCCTCTGTTTCTTGGAACCTATGTCATCCATCTTGATGTACTCCCTTGTTTTGATAGTGTATATCCTTTAGTGGCTTCCTAAGAAAAAGTGCATAGATAGTAAAATTTTGAGACCTTGCATAGCTGATAGTTTTATTCTAATCTCACTCTTGGTTGATTAGTTTAACAGGGTAGAAAATTTCAGGTTGAATACCAGTTTTCTTCAGTATTTGAAGGTGTTATTTTATTGATTTCGAACTTTCAACATTGCTGTTGAAATCTGAAGTTATTCTGATTCTGATCTTTTGTATATAAGTCTTTATGACCTCTAAAAGTTTTCAGAATTCTGTTTGTTTATGGAATTCTGAAAGTTGATGATGTACCATAGTGGAATACTTTTACATTTATTGTACTGGGTATTCCAAAGGCCCTTTTTATCCAAAAACTCATGTCTTTTAGTGCTGGAAATTTTTCTTTTGTTATTTTCATATTTTTCTTCCCCTTTTTTCTCTTTTCGCTTTCTGGAATGCCTGTTGGTCAAATGTCAGATTTTCTGACTCATTCTATACAATTAGAAAGCACACCCAAGTTTCACTGTGGAACTACTCCAGTGAGCCCTTCAGTGTGGTCATCTCTGGGCAGAGATACTATAGATTTACTGCTAACATTGGGAATTGGAAACTAGAATCTCTTCTGAGATTCTAAAAGCAGGGTGTTTCTGCTGCCATCCTTGCTGCCCTTTGCCACATGCTTCTTCACTTTATGTGTTTTCAAATCACAGTTGCCCATGGGTGTGTCTGATGAGGGAAAGGTCACATACCTGTACCCTAGCTGCAAAAGAGCTGGAGATTTCAGGCTCGTTGTTAAGGGTCTGCGGATTCATAAGGTCAGAAATTCCATGAACACAGAAAAAGTATTCAAAAGGTACTCAGCAGCTAGTGAATTCAACTGGGGACAGTTGGAACTTCAGGATGTTTGATGACTGGGGAGAGGGTCTTTGTTAAGAAAAAGCAATAATATGAAATATTAATGCTTTCCAATTTTATCAAGATGATAGCATTTTTGTGTACTGAATTACATGCATATTACATACATAATAAAATTGTAAAACTCTGTATCTAGGAAGTAAATAGTCTTTATTTATTTTTGCCTCCATACAAAGTCTTTAATAAGAACTGTGTTTTTCCCCCACATTAACTAGGTTACTTGTCCTTAGAAAGTTGGTAATGGTTGAATGGGTTAGTACTATATGTTCATACACGTTGATATCATTTATCTATAAATAGCTATTTAGCTGATTCATTAAAGCAAATTGAAGTAAGTCATTTTGATATAATAAATTGTCAAAGTCAGTGATATGCAGGCTTTTCATTTGTAAATTGTAATTACTTTTTAAATGTTTGTCTCCTACATTAGCCTCAAAGCTCTCTAAGAGCTGGTATCATGTCTTATTCATCTTTGTATCTTTTTAGTCTTAACATTGAACCTATACATTATTCAACGTATATTTGTAGATCAAATGACCACCTTTGATTCAAATAAAAACATATGAATTTTTATCAGGTACAAAGATAGTTACACAGGATCTGAGATCAAATAAAGAGAAACCACAGTCTTGCCCAAACTCTTCCACACAGTACTAAGCATGTGGTATTCTGAGAGCACCTGGAGAGAAAACACAATACATAAGAAACTGCACACAACCTAATGGTAGCAGGAGCAGGGCTTGTGACAACAGCAATAGAAAGGAATGACCTCCACTTGAGATGACCCAGCAACCTAATTCAAGTCCAGAGGATAAAGTGATTTTTTTTTTTTCCTCCTGAGTGAGCTCAGGTGTCCAGGGGCCTAGTCTGAGAAAAGAAATGTGTGTCATATTTTAGGGATTTGGGGGAATAATAGTTTTTAGCATGAAGTGATTGCAAAAACACTAAGTCAAGGCTTCACTTGGTCTTAGAAAGCAACTCTGGAAGCATATGGAAGCAAGCTTAGTATCCAGGAGCGTTGGAAACTAAAGTGAAAATAACCAGGACAAAAAATAGGCTGGCATCCCAATGGACTGGGGGAGACTGGCCAGCAGTTCTCATAGCAGCATTAGCATCACATGTTAGAAATGCACATTCTCAGGCCCCACTCTTGACCCACTGAACCTGAAACTCTGGGGATAGGACTCATCAGTCTATGTTTTAAGAAGCCCTCCTGGTGATTCCAATAAGTAGACCTTCAAGACGACCTCCAGGGGATGAAATTTACCACCCCCACCAGCCACCTTCCACCCTTTCCCAAGCATATAAGGCTTATGGCATTACACAAACTATGTTTGAATCATATTCTTTTGAGGGGACGGAACTTGTAATGAACCACTGGGATTTATTCTTGTCAGTTTAAGACCTAGATAGGATAGAGTCTGTAGGTGGAATGTCTTCATTGTTCACACCTGGCAAAATAGCTGTAAGGGCAAGCAGGTATTTATTAGCTATAGCTTTTCTGATCTGAGTTCCGATAGTAACTAGCCATGAAATCTTACTAAAATCACTCAACTTCATCATGCTTCTCTTTACTCATTTGTAAAATGAAAGGAATGACTTAATGATTGCTAAGGTCCTTCTCAGCTCAAAATTATATAATCAATCCCATGTATTTTGGATTTTAAAAAAATCCTGCATTTTAAAAAGCAATGGGTAAAAGGCAGTGCATAAGGGAATATAAACAATTTCATGGCTTTTTCACTATTACAAATCCTTTTTTGGTGGTATGAAAATGAATATATAAGCCTTATCATAAGCCTACTCTATTGAAAGAGGGATTGGTAAAGAATACAATCCCCAGAACATAAAAATCCTGCTTTTAGTTACCTCAGAGCAGGAAGGAAGGGTAATTGGTGACTGT